>NC_000020.11:21322741-21950944 GCF_000001405.40 Homo sapiens
CTTCTTTATCTTGATTTCTTGGCATTTTCATGCACAAATATAATGATATCCCAACTGCCTATTTGGAATAAATATATCCCCTGCTTTATCCATGAAGTCACGAAGGAGCAGGCTTCCTACTAGGCAGAGCTACCTTGACTGCCAGCCTTCTGGTAGGGGTGCTCTCTGTTCCTTCCTAGGCATTGTTACTCAGCCAGGGCACTGCACTGCCTTTCTAACCTAAGCCTTCACATTCTCTGGGAGCTTCTGTCTCAAGTTGCCTGGTTCACATGGGACCTGGGTGGGTGAAGGGAGAGGAGAGGGCAGGAGTTGACCCATCTGGCTGTTGCTGTGACTGGCGCTGATGAATCATCCAGAAGCTGTCCCTTGAGCCTCCTCTCTGGGCCTAGAGCCCTCTTGTGTTAGCCCACCTTTGGCAGCATATCTCTTCTCACATGTTGGAGGTACTGCACTCCATCTTCAGTTAGGGCTATTGGTTGCCCATATTTTAGGTATCACTCATCATTTCTCAGCCACAAATTCTGGTTTTCCGCCGTAGTTATACAGTAGATTTGTTTGTTTGTTTGTTTGGTCTTTCATGTGGTCTTGGGGTAGAAAGGGAAGACTGCAGTGTGTGTTCAGTCTGTCATCTGGGGAATCCAAAAAATAATTAAAAGTCATTACTTGAAATACATTGGTTTTAGGGTTCAGAGTGGCTCTCCTTTTAGCTGCCCTTTGATTAAGGATCTCTCTTTAACTGAACAGGAAACGTGTTGGTATAGCATTGGACAAGGTTCTTGAGGAGTCAGTTCTTTGTTGAGCATCAGAGTCTTCTCTTGATGAAAGGAATTCTAAAGTTACATAATAAGTGTGTTGGACATGTCTACAGTACTCTTGAGGGGAAAATATATTCAGTTTTCTTACTGGGAATACCTGGAGCTCTTTTCTCAAAATTAGGACCCACCTACTCCGTACTTTATTTTTTTTCCTAGGTAGTAGAAGTAGAAATTCTCATGTAGCTCCACTCCATATGAAGAGCTGTGCCTTTTCTTGTGCTAGGCACTAGGGCAGGGATTAGCCTGCTGGTGACGTCCTGTTTTTGTGAGTCAGGTTTTATTGGAATACAGCCATGTCCATTCATGTTGTGTTGTTTATGGTTGCTTTCACTCTTCAAAGGCAGATATTAGTTGTTGCAGCTGAGATCATATGGCCAGCAGGTCTGAAATATTTACTGATTTTTTTCCTGGAGGGCACAAAGAATGAGTTTTGATTTTCCTGAGTGTGGTGGGCCGTTGGACAGGATGAAGGTGGATGTGGACTTTGGGGTGTAGAGGTTAGATGAAGAGGCAGAGAGCCTCTTGCCATCATAGAGTTTGTTTTAATTTTGGGGTCATCAAATTATCTTTTTCTATAGACTCCACCCACCCCCCCAAGAATTGACCTGCTTTTTTCTTTACCACTTATTCCACTCACTGTTCCTGATCAAGCCTTTTTTTCTTGATTCACAGCATGTATGTACAGAAGATTGTCTAGTAGCTTCTTCTCTGTTCTGCCTTAAATCCCTTTTGTTATTCTTTCCCTCCAATTCTAAGTGCAACTTGAAGCCCAGTTGCATTCCCGTGATTCCTTCTCAAAGACAGTCAATATCCTGAAGTTGGTGTTTATCATTCCTTTGCTTTTCACCATGCTTTCATTGCATATGTATTCGTCCCTGAGCAATATTGAATGCTGTTTTATTTATTCATAACTTTCTGTAAGTGGTATACTGTATATGTTCTTTTTTTTTTTTTGGCCTAGTATGTTTGTGACCATCTAGCTCTAGCTCTTCCAATCTCACTTGCATCTCACAAGTATATGGATGTTATATGAGCTTATTCTTTTCCTGATGGGCTTGTTTCCTTTCCTCTAAGTTGATCTGTTTACTTGTTTAAGAGATGAGATCTTACTCTGTCGCCCAGGCTGGCATACAGTGGTGTGATCATAGCTCACGGCAGCCTTGAACTCCTGGCCTCAAGCAATCCTCTCACCTCAGCTTCCGAAGTAGCTGAGACTACCCGCACATACCACCATACCTGATTTTAAATTTCTATTTCTAACAGCTTTATTGAGATATAATTTGTGTATCATGAAATTGACCTGCTGAAAGTGTATGATTCAGTGGTTTTTAGTATATTTACAGAGCTGTGCAATCATCACTATTATCTGATTTTAGAGGGTCTTCATTCTCAAAAGTAATTAGCAGTTGCTACCCATCTCCCTCCCCTGTCTCCACCCTCACCTGAAGCAACCATTAATCTACTTTTTATATTTGCAAACATGTCTATTTTAGACTTTTCATATAAATGGGATTGTATAGTACTTGGTACTTCATGACTGGCTTCTTTCACTTAACCTAATGTTTTTGAGCTTCATCCATGATGTAGTATGTACATGATGGGCTTTTAAATTGCTTACAGTTTTTGCTGTTACAAGTGATGCTTTATATGTGCTTGAGGAACTGTTATTTTTTTAAGTGACTTTTATTGTTAATAGTAAAAATTAGATCTCATAGTCTTAATCTCTTGCTGAGGCTCTGGAAGAGAAAAACAAAGGAAGTAACATTTACAAAAACATAATTGAGTATCTCTGGCAGTGAGTAAGCCCTTATCTTTTGAGGAACTCAATGTAGCTGGGGTAGATTGACTAACTGTAAAACAGTGGAAGTGCTACAAGTGAATAAGCAAAATTATGAGGAAATTCAGAAGGAACAATTTCTTGGGAGATATGTACAAGGTGTTATAAAGTGAGTGACATTTGATTTGAGTGTAGACCCTGGAAATTAGTAATTTTTCAGGAAGTGGGTGTTGACAAGGGAGGAAGAAGGTGTTCTGAAAGAAGCATCATGTGACGGCATTGAGAGATCAAAAGGCATTTTCCAGGAACTTACAAGAGAGTGAGTGGGCTTCAACAATAGTATGGCAGGATAGGAGACTAGGAAGGCTCCAGGCTCATTGATAAACACCTGCTGTGAGAATCATTAGAAAAATTAGGTAAGATTAAGGACGTACACTTTTATGTTTTAGAAAGAGAACTCTGACAATGCAGAAAGTGAGCTGGAGACCAGAGAGTCTAGAGGTGGGGTAGACTAGATGAAGGTTGTTGTGCTCTTTTAGGTTAGAGATGGTAACTTCTTGTTGTTCATGGTGGTGGGAATGAAAGGAGATGAAGTAGGTAAGCATTTTTTACGTTACTTTGACAGGACTTACTGATGTGAGTGGTGAGGGAAATGAATTTTAAGATGACTCCCATGATTTCTCACTTGAACAACCTGAATGATTTGTGAATTTTCTAAACATCTACATTGTCAAAAATAACTTGTGTTAGAAGCCATCCACTTTCTACAGATAAAATATCTGCTTCAGTTTGCTTTAAGGAATAAAATAACTTATTATAATTTAAAGGTTACTTGAAGTGTTTTATTTCCAGTTCAGAAATGAAACACAAGTTCATATTGAGCCTAGGATCTGTCATTTTTAGACTTGAACAATCAAACTACTATTAATTATCACTTCCTCATAGCCAAAAGAATGCAATGGTGTAAAGATTCCAGTTGATGCCAGTAAACCTAATCCAAATGATGTGGAGTTTGATAATCTGTATTTGGATATGAATGGAATCATCCATCCCTGTACTCATCCTGAAGACAAGTACGTAACCCATTTTTGTCACTGATATAGCAAATCACAGAGGAAACATTATATTATATTACATTGTTTGGTTGTCATTATAGACCAGCACCAAAAAATGAAGATGAAATGATGGTTGCAATTTTTGAGTACATTGACAGACTTTTCAGTATTGTAAGACCAAGAAGACTTCTCTACATGGCAATAGATGGAGTGGTAAGTGCTAAAATAATTAGAAGCCTCCATTTTGTTTTTTTTTGCTGTGTTACCAGTGTCTAGAATGAAAGTCAGCTAAATAATGAAAAATGTTGACAGTGATGAACTTGAGAAAGAAAGCCTCATCCTTCAGTCATTCATTCAGATGTTTTTTTGTGTGTGTGTTTTGTGCTTATTTTGTGCTCAGTACTGTGAAATACTGGGGATGTTGGCGACTGCCCTTGCTTTTGAACTTTTGGCTTACTGTCAAAGGGAAGGAGGCATAGATAAATGGGTGAGCTTAATTATTTATAGGCATTATAAGCACTAGATAATACATGCAGGGTGTTGAGGGAAGAGGAAGTCAGTGCTACTAAGGAAGTTAGGATATAGAGAAGAGGTGACTTTTGTTCCATTTCTTTAACAATGAAGAATAATTGGGAGATTGGTGGGTGGTGGTGGGAGATGGATGGGACAGGGTTTGGGGAGGGAGGACCTTCCAGATTTCTCAAATGTGGCAGGTAAACACACTTTCCGTGCCTTTGACCACACTGACATGTTTTGGCAACTACAGGTGGTTTGAATTGAGAAGGGAAGTATAGCAAAAGCTTGAGAAAGCCTTACCGTCTGGAGTTTGGACTGTATCCTATAGGCAATGAGTAGTCATGAAAATGATTTGAGAGGAGTAAGTTACTGACCTATGATAATAATACCAAGTAGCTCCTTTTATAAATGACCAGCAAACTCTATTAGGGGGGTAAGGTAAGATATAACTCTAAATTTATTTAGCTATCTGCAAGTAGATTCTTTTAATTTTAGTGCATCCTAGCGGCTAATGGGATGATTTTGGAAATTCAGAGAACTTTGAATCCAAGAAGATTAACTTTTCTGTGAGATTCGTCTTACTCAGTGAAAAACCTTAGCTACCTGATAACTTGCTAAGTTGCAGTTAGAATGGAGTAAAGAGTAAAAAGAAAAGGAATATGTCTTGTTTAGAGCACATTTCAGTTTATATTCAGCTAATTTTTTTTGAAGAAATCTTTAGCTTTACTCCAGTGTGTTCTTTCTGCTACATCAAGTATAAAATATGTACACATTTATATGCATGTGTGTGTACATGTTTATACACACATTTTTTTGTTTATATATAAATGTAGATACAGAACTTTGTACTTGAGAGGGCTTCATTAGATGGTCTCATTCTACAGAAAAGGGAATTGTTTAAAGAGAATATTAAATAACTTACATTTAGATGTAAACAGGATATTTCACAGTTTCTTCCCACCCCAAAACTCAGTTCAGTAACTTCGAAAATCTTACAATCTAGTTCACTTTATTTGGGCTTTTCCACTGAAATTGCATTTGGTTAGAGTGATTTAAAAGTACTTCTGGTTAAGGCATTATTTCTTTCTAACTGCTATGCCTTATTGAAAAGACAGAAAAATTATAAACCTTATTGTGGGAAATAGAAGTGCACCGAGATTCTTCACATAAAGAAATAGTTTTCTGTTGCTTTTATGAGACATTGTGGATCCCATTTGGACACCATTCTTCCTTTTAGGTGTGGACATAGAGAATGTCTTCCTGATCTTAGTTCAGTAGTAACTGCTCATCAGATGTTGGCTGGGTCTTTTGAGTAAAGTGAGCTTTCTTTCTTGGGTGCCCTGAATCAAGCACCCTAACCGAGGGGAACTGGTGTTAGACTGGGAGGGCTTGAAGTATAAGTGCTAGGGCTTCATAGGATGTTTGTCCATTTGACGTGGCACTCATTCACCTGATTGAGCTCAGCTTTTGGGTTCTCGGTCCAAATTTAAGTTCTCAGCATCTGGTATCTGTCATGAAAGGATTATTAGACACATTACTTACCTTTCTTCCATTTTAGTGTACTGCTTTTATAAGAACAACTGATTCAAAATAAGGTACAGATTTATTTGTGAATATTTTGATGAGTGTTATGGAATATGAAATACATTTTCAGGCACCACGTGCTAAAATGAACCAGCAGCGTTCAAGGAGGTTCAGGGCATCAAAAGAAGGAATGGAAGCAGCAGTCGAGAAGCAGCGAGTCAGGGAAGAAATATTGGCAAAAGGTAAAGAATATGCATCTTGAAGTTGGATTTTTTCATAAGATGTATGCAGAATGAGGGGGTGGTGGCAACTTTTTCTTACAAAGAGGCAAGCTTTTAATTTAATAAGGATCCCAGAATATCCAGTGTTCACTGTTGAGGAAAAGTAGTTCATGAAATCTACCAATAGGCTTAATAGGCTTGTTTATTTTCAAACTCTCCAGTAAGAGGGAGCCTTGGGAATAGGGAATTCTGGTGGAGATTGCAGATTGTCAACTCCTCTCAGGGCCAGTGCAGCTCTTTAACAAACTTTTATGTCTCTGTAGAATAGAAATATAGTAAGTATTTTTTACTACTTTTCTCTGTGGCGGCTGTCAGAAAGCTATAGTGCTGTAAACATTTTCCTCAAATCAGCTTTGGTTTGCTTGCTTTTTGAAACTCAGAGGTCTATCTGAGGAAGCCGGAGGTGATTCGATCCACATTTACAGGCTGTTGCCAAGTCATTTGCATACTTTCAATATAGGTTGATGGAGCAGGCACAGTACTTATGGTTCCTTCAAGTTTGGAGGGGTTAGGGTGGGATGTCTTCATTTTTGCAGTTCCCCAAAGCCTTAAAATTCCTGGTGGCTACATGGGTAGGAACTGACTAAGCCTCAGAGAAAAGGAAGATCAGGGAGTGTTGATGCCAGTTGGGACTGGTTCTCTCCTACCACACCTGTGTGTGAGGTAGGGTATGGTTGTAGCAGGTTTGTTTGGTGTTCTGCTACTTAAGGGGGTATAATAGACCAGAAAAGCCACAGTGTCTTGGCTCCGGATAATTGCACTCTGCAGTTGAAAAAGGATGCCATAGTATAGCCAGCTCAGGCCTGCAATTACAATAAATTTTATATTACTTGAATTTTGCTGGAAGTGTACAAGTATATAGTTCCTTTAGCTGCAACTTGTAATTAAGACTCTAAAACCTGTTTGTATTTATAACAATGTTTCTGATTTTAAGAATGTCTTTTTTTTGAAGATGTGATGAAATATACTTGTTTCTTGAGAAGCAGCTAATAGTGATAGAGAGGAAAAAATAGGATTTTTATATTCCTCTACCTGATAATTGTATTTCTTATCCTGTAAAGCTGTGATGAACTCGGCATTTTAAATTTCATTTTTCTTAGGCACCTTTATTTTAGGAACTGTTATCAAAAAATATGGCCTCTAACTGGTGTGTGTGTGTGTGTGTGTGTGTGTGTGTGTGTGTGTGTGTATTCTCTTACAGAGTGAAGAACTTCATAATTTTTATGTAACAATATAATATCTTTTGTGTACCATATATTGTTTTACAGTCTTATTAAAACATAATTTAAAAGGCTGAGCACGATGGCTCACCCCTGTAATCCCAGCATTTTGGGAGGCCGAGGACGGCAGATGACTGGAGGTCAGGAGTTCAAGACCAGCCTGGCCAACACAATGAAACTGCGTCTCTACTAAAAATACAAAAATTAGCCAGGCGTGGTGGCAGGCGCCTGTAATCCCAGCTTCTCAGGAGGCTGAGACAGGAGAATCGCTTGAACCCCGGAAGGCGGAGGTTGCAGTGAGCCGAGATTGCACCACTGCACTCCAGCCTGGGTGACAGAATGAGACTCTGTCTCAAATAATAATAATAATAATAATTTAAATTTGAGAGATGGAATCTTATTTTCTTCCCAGTGAGGGAACATTTTTCCTCGGATGACGAGACTTCACTTTCTTTTGTAGTGGAACTTTTTGTTTTTGTTGTTCTGGCTTAATGTTGAGTAATTTATCTCACTTTTTATGGGGAGAACAAAACGTTGCCTCTTTTCTCTAGGTGGCTTTCTTCCTCCAGAAGAAATAAAAGAAAGATTTGACAGCAACTGTATTACACCAGTAAGTAGTCTCATACTTTGCTAGCTATTGCTAACTCTTAAATGATAGGTTAATTTATTTCTTTCTATCATTTTAGGGAACTGAATTCATGGACAATCTTGCTAAATGCCTTCGCTATTACATAGCTGATCGTTTAAATAATGACCCTGGGTGGAAAAATTTGACAGTAAGTTTCACATTTTGATACTTCAGAAAGATTAGGGTGATCATTCGAGGCTGTACTTTGATATGACTGACATTATTTATCCTTCTGCCCTGCCCCATAAAATGCTAGTTGACTGTTGGAAGAAAGAAAAGCTTCCAGGGTTTTTGGAGATGGGGTATCCTTGCATGGTTAGGTTTTAGATAGCTGAATTTTCTCTTAAAGCCAATTTTGTCCTCTTACCATCACTATGAAGCTATAAAATGGGATTCATAATTTAAAAAATATATATAGGAAAGTAATTTTTAAATGGAAATTTCCATTATTACATATCAATATACAGCAAAATTAGTAAGTTGTGGGGCTGTCTTAAATGGCTGTGTTCCCAAATATTTAAATAATATGTAAATGAACTTGTTTGTAATTTTAGGTTCATAAGCTGGCTTCCCTATTAATGAGAAATGGTAAATTATATTTTATAGATATGTGTTATTGATTATTCTTGGGGCATATATGGTTCAGCACTATATCCTTGCATAGTAGTGAAAATAGGAGCTTGTGAATGATCAGTTTTTCTGATGGCTAGGTCTGACCCAGACATTTCATTCCTTTCCATTACATGTAGTAAGTCAATCAATGAAGTGGTTTTGGTGTCTCTCACACACACACACCCCTTCTTTATTCAGAAAATTTTCAGTGAAGTAGTTTTGGTGTTTTTCACACACACACACACACACACACACACACACACACACACCCTTATTCAGAAAATTTTCCCGTAACACTTATCTCAGTTTTTCTTGAGACATATAATTCTTTTGATTTTTGTGCCTATAGAAAATTGGGGATAATCTGAAAGTGTTAACAATTTTTTTATAGGTTATTTTATCTGATGCTAGTGCTCCTGGTGAAGGAGAACATAAAATCATGGATTACATTAGAAGGCAAAGAGGTAAAGCTTACTTACCAATATTTGATTATATGTTCTATTTTTAAAAAGCCATTGCATAGAAAATACTTGGTATGAAGTGATATTCTTGTGGTATATAATATATTAATATAAATACATGTTTCTCTCTTGTTTAGCCCAGCCTAACCATGACCCAAATACTCATCATTGTTTATGTGGAGCAGATGGTAAGTTTCTTCTTTGGGATTTGCTTCTTTTGGATTAAACCATAGCAAGTTGATGGGTTGGTGTGCAGTAATGGATTATTCATGGTTACCTGGAAGTTCCAAAATGCCTTGGTTATTTTATGTTCGACAGGGAACTAGTATTGAGTTGCTGTTTAATCTGTGGTCAATGATCTTTAATTTCTTTTCTTCTTTCTTACATTTTTCAACCTTTTAACTCCCCATACCTTTAAAATGGAGAATTTCCCAAGTGTTTAATCCTTAGTGGCAGTCTATGTTGTAGGTCCACGTATCTAGAGGACTTCCTGTTAACTGGGAAATGCCAGGAAGTGTCAAGCTTTGGGGCTTTGCTGCTCATTTGGGTGCTCATTTGGGCTTTTCTTTGTGTTGGCATCTCATAGTAGTTTATGGTAAGACTTCTCTCAGAATACTCACTGTTCGATGTTTTTCTCATTGTTGATTGATAGCTGATCTCATTATGCTTGGCCTTGCCACACATGAACCGAACTTTACCATTATTAGAGAAGAATTCAAACCAAACAAGCCCAAACCATGTGGTCTTTGTAATCAGTTTGGACATGAGGTCAAAGATTGTGAAGGTTTGCCAAGAGAAAAGAAGGGAAAGGTAAGAACTTTGAGATGGTAGTTGCCTCATTAAAAAAAAAAATCTATTGTGGTAAAATGTATATGACATAAAATATCATTTCAACCATTTTAAAGTATACAATTAAATAGCATTAAATATTTGAGTTACCTTGTTTTTAAAATGGATGAAGAGAAGATTGTGGTTGATTAGTTCTTTATGTGCTTGTTCTGTTACCGTTACCCTTCACAGAGATGTATCTTTTTTCTTTTTTTTTTCTTTTGAGACAGTCTCGACAGAGACGAATCTTTTAAAGTACTTTAAAATAAACCTGCATTCAAAAACATGCACACACTCATCCTTTCTACTTAGCACTTTTTCTGATATTGCCTATATCTACACGAGGCTTAGTTCCCATAGATAATAATGCCCATAGCTTGTAATTTGTTTGTGGAAGTTATTTGTTTGAAATACTCTTCTTAAAAGGAACTACAACTTCTTAAGACTTTTAAGTTACTCCCACTTTTTATGTATTTTAGGTTCACTTGGTTATGTCCAGTCCCCTTTAAAGGGGCTTCTGTTTCAATAATATGGTGCCTCTTGAGTCATATGCTTTTTGAGGGGGGAAAAAGAATATGGTGCCTCTTTCAAAGACATCGTTAAGTGAAAAAAGAGATAAATATAGTGTATTATTTCAGATATGTAATACAATAAAGACAGTATACATGTATCTATGCACATCTGTTCACAAGGAAGGGGTAATCATTGGTTGGGTATAGGTCATCAGTTGGCAAACTTCAATCCTCCAGGTTTGGCCTGTGAGCTATGTTTTTTACATTTTTAAAGTGTTGTTAAAAACAAAATAAAACATGAAAGACTATTAAACAGAGATCATATATGTCCCCCAGTAGCCAAAATAATTTACTGTCTGGCCCTTTGCAGAAAATGTTTGCTGACCCCTGATCTAGACGTGGTTGATTTTATGGGTAATTTTTATTTTAAAATGCATTGGTGAGCTTTTAAAAATTAAATACTTGTGATATTAAAATGGATTGTGCGTTAGAAAAAGCCTTAAAATTTGCTTGGTTGGAAAAAATTACTGGACGTAGAGTAGACTTGTTTCATCTTCATTCCTGTTCTTGCAGCATGATGAACTTGCCGATAGTCTTCCTTGTGCAGAAGGAGAGTTTATCTTCCTTCGGCTTAATGTTCTTCGTGAGGTATGTAGCAATAATCATTGAAATCAGCACTCTAAAGCAGGGTGCCTTTGATAGCTGTAATGGCAGCATTCCTTTTTGGTTGTAGTATTTGGAAAGAGAACTCACAATGGCCAGCCTACCATTCACATTTGATGTTGAGAGGAGCATTGATGACTGGGTTTTCATGTGCTTCTTTGTGGGAAATGACTTCCTCCCTCATTTGCCATCGTTAGAGATTAGGTATGTGCATTTGTGTAGCTTTTCAAACGACTGTTTTAGGCTTCTTGACTTTACTGTGCCTACTGGTCCTAATGCATAATGTTTGTCTCTTGCTGACAGGGAAAATGCAATTGACCGTTTGGTTAACATATACAAAAATGTGGTACACAAAACTGGGGTAAGTTCATTCTTGAATGATTTCAAAACAGAAGTATTTGCTTTTATAAGAAGATCATTTTACATATATTTTATCACTTACAGGGTTACCTTACAGAAAGTGGTTATGTCAATCTGCAAAGAGTACAGATGATCATGTTAGCAGTTGGTGAAGTTGAGGATAGCATTTTTAAAAAGAGAAAGGATGATGAGGTAAAGTGTTTCTATTGCAGTAGCTAAAATTGCTCCTGTCTCTAATAGGCTATGATGATCCTGTGATTACTTTTAATCTCTTTGAGTGTGTTTTTATATCATTATGGTGTGTCAACACTAATGTAATCATGAGTGGTCAGTGCTTTGATTATTTTATAAAGGTTGTGCTGCTTGCTCTGTGGAACTATGTATTGTACCCTGTTTGAGTTGCATTGTAATGTTTTTTCTGTCTTCATAATCTGAATATAAATCCAAACACATTTCTAATCAATAGGATTTGAAATGCGGGTACCAAGGCTGGAAGTCTATTGGGATTGAACTAGTGGCTGTCATGTTTTGAAGGCAGGAAGACAGGTTAAGAAGAATTGACAATGTAGGGAGTGTGGGTTGGATTATATCAGCCAGGGCAGAGGGTTGGGAGAATGTAGGATCTGTGGAGAGCTGAATCTCTTAAAAAATTGAAACACAAGAAGGAAATAAAATAGCAAAGCATTTGAAAATTGATTGCATATTATGGATGAGCGCTTACATGAAAAGTCCAGGTTCTGGCTTGGGCAGTTAGGAATTTGCTGGTGCCATTTACTAAGATAGCAAGCACTAGGGGTGGAATGGGTTGGGGTGGGGACAAAGTAAAAACTGAGTTTCATTTTGGAGATGTTTAATGTGAGGGGGCTGTAGGACACCTGAGAGGAGAAAAGTCCATTAAGCAGTTGAATGTGTATAAAGCTCAGGGCAGAAGTCTTTTGAAGAGATTTGAGAACCATTAACTAATGGAAGATACTTGAAACTATGAGTGTACTATGAGTGTGACCCTGGGAGCTTGTGTGGAGTAAAAGTACCTTTAATAGAAGCCTAGGGAACCACGGACATTTAAAGAGAAAGAGGAGCCAGTTATAGAGAGGTAGAAGGAAATTCCTGAAGAGATGGGAAGCCATGCTCAAGGGGTCACAGTGAGATGGACAGGCACTTCGTCCGTGGACAGGGTTTGGGATCCACTGGTGAGCTGATAGGAGTGGAGGAGCAGCAGCCTGGAGGCAGAGTGATTGGAGGGTGATTGCAGGGTGTAGCAAGGGAGGCCAGCAGTGGGCAAAATAAGCAGGTAATAGCTTCTTAGAAACAGCAAGGAAATCCTTTCAGAAACTGATTTTATAAAAGTCATGTGGCTATTTTAAGCAGATAACAACATATATTACTGCTACATTGCTTCATGATCTCCCAGCACATTAAAATGTGTCATTGAATCTTATTTTCTGTTTTCATCAACTTTGTATACTGTAGCTAGTGATCTCTTATTTTTAAAACTTTGGGTGTCATTTTATGTAACATAGTGGGTTGACTGTAAGCATTCTTTCCAAAAGCCTTCAGTACTTGGTAATGTTTTTATGTGATGTCAAGAGTTTTTTGCATATAGAATTCAAATTACAGAACTAGCTTTGTCTGGAAGATCAGATGTCAATTGGAACATTTTTAACTACTTTTTCAACAATTATGGTGGCATCCCTTGATCTGCTGCTACATACTTTGTACCACTTGGTTTAAAAACCTTGAGTTACAGTAGCTTCTACTGTCTCTTTAGCCGACTCTGCACCTTGAGTTGGCATTAGAGGAGGAAGTATGGGATTTGGTAGACACCATAGTGTTACAGATTTAATTAATACGATTTTTCAGCTGACCTGGCAGGAGAGGGCATTTTAAAGCTTTGGATCTTTGTTGGTGTTCCTGAAGTCATGCCATGTCCTTCAGCATGATTGGACACCAGGGGAAACCCTCAAAAACGCAATAGGAAAGTTTCCAGATATATGTATTTTTCTGGGAAGTATGTCCCTGGCATTTGACAGATTTCCAAAGGAGTTCATAGCACAAAAAAGGGAGAGATCCATAAGGTCCACCCAGGTGGTCTTCTGTTTGTGCGTGACTACCACCCTTAGAGATAGGCATTTAACAGACCAGCAGAACAAATGATAGAAAAGGAATACATTAATATTTGTTATTGGCTAAGCGTGGTGGCTCATGCCTTTAATCCCAGCACTTTGGGAGGCTAAGGTGGGCAGATCACCTGAGGTTAGGAGCTTGAGACCAGCCTGGCCAACTTGGTGAAACCCCATCTCTACTAAAAATACAAAAATTTAAGCTGGGCGTGGTGGTGGGCGCCTATAATCCCAGCCGCTTGGGAGGCTGAGGCAGGAGAATTGCTTGAACCCAAGAGGTGGAGGCTGCAGTGAGCTGGGATCATGCTACTGCACTCCAGCCAGGGCGACAGAGCAAGTCTCTTGTCTCCAAAGAAAAAAAAATTGTTATTGAAGTTGAGCATTTAGGCAAGAAATGTGTTGCTTTTTATTGTATGAGCTTTCATGTTTACCTTTTAACTTGGGAATGTTGTTCATTTATTAAGCAAATATTTAAGTATTTACCATGTGCCAGACAGTGTTCTGAGTGCTAGTGATACAGCAAAAAACAAAAAAGGAGACAGAAATCCCTGCCCTCATGGAGTTTACATTCTCTTGGGAGAGCTGGAAGATAAACACAGTAACTAAGTAAACCTCATTAAGTGTTAGAGAATAAGTGCCACAAAGAAAACTAAAGCAGGTGAGGAGGCATCTGGGAAGGGAGAGGTTGGGCATTACAGTTCTAGAAAAGGTGACGAGAGATGGCCTCACTGACAGCTGACCTTGATTAAAGTTGTAAAGGATGTGAGGGAGCACACTGCAGATGTTTTCAGGAAGCACATTACAGACAGAGGGAATCACCAGTGCCAAGGCCCTGGGGCAGGAACATACTCAGGATGTTCACAGAACACAAAGGAGCCAGTGTGGAAGGAGCAGAGGAGGCAAAGGAAGAGCAGTAGGAGATGAACTCAGAAAGAAGACGGAGGGCCCAGTCTGGTAGGACCCAACAGGTCATCATAGGACTGTTAACTTTCATTGTGCATCAGTGTAAGGTTTTGAGTAGAAAAGTGACAAGATTTGACACATACTGTAAAAGGATCACTCTAGCTGCCATGTTGGAAGTACTGTGTGGAGGGAAAGGTCAAAGCAGTGAGCCCCAGGCCAGTGAGGAGCCTTTTTTACAGTAATCCAAGGGAGCCTGGATGGTAGCAGTGGAGATCATCAGAGGCAGTTGGATTCTGAACATGTTTTGAAGGTAGAACCAGTGGGATTGGCAAATGGATTAAACATAGAGTGTAAGAGAAGGAAAGGTGACACAAGACTGAAAGATGTTTTGAGCAACCCTCATGGAAAGACTGGGAGGTGCAAAGGTGGGTTGGGGATTCTATTTCAGACATGTGAAGTTTGAGATAGCCAAATGGAGATGCTAAGTATGGAGAGGCTCTGGTTGGGGAGTCATCAGCATGTAGATGGTGTTCAAAGCCATGAGACCAGGTGATGACTCCCATGGGAGGAGAGAAGTGGAGAGATCCAAGTACTGGGCCCAGGGGAGCACCAACATTAACTCATTTCTGCCCAGTGTTCCATTATTGGAACGATAAGCTTGTGGGAGTTATTTATATCCTACTGCTAAAGGTCATCACCAAGGTTTGATTTTTCACACAAAAAACTTGCAACCTCCAGCATAAATGGGTTAAGAGGCTGGGGAGTTGAGGAACAAAGACACATAGCAAGAGGGAAGGAGATCAGGTGAGTGTAGCCTCCTGGAAGCCAAGTGAAGACTGATCCAAGGAGGAAAGAATCCTGGTCAGATAAGGACTGAAATCTGACTAATGGATTTCATAGTCTGCAGGTCATTGGTGACCTACACAAGAGACGTTTCATTGAAGATGGGACAGAAGCTTGATTAAATAAATCAGTGGTTTCTACATCAGAGGAGGTTTTAGGGTAGTTGATCACCTGGGCTCCACTTTAGAGCAGGAGACTTATGTATCCGGCATTCAGCTTTTTGCCTGGCAGAAAGCACCAATTTCCAATTTCCTTAAGGCCTTATATTGCAGTTGGTAGGACTGACTTTGGAAGTGTACCTACTAGGATGACCATCAGTATAGGATCCACTGGCCCCTGTTTTAGGCTACAACAGTAGCTATGGCCACCCTAGCTGTCATTTCAGTTCCTTGATACTCAGGGAAACTTGGGCATGGTTATGGGAGGCCTGCGAATGGCCCAGAGTTAGTAGGGAACAAGATGAACACAAAATTCTGTCTAGTTGAAACCATGGCTACAATTTGGAAATGAGTAGGGGGAAAGAATCAACGTGGGCTGGACCCTCTCCTGTGAATTAAATTGGCCCAGAGTAGTAAGCCGTGCATACACCTCAATTTCCTTCCTTTTTTTCCATCGGATTGATATTTTTGGAATCTGGCCAGGGTGAGGGATAATGTTTGCGTAGAGTCCCACTTCTCTCTTTTCTCCATTGTGCCATGCATGCTATAGAATAAGAGCCCTTTTTAGATAACAGAGTCTAATTAAATTGTCTTGCTGATTTTTTTAAAAATGGATACCTTAGTTATTAACTACCTTCAACTAAACCTTAAGAATTGTTGAGTTGTTTATTTTATTTTATTTTATTTTTTAACTTACTTGTATCTTCTCCATATTGACAGCCTGTTTGCTCCAGGATAAAACCAAGGGTCTTTGTAATGGCTTTGCATTTTCCTAAAATGATTCAAAAGCTTTCTGAACAGAATTACCAAGATCAATTGAATTGTATCTAAATTCAGTCTTCCATTGTTAAGTTCTGATAAGCAGCATTTTGAACATATAGTCTTATTGCCTGGTTTAATCATGTACCTAGATTTCTGGGGTCGTCCTTTAAAACTTAAGTTGTCTCCCAAATCATTCCTGGTAATGCTTAACTCTGACATTTTTGTGTAATTATTTGACAGAATATGTGGATTTTATACTTTTAGGACAGTTTTAGAAGACGACAGAAAGAAAAAAGAAAGAGAATGAAGGTGAGTTTTAATTAATTTCATGAGATTGGCAATAGCGTAATTTTACAATTTATGAGGAAGATGTTCATTACAGTAGCTTTATTCCTTGTCCAGTAGGACTTAGTCAGGGACGTAAGTGTCCACCCAGTTACCTTTTTACCTGTAGAAAGAACACTGGTGTCGATTTAAAGAAGGTCCTCTAGGCTCTGATGTCTGAAGGGATACACTTGGGAGGTGAGAGGTGGGTGGCAGTTAGCTATTTGAATGGTTTACAGCAATCAAGTATTGTTTTTTAAGTAAAAATGGTCAATATTTTGTATCCCCTTGAAAGTTACTGTACTCTTATTTCTACCTCTTTGTCAGATTAATCTTTCTAGAACACAACACTCTAAACTTGTTTCTCTGCTCTAAAAGCACCACTGACTCCTTAATCCCCTCAGAATCCAATTCTGTCTTAGTTTGGTGTTCAGAGCACACTGTCATCCAGTTGAATTCCAGCCGTCCAGCACATCCCCTGTTGTCTTCTAAATACGCCATATCCCTGCTGATTAAGAGTGTTGCCTTCATTTGTAACCTCTGAATGGATTTTTGACTTTGCAGCTCACTGACATCATACCTTTTCTACAAGGCCTCCCTTCTTGGTTATGCTCATAGTACAGGTTGAGCAATCCTTTCTTTTAACTCTGGTGCTTCCTATGTCTGATACATGTTTTCTTACTTAATTGCATAATGCTTTATAGTCATTTAACTTCTTTAGTTCTTGTTTTCTTATCTTCCCTACTAGATTTTCAAGCTTGTGGAGTTTAGGGACTGCCTTTTACTACGTTTTGTTAGAATTAAGCAATTTCAGGAAACAAGAAGGGAGAAAAGTAGAGTTATTTATTGTTGCAGTGGGTTCAAAATCATTTAGATTGGGAGGGGCATATTTGGTTTCTACTTATATATTATTATTTTTGTCAGTATCTTAGTCAGCCAAGACTATCACCTATGTTAGCTATAATCATATCTAATTAATTGGAAATAAAGAGTTAAATTCTAGCAAGGCAAAGGGTAAATAAAAGTTGTATTTCCACAAAAATTAGCCGGGTGTGGTGACGTGTGCCTGTAATCCCAGCTACTCGGGAGGCTGAGGTGAGAGGATCGCTTGAATTCAGGAAGCAGAGGTTGCAGTGAGTGGAGATTGCACCACTGCACCCTAGCCTGCACAACAGAGTGAGACTCTGTCTCAAAAATAAATAAATAAATTTAAAAAGTTGTATTTCCTAAGTATAACTCAAACTCAACTTTTTTTAAACCTAAATTATTTTGTTTTTATTAGCCTGAAATTGTGTCTCGAATGTTTTCTGTAATTATAAAAAGCAGTGGGTTAGCATAATGAGACTTGAAAGATTTTCTCTATGTTTCAGTATAATGTATTATATGTACTTTAGGACTGAGTTATTAAGTATTATAGGCTATTGTTTAGAAGGTATAAGTTACCATCAAATCAAAGTGTAGACAACCTTGTAATATTAACGAAGATCATTTGGTTTTTTAGTGAGTTTTGTAAAGTGCTTACAGTTTGGACTTTATTCCATTGCCCTTCTTTCCTTTCTGTCATCTAACTGTGTTGTGATTTAATTTTAATTTCTACATTCATTCCATTTATGTTAGAGAGATCAACCAGCTTTCACTCCTAGTGGAATATTAACTCCTCATGCCTTGGGTTCAAGAAATTCACCAGGTTCTCAAGTAGCCAGTAATCCGAGACAAGCAGCCTATGAAATGAGGATGCAGAATAACTCTGTAAGTGGCTTACTTTTATGTGACATTTAAGAGTGGTGAATATCACATACCTCTTGCAGGGGTGGTGTGTGTGTGAAATTTATCACAGCCTGGAGTTTTGTTTTATAGTTTTTCTTAATTGCTTTGCCTTGAGAAATGTTTAGTTCTGTTAAGTCCATCTTTATCAATATGAAAATATCCAAATGATGTGAAAGAAGAGCACGTAGGATTGTTGATACATGCGAATATAAAGAGCTGATTCCAGTTTGGGTGACAGCGTGAGACCCTGTCTCAAAAATAAGCTAAGTGGCTGCAGTGTTTTTGTAATGCAGATGAACCACACACTGCTTCTCCCTTCTCCAAAGAATAGGGTGGTGAATGGTTCTAGAAGCTTGTCAAGGGACATCCATATGTCTCAAAGCTGAGGCAAGAGGAGGAGGATGGGTTTTATTCCCTTATTTCCCCTTTCCTTCAGTGGGCAGTTGTGAGCATTTTGCAAAATAGTATTCCTTAGGTGTAAACTCTGGCTCTCCAATTCAGCATGGAATAGATCTAAATAAATATCTTAAGGTAGCACTTACTGGTTACTCCCTGTTTGTGAACTCAGCAACTGCATGCATTTATTTGCCTTGTGGTATTCTTCCATATTTGAACTTGGTAATCCAAACTCCAGAAGCAAATCAACCTATCCTGCAAGGCTGTACTTTGTCCACCACCTTCCTATTGTAGTGGAAATAGACCATGAGCTCTCAGAATACCCAGTGGGACAGCAACAGGGCTGAGGGAACAGACCCTGATCTAACAGTAGAGGAAGGAACATACACTTTTGCTATGATATATCCAAGGAAATTGAATAAGCTTGGATATTTAATTTCTGTTATTCTGTTAGTTATCCTATTGATGCTCATATGGAACAGAAATAGCTGATGCCCATCATTCAAGATTTTAGTGACTACCATCCCCGCAGAGCAGAACTGAGAGTGACTGGTGGTGTTATATGCCCTGTTGATGGTAGAGTACTTTTTTTTTTAAATCTTGGGAGGCAGGCAGGTTTAAACTTTGCCAGCTGTGGTTGCTTCAGGAAGCATTCCAGTATTATCTTCAGGCCCGGTAGTATTAGGCCACAGGACCAGACTGTAGATCGATAACATCTGCCATAGGAGTAGTAATGGGGAGACTGGTGATGAGGTTGCTTCTTTGATTCTGTCTTAATTAACTTCCCTTGCCACAATTATTTCTATATAGAGGAGGTATGGAATTCGAATCTTTGCAGAGTGGGATTTTCACCTAGAATGTTCTAAATTTAAGGAAATTTTGAAGTCAAATTACCAGTTTATTTAAAGGGAGCCATTAAAGTTACAGATTTCTCGTGTTTTATTTTTCTGAGCTGTTGGGTTGTAGTCTCTAATACTTATCTACTGATGATTAACATTCTTAGTGTTTTATTAAATAGCTTCCATTTCCTTATATTTGTGGTTTTATATTTAGCGTTCTTCAGTGTGGTTTCATTATATCTAATTTGATGAAAAAAACAGCTTAAGAAGAAATTTGAATTTAATATGAATCTGGTATGTTCACAAGGGAATATTTTTGTTGGTAGAGACAGCAGCGGAGATTTAGCATTAAATGGTGAACAGCATTTTTTTCTAGAAAGTATATTATTATTTGTTTTCTAAAGATAGAGTTTATATCTTGTTAGTAATTAATTTTGTTAAAGTTTGCTTTTTACACAACTTCTCTGTAGACAGTTAATGGGAATGTCACTCTCATAATTTAATACAAATGGATTAGTGTAGGGTTGAAAAAACAATAGTGATTACTTACTGAATGGTTAACTACCATGTACCATGTAGGCAGCATGCCAGTAATCTTTCACATGTATTGATGCATTTAATCCTTGCAATAACTTGTAAGGAAACAGAACGTTATCATCCCCATTTTAAGATGAGGCTCACAGAGGTTAAGTAATAAATTGTTCAAGGCCACACAGCCAGTAAAGGTTGAATTTGGTATTTCAGACTCAGATCTGTATGACTAAAATACAACAATACCTGCCTCGTTTTCCAAGTACAACAGTGCCTTCCTGTATTTATTTTTATTGGGTTTTTTTTTGACAATATTGTCTGTACCTTTTCATTAATAACATTGACATTATGTTTTTAAAAGAGATGTGCTCTAAGTTCTATGTGAAATATGATTTCGTATTATTTTAACTTTTCTTGACCTGTGGTATGAACTGTGTTTATGCTGTGGATACTCTAATTATTATATCATTCAAATGGCCTTCTGTGCTCTCAGTTTAAAAAAAATTCAGTTTACTTGAAATAGCTAATATACTGTGAGTAACAGAAGAAAAACTTGACTGTGGAAATGTTTCTGCCCCTTATGTTTTTGGTGATGTGGTCCTTTAGCTTGAGTAACTAAAGTTGCAGAACATTTTCTTTTAATTTTTAAATATTAAAATATGTTAGGGTTATATTAAAATATGTTAATTAAAATTAACGTATTATGTTAATTGAGTTAGGTACAAAGGGAAGATAATACTGAATTTAAAGTGACAGCTAAGTCTTTGAAATACCAATAAAATCTGCATTTTTCTAAGATGACTAATAGATTTTTATTTGTTGATTGATTTTTAAAACTGAACATATAAAGTAATTTAAGTTATCTAACACAGTCTTATTAAACTTGCTTTTCAGAGTGGTTGTACTAGGTTGAAGACTTAACCATTTAGCTGCATTCTCACCAGCATTGACTATTTTATATATTATTACATCTATATTATTATATATTATATGCTATATATGTAATGCATTTTATATATCACATAATTTTTTCCCCTCATAGCTTTGCCATTTGGTAGGTGGCAAATGATTGTGAATTCCTAACAGGAATTGTTACAACTGATTGTCACAAATGATTGTGAACCACCAAAGGAAAATAAAATTCAAGTACTATAATTTTTAAAAATCTATAAAATTAAAACTTTTTTTTTCTTCAGAAACTTTTTTTTTTGCCCTAATAATGTTAATTGTTTTTAGTTTAAGCATAGAAAGTTTGGGTATTACATTACTTCTTTTGAGGGGAAGTGAAATGGAGCAAGATCAGTCTCTGTACCTTCTAAATATGTTTACCATCTCTATGTAGTAGCTTTAAAAATGTTACTGTGAAACATGGTAAGTAGTGGTGGTTGGATGTACCTTCTTATGTAAAATGAATAATGAAATCCTTCTTCTGTAATGTCATCATTGTCTGCAGAGTCCTTCGATATCTCCTAATACGAGTTTCACATCTGATGGCTCCCCGTCTCCATTAGGAGGAATTAAGCGAAAAGCAGAAGACAGTGACAGTGAACCTGAGCCAGAGGATAATGTCAGGTGAAGCCATTTTTTGGTAGCACTTTGTTAGCAAATTGCTGAAATAGATGCAGTCTAATTAATGCTATTTAGCTTAGAGCAGCAGTGCCTTCAGATGCTTGCCTGTGATCTTTTTATCCATCAGTAATTAATGTGGAGGGTTAGAATAGTCAGTAAATTCCAGTGAGATGTGTAAGCTGTAGCTGTTAAACCTAAGTGTCTAGATTAGTATGCGTGCAGGCTTTCGTCCTCCAATCCACTTTTCCCTCTGAGACCAGGCACAAGATCGGCTAGATATCATATCTAGGTGTTTAGCTCTGACTATGTGATCTGAATGTTGCTGTTTGGAGACTGATTAAATTTTCAAGCTGCTTAACCTAGAAAGTTCAGTTATACTTAGACACTTAATATAGTTTGCCTTAATCTTCTCTATTGAAAGAGTTCTTCCTCAAAATGAAATATGCAGAAATCATTCTGTTAAGAGATCAATATGTATGTTTTTTAAAAACCACAGACTTGCATATGCGCAATTATATTTCATGACAGAGGAGTTTCCCTTTAACTGTATACTTCAAATTTAAAATAGGAAGCTGATTCTTTAATTCATCCTGAAGTTTGAGATCATTATATAATAAGATTAACAACCTCTCATGTAATTAAATCCAGATTTGAACCGTGGGCTCCAAGTGCAAAAGGCCAACAATCTCAATAATTGTAGCTCATTAAGAATTTAGGAAAACGATCTATTTCAAAGGTAAACAAGACAGTAGTCACCTACAGCTCATGCTTCTTTTACAGGACATGGAAAGTGTGTGATTTGTGTTTATGATTAGAAACTTTGCAAGGGTCACGTGTGGTTCTGCACATTTTTCTAACATTCTTTGATTTCAGATCCATGTCTACTTGTGATTGAACATTTACTCTGTATATCTTTAGTTTCTATCCTCTACTTTCTGTACTTTGGGTTTTCCTCTTACAGCATGTCTTTGGTTTTGTTTACTATGTAGCCATCATGATCAATACTAGTTTAATAGGTAACTTGATTTGTTTAGTATTTTATTGTTTAATCCTAGAGGAAATTGTTTAATCCTAGAGGAAATCATTGTTTAATCCTAGAGGAAATGCCTCTACCAAGAAATGCTTGGGGCTTTTAGCATTTTTTCATTAACCTTTTCTGTAAAATAGTGATAATCCACCTTATGAATGGGGGATATTTCTAATTGTTATTCTGTGACTCCTTTGTGTTGTGGGAGGGGCAGATTAAAATTGATATGGTATATTCTGAAACATGACTGCAATTAATATGTGAAATCTGGCACATGGAAAAGAGGCCTAAATGGAGAATCATCTTGATGTTCTTGATCTGTTCTGATGTTTGTAAAGTGTTATTTGGCTTCTTTATGTTCCTTAAATGTTAAATCTTAGAGAATAAGAAATGGATTCTTAAAAAAAATAATACATTGGATGAAAATGTGGTTGGTCACATTGTATTTTCAGTGATGAATGATAATTTAGTGGATTCATTGACCTGCTTCTAGATTTTACCATAACATACATATGTTTGTGTGTGTGTATGTATACATAGATATATAGAGATATAGAATGTGTATGTCTCTCTATATATATCTCTATCTCCTTTCCTTAAGCCATCAACAACTCTTAGCTGAAAGAGGGATAAGGCCCAAGCAAGGATAGAGAGAGTAGGTATACACATAATTTCTGCCTAATGTCTAGATTATTCTTTTATAAACTATTTTTTTACATTTAAAAAAGTTACCTGTGTGCGTCTTAAGTAATTTAGTTGACTTTCTTTGTATGGTTTAAATATATTTTAACAAACTAAGGAACTTGAACTATTTAAAATATCTTCAATATTTGAATCTTAAAATGTAGCTTTAGAATTGTACAAAGAAACATATAAAGTAGTATTAAAATTTGAGCAAATGTGTTCTGTATCTTTTTCAATAACATTTTTGAAAATGTGGTTTTATAATGGTCTTACCAGAATCAGTGATTGGGGTGTGTTTAACTGTCTTTAAGTTGATAATAAATCCTATGAAATTAGACTTTTTAGAAATAGTTAAATGAATCTGTGTTAGCATGACTGTTTAACTCTTTCACATTTCCCCTGGGTATTAAATATAAATTGATTTGGGGTATAAATTAGTAGACAGCCTGTTACTGAAGGTGTGTTAATTCAGCATAAATGAGCTGTGCCTGGTTTTAGGTTATGGGAAGCTGGCTGGAAGCAGCGGTACTACAAGAACAAATTTGATGTGGATGCAGCTGATGAGAAATTCCGTCGGAAAGTTGTGCAGTCGTACGTTGAAGGACTTTGCTGGGTTCTTAGATATTATTACCAGGTACAAAAAGAATATTTTCCTCTGAATTTGTAGTTAATCATTTAAGAAAAATAGTAATTTCTTTTTTTTTGTTTGTTTTTTGTTTTTGAGACGGAGTCTTGCCCTGTCACCTGGGCGGGAGGGCAATGGCGTGATCTCAACTCACTGCGACCTCTGCCTCCCAGGTTCAAGCGATTCTCCTGCCTCAGCCTCCTGAGTAGCTAGGATTACAGAGCGCACCACCACACCCGGCTAATTTTTGTATTTTTAGTAGAGACGGGGTTTCACCATGTTGGTCAGGCTGGTCTCAAACTCCTGACCTCGTGATCCGCCTGCCTCAGCCTCCTAAAGTAGTGGGATTACAGGCATGAACCACTGCGTCCAGCCCAGTAATTTCTGTAATAATAGTATTATTGAGCTGGATCTTGAAAACAAACCCAGGCTCATTTTTTAAAGCTCCCTATTCAGAAGTCCGTATTTGTAAATATTTGTTTCTGAAGACGTGGAAGTTTCTTAGATATTAATATAGAAACAAAGCTAATTTTTGTTAAAAGTATTTTCAGGATCAAGTAATGTGGTTGACTGCACTTTGTCTTTAAGATGACGAAAGGTTAGTGCTTTTTAAATTGGAGTTTAAAAATAACTGAGTAATGAATTGACAGTCACTGAATGACTGAACAGAGGACAAACCCTGGAAAATACAAATAAGAATTCTAAAGGAATTTGAATGCTACGCTTTTCATAATATAGTGATGATACATGAAGCACATTCTAATTGGAATAACCTGTATCCTACCTTTTGATAATTGAGATGTCAGATTGGTGAGAGATTAGGTAGACATATTGAGGACTGTAACACTGATAGTTAATATCTGGTTTCGTGCTTAGAGAGCAAACCAAGTTAAATTTGGTGTGACCTGGGAATAGATGAAGTTTGTTGACAAGTAGAAAGTAACACAGTGCACTGAGTATTGACCGTTAAGTACTCTGTTTGCGTTTTACTCCTACTGTCAAGATTTCAACTCACTAGACACTGTCTTAACACATCTTAGATATCTCTTTCCTATGAGTATAACTTGCTTTTGTTTTCTTTTTGCTGTGTTTACTCACATGTTTTTATAGTCAAAAGAAACTTGTCAGGTGAAAATATAATGGTGAATTTTAAAATGAAACTCATGGCTGTTTTACTTTCAACTGCTGTTCCAATAATGTCTCTAACCACCTTACATGCTCAGTAAATGTCTGCTGTGACTGCTTTTGGTTTTACTTGATGATGACAGCTCTAGAGATGGAAAGAAATGTCACCAAATGTATTTTAAGGATAAAAATCTTACCAAATTGTGTTTGTGAATATGAAGTTTGGCAGTAACTACTGATTTTTCAAAGATGCTTTGTAGCATTTTTAAAGTCAAAGAGCCATTGATATGAATTAGAAACTTCAAACTTAAGGAATTTTTAGGAGTCATGGAAAAGATCAGTATTTGGAATATATGCCAGAAGTCATGTGTTTTATAAGTAGAATATTATAGGTTAACAGTCTAATTTTTGTTTTTTTTAATTGTGTTCATCATTAACATAGGTTTTTGATTTTGTTGTTACTTTTTTAATGATTCTAGGGCTGTGCTTCCTGGAAGTGGTATTATCCATTTCATTATGCACCATTTGCTTCAGACTTTGAAGGCATTGCAGACATGCCATCTGATTTTGAGAAGGGTACGAAACCGGTAAGCTTAATTACTTAAAGTCATAAAGTTTATAGAATTCTGGATTAGATAATAATCTTGGGTCTTTAATGTTTTTTCTTTTTTCAGTTTAAACCACTAGAACAACTTATGGGGGTATTTCCAGCTGCAAGTGGTAATTTTCTACCTCCATCATGGCGGAAGCTCATGAGTGATCCTGTGAGTCTCAGTATTTTGAGTGTGTGGGTGACAGGATTTTTGTCACATTTTATTCATATCAGTTACAATTGCTTTTGCAGCTGATAGTTAAAACAGTGAAGTACAGAAACAGTATGTTTTTTACTCCAAACACACATATATTTCCTGCTTTCTTTGGCCCTGCACAGTAAATCAGTTTGTTTTGGGGAGAAATTTTTTTGTTTAGTTTTTGATTTTTTTGTTTGTTTGTTTGTAAGACGGAGTCTTGCACTGTTGCCCAGGCTGGATTGCAGTGGCACCATCGGCTCACTACAAGCTCTGCCTCCCGGGTTCACGCCATTCTCCTGCCTCAGCCTCCTGAGTAGCTGGGACTATAGGTGCTCGCCACCACGCCCAGCTAATTTTTTGTATTTTTAGTAGAGATGGGGTTTCACCTTGTTAGCCAGGATGGTCTTGATCTCGTGACCTCGTGATCTGCCCACCTCGGCCTCCCAAAGTGCTGGGATTACAGGCGTGAGCCACCGTGCCTGGCCGGGGAAAAATTTTTGTTCTCTGGCTACCTGTAAGTCTTTAATTTTATTTGTTCCAGCCATATTTGGTAGCCACCAGAGATGAGGAAACTGCCTTACCCAAAATCACCTGTGAACTTGTTTTGTATGCTAGCTAGAAAGAGTGAGACCCAGCCGGGAAGTAGGAAATGTTAGAGTACGTAAACCCTTTACTTTCTGCCTGTCTGAAGCCCATAGTTGTCAATTCTAAAATTCTTCTACAGTAATGCTTTTTCATCTTTTAAAATAACATTGTTCATTTTGTTTTACTATACTTGGGATTAATGACCTAATGTCTCTTAACATTTTTTAAAAGGAATGCACTTTATTTTCTCATCAGACCTTATAACTTGAATGAAAGTCATATCAAATTCTTTATAACAGAGATGTGTGACTTCTGTTTTGATTCTTTACTTTTCTCCCTAATATAGGATTCTAGTATAATTGACTTCTATCCTGAAGATTTTGCTATTGATTTGAATGGGAAGAAATATGCATGGCAAGGTAAAATTTAGACGTTCTTTTCTGGTAAAACTGTGAACAAACATAATTTTTGAAATGAAATAATTCTGTAAAAGATAAATATTTTAGCCTGGGCAACATGGTGAAATCTCATTTCTACAAAAAATACAAAAATTAGCCTGGCGTGGTGGCTTGCACCTGTAGTCCCATCTACTTAGGAGGCTGAGGTGGGAGGATTGCTTGAGTCTGGGAGGTCTTGGTTACAGGGAGCCACGATTGCACCACTGCATTCCAGCCTGGAAGACAGAGTGAGGCCCTGTCTCATAAATAAATAAATGAATAAATAAATATTTTAAAAGGTAAATATTTTGAGAATTATATGTGAAATGTTGATATTTCTCCATCCAACCTGGGATTAGCAATGATTAATAGTAAATTTAATTATAACATTCTTAGAAGCAGTAAATTGGGTTGAAATAGGTTGATAATTACATCTTTTGTTTCCTTTGTGATTAATTAATGGGGCTTGTTACATTCAGTCAGTAGCTCATTAACACCTTTTGAGGTTGCTGAGAAATACAGAAACACAGTAGTATCCATGTGGAGATTTATGTATACTCCATGGAAACTTTTGAAAAATATGCTAGAAACTTTTATGTAGTTTAAATACTTGATGTTGATCATTACTTTTCCTACTAGTTTTTCATTCCATTAACAGATTTTGTAGGAATGGCTATATAAAATTTGTACTAACTTTAAGGTGTGTTTACCACTCAACCAATATGTAATGATGATTGAATGTAAAATACAATAAAGAAATATCTTGGCCGGGCGCAGTGGCTCGCGCCTGTAATCCCAGCAATTTGGGAGGCCAAGGCGGGCGGATCACGAGGTCAGGAGATCGAGACCATCCTGGCTAACACAGTGAAACACCGTCTCTACTAGAAATACAAAAAATTAGCCTGGTGTGGTGGCGGGCGCCTGTAGTCCCAGCTACTCGGGAGGCAGAGGCAGGAGAATGGCGTGAACCCGGGAGGCAGAGCTTGCAGTGAGTCGAGATAGCACCACTGCACTCCAGCCTGGGCGACAGAGCAAGACTCCGTCTCAAAAAAAAAAAAAAAAAAAAAAAAAAAAGAAATATCTCTTACACAGTAAACCAGCTGTTGTTTCACACTAAAGTCATCCTGCAGCAAATTATTTAACCTTTTCTTCCACCATACATTTTCCTAGGGTAATAAACACATTTGGTAAAATCATATTTTCATTTTTTACTTATTGTTCTCTGTGGTTGGAATGGCCAATAAAATGACTTACGGAGAATCTTGAGACAAAGGGGGAATAAATAATACAATTTACAAATTGAAAAATCAGGAGGCTTTGGAGTTGACTTGATTTATTTAGTAGCAGAAATATCATATCGCTTCAGTGGAATGATCATGGAAGTGCACCCATTGGGGTTATATAAGGGTTGTGTGCTTCATGATCATGTATTATTACATGTTAAATGGATTGGAGATTCGGGTTTTTCAAGGTGCTTTGTGGAGGATGTCTTGATTAAAGCAGAGAGAGAAGATGCATGGGACAGTGAGGGATGTAAAAATACTAAGTAAATTAAGAAGCAAATATATTTTTGTGTTTGTTAAATAAGTAAATTATTAAATCGTTGTCTGGGTTTATTAAGTAGATAATTAAATATATAAACATGCAGGTGACTTGTCAACTCTGTCATTGTGGTATACATTATTTCTTTCACTGACAGGATATTTTCAATATAACTTAACTCTAGGGGAAAAGTGAGATAATGTACAAGAGTTCAGATTTCTTCACATCCTCTCCAACATTTGTTATTTTGTTTTTATTAGTAATAACCATGCTAATGGGTATGAATGGTATTTCATTGTGGTGGCGATTTGCATTTTCCTAATGATTAGTGATACTGAACATCGTTTCATGTCCTTTTTGGCCATTTCTAAATCTTTGGAGAAATGTCTGTTCAAATCCTTTGCTCAATTTTGAATTGGGTTGATTTTGTTGTTGCATTATAGAAGTTTTTTATATATTCTAGACATTAATCTTTTATTGGATATATGATTTGCATGTATTTTCTCTTATTCTGTGGATTATCTTTTCACCCTGTGATGATGTCCTTTGATGCACACAAGTTTTTAATTTTGATGAAATCAAGTTTATCTTTTTTGTTGTTTCCTGTGCTTTTGGTGTCATATCCAAGAAATCTTTACCAAATCCGACATCATGAATCTTTTTTCCTATGTCTGCTTCTAAAAGTTACACAGTTTTAGTTCTTACATTTAAATCTGATCCATTTTGAATTAATTTTTGTATATGGTGTAAAGTAATGGTCCAACTTCATTCTTTTGCATGTGCATATCAAATTTTCCCGGCACCACTTGTTGAAAAGACCATTCTTCCCCCCATTGAATAAGTTGGCACTCTTTGTTGAAAATATTCTGGGCTGTCTATTCTAGTCCATTGAGCTATGTGTTTTTCCTTATGCCAATGCTATACTGTTGTAATTACTGTCGCTTTGTAGTGAGTTTTGAAGTCAGAAATTGTGTCTTCCAACTTTATTCATATTCAAGGTCCGTTGAGATTTCACATGAATTTTAGGATGGGTTTAAATTTTGACCTCAAATATTTTTGTATTTTATACAATGTTTTATATAAATATTTTTACTTAGCTTAGTAGCGAGAACACACTTTTCTTGAGGTAAAATTTAGTACTGTTGGGAAATACAGTTTCTTCCTCATACATGTTTTTAAAACTTACTTAGTGAAAGTAATGATAATACTTAGTTAAGCTCTTACCTGGGTTGAGCACATCTTAATAGAAGATAAACTATATCTGGATACGTCAACATTTTTAAATGTGTGCTTATCAACATTATATGTAATTTTTTTTTTTTTAAAGACAGAGTCTCACTCTGTTGCCCAGGCTGGAGTGCAGTGACGCGATCTCGGCTCACTGTAACCTCCGTCTCACAGGTCCAAGCAATTTCTCCTGCCTCAGTCTCCTGAGTAGCTGGGATTACCGCCGTGTGCCACCACACCTGCCTAATTTTTTTGTATTTTTTGTAGAGGTGGGATTTCACCATGTTGGCCAGGCTGGTCTCGAACTCCTGACCTCAGGTGATCCGCCCACCTCAGCCTCCCAAAGTGCTGGGATTATAGGCGTGAGCCACCGCACCCGGCCCAACACACGTAATTTAAAAGCAGTATCGTTTTGGTCAATTTGCTTAGTACTATATAGATATATAGCATAGTAGTTTTGATGCTGTATATTTTATATATGAATAGAGAATTTAAGTAATTCCATCAAGTCACACAGTGGCAGAGTTAAGACCTGAACTCAGAAAGTCTGATACTAGAGCTCACATTTGAAGTGACTGTGTAATACCTAAGTTATTACCAGTACTTGGGCTCCCTCTGGGTATTGAAAGAATTCAGTGAGATAATGCATGTAACATAAGAAGTGTTCAGAAAACAGTAGCTGCTATTCTCATGTTTACTATCAGCTCACTGTAGCTCTGTCATATCTGGATGTAAGGCATTCCTTTCTATGCTGGCCAGTAGGGGTAATTTATTGCTTAGTGATTTTCTTGCTGTTGAGTAGCACTTCACATTGTTAACTGATTGGATTTAGCTTCTGGAATTGATATTGTAGAAAAGTCTTATTTTATATATGTATAATATTTAATATATAATATTTAATATTTAATATATAATATAATATATGTTTATATATATTTTATATATATATAAATATAAATAAATGTAGTGGGTAGGATATATATATATATATATATATATATATATATATATATATATCTCTTAAATGTAGTGGGTAGAAAACAAGCTAGATGATGCTGTAGTTTCCCCTTGATATAGTTCTCTTAAGTGTATGACTAAATAATGTTTTAGCAATTTCCTGGGTTTTTTTCATGTGTTTATCAGTAATTGAAATAGCCTGACTCACATGTTAGGTATTAAGAGCCTTGAAATCACTCTTTTAGGCCATTCAAAATTCATACTAGAACTTAGTTTCTTTTTAACTTAAAAAGAAAAAAAAAAGATCAGGTGCAGTGGCTCATGCTTGTAATCTCAGGACTTTGGGAGGCCAAGTTGGAAGGATTGCTTGAAACAAGGAATTTGAGACCAGCCTGCGTAACACAAGGAGACCTCATCTCTACAAAAAATTTTAAAAATTAGCTGGGTGTGGTGGTGGCATGTGCCTGTAGTCCCAGCTACTCAGGAGGCTGAAGTGGGAGGATTGCTTGAGCCTGCAAGTTTGAGGCTGCAGTGAGCAATGATCGTGCCACTGCACTCCAGCTTGGGTGACAGAGTGAGACCCTATCTTAAAAAAAAAAAAAAAACAACTGTTACTAGGTAGTGAAATTGAACATGATTCCTAACCTTGGAATAATTAATTAAGCTAAATAAGACTTGGAAACCTTTTCATTTCTCATAATTTTAAAGGGAATAATCACAAATAACAGTGGTTTTGAGTAGCAGTAGTTTCAGAATTATTTAACACTATTTAGCATTTGTCTTTGCTGTGTATTGTAAAATTTTTGTTTAGCCAAAATACTACTTATACTGTGTAGAGCAGAAAATATATACGCTTCAATAACTTTGTATATTTTTCTTATAGCATTGTATTAGTGATGTGCTTCTTTGAAAATTATGCTTTTGGGTCCAAATAAGTGCCCTTAATTTCAGCATACTCCAGAGGATCATTTTAAGTCTCAAATGAATAGCCTCTGTTCTGTCCCCTGCCCCCTAAGTTATTTAAGCAAGTCTTTAAAATTTTTTTGTATATAAATTAATTAGTAGGCTTTAAAATGTAAAAAGAATACTATGGAATTTTAGAGCAGGAGGAGATCTATGCATTTTGGTTGAACAGAATTGAGTATTTTAGTTGAAATGCTCTCATTTTACAAAAGATGAAACCAAGTACTAGAAAGAAGAAAGGACACACTCAAGCCCTAGGGAGAGTAACTGGCTTGCTTGGGGGCATCTTAGTAACTAAAGTGAGAATATATTACTGGTATCCAGGTAGCCATTTGTTCATTTATTTAAAATTTTTATCACCATGGAGTTAAGATTCAGAAAACATGATTTTCCATATAAGCCATTTTAAGAATGGAAAATACGTAGAATTTTTTCTTCTGCAACTACAGGGGAAATATTAGCATCTGAGTTTTGGCTTAATGAGACAATAAGAGTTCAGTTCCAAAATGTTTTTGTATCAGCAAGGAAACTCTACTAGAAACGTTCATTTCGAGCAATGATAAGTTGGAATTTGGGTGATCCTGGTAGCAGGGGTGGTTCATTTGCACTTGTTTTTTCAGGTGTTGCTCTCTTGCCATTCGTGGATGAGCGAAGGCTACGAGCTGCCCTAGAAGAGGTATACCCAGACCTCACTCCAGAAGAGAGTAAGAATTATACTTCTTAGTTAACATTGATCTGTGTAATATACACTTTATATTTCTGTATAAAATTAGACCTTCCTTCTCCTGTTTGTCAGATTTCCCATAAAGGGGATATAAATCATTGATTTTATTTTCTTATTACAGACGTTGACTTTGCTTCTTAATTCATTATCTGTAAGTTGAGTAGTAGTTAAATAAAATGTTTTAACTTACAAGTATTTCTTAAATTTTTTAAAAAGCAATACTTCAACAATATCCTTTGACATTTTGATTCTTATATGACATGCACACACGAAAGTATCTTTTGCCTGTTGGGAAGATATTATTCATTTTCTCCATCTACCTTCTTCCCTACTCCTCCTTTCTCCCCAGTAATAACTACTTTGTTTAAAAGGTTAGGGTGAAACAAAAGCATATGCTCTTAGAGTGCTAACTTGAAATATGACATAAAAGGAGGCAATTTGTAATCAATACTGACAGTAAAAAGTATTCATATTCGGAAATTGCAAAGCTGGGCTCTATTGAAAAATTTAATACCATTATAATAAGCCTCTAGAAACAATTTCTGTATCAAAAAGATTGTCTTTTAGAACAATCTTTTCATCAAATGACACTGTATATGTTTCCTTAGGGAATGATTATGTATTTCTTATACTAAGAAAATGAGTTTATTATAAAAAGAAAATATTGCCCTTTATCTTGCAGTATATTCATACGTATTTCAGTGGGTTTTTTTTCCTGATAACTATTGATCTTTTTGAAACTTTTTTGTTAAAATATTTTTTTCCCCATAGAGGCACATCACGCATTTAGATCTATCACTATAATTAAAAAATTTTTTTTAAATTGATATGTAATAGTTACACATGTATTTTGGGTCCATGTGATATTTTGATACCTATATACAATATGTGATCAAAATAGGGTAATTGGGATATCCATCACCTCACATTTATCTTTTCTTTGTGTTGGGAACATTACAGTTTCTTTCTTCTATTTTGAAATATGTAATAAATTACTAACTTCTCCACAGTACTATCAAATACTAGAACTTACTCTTGTCTAACCTATCACTTTAAAATTATTTTTCATAAATTTTATAATTAAGTTCTTAACACTTAGATGCTTTCCCTTGTTTTATGCTCATAAAAATTGGTCTTGCAGGTACAATTTTTTTATGTGTAGGTCTTATTCTTTTCTTTCTCCCTAGCCAGAAGAAACAGCCTTGGAGGTGATGTCTTATTTGTGGGGAAACATCACCCACTCCATGACTTCATTTTAGAGCTGTACCAGACAGGTTCCACAGAGGTATGTTACGCAATTTGGTTAATTAGAAATGCACTTTTTAAAATTTTGGTAAAATATGCATAACATAAAATTTACCATTATAACCATTTTTAAGTGGTTATTCTGTGGCATTAAGTATATTTCCAGTGTTGTATAACCATTAGCACTTTTTCAGAACTTTTTCATCTTCCCAAATAGAATTTCTGTACCTTTTAAATAATGTTAAATAATGTATCAGAATTTCATACCTTTTTATGGCTGAATAATACTCTATGTGTACTTTTTTATCCACTTATCTATTGGTAAATATTTGGGTTTGTTTCTGCCTTTTGGCTCTTATGAATGATGCTGCTATGAACACTCAAGAATCTGCTTGAGTCCCAGTTTTCCATTCTTTGCATATGAGATCAGGAATGCATTTTTCCACAGCCAGTGGAGGTACCCCCTGAACTATGTCATGGGATTCAAGGAAAGTTTTCTTTGGATGAAGAAGCCATTCTTCCAGATCAGTAAGTTTCATTTTGTATATAATTGAGGTGACTGGAAGGAAGTTTAGTTAGGATTTTTTTCCTTGTTGTCTAAATGTTTATTTTCTAATAATAGTGAGAAAATTGTATTTAAAATAAGACAAAACCTTGCTGACTGAAAAATGCTTGGGTTCAAAGCCTAGCTCTTCAAAGTAGCTGTGTCACCTTGTGCAGGGAGCTCTGGGAGTCCCTTTCAGGATATTCTGAAGGTTAAAACTCTTTTCATAATGATACTAAGATGTTACGGTGTTACTTGCTTTTCTTACACTTTCTCTCTTGAGTGCACAGTGGAGTTTTCCAGAGGCCTCTCAAGAGATAGAAGCAGAGGAGAGTAGCTATTAAATAGATACTAACCAGATATTAATGAGATTTTTGAAAGTATACAACAATGACATCGTTTTGCTTTGTAAAAAAATAGCTTTTTATAAGAATGTTATTTATGTTAACATGTAGGGTATCTTTTAGTATTTTAAAAATTTCTTAGTCATAATTTTTAATGGGTAAATGTTCATAAATATAACCACTATAAACAAAAGCCCTTTGAGATTTAAGAATGTAAAAGGGTTCTGAGACCAGAGTTTGTGAACCACATGTCAAGGGTACATTTCCAGGAATGGAACTGCTGGCCATAGAGTATGTGTATCTTCATTTTTTTTCTAGGTAATATTTCTAGGAGGTTTGTCAAGGTGGTTACACTGTGTTGTAATCCCAGTGGCAGTTTGTGAGAGATCTTGTTGCTCTACGTTTTGGCAAACCCTTGTCACAGCTTTAATTTCTGTCAGTCTGGTGGATGCTCATTGACATCTTGTGGTTTATAGTTGCAGTTCTTTGAGTACTAATGAGATTGAATGCCTTATGGTTAATAGTTAACCATTTCATGTATGTGGTACTTACTCTTTTTTTTTAAGATATAAATGGTTTTTATTGTTTTTGTTAGTGCATTCTAATGATTTATCTTTTCTAAAGACTAACAAACATAGCAACATCTTATTTCCACTTACCTAAAAGGTTACAGTTTACAGAGAGATGTTTCTTCTCTTGTTTCCTTCTAGAATAGTATGTTCTCCTGTTCCTATGTTAAGGGATCTGACACAGAACACTGTAGTCAGGTAAGTTTTCCAAAATTCATGGCATTCACCCAGAACACAGCTCTGAACTTGCAAATCCATTTTAAAAGACCTTTGATTCACAAGGAAATGGCAGCTGTTAATCCACCAATGCTTCGAGATTGGAGAGTCCCTGTGTTGCAGACCTTACAGCAGAGCCTCTTAACTCTAAATTATGTATATTGTTAAGGTTACTGATTTAACATGCTTGCTTATCTGTTTTCTGGTTTCCCATGACAACCTGTAATTCTTCCTGGATTAGGCAAGTGGGAGGTAAAGAGTAGGAGTATCTAGCAGTTTGTTATATAGGAACAAACAGAACTCTACACCCCAGAGGTTCACACAGCTTCCCTGTATTACAACAGACTATTTTACTTATGTTTATAATCATGGCCCTGCAGAGTTTGAACACAAAAATATTCTGTAGTATGTTTTAGTTAAGATGACATAGAACAGAATATATTTGTGAAAATTTTTATTAGCAATTATAAACTTAAAGGGCTAATTTCTTCTCTCTGGAAAACTAATTTATATCTCAGTTCTTTGGTGCTGACAGCATTTTCTATTGAGTAAAAATAATATAAAATGTAATATGACCATTTGGACTAAAATCCAACAAATTGACTACTCATTTGTATTTTATAATGACAAATCTTGATGACAGAATTTAGTTGTCATTTTCTCCAATCTTTAGGTAAGACTAAAGCAAACACATCTCAGGTATTCAAGAATTTGATAAAAGCCTGCTAATCCTGAATCCTCCTTTTCCATCCATTTTTGTTTCTCTCCCCCTCAGGAAATATTTTAGATTTTTTTTTAGATTTCCCTTTGTGAAATATAAACATGTTTATTTCCTATCTTAAATGGATTCAGGTAGTAAATGATTGCCATTCTAGAAAGGCTTTTATTTAAAGAAAACTACTGTGAATTCGAAAAATCTTTCTGGATGAGTTGCTTACGTTTATCTTTACGTATAATTTTTTGTTTATCTTTACACCTAATTTGTCCTGGTTCTTTGTCTTTGTGCTCTTTTGTTAAGGGTGGAGTACAGAATTGAAAGCCACGCTCCTAAACCCATCACAAACAATCTGGCTCTGACAGATTCAGTGTGAACACTGTGTATTAACCCTTGGAGTCTCTGGCTTTCATTAAAGCATTGGCGCTTCAGGCCAATTAATTCCACGGTTCTCTCTTTGGATTGTCACATGTTTGCTTGTGCTTCTCAATTTTTCTGCATATATTCAAGGGCCTTCCTGCCTAACCCTCTAGAAATAGTTAATTCTACTTAACTTTCTAATTAGGATAGAGAGGCTTGCCCAGAGGAGAGTTACAGAGTTAATGGAAACATTTTGGATTTTTTGTTTGGATGATGATGATGTTGGTTGGTTGTTTCTGAGCCTAAAGGGGCCTTTGGTATTTAGTACATACTATGTTCACAAGATTATTAAATTTATAAAACAGGCCGGGCGCGGTGGCTCACACCTGTAATCCCAGCACTTTGGGAGGCCAGGGTGGTGGGTGGATCATCTGAGATCAGGAGTTCAAGACTAGCCTGGCCAACATGGTGAAACCCTATCTCTACTAAAACTGCAAAAAATTAGCTGGGCATGGTGGTGCATGCCTATAGTCCCAGCTACTCAGGAGGCTGAGGTGAGAGAACCGCTTGAACCCAGGAGGCCGAGGCCTCAGTGAGCCAAGATCACACCACTTGGGCAACAGAGCAAGACTCCATCTCAAAAAAAAAAAAAATGTATAAAACAAATCCCAGATCTAAATGCATATTCAGGTGTATATTGAAAATAACTTTATAATAAAATCAACTAAATTAGGTTAATTTGCTGAAGATTTGTGGGAGACCAAAGTTAACTTTTCCCTTAGGTAAAAGTAATTTTCAGTGTTTTCTCTGAAGGGCGGCAACATTGAGGCAGAGATCCAGTTTTTACAGCAGGTTTTTGCATGTTTGTTTTAGGGCTTGTTGTACATTCCAGTGTTAAATTTGCTTTATAACTTTAACTTACAATTTTCAGATTTAAAAAATCTCAGAATATACTCACCAGTCATTTGCCAGTTATTTCTCTTTTGACTCCTGGCATTTTTTTCCTCTTCCTTATTTAAATACATCTAGTATCCCATTTGATATTTGAGAAATCGTTTCCTCAAGTTGAGTTTAGGTAAGTTCTTCCCATTGTATTCATTCTTATCTGTAGTGCTCAGAAAGTATGTTATACAAGCTGTTGAAGTCCCTTAAATTCGTAGACAGACCCTTAGAGAATATAGTCAACTCTAACCTAGGAGATCATATTTTTTTCCCATTTCTAATTCCACAAATTATTCAACATATTAGCTTCTGCATGTGAGTTTTCCTCCCAGTCTGTCATCTGGAGGGTAAGTGCATATGTGTGCTTTTACTTTTTCAAGGCCTGATGCACCTTGGCAGGGCCCTGGCCCTGTGCTTGAACCCCCAGGTCCTCAGGATGCTTCCTTCCTGCCCAGGCTGATCCCTTCAATACCCTTTGACCTCCGCCTCTTCCTCCTGTTGTTTGGAGTGCTCTTCCTTTCTTTTCTCCACCTGCCCCATAGCCTGCCGTTTATTGCTTTGCTTTTCTTCTAAAGCATAATTTATACAGTTTTTATATATGTTGTTTCCAGCAGTAGTGTTGTTAGGTTGTTTTTTTTTTTTTTCTCATAGCACCTAGCAGAGTTCTAAACCCATATTTAAAAAGCTCAGTTGTTCATAGTGTTGCAACCAGTGTTTGCCAAAGTCTTTGAAGAGCGTAAACTTTTTTCTTCAGAGGAGTGTTTCTTAGACTTTTTGTATTCACTTTTGGATGAATCAGACAAGATATAGAATGTTTTATTCCTTCAAGGAGATTTTTTGTTTTAATGTGAATGTGTATGGAGATGGATTTTTTAAGTAACTATTTCTGCAGCATTTGCAAGGCTTATGCTTGGCAAGCAGATAACTCAAGATCCAAAGCCTGAAGGAAGTGGAATACATGCAGTCAGCAGTGGATTTGATGGTGGAAAACAGTTGGGAGGGTTTCACTTTCGATGCTTAATTGGTTAACCTCTTCTGATAGAATGTCACAATCCTATAAACTCTTTAAGTGTTTTAAAATGTCAAGTATATGAATCATGAGATTTTCCTGCAAGAACAGTTTGCCTTTGTATGCCAATTTAGCATTAATTATGGAATGTATCAGGGAAAGGTTGTGTAAAAATGAAACTTGATATTTGGAGTTTTCTGCTTTCTTTCTGAATTATGTTAACACTCTCTAACAGTAATACTTAAAATAGCATTTCTAAGGATAATTCTTAAAGCGAATCAGAAAAAGGTGTTCTATATTCCATTCCTTTTCTATTGAGACTTTGCTACAGTATTTTCTTCTTACCAGCAGTGCTGAAAGTGCTACTTGTGGTATAAATAAAAGCACTGTTCAGTTTCCTTATTTTCAACCATGCTTAGGTTTTAAATTTTTATTTACTTTGCCCTTGATGTGTTTATGAAGACAATCAAGCATTTAAAATAGTGAGGTTACCTATTAAGGAAAGGATCTGTTATGCTACTTGGGGGAAAGCTGGTCTGGTACATAAAAGCTTGATGAGTCAACAGTGTTTCACCTGCATTTGGAAAAAGTGGATGAAAATACTGTTGTTTAAAAATACTTCAGTTTACAGAATTAGATGAAGCAATACGAATCTAAACACAAGTCTCTTACCTCAGCTGGTCAGACTGTTGAGTCCGTAGGCTGTATTAACTCATTTCCTTCCTCTGCTTCTCAGAGCTTGCTTGAGGGTGCTTCTCTCTTTACCTCAGTGTTACTTACTACTTCCCTAGATAAGCCTTCCACAAGTAACCCTTTTGCTTCTGATGATGGAATTTAAATGACATAGACATGAAAAAAATAAAAGACCTTCAAATGTTTGGATCCATATAAAAAGTTACCTTTTTGAGTCTTTGCCTAATGGGTTCCTGCTTAGTCTGTGTGTTTGACTTTTAGGAAGTTTGTTTGAATCTGAGTTATGGCTGTTATCACATTGGAAAAATACATTTCTAAAAACATAGTAGATCTTAGTATACATTTTTGGGAACAAATTAAGATACTAAGAATCTTTCAACCCTTGGAAGCTTAATCCATTTTAGGAGAGAGTGTGTCTTCAAATTGTTCTCAAAGATCCAAGGAAAAATGATATTAATACTTTGGTATCATAAATAGTGTCCTCATCTTTGAATGGAAACTTCCAAACTTATTTTTAGATACTCCTTTTCTATCTCCTAATGGTTTGTATTGTATTAAGTGTGTAGATCCTTTTGTTGAATGTGGTTCTGAGGGGAAGTAGGGATGATCTTGGAGACTGTCCTATTGACTTGGAAAGTTTTTCCCTTTCAGAGCATGAGCATGAATAATGGAATTTTAAAAACAATTTTATTAAGGAATAATTGGAAAACAAATGGATTTGTTTTCTCAAACTTTAGTTTCAGCTGTCTTATTAAATCTCTTGTTATAACCATTCTCCTGCAGAAGTGGTTATCTCTGTGACGCTGGGATTTTCTCTTCTCCCTGGGAGCTTATTACCTTGGCTATTTCCTTCATTTTCTTAGTTTCAGGTCTTTCTGTGCATGACTTGGAGATCTTCATCTGAGCTCGATCTCCATTCTAGTTCCAGCCTTACCATTTCATTTACTTTCCCAACGTTCCCATCCAAGATGTGTGTCGAAGACTGTTGCTTAGGCTCTGTTGGTGACCTCTTTATGGGTGTCCCTCTGCTCTCTCGCACACTGCTGCTGGGTTGTTCTTTCTGAAATTATCTTTGATCACTTTCACGTCCTCATTGACTACTTGCAAAGGCATCACATTATACTCACACAAACCCTCCATGACCATAACCCACTTCTGTTACCTTTCTTCCTGCCCCACTTCTGCTCAAATGCGTTTTTACTCTAATTTAGCCCTTCTCAACTGGAGTTCCATGGGAGAATTCTGCCTTGAGATCTTAAAGCATCTGTTGTATGTATCAGATTGTAGGTAGCAGTTTGTGTCCTGTATCTCTAGAATGATACTAGCTATGTTTTTTCCTTGGGAGAATTGAGAATGTACTCACTCATCATTTTTTGTAGGGCTTAATTCCCTCCCACATCCCCATTGAGAAGGGCTGCTCCAGTAAAACTGTACTGTTCCTTGGTCCTGGGACCCTTTCCATATCTTTGTTCCATTTGTTTCCTCTGCCACCCTGTGACCAATCCTGTCTCATCTTAAACCGCAGCCTCTTGGATGATGTTTTCCTTGGTCCTCAGGTGAAATAATTCCCTCCCCGCAGTACACACATAGCTTTAGCCCACACTGACAAAGATGTTTATATGGAAGGTGTATACACACACATGCTTTGACTCAGCATCTTTTCTGTGCCTGTTGTTGCATTTTCCACTTTCTTCCTTATTTCCCTTATTAGAAGGGGAGGCAGGCTTGATGCCTGGCGGTGTGCATAACCTCCCTCCCACCGTGAACCGTGCATGCGATAGGTATTCTAATAGTTTGGCAAAGTGCTAAAAACGCCCTGCTGAAACACAGATACCTGCTTCAAAACACTTTATTTGCAAGTCTTGCTTTGTTACTTGACTTTTTATCTGCAAAGCCCTAATGAGCACAAATACTTAACTACCATTTTCTCTGTCATCCTCTTAAACCTTTATCACTGCCTGTCCTACCTTGCCCTGCCCCATGCCATCTTGCCAGTACAGAAAATCTGAGCTAAAGACAGTTGTCAGTGAAGAGTGAGTTGTAAGAAGAACTAGTTGAGTAATAAGTATTGTTCAGCTGTTGAGCTTATGGTATATTTATTGTAAGTGAATCCATTTTTGTGTACTTAAAATGAAAATTTCTGTAAAGCAGATAGACTCTAGTTAAAGTGGCAGTATTCAGAAAGAAAACTGCTGTCTAAAAATGTCAACCAGGTCAATAAAACTTTTTTTAAAAACCTTTTTAACTGACTGTAAGTGTAATCATTGGAGGAATTTTGAAAAATATGTTAAAGGAAACAAGTTACTAACTTATAGAGAAAAATCACTGATAATCGATTGATGAATATGTCTAGTCTGTTGTATATATGTTTCCCATGTCATTAAGGTCATTAAGTATTCTGTTACTAAATTTTTTTTTTTGAGACGGAGTCTCACTCTGTCGCCCAGGCTGGAGTGCAGTGGTGTGGTCTTGGCTCACTGCGACCTCTGCCTCTCAGGTTCACACCATTCTCCTGCCTCAGCCTCCCGAGTAGCTGGGACTACAGGCGCCCGCCACCACGCCCAGCTAATTTTTTGTATTTTTAGTAGAGATGGGGTTTCACTGTGTTAGCCAGGATGGTCTCGATCTCCTGACCTTGTGAGCCACTGCACCCAACCTTCTATTACTAAATTTTTAAAAATATTATCTGAGTTCTTCCTTTTTAGGAAGGACTAGTTTTTTTAACCAGTCCACTGTTATTCATACACTTGGGTTTTACAGTCTTTGAAACATTATGAATAATAGTGTTATAAGTATCCTTAAGTATAAATCTGGTGTATAACCAGAGTCCTGGAAGAAGCATTGCTATGTCAGAAGACAGACTTAGGTACTTACCAACCTTTGGGATAGGTAAACACACATACATACCACTACCACGGCTATCACTACCAGAAAAGAAGTTCGACCCAGCTTATACTCAAAGCCTGAGTGTATAGCTTTTAAAAATAGTTATACTGTCCAGGCGCGGTGGCTCATGTCTGTAATCCCATCACTTTGGGAAGCTGAGGTGGGTGGGTCTTATGAGTCCAGGAGTTCAAGGCCATCCTGGGCCATGTGGGGAAACCCCATCTCTACAAAAAATACAAAAATTAGCCGGGCATGGTGTTGTGTACCTGTAGTCTCAGCTATGAGAGAGGCTGAGGTGAGAGGATCTCTGAGCCTGGGAGGTTGAGACTGCAATGAGCTGTGAGTGTGCCACTGCACTCCAGCCTGGGCAACAGGGCGAGACCTGTCTCAAAAAAAAAAAAAAAAGCATATTTGTGTAGTTTTCAAATGGTGAAAATTATTTTATTACTTAAAAATAACACATTAGGAGAGAAGGGTACAAGGGTCCAACTGTGAAGTTTAATTTTTTTTGTTAAGTCCATCCCCCCCGCACCATAGATTTCTTAGCTATTTGTGTGCATTTTTTGATTTTGCAAATATTTCTATTGGTATATCCATCTTTTCTTTATTAAAATAAGAGCTAATCTGCCTCAAGATGCTTTGGGGTTTTTGCAGTGGACTGAACAAAATTAAAGGTTATTTTATTTTTATTTTTTGTTGTTGTAAACCTCTTCGACCTGTCTACAATATCATTTTGAAATTTGAGTTGGGGCAATGTCTGTTACTTCTCTGTCATCACCAATAGTCAGCTAGAACATAACTTTTCCCTCAGAGAAAGTTACATGAAGGTTATATGTACCAGGAATTAGAGACAGTTTGGTGAGGAAGACATTTAGCCATTTGTCAAACCCATTTATTAACTAAAATAATTTTTGGAGAGGACTTAAACATGAAAAATACCTCAGTCTACATGATAAGACAGGCTGATATAATCAGATCATTGAATTGTTTCTTGTTCTTTTCCAGTATTAATTTTAAAGACCCACAGTTTGCTGAAGATTACATTTTTAAAGCTGTAATGCTTCCAGGAGCAAGGTAACAACAGTAAATTACCTAGATTTATTTTGTACAAATGGTTTTCATCCCTATTACTAAGTGTTGTCTTTTTAAATGGTCAGAAAGCCAGCAGCAGTACTGAAACCTAGTGACTGGGAAAAATCCAGCAATGGACGGCAGTGGAAGCCTCAGCTTGGCTTTAACCGTGACCGGAGGCCTGTGCACCTGGATCAGGCAGCCTTCAGGACTTTGGGGTGAGTTGTCAGTTTTTAGCCCTTGTATATTTTGCTTTTTCTGAATCATCCCATAAAACAAGTCAGTATTTATGCCATATATATAAATTTATGCCATATATATAATATATGATTATATATTATATATATTATATATAATATATAATTACATATATAATATATAATTATATATAATATTATATAATATATAATTATATATATAATATATATAATATAATATATATATAAAATTATAAATTTATATATATATAATTACAGGAGTGAGCCACCGTGCCCGGCCGAAACCCAGTATTTTCATAAAGTTTATATATATAATATATATAAATATATATTATATTTATAGTTTATATAATATATATAAATATATATTATATTTATAGTTTATATATATAACATATATAAATATATATTATATTTATAGTTTATATATATAACATATATAAATATATATTTATAGTTTATATAATATATATAAATATATATTATATTTATAGTTTATATATATAATATAGTTTATATATATATATTATATATATAAACTTTATGAAAATACTGGGTTTGGGCCGGGCACGGTGGCTCGCTCCTGTAATCCCAGCACTTTGGGAGGCTGAGGCAGGCAGATCATGAGATCAGGAGATCAAGACCATCCTGGCTAACACAGTGAAACCCCGTCTCTACTAAACAAAATACAAAAAGTTATCTGGGCATGGTGGCAGGCGCCTGGCGCCTGTAGACCCAGCTAGTTGGCAGGCTGAGGCAGGGGAATGGCATGAACCTGGGAGGCGGAGCTTGCAGTGAGCTGAGATTGCGTCACTGCACTCCAGCCTGGGCGACAGAGGGAGACTTCCGTCTCAACCAAAAAAAAAAAAAGGGAAAAAAAGAAAATACTGAGTTTGTTTCACACATATATTTTTGTCTCACCACCATGGCAGACCACCACTACTACTATGTCCTCTCATAACATTGCTTACATACTTAAAACCAAGCAAAGAGTGGAGCTCCATCTTTAAAACCTAAACAGGCATTTTGGACAACACATTATTGTACACCACAAATATCTAACAGACCATAAAATACAACTGTTTTGTAAGTATTTTAATAACTTTGATACTGCTCTGCTTTTCTTCATTTTTAAAAATTCACTTCTCCATTTATGTATTGCTATATGTGTTGCATGAGAATTCTATTACTTTCTCTAAGACGTTTTACTGTTTTTCTGACTCTTACTTCAAGGGAATAAAACCTCCTCTTTACCCGCAAGAAAGTTTTAGCTGAATTAATTAATGTATGATGGAGACTCTTTTTCAAGTGTTAACCAATATATTGGTGTAGAAGCCTCCAGTCTCTTAAATTTTTGTTTGCCCAGTGCTTGAACAGTGGTATCTCGTAGTTGCTTGAATTGGCATTTCCCTGCCTACTGAAATTATCTTTTAATATGTTTATTAGTAATTTGTATTTCCTCTCCTATGAATTTCCAGTTTTTATCCTTTGCCCTTTTTAGTTAACTGAATTGTCTTTTTCCTAGCTGTAGAAGATACTATAGAGAGAGGGGACTTGTAAACAATAACAGGTAAAGCTGGTATAGAAAGAGCAACAGGCTTGCCATAATGTTAATGAGTTAGGATTCATGCATTAATAATGATAACTTATAAATAGATGTTTCCAGTTAGTGGGGAAACCTTAAGATTCAAAAAATTATTTAGGCAGAAGGTCACCATCAACATGTAATTTATACAGCAAATATTAAGAGGGATAGTGTGGCAGAGTGATTAAGAGCATGGGCTTTAGATCTTAAATGTCTGGATTCAGATACCTTTTTTTTTTTTTAACCACTTAATATACTTGTGAACTTTACCGAACCACTCTGTGCCTCCATTTCCTTATGTCTGAGGTGGAGACAGTAATTATACCTACATATTCTTAAAATTATGAAGTTATGAGAATTAAGTGAGCCTAATGTCTGTCAAGCGCTTAGGGTAGTTCCTAAACACTATGTAAACATTAGTTGTTATTGTCATTGTTTTGGAAAAATCTTCATTCTTAGTAGCAGTAAAAGAAATGCAGATTTAAAATAGTCTTAACTTTTTCCATTATTTCAACTGTTTTGGAAAGCAACATAGTATTTCCTCTGAATAGAGCAGTGAGTTCAGAAGATACTCTTAACCTTTGGTCCAAATTCCTACCTCTTGGATTTGTGAGGAGGAAATAATTTTAGATGAGCATAATTATATGCCCAAATATTTATATTGTATTGTAATCTATACTACTAGTACGAAATGAGAGAAATGGTTTAGTAAAGTATAAGACATCAACATAGTAAAGTATTCTATAGGTTTATGTGTTGGAATTACAAAGATGAAGAAAAGATACAGGCAAGTATTTGATATAGTAAATTAAAAATAGCAAGATGTAGAGTAGTCATGTATACAGTGATAGCAAGAACATGGATCCTTAAGGACAAAACTGAAACATAATGCAAAAAAAGAAAAATATGCAAATTATTTTTCGTATGATGTAAGTTGTAAATATTTAAATGGTTATCAATTAAGAGTCTTGGTGTGGCAGATGAACATTTGCTATCACTATTACCATTATGTAGTTTTGAGCTTTAATTATAAACCACCTTTTTGTTTGTATTATCTTAATCAGATCTGTTAGTGAAGACGTGGCTATGAGCATTTGTTTTATTTGTGTCAGCTGTGTTATGATGGGTATATCACTATACAATTTTTTTTTCTTGTGTTGGGTCCTTTTATAGCCATGTGATGCCAAGAGGCTCAGGAACTGGCATTTACAGCAATGCTGCACCACCACCTGTGACTTACCAGGGAAACTTATACAGGCCGCTTTTGAGAGGACAAGCCCAGATTCCAAAACTTATGTCAAGTAAGCTTTTACAAATCGGTTATTTTACATTATAAATTAAATATCACAGCAAATGTTGGTTTCTAATCTTCTTTGCTGAAAAAGATTTGTTGTATCAGTGCAGACAGTGAACTTTAAAAACATGTAAGTTAGAAGAGTTGTGAGAGAATACCTTATGCAAAATCTTTCATACATTTTTTATCTTTATTTTTGTGGGTACATTGTAGCTGTATATATTTATGGGGAACATGAGATATTTTGACACAGGCATACAATGAGTAATAATCACATCAGGGTAGATGGGGTATCCATCACCTCTAGCATTTATCTTTTGTGTTAGAAATAATCCAATTATATTCTTAATTATTTTGAAATGTACAATTAAATTATTGACTATGGTCATCCTGCTGTGCTATCAAATACTAGATCTTATTCATTGTTTCTAACTATTTTTTCATAGCCATTAACCATCCTCCCCTCCCCAACCCTTCCCCTACTACCCTTCCCAGCCTCTGGTAACCGTCCTTCTACTCTCTGTCTCCACGAGTTCAGTTGTTTTAATTTGTAGCTCCCACAAATAGTGAGAACATGCAAAGTTTGTCTTTTTGTGCCTGACTTGTTTCATGTAACATAACGACCTCCGTTTCCATCCACATTGTTACAGGTGACAAGATCTCATTCTTTTTTGTGGCTGAACAGTACTCCATTGTGTATATGTACCACATTTTATTTATCCATTCATCTGTTGATGCACACTTAGGTTGCTTCCAAATCTTGGCTACTGTGAATAGTGCTGCAGTAAATGTGGGAGTGCAGATGTCTCCTTGACGTACTGATTTCCCTGTTTTGGGGTATATACCTAGCATTAGGGATTGCTGGATCATATGGTAGCTCTATACTAATTTACATTCCCACCAGTGGTCCATGAGAGTTCCCTTTTCTCCATATCCTCACTGGCATTTGTTATTGCCTGTCTTTTGGATAAAAGCCATTTTAACTGGGGCAAGATGATACCTCATTGTAGTTCTGATTTTCATTTCTCTGATCATCAGTGATGTTGAGCAACTTTTTATATACCTGTTTGCCATTTGTGTGTCTTTTGAGAAATGTCTATTCAGATATTTTGCCCACTTTAAAATCAGATTATTAGGTTTTTTTCCTATAGAGTTGTTTGAGCTCCTTACATATTCTGGTTATTAAACTCTTGTCAAATGGATAGTTTGCAGATATTTTCTCTCATTCCATGGGTTGTCTCTTCACTTTGCTGATTGTTTCCTTTGCTGTGCAGAAGCTTTTTAACTTGATGTGATTACATTTGTTCATTTTTGCTTTGGTTGCCTGTGCTTGTGGGGTATTGCTCAAGAAATGTTTGCCCAAACCAATATCCTAAAGATTTTCCCCAAAGTTTTGTTGTAGCAGTTTCATAGATTTAAGTCTTTAAACTATTTTTATTTGATTTTTTATATGATGAGAGATAAATTTATGGTTTTATTCTTCTGCATATGGATATCCAGTTTTCCCAGCACCATTTATTGAAGAGACTGTCCTTTCCTCAGTGTATGTTCTTGGTTCCTTTGTCGAAAATGAGTTCACTGTAGATGTATGGATTTATTTCTGGGTTCTCTGTTGTATTCCATTGGTCTGTTATCTGTTTTGATGCCGGTACCATACTGTTGTGGTTACTATTGCTCTGTAGTATAATTTGAAGTCAGGTAATGTGATTATTCCAGCTTTGTTCTTTTTGCTCAGGATAACTTTGATTATTCTGGGTCTGTTTTTCATCTTGACTATATATAGTTAAATGAATAAGGTAATTTGGATTTCTTCCTTAATCTTCACTTAAAATCTGTTTCTCAGTTAACACAGGCAAAAAAAAGTATGAGGAAATGATTGCAATTTATTTAATTAATACAAGTATAATTAAATCAGATATGGTAGATATGGATCGTCATCACTTAGTTGCCTGAAAGACAAAGGTGTCCCTTTCTTGATTCAAATTGTATCTCAATGCTACCTACAATATAGCCAGGGACTGCTTTAGGTAGACTATACCTTTAACCCTATATTTCTGGAAGACATTAGTCTTTCCTTAACCCCTCATAATCTGTTTTGTGGACAGGTCAGAAATGTTGACCACAAAAATAATTAACATGGCATTTGGATTGCAGTGGGAAAGGGAAAAGATAGTTGAATGTTAGACTTCATAGATTTTACATTGATTTTAAATTGTGTCCCCATTTAATGTTATTTTTGAGCTCCATTGTTATGCCCATTTATCAAAGAATTGTAAGTCATGTGCCAGTGTTTGTTTCTCAAAATGAATGTCTTCATGAAGGCTTTGTTTCTCCATTCCTGGTTGTCTGGTTGCCACAAGGGCAGCATGGGGGAGAAGAAACAGTGTGGCAAGATGCTCACGTTTGTTAAATCTGAGTGTCATATCATTAAAACATTTTTTTCTAAATGTTTGAAATATTTCATAAAAATTTGATTTCCAAAAAACAGAGTGATACTTTGTTATAGATACCCCTCAGAGCTGTTTTTAAACCGAAGCTGTACTTATGAAAGAACGTGCCAGGTTAAAATGGATAATTGATGGGAAATATTTGTACTATGCACCTAGCACTGTTGTAATGCTAGTTAAGTTACACACCAGAAGTCCAGATTTTCTGGATGTAGTACCCAAGAAGAAATTGGTTCTATAGGTCTTACTCTTTCAGGGCCCTCTGTTTTTAGTGTATTCACTCTCTGTCTCTGTTCCTCTCTCTGGCAGTGTAGCTTTGCTGTATAGCTTAATGACATTGAGTGGAGCTTTGTGAGGCTCTATCATGCAAACTATGGACTTGTGTTCAGTGAAGCACAGAAGGGGCACAGAGGTACAGAGTCAGTGGTCCTGTGGGAATCTGCTTGGTGCAGTGGCTAACAGCTGCTTCCCGTAAGATTTAGCAAATAACATTTCTAGGTATTTCCATGTATTCAGTATCAAGTCATACCATGTACAACAGGAGAGTCTAATCATTTTGAAGGAGCTATCTTTGCCCTAAGATTTTACTAATAAATGGTGAAAGCATATCCAACATATTTTTAAAGCCAGCTGTTACTGACACATTCCTTATCAGTTTCTTTTTTCTTGTGACTTTTTACCATTTACATGGATACCATGGCCTTTTGCTTCTAGCAGAAGGATCATGTTCCAATAATAAGGGAAAGAAGCCAGAAGGTTCTTTTATTTATTAGCTTTACACCAAAGGAGAGAATTTCATGCCCTTAGGGGCCTACAGTTCTATAGTTCTTCGTCTGCCTTCTTTGGAAATAGACAACTCTTGTTTGCATCTGTGTATTTTATTTCAAATAATGGAGTCCCCTCTCTACTTTTATTAATATTACTTTGGTTAAATAACTCCTTATTTGCCATTGTTGTGGCTGTTATTAGATTTAATGTGTACTTACAAAGTACAAAATACTTACAGACTTTAATTAGAATGTATTCCAGTTAGAATATCTTTATTTCAGTTACGTCATGAAAAAATTGGGAGATATGTTTTGTAAAGTAGGGATTGATTTAGAGCAAGAAACAAGTACCCTCTGCCTCGTGACTTGTAAACATTGACTCAACTGAGGATTAGTGCTGGGACTCTAATGACATTTAACATCTTTTCAAAGGGCACAGGAATGGGAGGAGTGAAAAAGTTTATGGACAAAAAATTGGCAATCATGTGATATTTAAATTGAGCCAACAAGTGGGGAATTTGGGCTCCTCTAGGCTGAGAGAAAATTATGAGCTTTGAAGTACATGGCAAGTAGTTGGGTGGTGTTAAGCATAGCATAACTGGTACAAAATTAGACTGGGAGCATACTTGGAACAGATTATGAGGGGAGGAGAGCTAATTTTTAAAATATTTTTAGTGATTTTTAAATATATTTTTAAAATGCATTTTTAACTACAGTACATGTTAATTGAATAAAATGTGGCATGTAGCAATAAAACATAAAAAACACCCATAATTCCACAGTCCCGAAATAAGCAGTGTTTCTTTTTATTATTTCATGTGTGCAAGTTTTGAAAATTAGATTATTGTACGTGTATTTTTACATATAGTTTTTTATTGAAATGTAACATATGTAAAGTGCTAAATCGAACCGTACAGTGTAGTTTTTATGAAATAGATATATTCATGTATTCACCATTCAGATTCAGTAGAAAAGTGTCAGTCCTCAGAAGCCCCCCATTGTGTCCTTTCCAGGCACTACCCCCTGCCCATTAAAGGGAACCAGTATCCTGACTGCAGTATCATAGTATCATACATTACCTTTTTGTTTTTTTAACATTACCTAATAGTTTAAAAAGCTATTACATGACTACCCTTTTAAAAGCTTGCCTTTTTTTCAGTCTTTGTTTCTGAGATTTATATTGCTTGTAGCAGTAGTTCATCCGTTTTCTTTTTCTTTTTTTTTGGTCTCCCTGAGATGGGGTCTTGCTCTGTTGCCCAGGCTGGAGTGCAGTGGCACAATCTTGGCTCACCACAACCTCCACCTTTTAGGTTCAAGCAGTTCTGCCTCAGCCTCCTGTGTAGCTGGGATTACAGGCATGTGCCACCACACCTGGCTAATTTTTGTATTTTTAGTAGAGATGGGGTTTCACCATGTTGGCCAGGCTGGTCTCCAACTCCTGACCTCGTGATCTGCCCGCCTCGTTCTCACAAAGCGCCGCGATTACAGGCATGAGCCACCGCGCCCAGCAGTTCATCTGTTTTCATTGCTTATAGTGTTAAATCATAGGACTATATCACCATTTATTTACTTATCCAGTAGCATTTGGGTTGGTTTCTGGTTTGAGGTTGCTGGATTGGACTGCTGTGAAACTGTGCGTCCTTCAATGCACATATGTAAACACTCATGATGGATATGTACTCCATAGGAGTGGAATTGCAAGACTGTAGGATTGTGTGTATGTTCAGCTTTAGTGAATGAAAGTGCCAGACACATTTTCCAAATTACATTCAGTTTGTATGAATTTACACTCCTCCAGCAGTGTAGGAGAGTTCTGGTTGCTTCATGTTGTTGCCAACCCTTGGTGTTGTCAGTCTTTGCACTTTTAGCTATTTGACTAAGCAGGGAGTGAATATCTCACCGAGCTTTTAGTTGGCATCTTCCTGGTGACTAAGTGGAGCATTTTTTAAAATGTTTATTGACCATTTGGATATTTTTGTTTGTGTGATGGTAGTGTTCAAGGTTTGTGTGGTTTTTTTAAATTGGGTTGTCTATCTTTTTGTTTTGTAGGCGTTCTTATATTCTGGTTATGAGAGTAGTTTTATATTGGAAATATCTTTTTCCACTTGGCAATTTGCCTTTTCGCTTTATTATTGCTGTCATATGATGAACAGAGGTTTATGCCAGCATTTAGGGAATGTGGGTGAAGGGGATGTGGGAATTCTTTGTACTCATCTTGTAACTTTTAAGTTTGAAATCATCACAATAAAAAATTCAGGACAAAAAGAATTAATACTATATAATTGATGTGTTTTGATGTTTTAAGTAACAGTATCTTAAATATCACTTTCTAATTGCTTGTTTATATGTAGAAATAAAGTTGATTTTTTTGATATTTGTATCTGACATCCTTACTAGATTCATTTCTTCTAATAGTTTATATGTTCTTTGAAATCTTTTTGTGTACACAATTATGTCATCTCCAAGTAGTGACCATTTTATTTATTTATTTTCTAATCTTAATGCCTTTTTTGTTTGTTTTTTGTTTTGCTTTATTGCACAAGCTAGGACCTCTCATAATTAATAGAAGTGATGATGGTAGATATTTCATTCCCAATCAGTTTTAAGGGGGAGACTTTTACTGTTTCATCATTAAATATGAGGTTTGCTGCAGTTTTTTTCTGTGTAGATAACCTTTATCACACTGAGGAAGTTCTTCTATTCTTTGTTTCTAGTGGGTATTGAATTTTATCAGATGCTTTTTTCTCTAAAACCTGGGGGTTTTGTTTGTTGTTTTTTCTTTGTTGTGTTAATATGGTAAATTACACTGATTGATTTTGAAATATTAAACCAACATGGCATTTCTGGAGTAAACCTAATTTCTGGAATATATCATCTTTTTATATGTCACTACATTCTATGTGTCAGTGTATGGTGGGATTTTTAAAATCTATGTATTATGAGAGAGATTAGTTTTATTTCCCTTTTTTGGACGTTCTGGGGTAGGGTTTTTCTGGCCTTATAAAACAAATTAGAAAATATTTTCTACATTTTTGTTCTCTGTATGGGTTATCGTTAGATTGTCGTCATTTCTTAATTTTTAGAAGAATTCAGTGGCCAAGCCAGTTGGGCTTAGAGATTCCTTTATGAAAAGGTTTTCAATTATAGATTCAAATTTTTTAGTTCTGGCTTTTCAGATTTTTCGGTAATTCTTATGTTGGTTTTGGTAAGTTCTTTTTTTTTTTTTTTTTTTTTTTTTGGTGGGAATGTGCCCATTCTAAAATTTCAAATTTATTGCCAGAAATTTTTCATAAGATTTTTAATGACTGTAAGACTTCAAAATTAAGTGCTGATACTGGTAATATATAGTCACTCTTCTTTTCTTGATTAGTGTTGCTAGAATCTATTTAATTTTTTTTTTTTGAGAACCTATTTAATTTTATTGTTTTTTTTTCCTCCCATTGAACTAACCTTTAGCTTTGTTGATATATAGATATTTGTTCTTTTCCCTCCATGTACATTTGTTTTCTATTGATTTCTGCTTTTGTCTTCATTATTCTCTTCTACTTTTTTGGGGGATTAAATTGGCATTCTTTTTCCAAGTTTTTGAGATGGAGACTTAGGTAATTTATTTTTGGTCTTTTCCAATATATGCACTTCAGTGTTACAGATTTCTCTCTAATCACTTTAGCCTTATCCCACAAAGTTTGGTCTCACATATTTATTATCATTTAGTTCATGGTATTTTCTGATTTTTATTTTTTATTATGTACCCATGGATTATTTAGAAGTATATTGCTTAATTTTTTTTTTAATTTATAGGGCTTTTCCAATAATCTTTTAAAAATATATTTATTTCTTAACTGCAGGCTAAATTTCTAGAAATGGTATTGCTGGATCAGAAGGTATGGTGAATTTCTAGACTTTTGGTCAGTATCACCACATTAACCTCTAAATAAGAGTATACCAATTTGTACTTCCTACAATAGCATATGAGAATGTCTAATATCCCACTCCCACCAATACCAGGTGTTTTTATTTATTTATTTATTTTTTATTTATTTATTTATTTATTTATTTGAGACGGAGTCTCTCTCTGTCGCCCAGGCTGGAGTGCAGTGGCGCAATCTCGGCTCACTGCAAGCTCCGCCTCCCGGGTTCATGCCATTCTCCTGCCTCAGCCTCCTGAGTAGCTCGGACTACAGGCGCCCGCCACTACACTCGGCTAATTTTTTGTGTTTTTAGTAGAGACGGGGTTTCACCGCGTTAGCCAGGATGGTCTCGATCTCCTGACCTCGTGATCCGTCCGCCTCGGCCTCCCAAAGTGCTGGGATTACAGGCGTGAGCCACTGCCCCCAGCCACCAGGTGTTATTTTTTAAAAGTTCTTGGCCGGGTGCAGTGGCTCACACCTGTAATCCAAGCACAGATTTAACCAGGCGTGGTGGTATGTGCCTGTAGTCTCAGCTACTCAGGAGGCTGTGGTGAGAGGATTGGTTGAGCCCCGGGAGTTTGAGGCTGCAGTGAGCTATGATAGCCCACTGCCCTCCAGCCTGGGTAACAGCAAGACCCTGTCTCTTTAACATAAAATAAATAAAGTTCTTGCTAATTTGATAAGGAATAATGTGTCTTTGTTTTAAGATATGATTTTTCAATTTCTGCTTTGGTCATATTTTTACTGACCAGTTTTTCTTTTGTAAGTTGGCTGTTCTTGTCCCTTGCTGATTTAATTTGGGCACTAGTCTGTTTGTTTATAAGGTTTTAAAAACTCTAGAAGAATTAACCAGATACCTCTCCATTGTAGAACCACAACTCTGTGGGTTAAGGAGAGATGATGAGGGTCTGAACTACACTGGCAGAGTGGATCCAAAGTCCGGAAGGTGGGAGGAAGGGAAGGCTGAAAGTCTGGATAATTGAATATGAAGAGTGAGGAGGAGAGGGAGAAGGGAATGAAGAGTCCTGTGCGTTCACTGTGATGCCTGGGTGCTTACTGAGGCCTTTCACAGAGTTTGGAAACCCAGGAGGGTGAAGGAATATGAAAGAATGTGATGAGTGAGTTTGTGGGGGTCAAAGTGCCTGAAATACTTTAGAGGCATCTGTGCTAGGTAGTCATAGGAGTCAGGTTCTTGCTCAAGAGAGAGAGGATGTAGTTGGAGAGAAATTTGGGGATTGTCTGCATATAAACTAGAAACATAAAAGCTCAAAAAAGAGTTGAATAGATTGATGGATTTCGATTGCTCTTGGTTATAAAAAAAACCTTGGAAAGCTTGGGTTAAGAGTTTGGACTTCCTAGAAGGCAACCATGTCATTTCACAAATCATTCCCTGATACTTTTGTAAGAAATGTATTGGATAAATAATTAGCTTCATCTAGAATGGTCATTAAAGTATGATAAGTTCAGGCAAATGCTGCAGACAATGAAGAAAGGAAATCTGATATTTTCCTAATATTCTTTAAGCATAGTCCAACATATGATTTGTCGGTTTTTTCTTTTTTTTTTTTTTGGTCAGTCTTGCTTTGCCACCCAGGCTGGAGTGCAGTGGCGCAATCTCAGCTCGCTATACCTCTGCCTTCCAGGTTCAAGTGATTCTCCTGCCTTAGCCTCCCAGGTAGCTGGGATTACAAGTATGCACCACCATGCCCAGCTACTTTTTGTATTTTTAGTAGAGTCAGGGTTTTGCCATATTGGCCAGGCTGGTCTCAAATTTCCTGGCCTCAAGTGATCTGCCTGCCTCAGCCTCCCAAAGTGTTGGGATTACAGGCGTGAGCCACCACGTCCGGCCTGTGTTTTTTTTTTTCTTTTAGTTTACTGTCATTAAGACTTCTGACATATTTATTTTGTGATCTTGTTACTTCTAGATTCAATATTTGTGTAGAACCAGTCTTCACCTATGTATCAATCTTTCATCCATTCATCCACATCTTGCTATAAGAGGAAGAAAAACACAAAAGGAAGAGAGATAGAGGGCAAGGAAAAGCATCCTTAAGATGATTTGGACTTGGATGGACGGGATTGTAGAGTGAATCTAAGCGCCACATCTCTCTGTTGCTTCCTCTGGCTATGAGGGCAGAGAGGTACTTTTTTGTCCCTAGGGAGATAGGCTTGACCAGGAAGGGGACCTGGTTCATTTCACCCAGGCTGTCACGGCTTCGAGAGCACCTCTCCGCTCTTTCCGTCCCTCGACAGACCGGCTGATCTCTTTGAAGTGATGTTGGGTTTTGGTTTGTGCTTCAGGAACCGCTGATACTGATTTTTATCTGATCCCTTCTCTTTACATTTTAAGTGCCAGATTTTGAGGGGTAGTATTATCCTTTTAAAAAGAGCAGAGATTCCAGTGTTTTAGCCAAGATGTTTTCTTATTTTCTTCCTATAAATCCTGTATTTGCCTAGATGCTTACAACTAAAATGTGTGTTATTTTTCTTTCCTATCCTAATTGGATATGAGTAATAATGTCGGTTGTAAACCTTTAAGATGTTGAGAGTAGTTGTTAAACCCCCCATCCAGTCTTGTTGAAACTGTAAGTTTCTGAGCCTCCTGATTAAGCAGCACAAAATCATGGGTGGTTCTCCTCTGCGTCTTCTGAAATAAATTAACATGAAGTGCCATCTCAACCGACAGCATAAATGAATGTGAAACTTTGAGATTGCACAGTGTAGTAGAGAGTGGTTACGGGGACATAGCCCCTGGCCTCACTCTGTGACCTCTGACAGGTTTGGTCATTGCCCCAGTTTCCTCATCTCGAAAATAGTACAGAGGATAAGAATATTTACCTGACAAAATAACCAGACTAAATGAATTTAAGTAGCTAAGCACTTAAAATAGTACGTTGTACATAATAAGTACTGTGAAAGTATTAAGTGATAAAAGATCATCTTTCCTTTTATAGAATTTTGAACTTTAAAATTTAGTCAAATAGCTTGTTTTAGTAAGATTGAGTTCTAAGCCATTTATTCAGTCTAAAATATTTTTAGTATCATAATCATTTTCTTCGTGTAGTATGAAATTGCACTCAAGAAGGGCCATTTGGTCAAACTGACAACTGTCAAGTGTCTGCTGTAGGTATTTCTTATTGTTGGTGTTTGATTTGTCTTTGATGTGTCAGTTTTGGCTGATGAGTAATTGTCTGAGTACTGATAACTTGTTGGAATCGAGTGTAGCCCTGAGTACTCAGTCTGAATAAAGCATTTGGTTTCTGTAGCCCAGAGAACCTTAAATGTGACTTCTCTTCATTTTAGTCTGTAAACTTGTCAATTAGCCACGTTGAAAAGTGATTTTTGACTAGTGCTATCAGTAAACATGGAATCTTTTCTGTGATTGCCACGCTGATTAGGTAAATTGTCACTTGAGAAGCTATTGGCGAAGCTTGGTTTACATGGCCTTAGAGCTCTAGAAAAGGGATAAGTTTTTAAAGACCAAAGGAAAAAATTTTCCACTCTCGCCTGTACCTTCTGAAGTGCAATTCACTGTCTCAGAATTTTTTTTCTTCCTCTCAAATGGGTCTTCTGTTAGAGCCATACAAATGAATGATAATAAGTTTGTTTTACCATCTACTTCATTACAGATCAGCCAGGAAATACTTCTGCTTTATGAATACTTCCAGGTTATATATGTTACTAAGAGCCATATGAAGAAATTTGGTTAAAAATAGCCTTGAAATATTTCTTTGAGCCTTTTTTCTTTTTGGATTGAAAACAAGGAGTGTTTTAACAGTTGCATCAGAGTTTATTGAAAGTTTTGGAAAATTTGCTTAGGTTTTAACAAAAAACTGTAATTTTTGTATGTGCTGAGTTTATATGGAAAAAGAAAATTGTCCTGGAGGTGAGAGATAGAAAATGGAAAATAGAGAGGCACCTGGCACACTAGAAGTGATATATTAGAAATGTTTGCTGTTTTTTAAGACATTTCTAGTTGTATAGGTTAGACAACTAGTTGTATAGGTTAGACAATTATTTCCTCCTCCAAAAAAAGCATTTACACTTAGTAAACTTTACATTCCAGTTCTACTTAGAAATACTGCTGTGCTTAATCTAAGAATAGCATGTTTGAGTCTAATGAATATATATTATGGGTGGTGATGGCTTCATCTCCATTAGCACAGTTTCTAGGACAAAATATACAAGTTTTTTTCCCATCTTTATTTTTCTTAAAACATTAGATTGTTTCTGAAGGTTTCTCTTAATGTAGCTGTATCTTTGTATTGTCTTCATTCGATTTTAAATTTATTAGGGAGCCACTGTGGAAGCTTTCGTAAGTACCATGGAGAATGTGTATCCTGCGATTATACCATACATAAAAAGACACCAGGCAAGCACAATATGGAATTAAGTCCTAATGGTAAAAAGGGGTATGTTTCCAGGGTAACCGCAGTGATTCCAGGGGATGTGAAGTAGAGGGGTCCGGATGAATATTTGCTGTATTTCTTTTGACTTCTGTTACATTTGCAAATTTTGTATATATAAGGGCACTAAAATGAAATACTTCTGGGAACATTTTAACTGATTCTCACTAAACTAATTTTGTACATGAGCTGAAAAAGTGGCTCAAACATTGATTTTACTTTCAGTAGATTACTTTCTCACAAATGGTAACTCATTGAAATTCATATATGTAAATGTATCTTAAGTTTTCCCATAGAAATAAACCATACAAATGAAATGATTGCTATTATTGTAAGAACTTCTTACTTTTATCTCTTCAGAAAATTGATTTTCTGATAGTGTATAGTCTGTAGTAATGACTCAGAACTTACTCTGGGCGTAGGGTGGGGAACTGTCTTCCTCTGTTTTCTGTGGAGTGTGTAGTAGTCAGCATCCTCCACATTGTTACTCGGTTTGACTGCTAGTAGTTTGGTTTTTAAGAAATAAAAAAGGAACTTAATTCCAATTGACTAAAGATACCACCTTTTAATTCACAATGGGAATCTGCCTGGAAGTGACAGCTGGTGAAGGGCTTCCTGCACCTTTCTGAGAGGTGGGTTTGGCACCCATGGGTATGGCTGCAGAAACTTTTCCAGCTGGCCATGGACTGATGTGGGAGTGGGCTGTGGCAGCTGCAGATGGCTGCCCTCCTTCAGGTAGTTTGTCCACATAAGGAAAACTTTCTTCAGTCTGGCCTTCTCAGCATGTCGAGATGGGAAGGAAGCCAGGGCTGAGGCTGCCAGTTATGAGCTAGAATCATTGTGAGCAGCTAGATATTTTATTGATTCCGTGTTCTTTGTCATGGGGCTTTTAAAGCATGATTCTACTTTTTTCTTTCTCTCTCTTTCTTAAGTAAAAACCATATATATTTTTGGTTTCTAACCAGAGATAAGCTTTCAACTCTTCTTTTCTTTAAGTAATTTTGAAAAGCATTTTTCTAGTTTGTGTTTCTATTAAAATGTGAGCCTGAATACATTATGGTAAGCGTTGTCCTTGGTCTCGGGAGTCTAGAGGAGGTTACTGTCCTCACATGGTGAACTCATTAGACAACTTCTGGAACCAGCAGTTTTAATTAGGTCACAGCAGACCCCGCTGAAGGTGAAGTGACTGCAAGCTGTGGTTCGCTGATATAGACAGGCCCAGATGTTTCTTTCATCCTATATCCGTCAGTTTATGTAGAAGAGCAGGAGCCATTTAATTGTTTCTTCTAGTTAGATGATGTTGCTAGTTCAGCTTTGCGTTACAAGAAAACTATCAGAAAAGATGGAGAAGTGGGTGGTCCCTTCATTAATGTGTTTTCTTGGTTTGTGTTGGAGAGATTGTGTGTGCTCTGCTTAATGTTAATGAAAGCAATTTATGCCTTCAGAAGGAAAATTTCAGGATTTCTGTTGTAGATACTATTCATTCAGTTTGTATTAATTCTATTTATGGAAAAGAACTAAACCTTTCCTTTTCCACAGCATTTAAAATATAAATGTAAAAACTGTGTGTAATGTATGTATCTTTACTTACACACACATACACACACACACACACACACACACACACAGGATTATGTGAGTTTAGTGACCAGGGGTTACTAAACCTATTTTGTTATCAAAGGAAAAATAATAAAAAATTTGCTGACCTTGTTAGTTACTTACCTTTTTACATTTGTGGTGTGTGTTATTATGATACTAGTTTATTTGGTTTACAGTCTTTCTCAGATTTTTTTCAAGAACTTTTAATTATAAAATATTGGGTAGTTGAATATTGGTTACTTTTAAAAATCTTCTTAACCCTTTCCTGTTTCTTTTTCAGATATGAGGCCCCAGGATTCCTGGCGAGGTCCTCCTCCCCTTTTCCAGCAGCAAAGGTTTGACAGGTAATATTAAAAGTAGACATGACTTTTAAATACTTTCTGACACCAACATTTGGGGTTTATGGTTTTTATGGAAGCTAAAACCTCTGTGGTTTGAAATGTACTTTTTCCCACCAAAAACAATTTCCCTTGTGCCTATCCTTTAAGAAAATATATAGCTAATACTTTGAATTAAAAGACTCATGTTTAATATACTTTCTTACTTTTCTTGGTTCTTGGCCTTTATTTTATTGATGCTTTTGAGATGCCCTGAAAAATGCAACACAGCTTAAAACTGTATTAGGTTTTGGTCAGGCTAAACAAATTTCTTTTTAGAAGGGTTGTGCAGCTTAATGAGGCATAACTAATGGTGTTCCACTTTTATCATTTCTGTGCGGGCAATGCAGCGTTAGTACAGACCAACCATTGATTCTTGCTACAAACCTCTTGAAGTCCTAATCAGCTTCTTTGGTACAACTTTTTCAGGGCTGACAAGCCTATTGTAGGGCAGTGTCACTGTAGGTCAGTAGTTATTAGTTGCCACTGAAAACAGTTTCTTTAACTACTTAAGACTGAACTGAATTAAACGCAGAAGGGACTCAGAAGAGGATTATGGGATCTGCAGTCTAATAAGTACCATGGACTAGGAAGAATGTGACATGGTTTAATAACAAGGGATGTTTAACATGTATTCCTTCATTGATAAGTTGTGTGCTCCTAAGTCCGATGGACTCTGTACGACAAGACAACTAGGCACATTATGAATAATTAACATCTGTAGAATAATTTTTAAAGGCCAGCTTTAAGATGTATCATTTCATGATGGTTTTGCCAACATCAGTAAATGCAAAAACAAATTAAGCCCCATCATAATAAGGCTTTCTTTTTTGCCTTCCCAGTTTTAATCTGTTTTATTCTCTTCTCCTCTGCCATGTTTACAGTCTCTAATCTGTTCACATCTGAAATGAATAGTGTTTTTATAAATGGGATTCTAAATGCAGCTTCCCTTTTAAGAAAACTTTATAACTCTTTAGAGACTCCAGAACTTTATTTCATTGTTATCTTCAAGAGGATAAAAGGAATCATGTTATTCGATGTTTACTAATAGTGTCAACTTAGTGCAAGTCTCATTAAATGCAATACGACTAGCAATGTGTGTATTAATGTTTTGATTTTAGTATATGTTCTGAAAGCACACAGTATGTGCTGTTTCATTTTCCTCAGTACCACAAATTTTAAGCAGAAATTAAGTAAGTAAGGGGTAAATTTTTCCTAAATTATATACTTGGTTTCTCTATCTTATTGCTCACTTTCCATACTAATAATAATGGCAAATGTTTGTCTGCTTACAAAGTGTTAACACTGTGTTAACATCCTTTAATAAGAATGATTTCATTTATTCCTCCTAGCAGTGCATTGAAATAGATGCTGTTATGTTTACATTTTTGCAAATGAAGAAAGTGAGGCACAGAGAAGTTCAGCAGCTTACCTAAGGTCACTCTTTTGTGCCATTCTTTACCAAGAAACTTTTCACTGGAACAAAACTTACCAGAATATTTACTCTGAGCGTAATATAAAGACGTAGGGACTTCAAAGGAAGTAAAGGATCTGTTTCCACTTCTAAGGCCCCAACAGCTTTCCTCCCCTCTGTTCACATTAAAAGTTTTCCTAAGATCATCATCATTGTCCCTTCCCTTACCCTGCTGTCCATCAGGTTTTGTTCTTATTCTACCCTAGCCAAGTACTAGTATTATTCTGACTTTGTGAACCCAGCAGGTTAGTGACAAGTTTTGTGGGAATGTTTTTTGGTTTAGTTTTAGTCAGATACTTAAAATTATGCCTGAAAGCAAAAGGTAAATGTGAGCATAATAGAGTTCTATCATAAAAGTCTTACATCACAGACATTTAAGAAAGATACCATTTTGTTCCAGAACCAGGTTTTACCAGTTCTTAGTTCAGTATGTTTCCACGACGCTACTGTTTGTTGAGAATCCTATTAAGAGAATTTTGAGTGTCTTTTTTTTATTACATTGCATTTCTTGAATAATTTCCTACTTTAAGATGGTATGTATAATCCATATATCCAGTAGATTTAAAAATACAACAGGAACATCCTCCCAACACAGACACAGCCTAGAGTTAATAGATACCCAGCATTGGAGTTCCCTTTGTCACTTGAGTTTTGCCACATTGTTTGGGTTCTTCTTGTCAATGGAGGCCTCTTTTTCAGTCATTTGCAAGGCAGCCATTTAGTTTTTTACCTATGAGTGTTAAGCTCAATCATGAAAAATCTTTTAAATAAAACTCCGATTTTACCATATGCATACATTTAAAATATTCAAATTGGTAGTAGTTCACATCTCCAGTAACTTTCCAAAACAATTTGGAAACTTAAAAAAATTGTTGCTATCTACGATGCCAAATGGCTCAAATAAGTTGCCTTATTTATTAACTTCTTTTATTGATTTATTGATTGAGACAAGGTCTCACTCTGTCACCCAGGCTGGAGTGTAATGTCATGATCTTGGCTCACTGCAGCTTCTGCCATCCAGGTTCAAGTGATTCTGATGCTTCAGCCTTCCAAGTAGCTGGGACTACAGGCTCCCACACCACCATGCCTGGCTGATTTTTGTATTTTTAGTAGAGACGGGGTTTTCCCATGTTGCCTAGGCTGGTCTCAAACTCCTGGGCTGAAGTGATCTGCCTGCCTCGGCCTCCTGGAGTGCCGGGATTACAGGCTGAGTTACTGTGCCTGGCCTAATTGCTAATTTTTAGAATTTAGGATATGTCAGTTTCTGTGCTTCTATCCCAGATTTTAAAACATAATTTCCTAGGCAAATTTTTAGTTTTGTAAGTATTTGCAAAATATATAATTAGTCTAGACATGTGATAAACTTGTTGAAAATAAAGGCCTTTCTGTCATAAAAGTCAGAAGAAGGTAGTACATGACATCCTTGCTTTGTTCTTCTGTTTAATTTTAATTATTGATGATTTTTTTCATAAAAATTATATTTGTCAAAAACATTATAAGTAATCAATTCAAACAAAAAGAACTTTGCGTTTTTAAACTGTGGCTTTGTTCTTAACCTGTTTTTGGAACATAAAATAGTTTTGAATTGCATTTATAATGTATATTATTTATGCCAGCAGATCTTCCTAAAACTCAATTGAATTTTATTATTGTAAGACTCAAAAGAAAAACTGATCACAGTTAAGATGTGAATTGTGTTTTTAGCCCGTGGGTTTTGCATTAATTGGCCCAGTTTTGATGAGACTTTGGTTACAGCACAAACCTTAGTTTAGCCCTTCACTCCTGCAGAGACTGGAAGAGACCATTCCTATCTCTGCACACGGAGCTCTTCTTGCTAAAACAGATGGAGGCATTCTTGCTAAAATATATTTGTGCTAGTAATTGTCCTGAAAAATAATTAAAAGCCCTAGCCATATGCATTTTCTTTCTGAGATAAAAACTTATTTTTAATTGTATTCTGAATTACTTATAACACATTGTTATTAGAGCTCTGGTTTCAGCTACCAACTGTAAAGAAAAACTTTAGCCTTTCTAGAGTTCTTTAGAGAGCAGTTCATTTCTTCGAATCATCACACAAAAATAATTATCTCTGGTGTTGTTTTAATAAAAAGAAGGCAAGCTCCAAGTGAAGGGAGGAGAGTGGGGGTAGAGAGGATGGATTCAGGCTTGAATAGCTGTGAGAAGAATGCTTTACCCAATGAGCCCAGCGCCGGGCTTTTTTCCCCTAAGACCTCGGAAGTGAAATTCTTATGCTGATATGGTTATAACTGATTACCAGCTAGTCAGCACTTCAGTGAATTTAAAGTTTTATTGAATTCCTCCTAACATGGTCAGTGGCCCCAAAGCTTCTGATGTTCAAGTATACTGGAGCATTTGCCTCTGTTTATTCTTTGTAGTGCCTTCCATAAAATAGAAGTTATGGAAAGTGCCTTAAGGAGAAAGTAAAGTCTTAAATGGTGATTGCCTTTAGAAGGTATATCCTTGCTACATTGTTTATGTGACAGTTTTTAATTAAGTTATGATTTAGTACATTATACCTGTTGCTTTGCATCTGCAAAGTTAAAATAGTCACTTGAAGACAATTAAAACATTTCTTTCGACTAGTAATCTGCGACAGCAAACTGGGTTATAATAGCCGTTGAATCTGTGTTCCCATGTAAACTGTACACCAAATGCCAGTCAGCCCATGCCAATTAGTGCTCATGTTGCTAGGTCACCGTGGTCAATTGAAAGCTGCATCAATAGAACTTGAAAAGGTTTCCTCCCAATCAGACCTTCTGACATATTGAACAGAATAATGGATGGGAAAAAACAGCCAAGTCTCCTACCCTGGATTCAAAATACTCAGCAGTAAGAATTCATTTGCAACCTGCAATTAAGTAGAAAGAATGGATCCAAGAACGAGTCTGGACATTTTTGAAAATAAAGCCTCATTCTCCTGTCTTGTACATGTTTACTCTTTGGATAGCATCTTAAATGTAGCCATCTTGGTGATCTTGGGTCTACATCTTTAAGTGACTAAAAAGGAAATTTCCCAATTGAAAATGAACAAAATAACTTTTAAAAGTCAGAACTTCTCAGTTGAGTTTAAACATCCATTGTAATAAATGCTGATGCTTCATGAAACATGTTAGATTATACTGGATATAAGGGACACAAAGGCCATTCTGATACTCTGTATCCCATATGATAAATCCAGGTAAATTGGATTGTACTAAAATTTGGAGATGATACCTGCCGATTTTAGGCTTTGTGCTGTATAATAGGTGTGGCTTCTGATGTAAAACTGGTACTTTCCTACAGAGGCGTTGGGGCTGAACCTCTGCTCCCATGGAACCGGATGCTGCAAACCCAGAATGCAGCCTTCCAGCCAAACCAGTACCAGATGCTAGCTGGGCCTGGTGGGTATCCACCCAGACGAGATGATCGTGGAGGGAGACAGGTAAATGGTTGTGGGATGAAAAGTATACTGCTCACTTTATATTTCAACAAGCCTCACAGGACTCCGTATTTTCTTACCAACATTTCTGGAGAAGACACTGATAGAGTAGCTTAGAGTAGCTTGGCTGAACTTGGGTCTGTCATTAAAAATGTATATGGGTTGAGTACCTGCTTCACTAAATAGGTTATATACCTTGAAGATGCCAAAGAATTTCTAACCCAAAAGCCCTTTAAATCATAGCAGTCAGTGATAATTAGTCCAAGTATAGTCAGTCACCAAAACACATTGTTTTTCCTTTAAGGATATTGTTCTTCAATAGAACCTAGATCCCTCTTAATGGGTGATGATTTTCTGGAAGCTGGAAAGTAAGTCTGCTTTTTCAGCTGTTGTCTTTTAGAAGTCATTTTACAATGTTGTCATTTTAGAAGTCTCCTGCCTTGATTCATCTGATATCCCTCCTCATAAAAGAAATTTCTGCTTGATAATCTTCCACATATTTTTCTTCTCAATGTAAGCAGCTGTATCACTGAATGACTATCATAATTCCTAGACAAATTTAGTATATGTAAGCTTCATGTCCTTCTCTTTACAGCATCCAGTTTTAGCAGCATTTAAGACTGAGGTCTATTTGACATAATTTCCTCCAGCAATTTGACACCCTGGCCAGTATTTACATGCTCTTAATGGAATCCTTACTAGAGAACAAGATTAGAATGCTGTGATTCAGAGTAATGTGTATGGAGTTTGGCACCTGCAGTGATGTGAAGTGGTTTTTAAATTGCTTACCTGGTGTTGCCTCCAGGCCTTTTGCAGTGCTTCACATATTAATTAGTAAGACCTCTCTTCTCACAGCTAAGGAACATATTTTGTATGTTTTTTGATGTATTCTTACAAGTATCTCCACCTTACAAGAAGATAATCACCTTAATTGCAAATAATTTCTTCTGAGATTTTGTTACAGTTTATTTGAATCAGTTTATCGAATTTTGCTTTGAATTCTTTCAGCCCAGGACCTCTAAAAATCGTGTCAGTGAACTAAGGCTCTTTATGTTACTATGGTTAGATGGCACTAGGCCGTTTCAGTGATGAGCATTTTTGAAGTGAGGACTATTTGTAACTGGAAGAAACCTTGGAGAATGTGTAGTCTAGTCACCTCATTTTCCAAGTCAGGAACTGAAACCCTGAAAACCCCACACGGTTCAGCAGGAGAACTGGTAGCTGGCTGCCTAGACTGCTGACCCCAGTTCATCCATTTTCCTCTCTCCTTTGGAGATCTTCCTTTTAAAGGAACTCTGTGCTGTTACAGGAGGTAAAATTCTTATTTACTTAGAAGATATAAACCAATTGGTAAATTTATTATTCTTTTAGGACTTTTTGAAAATAACATTTCTTCTTTCTCAGTCCCTTTGCCAGGGAGATACTTTTTATTAAATCACAATTGTTGAAGCACTATTAAATTGCAGAAGTTTGTTGTTAAAAACATAGAATCATTACTTCATTGTATTTTTAGTAAAGTTTTATATGACCAAACAAGGCCTTAGCCTGCATTCTGGCCTTGAGTCTGCACATGTTCATGTTTAAAGTACTGAAGTGCTCTCTGGGTGGCAAAATGAGGTGGGAGGGGGTTCCATTTCAAAACCCTAGAGGCCTAGGAAAGGACTTATAATGAAGAGGTGTCAGGTTTATCTTTTGTTATACAGAAATGTTATTTGCAAACATACTAGGATATGTTATAAAGGTCACGGCTAATGGATTGTGTAATAACCTTAATATGTCATTTAAAGCCCTACTATTTGTTGCTAAATAAAAAATCCCTAAAATCAATTGCTCATTTGGCCTTAACTGACTTAGCAAGCTCTTGCCTTGGTTAAAGCAAAGTTACTTTCCTTGTGTAATAAGTCTAAATTGATGTGGGTATCTTACCACAAAGTGACTTGAATTACTACTGCTAGGACAGTGAGAAAATTGAGAACCACTGTCTGTACATGTTGTTTACACAGAACACTTTAGTTATTTGTGTGCATTTGTGATTGTTAAGGTTTTTTGTTTTATTTTTCAGTAATAGCATTTGTGCTAGCCTCCAACTTTGCAACAAGTCTGTATTAAAGCTCTGGATCAAAGCACCTTTTATGGGGCCTTTCCATGTGCTGTACCTTTAACACATACTCAGTTTCCTTATGATGTGTTTTTCCATAGAGGTTTAAAGTTAACTGACTTGCAGGAGTATCGGTCCAGAAAATAAACTCTTTCTTTTGTTTATTTTCAGGGATATCCCAGAGAAGGAAGGAAATACCCTTTGCCACCACCCTCAGGAAGATACAATTGGAATTAAGCTTTTGTAAAGCTTTCCCAAATCCTTTCATCATTCTACAGTTTTATGCTATTTGTGGAAAGATTTCTTTCTCAAGTAGTAGTTTTTAATAAAACTACAGTACTTTGTGTATTTCTTTTAACTGTGTATATTTCTACTGATCTGATCTCACTGTTTATGTTGCTTTCCAAAGATGTATGTTGCATAATACAGTGGATCTGAATTTATTATTGCTTATAAAACACATTTGATGGAATAGGAGTACTGGTTTTTCATAATGGTTAAAAATGAAACCAGCTGTGGATTTCAAAACACAGTGTATTCTAGATCATCTAAGATCCATGCTGATTTTTATTGCACAAGAATTAGGTTTGAACTCGAGCTGGAACCTCAGCAAACTAGAGTATATATTGTTCAGTATTTCTTTGGAAACATTTCATTAATGTACTTGTCTTACAGAAATTTCTGAACTTTAGTAAAAAAAAATAAAGTTAAACTTTTAAAACTCTGTTTTGTGTTGTTATTTTGCAGTATTTCAACTTTGAAAATCTTGACCAAGCGTGGTTTTTTAAAATTAACTTTTGCAGAAAACTATTTCTGTAATCAGATGTCCAAACCAAAGGACAAAGAAGTCAATGAAGAAGTAGATTTTAAAAGATAGGGTCAGCAAGACATAACAAAAGCTTTAACTTTGTTGTATTATGTCAGTGACTGATCTGGCTAACTCAGAAATCTTTGTGAGATAAATTACATTTTTACAAATTTAATGTAGACTTCTCCAGTTTTAAGGACTTGTTTTAAATCTTCAAGTTGACAATTTTAATTAATGGCCAAATAGTCTATGCTCCTTAGCATATTTTTGTATGTCATTAGATTGCAATTTGTACTCATGTTTTTCCTTGCTACTAAGTACACTATAAATTGCTTAAATGTGTGTTTGGAGTTCACATACAGCACTTACATATGCATTTTCATTTGATTGCCAAAACATATTTAGACACACATACAGAGACTATTGCTTTGTTTCAGTTTTTCCCTCCTAGCCCAAGATTGTGAGGTAAAGCTTCTCTTTGACCTCCTGACTTAGGATATTTTTGCTTTAATATTCAACTGAAGCACGCTTGTTAAACTTAGTCTGTGGGAAAAAAAAAAATCTCACCTCAACCTTGAATAGGAAGGTATTTTGTAGCTATTGAGTTCATTGCTAATGATGGGTGACCAGAGCAGGATCCTTTATTGTTGAGACAAAGAGTCTCTCCATCAGGAATTACCAACCCAACCCTTACATAATTGCCTTCGCTCAACATTCAAGTGATAATGCCTTCTATTAAATTTCTCTGTAAGTTTATCTCCCAAATATTAAAAATGTAGACAGCCATCTCAGTAAAGCATTGCATATTCTAAAGGAGCTTATAAATGTTTTACTGTTTATAGTTCATAGTCAAAACCCACAATTCCACTCTTTATATTCTCAGACCTTTAGTTTTGGCTTAGTTTTAAGCTGGCCTGAGACTGACTCAGTTTTTGACTGAATGTTTAAAGCACTGTTTGGAAGACATCTGAGCAAAAGGCCTGATGGAGAAACTGATGACGGCAGATTTCCTCTGCAGAACTGGCAGGTGTTCCCTCGCTGAGCCGGCTTCAGGCCCTGCTCCGTGACCTCACCCTTGCTTCTTCCTCTCCATCCTTAGTCTTCATCTCTTTCCAACTTGGTTCCGCGTTTGAATCTTCCAGGAAAATGCCCTGCCCATTTCAATCAGCAAAATGCTTTTCAGAGCTTTAATGTTTAAAGCTGTAAATATCTCCTCCAAATTCTGATGTAAAAATAAATTCGTTGGGCCAATTTTAAGTAGTTACTTGTACGCAATTATATTCTCTTTAAACGGCACATTTTTTCAGGGTCTCCTGTTAAACAAAATCTTAGAACCTGGAAACAGCCTGACTACTCTGGGGCTAAGGGCCCGTAATGAGCAGTTGTCTTCCCTTTAAAGATCAAATGGGGTAATGTATGTTAATGTACAAAGCCGTCTACAAACTGGTATTAGATTGCCATTTAGCGTTACAAAGGCAAATTGGGTGTAATGAGCGATAGGTTAATTTTCGTACGATGACGTGGGATGCCAGGAACGGGCCGGGTGAGGCCGGGGTCCCTGCACTCCTTTGCTGGGCGCGCCTGGACCGAACTGAAGGGCCCGGGCGCCGCGACCTCGCAGCCGGGGGCGGGATGGTGGCGGCGCCCGGGCCCCGCGTGCTACTCAGAGCTCAGGTCCTAGGTGCTTGGCTCAACTTTCTCCCAGCGGGGTCGGGAAGCGCCAGGCCCTCGGTGCACGTGGGGCACGCGCCCGGCGCCTGGGTCTCCCCTGCGGCTCGCTAGTCGCCCGGCCCAGCCCGCAGACCCCGCGGCTGGCCCTCCCGGGAGCCCCGCGAGCCGGCCGCACGCACAGGATGGGCGCGGAAAGCCCCTTCCTCTACCCTCGGGCGCACCCTCCTTCCTCGTCCGCGGCGCCGCAGCTTCTCAACCTGCCGCTGCATCTCAACTCCCTGCAAGCAGCAGAGCTGTAGAATACCAGAAATGGTCTTCCTTCCGAGGCTGCCGTTTTAAGTTCCAAGTGTGAAAGTAACCGAATTTTGCTATGCTTAGAAATCTAAAATCTGGACATTCCCTGAAGAGTCAACTTAGAGTCCCCAGTTTCTCGATCTGGCTCCGTCCCACTGACTGACGCCTCCTGCCCACCCCGAAAGGATCCTGGAGCTGCGATCTCGCCAGACTCTATTCCTGGTGATCCACTGCTCTGCTATTTCCCATCAGGAAAAAGTCACCAAACGAATGAACTAGCAAACGGCCCATTCTCGATGGATTTCTCCTCCACTCAGTAAAGCAGAATCCTCCTGTGGCTTGTTTCTCCACGCCTTATTTATGGAATGAGGGCCAAAAGAGAACAGGCTTGAATTGATGTGTATGAAATAGGAATATAGCTGTTCACTACTGCAAAATAGTTTGCACAACTTAAATTTAGGCAATGTTCCTAGTTCCTAGTTAAACTTTTTTAGAAGTCACCTAAACAATTACTGAAGGTTACATGGAATTTCAAAAAACGAAAGGCATTTCATTCAATTGCAAGTAAACATTCTAAAGCAAAAACAAAACCAAACCCACCTCTCCCAGAAACTTCCATTACCTCTAAAGTTAAAAATAATAAAAACAAAAGTGATCCTGAAATCACAAAGTTATCTCAATACTTACTGGAGAGCGCAAATTCCTGATGGGATGTGAATGCAGTTCCCCAGTCTAGGCATCTTCTTTGAAACTTCCCCAGATGTTCACCAAATCTCACTAGTAGTGAAAGGGTATTTATATTTTTAAAAATGTATCATCGTTCTCTGTCTCACTGGGTTGCAGGATAATAATAGTGTTTCAAAAAACTGTACTCAAATAATTAACATACAGGGTTTCATCCACACATTAGTGTTATGGTAAGCAGTGAGGGAGTATTATCCATGCTTTGAACTGTGTCTGCAATTTGTGTTGCCATCACATAATGCATTATTTTCTCTTCAGCACAAATTCACATCTAAAAATCCAATTGATAGGTCTTTATATAATTATGGCTCACAAATTTATTCTAAAAAGTCTTTTAAAATCATCAGTATTCAATGGAGTTAACAAAGCAAGTCTATGGAAGATGCTTGCATTTAGTGAACAGGATTGAGTCTCTGATTTGCTTTAAATTGAAAGTAAACAGTCGCTAGCCGAATGGAGATTGAACACAACATCTGTGTTGATAGAAGTCTGACTACTTGTTCTGACCATTAGGTTTTAGTTCTAGGCAAAGACTTAAATAGAAGACAACTGGGTTACACCCCCATCCTTCCATATACAAAACACCCTTCTTGTGTCCTTCAAAACTGCACACACTCGCACACACAGCACTTCAATATACATCCCAACACAGATTACAGAAAAGTACCTGCAATCCCTCCGTTCCTCTCTGCAACTTTGACTCTGGCTTTTGGTTTCCGTGCCTCAATTGGAAAAGGTAAGTTAGATTGTTGTAAAACCCAAAAACATTTAGGAAAAGGTCACATCTGCTGAGTAAGCATTTTTGAAACAGGTTTGCTGTGGCCTCTGCCAAACTTTGAGGGGCCTTTGTTCCACTCAGACCCTGCGCCAGTCCTCCCTCTCAGTTGTGGAGACACTTATCCTCCTCTTCAGTTAATGAGTTTCACCTAGTCTGGCCATTTGTATTTTTATAAAAGATCTGCAAAGCACTAATTGCAAAAAGAAGAAAACAGCTCGTTTTGCATTAATCAGAAGGTGGGATTCTATGGTAAAAACATTTCTATTTTAAGCTTCAAGAATCAAACCTTTCCCTAATTTCAGGATATGCACACATACAGTCAGTCAGTCTCTGGGTATAGAATGTTAAGCCCTTTGCAGCAATTATTTCTGGCTTGGGGTTTTTTACTCTTTAAAGGAATGCTGAAAGGAATAAGATATGCCCACACAAAATACACTTCCAGAAAATATTGTATATAAAAGTTGTTTCTTCTTAATGTGACATATTTCTTAAAGAAAGTGCACTTCTTCAGTCTAAAGGATTTTGTTCCAGAAATAAACTGTTCATGAAGACTCATTTTCTTTAAATATGTTACCCGGAGCCCTTGGACTATAAGCTATTATTGTTTTTGTAGGTATTGGACTGTAACAAAAAACACTGCCAACCATGTGGGCTTTTAGAACGTTTTCTAGAAGTAAAATTTCAGAATTATGGTACTATTGTGAGGAAATCAAACTAATATAAACAAACATTTTGAAATTTGGCACATCAATAATAGATTTGCTAGCTTAGTTAACATTTCTAAAGTCATTTCCATTAATATGCCAAAAACACCCCAAGTTGAGAGAATTTCCTGTGGGTGTACTGTAGCGTTTTCTTACAAATTTGTCTGCTCAGATTATTTGTTCTTACATAAAATGTTTTAAAAATTAGATCTCATTTTCTAAAAATTCTTTTACGGCCCCTTGATAAAGGGTGATTCCCTTGCTTCTTTAGTGTTTTTTCTCCCTCTGTGAAAGAAACTGGAGTTTTAAAAAATTACTATACAAGAGTCTAGAAAAAGTGCAAGTTTAACTTCTAAAACACCTTCTTATGAATTCAAGTTGCACATTCAGAAAAATGTTCTAACAATGAAGTGAAACACAATGTTTCAGCCCCAAGCTGTAATTCTAAAATCTCAAATGTAGAAGAGGTTTAGGGTCTCCGGTAACTATTTGTTTTGATCATTTGCAAATCATGCTTTATCCATGTTATTTCTTTAATTTTCATTAATTATTTATAAGCACAAATTCGTCAGCTTTTAGTATTTTTAGTCCACTACCAGTCATTTATGAGTAAACTGAGCTGTGTTGTCACATCATGACAATTAGTATTTTAAAAACACATCAAGCCATGTATAAACTTAATGAAAAAGAAATGACCACTTGACTTTTAGAAAAAAGAACTTGTTTCTTTTAAGTTATATTTAAATATCCATTAGAAACATAGGAAATATAAATCGGCATATTAAAGAGTAAATACATTATTTGTACAATAAAACACCAACAAAACCAGTGCAACTCCTAAGTTCTAAATATGGTGGAAAAATTATATTGTAGTTACTTATTCCTTATATCTTGATTACAATTCAATAAATCACCTTTCTTCTTCTTGTCATGCTTTGAATATAGATTAATTGATGTCAATTTTAGAAATTTTACTTGTTTGTTCTAGTACTTTATCAAGGTATTCAAATTCAGACAAGAAAATACCTCAAAGAGAGTAAATACCATGTTTACAGAAGGATAGGGTTATTTATTTTCTCAGTTGATGTTGGGAGACCAGATTTCATATACAAATAGTATACAACCTTTCTTATGGTGAGCTGCATCTTAGGGGGGAAAATCCTCTTTTAGCGTAACATACAAACACTCACTTGCCAAATAATCATCAAAACATTTTGAAATCAGCATTAAATTTAAAAAGCTCCATCAATCCATATAATCAGTATTTTATTTTGATTCCATTGCTCTATTACCTAAATGGCAATAATTCCTCTGCAATAATGTTGCTATGTGTATGATCCACCTTGAGCTACACTTCAATTTACTTTCAATCAAACATTAATGAAATTGCACTTAGGGGGCCCTTCGAAAATTAATCTCCCAAGATAAATTCCACTTCAAAAAGGACTGATTGTTAAAGCTGGGTTGATTTTTATAGTTACAAACGCCAACAAAGTTTCCAACTTTGAGAGCTGTAGTTAAGAATGCCGTGTGAACTTCTCCACCTTTTCGCGTCATTTAAGAACTTCTAGGAGGAGAAAATCACCACCTCAAAGCCTCGTGGCATAATGTTACACTACTCGGTTTCCGGGCTGTCGCTGTCCCCCGCCCCCAGCAAGAGGTTCACAGCCTGCTCCTCTCTGAGACCGGTTCGTTTTGAATCGCAGTTTACACGCGCGAGTCGGTTTTCGCATGCCTCCCCCATCCGTTCTAGCAGTTTCTTGCAGACCCTTCGGGTGCACCAGGACCTAGCCCCGGGGCGCCCTCGCTGTCACCACGTCCTGCCATAGAGCAGGTTGGCGCCCAGGACGCCGCCGCTGTACTCCCCGGCGGCCGCGTCCAGGGCCGCCAGGCCGCCCCCCGGGCCGTGCAGCGCGGGTGGGCTGGGCGACAGCTCCTCCAGCTCAGGTGCTGGCGTCGGGGCCGGCGGCTGCGGACCGGCCTGGCCGGGGGTGGGCGTGCTGGCGCCGTTCTGGCACGGCTTGCCGTCCTTGACCAGCACAGGCACCGCCACGCGGCGCGGGGACGGCGGCGGAGGCGGCGGCGGGCCCAGGCCGCCCTCCTGCTGCAGCTGCTGCGCCGCCTTGTCCTTGGCCTGCCGTTTCATCTTGTACCGGTGGTTCTGGAACCAGATCTTGACCTGCGTGGGCGTCAGGTGGATCATGCTGGCCAGGTGCTCGCGCTCGGGCGCCGACAGGTACTTCTGCTGCTTGAAGCGCCGCTCCAGCTCGTAGACCTGCGCCTGCGAGAAGAGCACGCGGCGCTTCCTTCGCGGAGCGGCTGCCGCCGCCGCCGCGTGCAGCGGGCCCAGCGACTTGGCGGCGTCCGCGATGCCGGTCAGCGACCCCATGCCGGCCACATTCACGCCCGCCGACGGCCCCATGAACCTGGAGACTGGGGAAGAGTCCCAAGGGGGAAGGCGAGTGAGCTCCAGGCCCGCCGGGAGCCGGTCCAGCCGCCGCTCTCTTCACGCCGCGGCCGCGACGCCGCCGGGCCCTCGCTGAATCCCAAGACCCCCTGACCGCCGCGGCCTCCGGCCCCAGCACGCCCCGCGCGCCCTCGGCGGGTCCCAGAGCACCACGCCCTCAACGGGTCCCAGGACGCCGCGCGCGTTCCCGGTCAGGTCCCAGGACCCCCCGCGCGCCCAGGGTCCCCAGAAACCCCGCGCGTCCCGGGCCGCGTCCCAGGACGCCCCGCGCGCCCGCTCGGCCCCAGGACCTCCTAAGCCGCGCGCACCCCGTCCCGCGCCCCCGCGCCCCTCGGCTGTGGCGGGAAACGCCTGAGCCGCCCGCAGCCCCGCGCTCCTGGCCCCTCTCACTTGACGAGTAGCGTGGGTCCGGGTTGGCGCCGTACCAGCCGGTGGCCGCGCCGCCCCGCATGCCGTCCGTGTAGGCGGGCAGCTCGCCCATGTTGCCCAGGCCGCCGTTGCAGTAGCTGCCCATGGCGCCGTGCGGGAACTGCGAGACGCCGGGCGGCATGTGGTAGGTGGCGGCCGCCGCCGCCGCAGCTGCTGCCGCCGCCGCCGCGGCCGCCGCGTTGTGACCCGCCATGGCGTGAGAAGGCTGCATGCCCGCCACGGTCGCCGCCTGCGAGGAGGGCCCAGGTGGCGGCGCGCGGTAGGCGGCCGCGGCCCCCAGGGGCGCCCCCAGGCCGGGTGGCGCGCCGTCCATGGCGCCGCTGAACTTCTTGTAGGTCTCCTCGATGGGGCTCAGGATGTCGGACACGGAGAAGGGCGTCGTGTGCTTTGGGCTCAACGACATGGCTCGGCGGGCAGCCAGGTAGGGGGGCCTGGGGCGCGCGCCGGCAGGACGCGGCGGCCGCTCGTCGCCGCCACCTCGGCCGCGGCAGCTGAGCCTGTGACGAGGAGTCGGCGGCTCGGCGAGCCCCCCGGGCTGCGGGATCTGGGGTTTATTTTAGTCCGGCGCCAGGTTTACGACAGACTCGGGGGGCGGAGCAACATCCCAAACGAGCAAACAATGGTCATTGACATCTTTTTCTCTCGCCCCCCCAACCCCCGCCCCATAATGGAGGCAAAAAAAGGTAAAAGGGGCAGTTGGGTGTTTCTTGGAAAGATCACTCCCCGTTGCTTTTCCCATCTTTGCTTTTCCCATCCTTTGCTTTTCCCATCCTTCGCTCCTCCATCCGCGGCCGTTACCCCAGCCCTCGAGCACCAGAAATAGAAACTCGGAGGCTGGCGTCGAGGCTAGACATGGACTCCGCGCCTGGCCCCTTCCAGATCCCAGTTTTCTAAAGTGACTTCGCACCAAAGTCCGGTATAATTGCGGAATGGGGAACGTGCTGCTAAGTTTGGGGGGAGGGTGTTGCGGGGGCTTGCTTCGTCCTCTCCAGTTATCAGCCCCTCATTCGCTCCATCACCTAAAGTGTTAAAAAAAAAAAAAAAGGCTCTTGGGTCCCACCGTAAGAGCGCATAAAGAGAGGAGGTACAATGACCGTCCTTTGCCATTGTAGGGCTCCCTAATTTATGCGTTTTTAGACCCTTAAGCATCATTTTGTGGGCAACCAAACGGGCACTTCCAAATTAGCTCAAAGTATCCAAGCCCAGAGAAGAGAGAAAACACACATACACTGATAAATACGCAGATGCTAACTTGTAAGTATTCTGTTTTTCCTCTGTGGGGATGGAAATTGAACAAGGGAAAGAGGGGGAACATTTTTATTTCCTAAAATGTTTCCTACTGAGTTTGCACTTGTAAAGTTTTTTCTGCTTTCTTTCCCTTTGTGTGTGTTCTTACTCTCTTTCTCTCAGTAAATATCTCTGACTTAAGTTTATTCTCCCATCACTACCGTGATCAAAAAGAAGAGAAAGACAAAATATCAAAACTTCCAAATATTTCTAGTTGTTCGCAACGGGTCTTTTTGTTGTTGTTGGAAAAATATAACCTGTTCAAGCGATATGAAAATGGATGCAGAAATCAGGTGAAAATTGTAGTTTCTTTGGAAAAATACAAAACCATAGATAAACAGATTTTTAAAACTTTGTCATCCTTTGACTTGCAGTTTTACCCGAATACTTAGACATTATGAACTCTCTACTAAATACTGAACAAGACAAAGCATAAGACAAAAGCAGTGTGCAAAGCATATTGATTAAATTTTGAAAACAATCTTGCAGCAATAATAATGATAACGAGAAAACAAAGATAACACTTTTAAGTTTTCCTGGAAACTGGAGCAGGAGAAAGAAAAACAAGGAGAGTGCTTTCTTAAGCAATATTTTGTTTTATTTTTTTTCCAGAAAAGGGTGTGTGGAATCGATTTAAGTTTAACCTGACAGTACATGTCTTGAAGGCAAGAACAGTGTTACATATTCCTTTTTCTGTTTGGTTTTAGCCCTTTGGTGGAAATGTTCTCCATGGTTTTGTTCTTAGGATTTTAATAATTGTTTTGTTCAACTCAGTATGGTTTTGCAAAGAATCTGCCCTTTCTAGGGGGGAAAAAGCCATAGGTCACCTGTGGGAAGGAAGTGACAGACGAATGTTAAGAGTAATGTTTTAATATACTGTAAAAATAAAATGCAAGGTTACAGGAATTGTTTACAAACATCAGTATTGACTTAGCAAGATTAATATTGCTACAGTTTTAACACGATGCTACTTTTACAGGTCTTTTATGAACTTGAAACACATCGGCTAGGTCTTCATCCTCACCTGCACTGGAATTACCTACTTAAGAAAAACAAACTAATGATACACAAAGAAGCACTTATGTATGTATTTAAACACTTGCTGGGATCCTTCTGAAAACTACAGTTTGAATTTTACGTTTCCGGTTTAGTTTAAATTGTATTGTTTACTTGTATGTATTAGCTTAAATAAAATAATAGTCATTTCAAATGTTTCTCAGAGACAACAGGGTAAGTAAAAAATAGTTGTGTTATGACATCTGTGAATATAAAAGTTATTTGTGGCCCATTATATTTTATTTTTCAAGTTCAAACGTATTTCAAATATGAAACGCATTATCATAATCTCCATATTGATTAGTTGTCCAAGTTGAAAAGTGTTTACAATTTTAATTTTTTCCAGATGATTATTACTCTGTTTTCAGGCTATAAATTTCATCTCATGTAATTTTCTTTGTAGAACTTTGACATAGCAGTTAACATCAAGTGGTTGTACTACAATTTTTGCTTATTTTGTTTTTCAACTGCATTGGGTCCTGTTATAAGTGCATATACATCTGGAATGCTTCCATCTTTAAATTAAAAGCACTTTATCACATCTGAAGGTTCTCTGCAGAGAGTCACTTTCTGACTGCTTAGGAACTTGATAAGCCAAATAGTATTCCATCACTGTAGGTAAACAGTTCTGGGAAAGAAAAATCTACAGTCTTTGACAATTCTTCCTGTCAATTGTTTGTACCTCATTCTAGAAATTACATATCTTCATGCCGGAAACACTATTTGGATGCGTGTGGATGATTCTGAAAATTGATATAGTCTGAAGGATGTATATGTACATTTATATATAGACACAATATAACCCAATTGATATTCCATTGAAGCTTTGTATTCATTTCATCAGATTATCGTGTACCTAAATTATGTGTGGAAATTTATACTTAGTAGATTCTCAAATATTATTGGCTAAACTGCATTTCACAGGAAATGTATTTCTCAGGAGTGTTTTCTCATTGTTTTCCTTAAAAAACAATGCTGGCACCCAGCAAAATAATAAAATTAAAAAATAAAATAAAATGCAAATACTGCCTAAGGGAATACAGTGAAAAGAATTGGTTCTCACTCTCCTATCCTTCAAGGCTCCTAGTTCTTCGCCTCAGAGGAATTTGGTGTTACCTGTTTCTTTTGGAATGGCCTGTCCATCTAGAAGCATACTACCATTTTACACACAAAAGATAGCATGCTCTATGTGATTTGGTACCTTGCCTTTTTCATAGTTTAGGTTTTTATAGTTTCACACATTGCAACATTGAAAACAGACGAAGATAGGCTGTGGCAGATACAGAAATTTTTTCTAGACAAAAAGACAAGATTTCTCTAGACAAAACACTCCTGGCTTTCTGGCAAAAATGTGGTATTTGTTGAAAATCTCTGATGTGTTAGATAGCCTTAGTGCCAAAAATATTTAGCAAAAAAATTCTAAGGAAAGAGCCTTCTGCAGTTTGGATTTGCTCTTGGCAGACAGAAGCTCAGCGAAAGGGACCTGAGAGGAGTTGAGAAACTTCTGACATACCCACTTTGAAGTGGGGGTCCAGCCAGTACTTAGAGGGAAATATTGTTTATCTAGGTGGTGAATAGGTTTTCAGTGGGTCTTGTATTTCCTCATCAAGACTGTTTGAAAATATAACTTTCTGCTTGATACCCAAAAACGTAAGTGCCTTTTAGAACTGAGACACTTGCTACATTTGCAATTAGTTTAAACTAGTTGTGCAACAATTTGATTAATAAGTTTTATGTTGTGGAAGTAGCCTTAAAATATTGTCTTTGCAGTTGGGAAGGAATAAAGAAACATCTTAAGGATACTAGTATTTTGCAGCAAAATTTGAGGTTATAAAGAGGAAAATAAAACTGCCATAGAGATGAAACACAAAGTTTATTTGAATTATTTTACTTTTTTTTGCTAAATTCATCAGTTTCTGAGATCTGGTTCTCATTTCTTTTTAGTCCCTTTATAAGCCTTTTTCCAATAGTGTTCATTTCAATTATTTTAAATGTCTTACAGTAATTTTACACTTGCATTTATAAGGCTTTGTTATTTCTATGTGACACAGTAATCCTTTCATATTTTCTTCACAAAATACAAACTCCTGGCAGTTTACTCAAAAAAATCTTGTGATCCTTTTCCTGAGATTCAGATATTTTAGACTGAAAATTGTTTTCTGACCAATGATAATTGGTATCAATAAACACATTTTAAGCTAACACAATTGTTAGTACAGTGTGAGAATGAATAGTAGGTAATCACATTTTGTTGTCAAAATTATTATAATATGGTCCAATGAAATGATTCCTCCTCCCATCCCCCTAAGGAAAAAAACAAACAAGAAACCTCCCCTTCTAGGGTCAAGCTGTAACACTATAGTTTTTACAGTCAGAGTAGAGAATAACACTGGGCTATAACAGGGGAGTAAAAATAGGGAAATTATCCAGTGTGTCCCAATTCTCTCACCCTAGGATTAGGAGCTTGAGCCACAAATTCAAATTTTTCTATGTTAAAAATCATTTTTTAGAGTAATAATACATGTATGGGAAAAACAATGGCAATATTGAAATATAATTTTTTATTTCTGAATTACAAGTTTATTGTATATTTTGTGTATATAGAAAGTTTAAAATATTTTGGAACATAGTGGTATTTCCATTGAACAACATTTTTTAGATGTTTTGGAGTGTCATTAAATGGCTGTTTTATAGGAAAAAGAATCCTCTGAATTTTAAACAAAACTATATTTCTGTTGGTTATTTTGTGTGAGGAGTTAGTTTTTCTAAGTGTTCCACCATGTTTCCAACACAACCTAATTAGAGTAAATACACAAAGCTTTTAAAAATACTTACTTTATAACTTCTCACATACTGTCACATTTTTCGAATCTGAGATTTAGTGGCTTTAATGTAAACTCTTTTTCTCCTACAAGTCTCATTAAAGATGTGTCATCTTGCATTTACAAATTACTTTGTAATTATCAAGGAAGGTATCAGTTTTTAACATCTGGGCTGAGTAATTGGGCTGTTGCCACCATCACTTACTTGAAGGAGAACTCCAATTTTTGATGTTTTGGTAAATTGATTATTAGGTTGTTGGATTTGTTAATAAAAAGTTTTACTGTGTACATTTTAGAAGGAACAGCTATGACAATATAGTAATTAGAGAATAATTTGCTCAATTTTGTCCCCTTTTGTTCTTCTGTGTACTACTAATGTTGAGGGAATAGTTGACAGATACTTGTATTCACATGTATCTGTCTGAATTGTAGGTTGAGAATTGTTCTTAAAAGGAAGCAATAGGCTAATGTTTACCTCATAAATCAATGCAAATTTTGGTAGATTTTAAGCAATTTATTGCTTAATAATTTGCATTAAAAAGCTTAATATGAAACAATTTCATTAATCTACTTTCTTCAGACAGTAAGTGCCACAAGGAAAACCTGACTAATAAAGTTGCCTTATAAGATTTTCTCAAGAAAACCAAAACCCAAAAAACCTAATAAAATGAGAGTCTCAAACCACAACAGACGTGTCAGATGGACTTGAAAATTACTGATTATTGCCCCAGAATATCCAGTTTGTGAAATAAATTGTGGGATCTGACTCTAGTAAATCTAGGGTTTATTATAAAGTTTTTAAAAGTGAAGTACTAAATGTAAAAGGCAATTTGATCTTGTCACTGTGTAGGGAATTACGTAGGTGTAATACTGAAAAGGTGATTCAAACTGGTGTTTGTACTTTTAGAAATCATGGAAATTACACAAAAATGTCACAAACCACAGCCATTGGAATTTGGCCTGAAATACCAAGCCAGATAAATGAGAATTGCTTGAGAAAATCGGAACCAGCTTAAATGAAAGCAGCTTATCATTGGCATGTAGTATGTCTTTTAAAATGTATAATTATCTAACAGAAGGAAAATAGAATATTTGGAGTAGATTACCTCTTCAAAAACAAAAAGCATATGCTATGTATCCAAGGTAAATTTTTAAAAAACTAACTCAACCCTAAAAAATGGCAAACTTCAATGAGTGAAAGATTTTTTAAAATAACATATTCAAAAAAATTTAAATCAAATTTATATTTTTTAAAGTTCACTTTTTAATGAAGGACTAAATCTTGAACTGTAAAGATTATATTAGGGTTAAATGTTTTGCATAAGTTATTGTTCTAGGATTTGGATAATAGAATAATTTACAAGGCCATTGTTTCAATACATTCTTTATATGTTTACCATTACAAACATATAAACAAAATACTCTGAAAGATCTGAATGGAAAGTATTATATGAAATTTTATTTTTCTATAAATATTGAGGTATATATATAATTATTTTTTGTTTTTATTTCTTAGCTACATCTGCTGGAATGAGATGTATGATGATTTAGAGTTGGTTCTCTTAAGTGCAGTATTTCTTTAGGATAATCAGTGATAGTGCATATATGATTGAGCTACTGTTGTGAACATAATTGATGGCAGAATGCCTTGATGCAGCTCTTACCAACAATTTATGGAGATTAAAAGGGTGGTAGAACTGGTGGGTTAGAAATTGCTTTCTAAAGAACTGGAGGATCGAAGAGAAACCTGGGGTTTCCAGTGCCCTCTGAAATAATCTTTACATAAAACCCAGGTTTAGTAGGTACAATTGTTGTTTAAGTGCGCTGCTCATGAAAAAAATTTATGTGGCAGAAATATTATTTGGTCATGGATATTGTATGAACAAATCAGGGCTTCTGTACCCATGTTAAAGGAAAAATGGAGAATGTTCTGTATATTTAATATGCACATGTGATTGTATTTAACTTTATAGGTAATAAATGATACAGGTAAACACACTTATGAAGATCAAACACATTTCACGCCCAAGAAAGTCTAATCACGAATTGTCCTTAGCTTCCTGTATATGGATTGTCCCGTTTCCATATGTTCAAGCAAGATGTATCTCTCTCACATAGATATTTTTACTTAGAGACTCAAGAGGACATATGTAAGGCAAAAAAAAAACATAAACATTTATTCTTCCTCTGCCTTGATATATAAAAAATCTGAGGCAGTTTATAAATAAATATATTTGTGCGCTTTAAACATTTAGTAAGACTCAAGACCTCATAAATAAGGATCTTATAAAAGAGTAGGAAATTAAGATATAAGTTGAAAAAACATCAACTAAACAGGCTATAAAGCCTACTGAATTCCTATAGTTGAGCCTCACATTTGGCTCTAAGCTTCCTCGTGGTCAATTGAAAAAGTCAGTTATATTTTCCTTGCATTTAGGAAGAACACCCTCCCAATACACACAGACATACACACAACATTTCTCAAGGAAAGAGGCATTTCCTAATACTCAGCTCTAAAAAAAAATTTGTCATGGGGCTTCATGGAGGGAGCACTGAACATAAACATCTTAATAGTTCTATAGCAGATGGAATTATTTTTAAATATTGGCTTGTTGTAGTGGCCATTCCTAAAAAGTCTGAGACCTCAACATCGAATCATCTCAATTAAGGACTCTAAGGTTTAGGAACAAAATATGGTTCAGGTTTGTAGCCTTCTGATTCAGGAATGCTTCATACTTTAAAAAAATGACTTCATAGATCATGCCTATAATCCCAGCACTTTGGGAGGCCGAGGCGGGTGGATCACGAGGTCAGGAGATGGAGACCATCCTGGCTAACACGGTGAAATCCCGTCTCTACTAAAAATACAAAAAATTAGCCAGGTGTGGTGGCGGGCGCCTGTAGTCCCAGCTACTTGGGAGGCTGAGGCAGGAGAATGGCGTGAACCCAGGAGGCGGAACTTGCAGTGAGCCGAGATCGCGCCACTGCACTCCAGCCTGGGCAACTGAGTGAGACTCCGTTTCAAAAACAAAAACAAAAACAAAAAACAAAAAAAAAACTTCATAGAAACTACAACATCGTTTGATATCCTAGTTATTAGAAAGTTCTGATACTGAGGCTAAATAGGTCACCATAATTTGCAGGTAACAGTCCTAGATCAGTTCTTTGATGCCAAACTAACTCTAGTTCTTTCCCACAAAGCACTCTAAATATAAGAGAATATTATATTCTACCTATGTTTTCTCCTTTTCATACTAAAAAAATCCTCCAGAGCAAAAAGATCTAGAATGAACACATACAATTATATTAACTAAGAATTTATTTAGTGATTACTATATGCTTAAGATTGTCTTAGTGCTTTAGAAAACTGGGGAAGGAGCCCCTCTGATATTAGAATAAACTTATCCCTGGCATTCATATCCTGACGTTGAGCAGTATTTTAAAATTATATATTGATGTAGTTTGGATGCTTGACCCCTCCAAATCTCATGCAGAGATTTGATCCCCAGTGTTGGAGTGGGGCCTGGTGGGAGATATTTGGATCACGGGGAGGCATCCCTCATGAAGGGCGTGGTGCCTTCCTTCTGGTAGTGAGTGACTGCTTCCTTTAGTTCTTGCAAGATCTGATTGTTTAAAAGAATCTGGCACCACCCTCCTCTCTCTCTCGCTTCCTCTTGCCATGTGATGCCTGCCCTCCTTCACCTTCCGTCGTAAATTGAGGCACTCTGAAGCCCTCACCAGAAGCAGATGCTTCTGGTACAGTCTACAGAACTGTGAGCTAAATAAACCTCTTTTCTTTATAAGTTGCCCTGCCTCAGGTATTCCTTTATAGCAACAGACTAAGGTATTCCTATATAGCAAATGGACTAAGACATGTATACATAATATGTATTACTTTATGTACTTTTATGTACTATTTGAAATTATATGTTTATATCCATGTGAATATATCCTGTATATATATGTGTATATATATGTGTGTGTGTGTATATATATATATATATATATATGTATATGTCTAAAAGAAAATGCATGTCAAATTCTAAATAGCTGACTTACTAATGAACTTTTCAGAACACATCCCATTTGTAAGGTGGGGATAAGGCAAAAATTGTAAACATTACTAATATTTATTTGTCTTACTAACATACTAGTTACTTTCATGAGCTTTATGTGTTTATCTCATTTAATAGGTACAATAGAAGAGAAGTGTCATCAACATTGACAGTTCAAACGTAAAGATCTTCTAAATAGGGGTGAAAAAGAAATCTTAAAGTTATTTATGGCTGCTCTCCTGCATCTCTACAAGGTTAATAGATGATGATTTATGCAATTTTTTTTTAGACGGAGTCTTGCTGTGTTGTCCAGGCTGGAGTGCAGTGGTGTGATCTTGGCTCACTTGCAACCCTCACCTCCTGGGTTTAAACGATTCTCCTGCCTCAGCCTCCCAGGTAGCTGGGATTACAGGGACCCGCCAGCACATCCTGCTAATCTTTTTATTTTTAATAGAGATGGGGTTTCACCATGTTGGCCAGACCAGTCTAAACTCCTGACCGCAAGTGATCCGCCCACCTCAGCCTCCCAGAGTGCTGGGATTACAGGCATGAGCCACAGTGCCTGGCCTGATTTGTGGTATTTTTGAGTAGCCGTTGTTAATGAGACTATTCTTACATTGCCAGATGATTTTGATGACTATTTTAATTGGATATTTGTTTTGTATACATTTTCTTTATAAGGGCAGCAGAAGGTTTGGAAGTTTCAAGTGGTTAGAGTAGAGTTAATGGAGCAGTAATAGAAGGTGTTTCTTTCCTCTAGGTACTACAGTAATGAAGTAATTTTCATTTTTGCTTTTTTCTTTTCTTTGAGACAAGGTCTCGCTGTGTTGTCCAGGCTGGAATGCAGCGGCATGATCATGGCTTTCTGCAACCTGTGCCTCCCAGGCTCAAGCAATCCTCCCACCTCAGCTTCTGAGTATCTGAGACTACAGGCAGGCACCACCACGCCCTGCTAATTTTTGTATATTTCGTAGAGACGGAGTTTTGCCATGTTGCCCAGGCTGGTCATACTCCTGAGCTCAAGCAGTTCATCACCTTGGCCTCCCAAAGTGTTGGGATTATAGGCATAAGCCACCATGACTGGCTTGAAATAATTTTCTTAGATAATTGAATAATATAGTTTCTCAGGTATAGTGACAAATATTTGTAGAACACTGGCATTGATCATTATTAACTCAATATTATTAAAATTACTGAGGTGATAAAAGCTTTTTGTAAAACAAATCAAATAATGTGTGGAAGTATATGGAGCAATGCTATCCAGTAGAAATACAATGTGAGCCACAAGTATAGTTTAAAATTTTCTGGTAGCTATGTTACACATAATGAAGAGAAATAGGTGGTATTAAATAGAAATATATTTAGGCTGGGCGCAGTGGCTCATGCCTGTAATCCCAGCTCTTTGGGAGGCTGATATGGGAGGATTGTTTGAGGCCAGGAGTTTGAGAACAGCCTGGTCAACATAGTGAGACCCCCCATCTCTAATTTAAAAATAAAAATAAAAATTGTATTTAACCCAGTATTTCCAAAAGGCTATTATTTTTATATGCTATATACTCAATGTAAAATCATTAAGGAGGTTTTTCTTGTACTAAGCCTTTGTAATTTTACACCTACTGCACATCTCAATTTGGACTAGTCACAATTCAAGTGCTCAGTAGCAGTGTGCTGCTCATGGCTATTGTATTCAGCAGCATTGTTCTAGAGCAGGGATCAGGAAACTATGACCTGTAGGCCAAATCTGGTCCAGCACCTGTTTTTGTACAGCCCAGGAGTTAAGAGTGGTCTTTACATTTTTTAATGGTTGAAAAAAATTAGATGATTAGTAATATTTCATGATGTGTGAAAATCCTATGAAATTCAAATATCAGTGTTCATAAATAAAGTTTTATTGAACACACTTGCACTCCTTTGTCTATGACTGCTTTCTTGCTACGGCAGCATAGTTGAGTAATTGCAAGAGACTGTATAGCCCACAAGCCTAAAATATTTAATTACTGGCCCTTTACAGAAAATGTGGGTCAACCTCTGCAAGAGTAAAAGAGAAAGTTACTTATGCATATATCCAATCCCACACCTGTTTCTAGAAGCAATCACTATTAGGGTATTTTTTTGTTTTTCTAGATCTTTCTATATATGTCTGTATATCTGTGTGTACACACACCCACATATATCCTATGGCTAGTTTTATTTATGTATCTATAACATATTTACACTTTTTAATATAATGTTATTACATATATATTCTGTGATTTCCTTTCTTTAACTATATTTTGTATCAGTTTCCACATCAGTACCTATACATGTTTCTTGTCAGTACAAATACATGTTTTCACAGCAGTGCACATCTTCATAATTCTTTGTTTTTTTGTGAGATAGTGTCTCTTGTTCTGTTGCCCAGGTCTACTCACTCTGAGTGCATTGATGTGATCTCAACTCAGCAGCCTCCACCTCCTGGGCTCAAGTGATCCTCCCACCTTAGCTTCCCAAGTAGCTGGGACTACGCGGGTGTGCACCACCATACCTGGCTAATACAGAAATTTTTGTTGTTGTAGAGACAGTGTCTCCCTATGTTGCCCAGGGTAGTCTCGAACTCCTGGACTCAAGTGATCCTCCCACCTCAGCCTCCCAAAGTGCTGGGATTGCAAGTGTGAGCCACTGTGCCCAGCTGATCTTCAACATTCTTTCTAATGATTATTTATATTCCATAATATGGTTTTACTGTAAGTTATTTAACCAGTTCCCCATTAAGGAGTTGAGGTTTGTTCTTTCTTTTTCTTTCTCTCTTCATTCTTTTGTTCTTTAGTTCTTTTCTTCCTTTCTATTATAAACAGTGTTGCAGTGAACATACAGATCTTTGTGTACTGGTACAGAAATTTCTTCAGGACAGATTTCTAGAACTAAAATTGGATCAGAAGGTAAGTTTTTTTGTGTGTTTATTTAGAGACAGGGTCTTGCTCTGTTGCCCAGGTTGGAAGGCAGTGGCTCAATCATAGCTCACTGTAACCTTGGACCCTTGGGATCCAGGAATCTTCCCCACTCAGCCTCCAGAGTAGCCAATACTACAGGTGCATGCCACCATGCTCTGCTAATATTTTTAGTTTTTGTAGAGATGGGGGTCTTGCTTTGTTGACCAGGCTGGTCTTGAACTCCTGATCTCAAGCCATCCTCCCACCTCAGCTTCCCAAAGTGCTGGAATTACAGGTGTGAGCCACTTTGTCCAGCCAGTCAGAGGATAAATTTATTACACATTAGGGTAGAGGCTGCCAAAGTGCCTTCCAAAAAGACTATTAGTTTACACATTAGTTTACGTTAGCAGTGTTATGACTTTTCTCCCTACATCTCTCACTGACACTAGATAATAATTTAAAACGTTTTTAACCAGTCTAAATTCAGTTTTACTAAGTACTTTAATATTTCTTTAATACTATTCTACTTACAAAAAATACTATTGCTCATTTAAACAACCAAAAAGAAAAGAAAATTAACCAAGAAATATATCAACTGTAAGGGGAAAGTCCCCTGAAAATAACACCCAGAAATACCACTATTGTAGAAGTATTCCAGCTGAAAATTTTAGCCTACACTCTTAACATATTTTTACTTTCAACCTTGTTACTTTTCCTTGAGAGGATCATGGTTTAGTAAAAAGCAATTATGCTTTAGAATTAGATGGACTTCAGGCCGGGCGTGGTGGCTCATGGCTTTGATTCCAGCACTTGGGGAGGCCGAGGTGGGCAGATCACCGAAGGTCAGGAGTTCGAGACCAGCCTGGCCAACATGGTGAAAGCCCATCTCTACTAAAAATGCAAAAATTAACCGGGGTGTGGTGGCACTTGCCTGTAGTCCCAGCTACTTGGGAGGCTGAGGCAGGAGAATCACTTGAACCTGGGAGGCAGAGGTTGCACTCCAGCCTGGGCGACAGAGTGAGACTCTATCTCAAAAAAAAAAAAAAAAAAAAAAAGAATTAGATGGACTTCAGTTGAATCACATTCTACCAAACTGTAAAATTTGGTGGCAAATTTTACTTAACCTTTCTGAATCTAAGTTTTCTCATCTGTAAAAATGTGAAGTTAGATTAAATAGGTTTAAGTAATAGATGAAGTCACCCATTGTAGCAATTTTAGAAAATATTTGCTTTATTATTTATTTTATTCCTTTCTTATTTAGTATGTCCCAAAAGTATATATTTTTTTCTTTTCCTTTTTAGTTAACACCTCATAATTGGACCTATTTATGAGATAAAGTGATATTTCAATACACGTGCAATGATCAAATACAATGTACAATGACCAAATCAGGATAATTAACATATTTGTCACTTCAAAAATTATCATTTCTTTGTGTTGAGAACATTCAAAATCTTCTACCTTTTTCAATGTACCATAAATTATTGTTGATCGTATTCATCCTACATTGCTACAGAGCACTAGGACTTATTCCTCCTATCTAGCTGTAATTTTGTATCTGTTAACCATTATCTTCCTACCCCTGCCTTTCTCAGCCTCTAATAACAACAATTCTACTCTCTACTTTTATGAGCACAACTTTTTAGCTCCTATATGAGTGAGGACCTGTGGTATTTATCTGTTTTTCCAACTTTTCATTTGGATTATTAGTTGTTTTGCTATTGAGTTCCTTATATATTCTGGATATTAGTCCTGTTTCATATGTATAGTTTGCAAATGTTTTCTCCCATTCTACAGATTGTCTCCTCACTTTGTTGTTTCCTTTGCTGTGCAGAAGCTTTTTAGTTTGAGGTAGTACCATTTGCCCATTTCTGTTTTTTGTTGCCTGTGCTTACCCATAAAATCTTTGCCTAGACCAGTATCCTGAGGATTTTCCCTATGTTTTCTTTTAGCAGTTTTATACTTTTGGGTCTTACATTTAAGTTTTTAATTCATTTTAGGTTGATTTTTGTATATGGTAAGAGATAAAAGTCCAGTTTTATTCCTCTGCATATGGATATCCAGTTTTCCCAGCACCATTTAGTGAAGAGGGTGTCCTCTCCTCAATTTATATTCTTGATGCCTTTGTTGAAAATCAGTTGACTGTAAACATATGGATTTATTTCTGGTTTCTCTTTTATGTCCCATTGGTCTATATGTCTGTTTTTATACCAATACCATGCTGTTTTGGTTACTATAGCTTTGTAATGTATTTTAAAGTTAGGTAGTGTAATGCCTCTAGCTTTGTACTTTTTGCTCAAAAGTGATTTGGCTACTTGTCTTTTGTGGTTTCACACATATTTTAGGATTAAAAAATTTCTGTGAAGAATATCATTGATATTTTGATGGAGATTGCGTTGAATCTGTAGATTGCTTGGGGTAGTATGATCATTTTAACAATATTAATTTTTCCAGTCTGTGGGCATGGGAGGTCTTTCCATGTTTTGTGTCCTCCTTAAATTCTTCCATTAGTATTTTGTAGTTTTCATCTTGGACATCTTTCACCTCCTTGATTAAATTTCTTCCCAAGTATTTTTTGGTAGCAATTGTAAATGGGATTGCTTTCTTGATTTTTTTTCAGATAATTCATTATTGGTGTGTAGAAAATCTACTGATTTTTATATGTTGATTTGGTATCTTGCAACTTTACTGAATTCATTTACTAGTTCTAAGAGTTTTTCTGTGGAGTCTTTAGGTTTTTGTATCTATAAGGTCATGTTCTCTGCAAAGGGCCAATTTGACTTCCTCTTTTCCAATTTGGATGCCCTTTATATCTTTCTCTTGCCTAATTGCTTTGGCTAGGATGTTCAGTACTGCATTGAATAAGAGTGATGAAAGTGGGTATCCTTGTATTGTTCCAGTTCTTACAGGAAGAGTTTTCAGCTTTTCCATGTTCAGTCTGATGTTAGCTGTGGGTTTGTCATATATGATTTTTATTGTGTAGGTATGTTCCTTCTACACATAATTTGTTGAGAGTTTTCTTTTATCATGAAGGGATGTTAAAATTTACCAAATATTTTTTGTGCATCTATTGATCATAAGGTTTTGCCCTCCACTCTATTGGTGAGAGGTATCACATTTATTGATTTGCATATGTTGAGCCATCCTTCCATCCCTGAGATAAATCCTACTTGACTGTGGTGTACTATCTTTTTGATGTGCTTTTGGATTTGGTTTGCTAGTATTTTGCTGAGGACTTTTACAACTATGTTCATTAGGGATATTGGCCTGTAGTTTTCTTTTTTGGTTGTATCCTTGTCTCACTTTGGTATCAGGGTAATGCTGGCATTATAGAATGAATTAGGAAGAATTCCCTGCTCTTCATTTTTTGGAATAGTTTCAGACAATTGGTTTTAGTTCTTCTTTGCACATTTGGTAGAATTCAACAGTAAAGCCATCTGGCGGTGGGTTTGTCTTTGTTAGTCTGTTTAGGCTTTCTATTTCTTGGTAGGTTATATGTATACATGAATTTATCTGTTTCCTCTAGGTTTTACAGTTTTTGGAGTATAGTTGTTTATTAATAGTCTTTAATGATCTTTCTGTTTCTGTGGTATCAGTTGTAATGTATCTTTTTTTTTGCTTCTGATTTTCTTTATTTGGGTTGTGTCTCTTTTTTTCATGGTCTAGCTAATGGTTTATAGATTTTCTTTTGTTTCATTGATCTTTTTTGTCCTCCCTCCTTTTTTTTAGACAGGGTCTTGTTCTGTCATCTGGGCTGCAATGCAGTGGCACAATCATGGCTCAGTGTAGACTTGACCTCCTAGACTCAAGTGATCCTCCCACCTTAGCCTCCTGAGTAGCTTGGGATCATAGGACCACAGATATGTGCCACTATGCCTGGTTAATTTATTCTTATTTTGAAATTTTGTAGAGATGAGTTCTTACTATGTTGCCCAGGCTGCTGCTTGATCTTTATTACGTTTTTGTTTTTATTAATTTTGACTTTGGTTTTCCCTTGCTTTTCTACCTTCTTAAGGTACATCATTAGGTTGTTTATTTGGAATATTTCTACTTTTTTGATGTAGATGTTTATTGCTATAAACTTTTCTCTTAGCACTGCTTTTGCTGTATCCCATAGGTTTTGGTATGTTGTGTTTCTGTTTTCATTTGTTTCAAGAAATTTTTTGATTTCCTTCTTAGTTTCTTCACAGACTCATTGGCCATTCAAGAGAATATTAATTTCTGTGTAAAGTTTCTAAAGTTCTCCTTGCTATTGATTTCTAGTTTTATTCCATTGTGGTCTGAGAAGATATTTGATATGATTTCAGTTTTTGAAAATTTGTTGAGACTTGTTTTTTTGTGGCCTAATATGTGGTCTATCCTGGAGGATGTTCCATGTGCTGATAGGAAGAATGTGTATTCTGTGGCTGGCAAAATGGCCAAATAGGAAAAGCTCCCGTCTGCAGCTCCCAGCAAGACCAATGCAGAAGGCAGGTGATTTCTGCATTTCCAATGGAGGTAGCTGCTCATCTCATTGGGACTGGTTAGACAGTGGGTGCAGCCCACAGAGGGCGAGCCGAAGCAGGGTGGGGTGTCACCTCACCTAGGAAGCACAAGGGGTCAGGGAACTCCCTCCCCTAGCCAAGGGAAGCCGTGAGGGACTGTGCTATGAGGGACAGTGCCATCCAGCCCAGATACTACACTTTTCCCCTGGTGTCTTCACAACCCGCAGACCAGAAGATTCCCTCAGGTTCCTACACCACCAGGGCCCTGGGTTTCAAGCACAAAACTGGGCACCATTTGGGCAGACACCAAGCTAGCTGCAGGTTTTTTTTTTTTTTTTTCATTTACAGTGGCACCTGGAATGCTAGTGAGACAGAACCATTTACTCCCCTGGAAAGGGGGCTGAAGCTAGTGAGCCAAGTGATCTTGCTCAGTGGATCCCACCCCCACAGAGCCCAGCAAGCTAAGATCCACTGGCTTGAAATTCTCGCTGCCAGCACAGCAGTCTGAAGTCGACCTGGGACACTGAAGCTTGGTGGGGGGAAGGGTGTCTGCCACTACTGAGGCTTGAGTAGGTGGTTTTCCCTTCACAGTGTAAACAAAGCCATCAGGAAGTTTGAACTGGGTGGAACCCACCACAGCCCAGCAAAGCTGCTGTAGCCAGACTGCCTCTCTAGATTCCTCCTCTCTGGGCAGGGCATCTCTGAAAGAAAGGCAGCAGCCCCAGTCAGGGGCGTATAGATAAAACCCCCCTCTCCCTGGGACAGAGCACCTGGGGGAAGGGGTGGCTATGTGTGCAGCTTCAGCAGACTTAAACGTTCCTGCCTGCTGGCTCTGAAGAGAGCAGCAGATCTCCCAGCACAGCACTCAAGCTCTGCTAAGGGACAGACTGCCTCCTTAAGTGGGTCCCTGATCCCCATGCCTCCTGACTGGAAGACACCTCCCAGCAGGGGTCGACAGACACCTCATACAGGAGAGCTTCGGCTGGCATCTGGCGGGCACCCTTCTGGGACGAAGCTTCCAGAGGAAGGAGCTGTCAGCAATCTTTGCTGTTCTGCAGCCTCCGCTGGTGATACACAGGCAAACAGGGTCTGGAGTGGACCTCCAGCAAACTCCAGCAGACCTGCAGAAGAGGGGCCTGACTGTTAGAAGGAAAACTAACAAACAGAAAGCAGTAACATCAACAACAACAAAAAGGATGCCCACGAAAAAACCCCATCGGAAGGTCACCAGCATCAAAGATCAAAGGTAGATAAATCCATGAAGATGAGGAAAAACCAGTGCAAAAATGCTGAAGATTCCAAAAACCAGAATGCTGCTTCTCCTCCAAAGGTTCACAACTCCTTGCCAGCAAGGGAACAAAACTGGACAGAGAATAAGTTTGACAAATTGACAGAAGTAGGCATCAGAAGATGGGTAATAAACTCCTCTGAGCTAAAGGAGCATGTTCTAACCCAATGCAAGGAAGCTAAGAACCTTGATAAAAGGTTACAGGAACTGCTAACTATAATAGCCAGTTTAGAGAAGAACATAAATGACCTGATGGAGCTGAAAAACACAGCAAGAGAACTTCATGAAGTATACGCAAGTATCAATAGCCAAATTGATCAAGTGGAAGAAAGGATATCAGAGATTGAAGATCAACTTAATGAAATCAAGTGTGAAGACAAGATTAGAGAAAAAAGAATGAAGAGGAATGAACAAAGCCTCCAAGAAATATGGGACTATGTGAAAAGACCAAACCTACGTTGGATTGGTGTACCTGAAAGTGACAGGGAGAATGGAACCAAGTTGGAAAACACACTTCCGGATATTACCCAGGAGAACTTCCCTAACCTAGCAAGACAGGCCAACATTCAAATTCAGGAAATACAGAGAACACCACAAAGATACTCCTCAAGAAGAGCAACCCCAAGATACATAATCATCAGATTCACCAAGGTTGAAATGAAGGAAAAGATGGTAAGGGCAGCCAGAGAGAAAGGTCAGGTTACACACAAAGGGAAACCCATCAGGCTAACAGAAACCCTACAAGCCAGAAGAGAGTGAGGACCAGTATTCAACATTCTTAAAGAAAAGAATTTTCTACCCGCAATTTCATATCCAGCCAAACTAAGCTTTGTAAGCAAAGGAGGAATAAAATCCTTTACAGACAAGCAAATGCTGAGGGATTTTGTCACCACCAGACCTGCCTTACAAGAACTCCTGAAGGAAGCACTAAATGTGGAAAGGAAAAACTGGTACCAGCCACTGCAAAGGCATACCAAAATGTAAAGACCATCGACACTTTGAAGAAACTGCATCAATGAATGTGCAAAATAACCAGCTAGCATCATAATGACAGGATCAAATTCACAAACAACAATATTAACCTTAAATGTAAATGGACTAAATGCCCCAGTTAAAAGACACAGACTGGCAAATTGGATAGAGTCAAGACCCATTGGTGTGCTGTATTCAGGAGATCCATCTCACATGCAAAGACACACATAGGCTCAAAATAAAGGGATGGAGGAATATTTACCAAACAAATGGAAAGCAAAAAAAAAAAAAAAAAAAAAAAAGCAGGGTTGCAATCCTAGTCTCTGATAAAACAGGCTTTAAACCAACAAAGATCAAAAAAGACAAAGAAGGGCATTACATAATGGTAAAAGGACCAAAAGGACCAATGCAACAAGAAGAGCTGACTATCCTAAAAATATTTACACCCAATACAGGAGCACCCAGATTCATAAAGCAAGTTCTTAGAGACCTGCAAAGAGACTTAAACTCCCACACAATAGTAGTGGGAGACTTTACACCCAACTGTCAATATTAGACAGATCAATGAGACAGAAAATTAACAAGGTTATTCAGGACTTGAACTCAGCTGTGGACCAAGTGGACCTAACAGACATCTACAGAACTCTCCACACCGAATCAACAGAATATACATTCTTCTCAGCACCACATAGCACTTATTCTAAAATTGACCACATAATTGGAAGTAAAACACTCCACAGCATATGCAAAAGAACAGAAATCATAACAAACAGTCTCTCAGACCACACTGCAATCAAATCAGAACTCAGGATTAAGAAACTCACTCAATACCACACAGCTACATGGAAACTGAACAACCTGCTCCTGAATAACTACTGGGTAAATAACAAAATTAAGGCAGAAATAAATAAGTTCTTTGAAACCAATGAGAACAAAGACACAATGTACCAGAATCTCTGGGACACAGCTAAAGCAGTGTTTAGGGGGAAATTTATAGCACTAAATGCCCACAGGAGAAAGTGGGGAAGATCTAAAATTGACACCCTAACATCACAATTAAAAGAACTAGAGAAGCAAGAGGAAACAAATTCAAAAGCTAGTAGACGACAAGAAATAACTAAGTTCAGAGCAGAACTGAAGGAAATAAAGACACAAAAAACCCTTAGAAAAATCAATCCAGGAGCTGGTTTTTTGAAAAGATTCACAAAATAGACTGCTAGCCAGACTAATAAAGAAGAAAAGAAAGAAGAATCAAATAGACACAATAAGAAATGATAAAGGGATATCACCACTGATCCCACAGAAATACAAACTACCATCGGAGAATACTATAAACACCTCTACACAAATAAATTAGAAAATCTAGAAGAAATAAGTTCCTGGACATAAATACCCTCCCAAGACTAAACCAGGAAAAAGTCAAATCCCTGAATAGACCAATAACAAGTTCTGAAATTGAGGCAGTAATTAATAGCATACCAACCCAAAAAAGCCCAGGGCTAGAGAGGTTAACAGCCGAATTCTACCAGAGGTACAAGGAGAAGCTGGTACCATTCCTTCTGAAACTATTCCAAACAATAGAAAAACAAAAGGACTCCTCCCTAACTCATTTTATGAGGCCAGCATTATCCTGATACCAAAACCTGGCAGAGACACAACAAAAAGAGAAAATTTCAGGCCAATATCCCATGATGAACACTGATGCAAAAATCCTCAATAAAATACTGGCAAACCAAATCCAGCAGCACATCAAAAAGCTTATCCACCACGATCAAGTCAGCTTCATCCCTGGGATGCAAGGCTGGTTCAACATATGCAAATCAATAAACGTAATCCATCACATAAACAAAACCAATGACAAAAACCACATGATTATCTCAATAGATGCAGAAAAGCCCTTTGATAAAATTCAACACCCCTTCATGCTAAAAATACTCAGTAAACTAGGTATTGATGGGACGTATCTCAAAATAATAAGAGCTATTTATGACAAACCCACAGCCAATATTGTACTGAATGGGAAAAACTTGGATACATTCCCTTTGAAAACCCACACAAGACAAGGATGCCCTTTCTCACCACTCCTATTCAACATAGTATTGGAAGTTCCGGCCAAGGCAGTCAGGCAAGAGAAAGAAATAAAGGGTATTCAGATAGGAAAAGAGGAAGTCAAATTGTCTCTGTTTGCAGATGACATGACTGTATATTTAGAAAACCCCATCATCTCAGCCCCAAAACTCCTAAAGCTGATAAGCAACTTCAGCAAAGTCACAGGATACAAAATCAATGTGCAAAAATCACAAGCATTCTTATACAGCAGTAATAGCCAAATCATGAGTGAACTCCCATTCACAATTGCTACAAAGAGAATAAAATACCTAGGAATGCAACTTACAAGGGATGTGAAGGACCTCTTCAAGGAGAACTACAAACCACTGCTCAAGGAAATAAGAGAGGACACAAACAAATGGAAAAACATTCCATGCTCATGGATAGGAAGAATCAATATCGTGAAAATGACCATACTACCCAAAGTAATTTTTAGATTTAATGCTATTGCCATTAAGCTGCAATTGGCTTTCTTTGCAGAATTAGAAAAAACTACTTTAAATTTCATATGGAACCAGAAAAGAACCCATATAGCCAAGGCAATCCTAAGCAAAAAGAACAAAGCTGGAGGCATCATGATACCTGACTTCAAACTCTACTACAAGGATACAGTAACCAAAGCAGCATGGTACTGGTACCAAAACAGATATATAGACCAATGGAACAGAACAGAGGCCTTAGAAATAACACCACACATCTACCAACCCAAATGTCCATCAATGATAGACTGGATTAAGAAAATGTGGCACATACACACCATGGAATACTGTGCAGCCATAAAAAAGGATGAGTTCATGTCCTTTGTAGGGACATGGATGAAGCTGGAAACCATCATTCTGAGCAAACTATCGCAAGGACAGAAAACCAAACACCACATGTTCTCACTCATAGGTGGGAATTGAACAATGAGAACACTTGGACACAGGACGGGGAACATCACACACCAGGACCTGTCGTGGGGTGGGAGGGTGGGGGAGGGATAGCAATTAGGAGAAATACCTAATGTAAATGACGAGCTAATGGGTGCAGCAAACCAACATGGCACATGTATACATATGTAACAAACCTGCACGTTGTGCACATGTACCCTAGAACTTAAAGTATAATAATAAAAAATGAAATAAAATAAAAAGATGAAAAAGTTCTGGAGATGGATGGTGGTGATGGTTACCCAGCAATGTGAATGTAGTTAATGCCATAGAACTGTATACTTAAAATGATTAAATGTCAATTTTATGTTATGTATATTTTACCACAATAAAAAAAAATTGGATGGGAACAAAAAAGAAAATGTGGCACATATACACCGTGGAATACTATGCAGCCATAAAAAAGAATGAGTTCATGTCCTTTGCAGGGACATGGATGAAGCTGGAAACCATCATTCTCAACAAACTAACACAGGAACAGAAAACAAAACACTGCATATTCTCACTCATAAGTGGGAATTGAACAATGAGAACACATGGACACAGGGAGGGGAACATCACACACCAGGGACTGTTGGAGGGTGGCAGTAAGAGAAGGGATATGATTCAGAGAAATATCTAATGTAGATGACGAGTTGATGGGTGCAGAAAACTACCATGGCACATGTATACCTATGTAACAAAACTGCATGTTCTGCACATGTATCCCAGCACTTAAAGTATAATAAAAAAATTACAAAAAAAAAGAAGAATATATATTCTGCAGCTACTAGATGAAATTTTTGGTAAATGCCTGTTAGGTCCATTGACTCCATAGGGTAGTTTAAGTCCAGTGTTTCTTTGTTGATTTTCTGTCTAGATTATTTGTCCAGTGCTTAGAGTGGGACACTGAAGTCCCCTAACTTCATTGTTTTTGGGCCTCTCACTTTAACTCAATAATATTTGCTTTATATATCTGGGTGCTCTGGTATTGGGTGCATACATATTAAAATTGTTATATCCTCTTGCTGAATTCATCTCTTTATCATTATATAATTATCTTGTCTCTTTTTATGTTTGACTTAGAATCTATTTTGTCTTATATAAATAAAGCTATTCCTGCATGCTTTTGGCTTCTATTTGCATGGAATATCTTTTTTTATTTCTTTCACTTTGTCTTTCTGCATTTTTACAGGTCAAGTGAGTTACTTGTAGGCAGCATATAGTTGGGTCTTATTTTTTATTCTTTCAGTCAGTCTGTATCTTTTAATTGTGGGATTTAAATGGTTGTTATTGATAGATGAGGACTTACTCTCGTAATTTTGGATATCCTTTGTTCCTTTCTTCTTCTCTGATTGCTATTTATTATTATTACTGTTTTGGAGACAGGGCCTTGCTCTATTGCCCAGGCTGGAGTGCGGTGACACAGTCATGGCTCATTGCAGCCTCAACCTCCTGGGCTCAAACAATCCTCCTACCACAGCCTCCTGAGTAGCTAGGACCATAGACACATGCCACCACACCCAGCTAATTTGTGTGTGTGTGTGTGTGTGCGTGTGTATGTGTATGTGTGTGTATGTATGTGTGGAAATGAGGTCTCACTATGTTACCCAGGCTGATCTCCAACTCCTGGGCTCAAGTGATTCTCCTGCACTGGCCTCCCAAAGTGCTGAGTTTACAGGCATGAGCCATCTTATTGTTTACCTTTGCAGTTTATCTTTGCAGTTTGGTGGCTTTCTGTAGTGATAACATTTGATTCCTTTCTCTTTCTCATTTGTGTATCTGTACTACCAGTGACTGTTATACTTTTGTGTGTTTTCATGACAGTAGATATCTTCCTTTCACTTCTAGATGTAAGACCCACTTAATTATTTCTTGTAGGGCCAGTATAGTGATGATGAATTCCCTCAGTTTTTGCTTGTCTGGAAAATACTTTATTTTTCCTTCATTTATGAAGGATATCTTTGCTGGGTGTAGTATTCTTGACTAGCAGGTTTTTTTCTTTCAGCACATTGAATAGATTATCTCATTCTCTCCTGGCCTGTGAGATTTCTGCTGAGAAATCTGCTGTTGGTCTGTTGGAGATTCCCTTATATGTGACTTGGTGCTTTTCTCTTACTGTTTTTAGAATTCTCTTTCTTTATCTTGACTTTCATTTTTTACTTTTTAGAGACAGGGTCTCATTCTGTCTCACAGACTAGAGTGCAGTGGCATAATCATAGCTCACTGCAGCTTTGAACGCCTGGGCTCAAGGGACCATCCCACCTCAGCCTCTTGAGTAGTGAGGACTATAGGCACATGCCAACACACCCTGGTTAATTTTCTTCCCTCCCTCCCTCCCTCCCTTCCTTCCTCGACAAAGTCTCTCACTCTGTTGCTCAGGCTGGAGTGCAGTGGCATGATGTCAGTGCACTGCAACCTCTGCCTTCTGGGTTCAAGCAATTCTCGTTCCTCAACCTCCCAAGTAGCTGGGATTACAGGCATGCACCACCACTCTCAGCTACTTTTTTGTATTTTTTTAGTAGAGACGGGGTTTCACTATGTTTGGCAGGCTGGTTTCAAACCTGGCCTCAAGTAATCCCTTGGCCTCCCAAAGTGCCTGGATTAGAGGCATTAGCCACCACATCTGGCCTAATTTTTATTTTTATTTTTTGTAGAGACAGGATGTCACTATGTTGTCTAGGCTATCCTTGAACTCCTGGCCTCAAGTGATCCTCCTGCCTCAGTCTCCCAAAGCACTGGGATCACAGACATGAGTCACTACACCTGAACCCCAACTTAGACTTTTGACAGTTTTAATTATAATGTGCTTCAAAGAGGATTTTTGGGGGCTGACCCTATTTGGAGATATTTTAGTTTTTTGTATCTGGATGTCTATATCGCTTCTAATATTTGGGAAGTTTTTAGGTATTCTTTTATTAAATAGGTTTTCTTTTCTCTTTCCTTTTCTTTCCTCCCCCTCCCCATTCCTTTCCCCTTCCCCCTCCCCCTCCCCCTCTCTCCCCTCCCCTTCCCTCACCTCCCCTTCCCTTCCCCTCTCCTCCCCTTCCCCTACTCTTTCTTCCTTTCCTCTCCCCTTCCTTCCGCTCTTCTCCTCTCCCTTTCCCTTCTTTTCCTTTCCCTTTCTCTTTTCTTCTCTTTCTCCCTCTCTGTTGCTGAAGTACAGTGTGTGTTTACAACTCACTAAAGCCTTGAGCTCCCAGGCTCAACCTTCGGAGTAGCTGGGACTACAGATGTAGGCCCCCATGCCTGGCTAATTTTTAAAATATTTTTAATGGAGTAGGGGTATATTAGTCCATTCTCACACTGGTATAAAAACATACCTGAGACCGGATAATTTATGAAGAAAAGAGGTTTAATTGACTCACAGTTCCACAGGTTGTACAGACGGCATGATTGAGGAGGCCTCAGAAAACTTACAATCATGGCAGAAGGTGAAGGGGAGACAGGCACAGTCTTTACATGGCAGAGCAGGAGAGACAGAGAATGAAGGGGGAAGTGCTACACACTTTTAAATAAACCAGATCTATGAGAACTCACTCACTATCATGAGAACAGCAAGGGGGAAATTCATCCCCATGATCCAGTCACCTCCCACCAGGCCCCACCTCCAATGCTTGACTCCACTTCCAAAGCAATTCAACATGAGATTTGGGTGGGGACACGGAGCCAAACCCTATCATTCTGCCCCTGGCCCCTCCCAAACCTCTCATTTCCCCCTGGCTCCTCCCAAACCTCAAATGTCCTTCTCACATTTCAAAACACAATTGTGCCTTTCCAACGGTCCCCCAAAGTCTCAGCTCATTTTAGCATTAACTCAAAAGTCCAAGTCCAAAGTCTTACCTGAGACAAAGCAAGTCCCATCTGCCTATGAGCCTATAAAATAAAAAACAAATTAGTTAGTTCCAAGATACAGTGGGGGTACAGGTATTGGGTAAATTCTTCCATTCCAAAAGGGAGAAATTGGCCAAAACGAAGGGGTTACAGGCCCCATCCAAGTCTGAAACCCAGCAGAGTAGTCATTAAATCCTAAAGCTCCAAAATAATCTCCTTTGACTCCATGTCTCACATCTAGGGCACACTGATGCAAGGGTTAGGTTCCTAAGGCTTTAGGCAGCTCTGCCCCTATTGCTCTGCAGGGTACAGCCCCCACAGCTGCTTTCACAGGCTGGTGCTGAGTACATGTGGCTTTTCCATGCACATGGTGCAAGCTGTCAGTGGATCTGCCATTCTGGGCTTTGGAAGATGGTGAACCTCTTCTCACAGCTCCACTAGGGAGTGTCCCAGTGGGGACTCTGTGTGGAGGCTCCAACCCCACATTTCCCCTCTGCATTCCTCTAGTAGAGGTTCTCCTTGAGGGGTCCACCTCTGCAGCTGATTTCTGCCTGGACATCCAGGCATTTCCATACATCCTCTGAAATCTGGGCAGAGTCTCCTATACCTCAGCTCTTGTCTTCTGCTCAGCTGCAGGCCCAACACCACTTGGAAGCCACCAAGGCTTGGGTTGTGCACCCTCTGAAGGCATGGCCCGAGCTGTACTGTGGTCCCTTTTAGCCACGGCTGGAGCTACAGTGGCTGGGACACAGGGTGCCATGTCTTAAGGCTGTACAGAGCAGCAGGGCCCTGGGCCTGGCCCACAGAACTATTTTTCCCTTCTAGACCTCCAGGCCTGTGATGGGAGGGGCTGCTGTGAAGGTCTTTGAAATGCCCTGGAGGCATTTTTCCCATTGCCTTGGCTCTTCTTTATTTAGGCAAATTTCTGCAGCCTTGAATTCCTCCCCAGAAAATGGTTTTTTCTTTTCTACTGCATGGTCAGACTGCAAATTTTCCAAACTTCTATGCTGTGCTTCCTTTTTAAATATAACTTCTAGTTTCAGGTTATTTCTTTGTTTATGCAAATGAGTGCAGGCTTTTAGAAGCAGCCAGGCCACATCTTGAATGCTTTGTTGCTTAGAAATTTCTTCTGCCAGATACCCTAAATAATCTCTCTCAAGTTCAAAGTTCCACAGATCTCTAGAGCAGGGGCACAATGCCACCAGTCTGTTTGCTAAAGCATAGCAAGAGTGACCTTTACTCCAGTTCCCAATAAGTTCCTCATCTCCATCTGAGACCACCTCAGCCTGGACTTCACTGTCCATATCACTATCGGCCTATTGGTCACAGCCATTCAACAAGTCTCTAGGAAGTTCCAGACCTTCCTCCATCTTCCTTTCTTCTTCTGATCCCACCAAACTGTTCCAATCTCTGCTCATAATCCAGTTCCAAAGTCGCTTCCACATTTTCAAGTATCTTTATAGCAATGCCCCTACTTCTCTGGTACCAACTTTCTGTATTAATTCATTCTCACACTGCTATAAAGACATATCTGAGGCTGGGTAATTTATGGAGAAGAAAGGTTTAATTGACTCACAGTTCCACAGGCTGTAGAGGAGGCATGGCTGGGGAGGCCTCAGGAAACTTACAATCTTGTTGCAAGGTGAAGGGGAAGCAGGCATAATCTTCACATGGTGGAGCAGAAGAGAGAGAGAGTGAAGGGGGAAGTGCTACACACTTTTAAGCAACCAGATCTTGTGAGAACTCACTATCATAAGAACAGCAAGGGGGAAATCCATCCCCCATGATCCAATCACATCCCACCAGGCTCCATCTCCAACACTTGGGATCACAATTCAACATGAGATTTGGGTGTGGACACAGAGCCAAACCATATCATGTGGTCTCCTTATGTCGCTCAGGCTTGTCTTGAACTCCTGGGCTCATGCGATCCTCCTGCCTCAGCCTCCCAAATTGCTGAGATTACAGGTGTGAGCCACTGCACCTGGCCTCTTTCATTAAATAGGTTTTCTATGCTCTTTCCTGTCTCTTTCTGGATTATTTGTTTACTTAATGGTGTCCCATGTGTTACATAGGCTTTTTTCATCCTTGAGAGCTTGTTTGGAGGTTCTAGTAGGGGAGCACAGCTACTTGTATACCCTTGGCTAAAGAATGGTCCTCCTCTGTTGGGGAACTTCATCCTCTTCAACCAAGCACGAAGGGGGGACACACATGGAGTTGTGAGGGAGGAAGAGGACACCTGCTTAGCCAGACAGATTAGCCAAATCAGCCCTGGCGATTAGTGGGGTGACAGATGTCACTGCCAGATCACCCTCACGTCCTCCTCATTCTCTTCTGTTTTGTTTTTGGTTGTTTTTCTTTCTTCTGTTTGATCTAGTCTGTTGTTGAAGCTCTCAATTGTATTTTTATTTCATTCATTGAATTTTTCAGTTCTAAGATTTGTTTGTTTTTTTGTTTAATGATTTCTATCTCTGCTGAATTTCTCGCTTAGATCATGAATCATCTTCCTGCTTTCCTTGTAGTGTCTGTGTTCTCTTCTATCTTCCTGAGTTTCCTTAAGATTATTATTTTGATTTCTTTTTTTGAGATAGAGTCTCGCTCTATTGCCCAGGCTGGAGTACAGTGGCATGATCTTGGCTCACTGTAACCTCTGCCATCTGGGTTCAAGTGATTGTCCTGCCTCAGCCTCCCGAGTAGCTGGGATTACAGGAGCCTGCCACTATGCCCAGCTAATTTTTGTATTTTTAGTACAGACGGGGTTTCACCATCTTGGCCAGGCATTATTTTGAATTTTTAAAAGGTATTTCATATATTTCCTTTTCTTTGGGGTCTGTTTTGGAAAATTATTGTGTTCCTTTGGTAATGTCGTGTTTTGCTTTATCATGTTTCTTTTGTCCCTGTGTTGATGTACGTGCAGTCACTTCTTCCAATTTTATGGAGTAGCTTTCACAGGGAAAGACCTTTTTCTGTAGATGTAGCTATAGTGTTGGTTGGATATGATACTCTGGCTTTGGTTCTGGTTGAGTGCAGTAGTGTAGTCTCCATATGATTTCTTCAGCTGTAATCAACGTCAGCAATATCCACAAGTTTCTCAGTGGCTTAGGCTGTGATTGTTTGTGGAAGCTGTGATTGTTTGTTTGCTGAGGACAAGGACATTAAATAGGCTGGGTTTTGGGCCCCTGAGGGGCACATGTGGGTGGGCAGCATCCCCTCTGCTAGAGGGGGCAGATTTGCTGATGTGGAGTCAGTGGATCCCAGGAAGGCTGGTCCCAGGTGGCAGGCCCCAGGTGGGCCAGTTCTTGGGCCCCTGTGGATTGCACACAGACATGAGGCAGCCTCACCGCTGGGATGGGTGGGGTCACCAGTGCTGGTAGCAGTGGGCTCCAGGGTTGGCTACTAGTATGTCAAAGGAGATAGCTGAGAAGTAACATTAGTTTATCAGTGGATCTGGACCTGTAGAAAGATTTATTCCTTTGAGGATCATCTTTGCTTTCTGGAAAACTTCTTTAGTATCTGGGCCTGCTTCATGCTCATTCTATGATTCCTATATTGATTCCGCTTCCTATTTTTGCTCCTTATAATGACTGATTTCAAAACTGAGCCCTTCATATCCTGATTAGCAATAGATCTCAAGCTTTTGATTGGTAAATTTCAGACTGGTTGCTGCTACTATCCTTCCCTCTCTCTACTTTTTCTGAATGTCCAGCAGGGAGAGGATGAGTGCGATTGGCTTTGCCACTTCTCTTCGACATTCTGGAGACTTTACCATCATAGCAATCTCATGGGTTAAGGGAAGTGAATAGCCAATATTTTACAGAGGGATTTCATTCCCCGGCTTTATATGCAGAAAATTCAGTATTCTTATGGTTCTAGTAATCTCTGTCTGTGGATACCTATTTCCTAGTCATCCTCCTTCCAGGTTACATCTTGTGATCTAGTCAGGCTGTTCTTCTCTTTACCCCATAGATATGCCACCACACTCTGCCTCTCTGCCTTTTTCATGTCCTCTTCCCAACAATCCACATACTATCCATATATCAAGGTTCAGTTTAAATTTTTCTCTCTTCCATAAAGACTCTCCCAGCTAGGCCAGCCCTTCTGCTCTCCCTCTCCACTGATGTGCTACTCCAACTTAAGAGTTCCTATTAAATGATTTCATTTATCTTTTTTGTTGTTGTTTCATCATTGTTGGAAGACATTATGTGGAAAGACCTGGATCCTGATGCCAGCTCTAGTACTAGCTTGGAATATATGATTGGGCATGAGACTTGACAGTTTCCACACATGTAGAATGAAGGGTATGGGCTTGTTACTGGAAAACATTACAGATTTGATTTTATAGAAATTCAAAATTTCTGTGAAGGAAAATATGTCATAAGCAAGATTAAAAGATATATGACTGGGGAAAATGTGTGCAACATATATACGAAGGATTAATATTTCTACTATAAAAGTGACTTCAAAAACTGGATGTAATGGCACATGCCTATAGTCACAGCTAGTCAGGAGGCTGAGGTGAGGGGACTGCTTTAGCCACGGGGTTCAAGACCAGCCTGGGCAACATAGTGAGACCTCCATCTCTTAACATTTTTAAAAAAGTGTCTTCAAGCCAATAGAGAATGGACAATTTACAAAAAATAATAATAACACAAATGGCTAATAACCACCTGAAAAGATGCTTGTTCCCTAGTGGAATTAGGTACTGGCACATAAAATAGCCATGAGAAGCCATTCTTTTTCTCCAGAAAGATGTACATTATATTCAGAGTTGGAGAATATAGGATCACAAGGTCACAAGGTTGTTAAGAGCCTAAAGTGATATAGCTTTTTTGGTCTAAAAATATTAAATATACTTCCCTTTGATATATCAAATCCATTTCTAGGAAAGTATCCTGAAAAAATACTTGGACAAAGATATACATAAAAACTGTCCAGATAGTAGTTAATTTGTAGTAGTAGGTAATTTGTAGTATTATCAATAATTTGAATTTTCATCAATAGGAAAAAGCTATATAGTCACTGAAAACAGTGAGGGCAGGCTGGATTCAGGTGCATCCACAGCCATAAAAATATCTCTGATATTTTGTTGACAAAAAAAGGTAAGTTGTAAAATTATGCAATGTGATCCCATTTTGGAGGAGGAGGGAAGAAAGCATTGTATATCTTAAATATATACTTTTATAGTTTTATCATCTTAGAAAATTATTTGGAAGGAATTACACCAAACAGTTACAAGGAGCTACCCCTAGGGAATAGGAATAGATGGGATTAAAGGGAGGCATTTTCACTTTTTAAACGTGGCTGTGATTGGTAAATTATCTATTTTTTACATGTTAACCTCCTTTTCCCAGTTAATTAACTCTTTGGCTATAGATAATGTTATCTCTTCCTCATAGCACTTACCACGGTGTTGATCATTTAACTATTTGACTCTAATCTCTTCTTGTTTTCATGGTTTCTGATAAACAGTTCACTATAATTTTTGTACTTGTTCCTCTATAGTGAGGTGTCTCCCCTCCCCACTGTTTCTTTTAAGATTTTCTCTGTCTTTGGTTTTCTGCAGTTTGAATATGATATGCCTAGGTGTCATTTTTAAATATTTATCCTGCTGGTGTTCTCTGAGCTTACCGAATCTTTATTTTGGTGTCCATCATTAATTTTTTTTTTTTGAGACAAAGTCTCATTCTATTGCCCAGGCTGGAGTGCAGTGGCATGATCTCAGTTCACTGCAACCACTGCCTCCTGGGTTAAAGCGATTCTCCTGCCTCAGCCTCCTGAGTAGCTGGGATTACAGGTGCCCACCACCATGCCCGGCTAATTTTTGTATTTTTCTAGAGACAGGGTTTCACCATGTTGTCCAGGCTGGTCTCGAACTCCTGACCTCAGGTGATCTGCCTGCTTCAGCTTTCCATAGTGCTGGGATTACAGGCATGAGCCACTGTGCCTGGCCTATCATTAATTTTGAAATGGTCATTATTACCTTCTGCTTGGTTCTCTCCCGCTAACGTTCCCTTGGTGTATATTATGCCTTTTGAATTTGTCCCACAGTTCTTGGATGCTCTGTGTTTTTTTTTTTTGTTTGTTTTTTCATTATTTTTTCTCCTTGTATTTCAGTTTGGGAAGTTTCTATTAATATCTCTTCAAACCCACTGAGTGGTTTTGATTTATAGCATTTTCTTTTGATTCTTTCTTAGTTTCCATCTTTCTGCTTTCAATACCCATATGTTTTGTATGTTGTCTGTTGTTTCCCATTAAAGCCCTTAATGTAATCATAATTATTTAAAATTCCCTGTCTGATAGTCCCCAAATCTGTGCCATATCTAAATCTTGTTCTTATATTTGCTTTGCCTCTTCAGACTAGACTTTTTCTTGCCTTTTTTTTTTTTTTTTTTTTTTTTTTGAGACAGAGGTTCACTCTTGTTGTCCAGGCTGGAGTACGATGGCACAATTTCGGCTCACTGCATCTACCTCCACCTCCCGGGTTCAAGTGACTCTCCTGCCTCAGCCTCCTGAGTAGCTGAGATTACAGATGCCTGCCACCATGCCCGGCTAATTTTTTGTATTTTTTAGTAGAGACAGGGTTTCACCATATTGGAGAGGCTGGTCTCAAACTCCTGACCTCAGGTGATCCACCCATCTTGGCCTCCCAAAGTGCCCAGATTATAGGCGTGAGCCACCGCACCCAGCCTTTTCTTGTCTTTAACATGCTTTGTAATTTTCTTGTCGAAAGACAAATACTATGTATCTAGTAATAGGAACTGAGGTAAATAGGCCTTGAAGGGAGGTTTTTATGTTAATCTAGCTAGCAGTTGGGCTGTATTTCATGTTTTCTATAGCTGTAGGTGCCAGAGGCTTCAGATTTCTGTAGTGTGCTTGCCTGTTGTTTTGGATCTTCTTTCTTAAATGTAGTCTGAATCGTACAGCTCTTTCAGTTATAATCCACTGGACAGCCATCATACTGGTGCCCTGTTGGTCTAGTGGTAACATGTAGGGGAGTTCTGTAATCTTAGGACAATATAGAAATCTTAAATTTATGGTTAAGATTAAAAGTTCTCTAATTTTATGATTTTATGATTATAGAATTAAATGATCTTGCTTATAAGTCATGTTTATGAATATGGAATTCTCATTCTAATGATGAAATCTCAGTCTTTTCATGGGTCTGTGTTCCTGGCTGTGATCTTCATAAGTGTTTCTTGCCTCCTGCACCCTTTGGCGAGTCGGGAAGTCTAGCTGGGATTGGAGTTGGAGAATTGTTCTTCCCCCAGATGGGGCAAGTCTCTGGTAAAGTGCTTCTCCCTTGAGAGCAGGCATTTGTAGGGGAATGCTCTGGGTGTATTTCACAAAGGTCACTTTTCCATTCCCCTGACAGAGCCTTAGAGGGGCTCTTTCCTGACTTTTTACTGCAAGAACCTGGTGGGGTTCCTGGAGGTAAAACCCATGAAAGTATGTCACGCCCCCGCCACACTCCCTTGGCAAGGCTGCATTCTCCAAGAGTTTCTCACTGTCACACTAGTCCACCTTTAACCTCCAGCAATTCATCACTCACCAATTAAGTGTTCCTTTCAGATTAAGACTCTAGCACTTCTGTTCCACATCAGCAGGTGATGGCTGTAACTCTCTGGATTCATCTGTCTCTCCAGATTGCAAGGTGTCTTTTAAATTTCCCAAAGGAGAAAAAGGCTACTTCTCGTCCAAATTTTTGTCTAAATATAGTTTAAATCCACTTACCCATTTATAATGGTGATGGCCTTTGAGGAAGCTGATGTGGTGTCCTGAGCTGCATTTCAGGTTTGCAGGTGAGGTTAGGCTTGGAGCTTCTCCACAGCAGATTATACACATGCGACCAGCCTAGCCCATAGCTATGCTCCCAACAAGACCTCAGAGACCTCAGCCACCAAGCATACATTTCTGCGTAGCAGGGCTGGAGGGACATTGCTCACAGGTGTGCCTATCAGGCAAGGAGAGAGAATACGCCTGTACACAGCTTCCCAAGAAGCCAACTTTCTCCTTCTGCAGGAGGTTTCGTGCAGGGAAGAGATAGGCCTAAGGTGTCCTAGAATTTATCTACATTGCTGGGAAACTGCTGTGTGTAGCAAGCTTTTTGAAAATAGAGAGCTTGGGCATGGTATGGCAACTTTGTATTGCTTTTTGCACTAGAAGCTTTATTGTTAATGATGAAAGAGGGAAAAACCTTGATTGGTTGTTTTACATCTTACTGTTTTATTTTGAAGAAATATTTATGTTCCCAAAGGTTAAAAAAAAAAACACCAACTCTTTTTTTTTTTTTTTTTTTTTTTTTTGAGATGGAGTTTTGCTCTTATTGGCCAGGCTGGAGTGCAGTGGCACGATCTTGTCTCACTGCAACCTCTGCCCCCTGGGTTCAAGCGATTCTCCTGCCTCAGCCTCCTGAGTAGCTGGGATTACAGGTGCCCATCACCACACTGGCTAATTTTTGTATTTTTAGTAGAGACGGGTTTCACCATGTTGGCCAGGCTGGTCTTGAACTCCTGACCTCAAGTGAGCCGCCTGCCTCAGCCTCCCAAAGTGCTGGGATTACAGGCGTGAGCCACTGCACCCGGCCACCAACTCTTTTAAAAGTTGTTTTCAAGGGCTAAGAAATAGCATTTTGAGGTAATAATATTTCTGAATTTTATGTAATTCATATTTTCTAAATTGTGTATAATTCAGTGTTTTCCTTATTCTAATCAATCCAAGATACATTTGTGAATATATTTCTATGTTCCAGATACTACTTATATTAACTTCAGTATATTAATTGAAGAACTGAGCCCTGAAACTTAAGTTTTGCCCAGGTCACATTTGATGGCTAGTGGCAGAGTTGATTGGTTTTATATAAATTGATCCCTTTTTTTAACAGTTACAATTTTGAAATATTTTATTTTATTTTATTTATTTTTGAGATGGAGTCTCACTCTGTTGCCTAGGCTGTAGTGCAGTGGCATTATCTCGGCTTGCTGCAACTTCTGCCTCCTAGGTTCAAGCAATTCTCCTGCCTCCCAAGTAGCTGGGATTACAGGCGTGTGCCACCACACCCATCTAATTTTTGTATTTTTAGTAGAGATGGAGTTTCACCATGTTGGCCAGGCTGGTCTTGAGCTCCTAACCTCAAGTGATCCACCTACCTTGGCCTCCCAAAGTGTTGGGATTACAGGTGTGAGCCACTGTACCTGGCCATTGAAAAATTTTAAATTAATGTATAATTTGTATACATTAAAATTCACCTTTGAAAAATATTCAGTTCAATAAATGTTGAACTGCGTAGGGTCATGTAACCACCACCATAGTCAAAATAAAGAATATTTTCATTAACCCCTCAAATTCACTCTTTTTCTAAGTGTTTTAAAGTTTTAGATTTTATTCTTAGGTCTGTGACCCATTTTGAGTCGATTTTTGTGAAAAGTGTGAAGAAGTGTTGACCTAGTTTCTTTTTTCTCTCCTTCCTTCTTTTGCAAATGAATGTCCAATTATTTGGGCGCCATTTGTTGAACTGCCTTTTTGTCTTTGCTGAAAATCAATTGACATATGTGTACACCAAAAATTTCTGAACTCTCTCTTTTATTTCATTGATGGGTATATCTATAAACCTCACAAGTTTTAAATTGATTAGTGTGGTTAAGACCTCACACTTACTGTCATCACTATTTCACCACTTACTTGAGCTGTGACATGCCAAAAAAGTACAAAGCAAAGCTATTTCTCCCTATATTTTTGACTTTTTTAAATGCCTCAGACAACTGTAACTCATTGACATTTATATCTCAGAGCTAAAATACAGAGATTACATTTGGATCAACACCTTCAGTACTTATATCCTGAAACTAATTATGTTGCCAGTATAATGAAATGAAAATGTTAACATGTTTAAGCCTGTCATGTGAAAATATTTCAGATGTCACAATGAAACCATTTATGCCATCCTTGTCATGGGTTGTCTCTGGTCCTATAATTACTTTCTGGCTTCCAGAAAATCCGTTTGAATATTTAAAATATTCAAGAATAAAACATTACTGAGAAAGCAGAGATGGTTCTTTCTCTGACCTCCTAGTAAAAGTGTCTTTGTTTTTGTCTAACTTCATCTTGCCTGCCCTGAGTTTGAATTGCGCATCAAGATTGGGGGTACCCTGACTTTTTCCTTGCCTACATCCAAAGCAAGACTTCCTTGGTTCCTTTGACAAGAGCTGTAGTCCACCAGATGATTTAAATCTAAGATACTCTTTCTTTCCAAGTCCATACTTAGTTGTAGGTAGATTTTGTCTCTATTGGCAGTGGTGGTGTCGGGAGTAGAGATAGAGCACCAACCACTAAAAACTGTGCTCCTCCCTTTATCTCCAGGATCTGGAATTCTGAATTAGTCACTCCTGGGCATAGCCATGGCTGTTGGGGGAGAGGAATGAGAGGGGAAGTTTTTCACCTTGATCCATCCTGAGAACCCTGATCTCATCTGTTCTATTCACCAGTAGCTGTCATTCTCAAAGTACCATTCGGCGGCTTTCTTCGGCTTTGGAAACTTTCATCTCTGCCCTGGCACTCTTCACAGACTGAAGCTCCTTCCCACTTTGTACCATGCACATGGCTCAGCACCAGATTCCAAAAAGCTGGAGCTGGGCTTACAGATAGGAACATTTCTGCACCTTCTGAGGGTTGCACCAGGTTGTCTTCACTACACTGTGGTGTTACCTGTTTGCTAAAGCCCTGGGCCTGTCTTCTGATTGACTGCTTGTGGAGTGTGACTCTGAAGTTACTCTGTCCCAACACTCTTGGATGACTCACAAAAGGCAAGTTATTGCTCTTTTCTTGATGTCATTTCCCTCTCTCCCTGATAAAGTGAGTAGTCCTCCTTATCACCCCTTTGCCGATGTCAGAGCACAACTCATTATGCCAGGCTTGGGGGTTTACAGAGTTCCTCAGCACTTTGCAACACTCCTCCTCCCCACTCTACCCCAGTGTTATAACAGACCTTCTTAGCTCCCTTTTCTTGAGGGCATTACAGCCAGGAATAACTAGCTGAGTGGCGCTAAATGAAATGTATTCTAAGCCTCCCATTAAGCCACCCACCCTCATTGTGCTTATGGTACCTTATTTATAGGGACTCCTGTAATTGGATAACATCTCTCCCCTTAGTTCTCTTCCTTTCCCTTCAAGCAGAAGCCAGCTGGGGTCAGAGGAGAGGCTGCTTTCACCTGCAGTCTCCATCACTCCGTCTGGCTTTCCAGATCTCAGTCTTATAGGGGGACACCTGTGCAAATGATTCCAGGGCATTTAGTCATGCCTGCCCTTGCCCTGTTTCCCAAGACACAACTGCCGGAGGCAGCCATTTAAAAATGTGGTATGTAGTCTTTTAGACTCCTTCATACATTTCCCTTTTTTACATACATGGGGTGATACTACATACTGTAGTCTTCTCTGTTTATGTACTCCTATATTGATGGCATTTTTCATGTTCTCAGCTGCATGAAATTCCATCGTATAATTCTAGCATGGTTTACTTCACCAGGTCCTTATTGACTGTTGTTCCTGTTGCTACAATTTTCAGATGTTGTGAACAACGGTCCCATGGACGTCAGTGTATATACAGCTTTGTACACCTGAACAATGATTTTCTTAGACGTGGAATTGATAGAACTTTCATTTTGATACACTCTACCCTTTAGAAAAGTAGCACCATTTGGCTGGGTGCGGTGGCTCACACCTGTAATCCCAGCACTTTGGGAGGCTGAGGCGGGCGGATCATGAGGTCAGGAGATTGAGACCATCCTGTCTAATACGGTGAAACCCCGTCTCTACTAAAAAAAATACAAAAAATAAGCTGGGCATGGTGGCGGGCGCCTGTAGTCCCAGCTACTCAGGAGGCTGAGGCAGGAGAATGGCGTGAACCCGGGACGCGGAGCTTGGAGTGAGCCGAGATGGCACCACTGCACTCCAGCCTGGGCAACAGAGCGAGACTTCATCTCAAAAGAAAAGAAAAGTAGCACCATTTATGCTCTCACCAGCTGTATATAAGGGTCACCTTTTCCCCCACACACTTGCTAGCAATGAACTTTAGCCTTCTTTTTCATCTAAAACCATACCCATACCAGTGGAAACATGGTATTTTATTGTTTCAGTTTGCATTTCTGTAATCATTCATGGGACTGAGCATCATTTAATATACTTAATAGTCATTTGGATTTTTTCTGTGAATTGTCTGTTCGTATCTTTTTTCTACTGTGGTGTTCATCTTTTCTGTGTTGCTTTGTAAGAGTTCTTTATACGGTAAAAATATTAACTCTTTGTTTTGTGTATACATTACAGATATTTCCCCCAGTTTGGTGTTTGTTTTTTAATTTTGATTCAATGTCTTTTAATACATGGACCTTAAAATTTTTATGCAACTAAATCTGTTGGAGTTTCCTTTGTGGCTTTTGGTTTTTTATTCTTTTCCTGATCAAATATTATAAAAATATTTAAATGTCTTTATTGTTCCAATGATTTTTAAAAATCTTTTACATGTGGAAGATCTGTCTTGTTATGAGGATGATAATGGTAGAATGACTTCCCATGTGAATGGTAGAAGGGTAATCTGAAGTCACCTTTTGGCAGGTCTGGAATCTTATGAACATCGCAGAAACTAGGTAGAACCTAGAGCCCAGTTTGATGACATTGGTGTGTCTACACAGAGGTTTACACAATTTCCTCAAGTGTATCATTAGTAAATGAGAGGTAGAACCTGTGATTCTCTTGTTATTGTTATTAAGTTGAGCAAACCTTTTATTTCCAGCCTTAGTCAAATCTATACCAACTTTATCATCTGTAAGCCACTAACAAGTCAGGCTAGATTTTTCTGTATAAAGGGAAAGAGTCCTGGCTAAGCAATATGTTAATTACTATTGTAGCCACTCTGAGAAACACAATGGACACCCTTTCAAAATTTGTTTCAGATGTTGAGACTGATGATGACACACACACACACACACGCACACACACACCAAGAGTGTGAAAAGGTTAATTATGTACATAATTGTGGTCTCCGGAGAGAGCAGAGCAGGCATCCCAAGTGAGTCTCAAATGGCTTGAGAGGGCAGGAAACGAGAAGCCTGGCTAGGGCTTTTATTGGGGTTGTGGCTGGGGCTGGAGAGAGGATTCCTTTATGCAGGCAGTGGTTTGCATGGTTGGAATCTTCCCCCAGTGCCAAAGGAGGGAGCCCCCAGACTTTCTTATCAGCTTACCCAGTTATGGGGCAGAGTGGCAGAGGGAGGGTGAGGCTCAAAAGCAGATAGCAGTCAAATGTCTAAAACCAGAGTTAGACTCCTTATAATCTCCAGTCACTGAGCAGTTACATTGACATATCCTTAGGCTCCTTCAAGTGCTGAAGGGTGGGAGCACTGGTATATCAGAGAGTTCGCTCCCCAAAGTGCTAGTTTACGTCCATGTTTATGTAGTTGCTAATGGCAAGAGACAACCAACCAACCATTATTAAAAATAAAAACATTTGTGTCAGGAACTTCAAATGATCATGATGTGGGTGTTGACCGCATCTACACTGAGGCAGCTGGATGGCCCTGACTTTTATGTTGAGACAGATTTTAAATGACTCAACCATGTGGACATACAACCACCTTATACTCCTCTAACAATAATGCCTGTCCTCTGAGTTTTTTCGTTACTTGGTGATTTAGTTACTAATGTCCTATGAATCATATGTCAGCAATGCATTTATTTCTAGCCTACTGAGTGTCAAAGCTCGGGTAAACTGTGGCTATTTTCCTTTGTGAAAATTCCATTCGTTGACATGTGATTTTCTCATTTCCTCCTGAAACCATTCCATCATTGTCAGTAATCTTATTCTCTCTCTTTAGGCAGTAGTTACTGCTCTTGACTGCTTGCTTTTCAGATTTTCTGTCTTTCTTGGTAACCACTTTGATCACTACAAACTAACGTAGTATAGAATTTATTTCTTGGATATGCCTGCTTTTGTTGAGTGTGTAAATGGCCATTTCAGTTTAGTGGGTTCTTTGACTTAGATTAACTACATATATCTTTGTGACCATTTTTAGTTTGAGATAAGTTGGACTCCATGTTCAATACTAATTTTCAAGGCCTGAATGATTGGGTTGGCAAAACTGAAGAATCAAATATTACTCATTTTTCACCACTTAATGCTATGCTATGTGATTAATTTTTGCATTCTGTAAAGCTTGTCCTATACCAGGCTCTTGTGTCATAAATTCCATTTGTAGTTATTTGTTTTTAAAAGATTAGTATTCTATTCTTTTGTTTCTATACTACTGTGCCTTTTTAAATCCTTTGATACATGTTTCCTACATAGGTTTTTGTTATGTGTTAGATAGTTTGCTTTCATTTTCAAGGCATTATTCAAGTGTCTTTCACTGCAGAAATCCTTTTTATTCCATTTCTCTGCTTGTCAGAATTCCAAACCAGAAATTTCTGAGAGAGCAACAGGAATTTCACACTTAGTTCAAGTTCATGAGGTTGAGAGATTTCTTTGCTAGACATATTTGGCAGAAATAAAAATTGTTAATATAGAAACCTCTCAAAAATTAAAAATGGGAAAGTAACAATCATTGATCCCGCTTTTCTGGAAAATGTTGGACAAAATTTTACTTAAAACAGGGGCAATAATTTTCAAGTCATGAGTGATATTGGCTTCTTGTAATTAAAACTAAAAATTCAGTAGTAAAATGCAAATAAATCATAATGTCAGCATTTACATGGATTAGATTTGTTTATTAAGTCAAATGGAATTATATCAGTAAGCTCTGAACTCAGAAAAATTTAAGCAATTACTGTACAATCCTGACAGAACCTATACTATAACATGACCAATGTAATCATTATAATCTGTCAAAATCACATTTAGTGTACCTACATGTTGATTATTGAAAGAGAACTATATCTTGTTCCTTATGAAAATAAACACAATACTAATATGATGATGAAATAATGCTATAAAAGTAAAATCATGATGTTCAGACATAATTTCCCCAAAACAGGTATCTAAAATGTTAAACTTTAATCATCCTGTTGGCACAGTTGGCAGCATGTCAGTCTTATAAAATGTTAAACTTTAATACAATCTGATGATCCTCCGATGTTACTATTTAATGTTGTAGTTTATGCTTATGTTCATAAGAAAATATGGCAATGTCAAATATTGTTCTCATTTACCATTAGAATGTTTCTGTCATCCTTCAAGAGGTCTGAATAGATCATGGAACCATGTTCAAGGGCTGCTGTATTAGTAAGTAGTTACTTATTTCTCTGGGTCAGTGAATCAGATTTTAGCATGTGATTGCATGGCATCTTAAAGCATTTGGAAAGGCTGGAATTAGGAGTGGCATGATGTTTTCATCTTTCTAATACGTAGAATCTGTACTAAAGATATAAAGATATAATAGCTAATTTTGTGTATCAACTTGACCAAGCCATGGTGCCCAGTTGTTTAGTCTAATACCAGTCTAGGTGTTGCTGTGAAGGTACTGTTTAAACTGATTAACACTTAAATCAGTAGGCTTTGAGCTAGCATATTACTCTCCATAATGTACGTGGGCCTTGTCCAATCAGTTACAGACATTATGAGAAAAGAGCGAGGTCCCCAGAGGAAGGAGTTCTGTCTCCAGCCTGGTCTGCAGATTTGAGACTTTCCAGCTCCACAATCACATGAGTCAATTCATATATATATATATATCCTTTTGGTTCTGTTTCTCTGGAGAACCCTGACTAACTGGTAATTAAAAAATTAATACAAATGCTCCTTGACTTATGATGGGGTTATGTCCCAATAAACTCACCATTAGTTGAAAATATCATAAGTGTAAAATGCATTTAATACCCTGATAAACCCATCAGAATAGTTTTGAAAAATGTAAGTTGGCCAGGTGAGGTGGCTCACACCTGTAATCCCAGCACTTTGGGTGGCTGAGGCGGGTGGATCACCTGAGGTCAGGAGTTCCAAACCAGTCTGGGCAACATGGCAAAACCCTTTCTCTACTAAAAATACAAAAATTAGCCAGGTGTGGTGGCACACATGTGTAATCCCAGCTACTTGGGAGGCTGAGACAGGAGAGGATCGCTTGAACCTGGGAGGCCGAGGCTGCAGTGAGCTGAGATTGTGCCACTGCACTCCAGTCTGGGCAACAGAGCAAGACTCCATCTCAAAAAAAAAAAAAAAAGAAAAAAAGAAAAAAGTAAATCAAACCATCACAAGCCAAGATGCTATATTCTAAAATATAAAACACCCCAACCTCATTATGTGACATTATCTTCTCAATAGTTTTCCTCTAAACTCTGCTCAGCCTGCCTGCCTTTCTTTTCTTTTCTTTTTCTTTCTTTCTTTCTTTCTTTTTCTTTTTTTTTGTGAGACAGGTTCTCACTTTATTGCCCTTTATTGGAGTGAAGTGGTGCAGTCATAGCTCCCTACAGTCTCAGACTCCTGGGTTCAAGCACTCCTCCTGTCTCAGCCTCCTGAATAGCTGGGAATACAGGTGCATGCCACTACACCTGGCTCATTAAAACAAAATTATTTTTGTAGAGATGAGAGCTAACTATGTTGCCCAGGTTAGTCTTGAGCTCCTGGCCTCCAGTGATCCTCCTGCCTTGGCCTCCAAAGTGTTGGGATTATAGATGTGAGCTACTGTACCAAGTCTTATTTTTTATATAAAGGATATCTGAATACTATTTTAGAAATTTGTTATTTTTAATTCTGCTTTGTCCTGAACAACTCTTTCTGCATTTTGAGACCCCTTAGGCACAATCCTCATACTGATGTTGAAAGATGGCTTTTGTGTGTGGTGATAAACCATGGAGAGAAGAATTATGGTATTAATTTCCTGCCTGAAAAGATAGAGATGGCTCCATTGTGGGACTTCCCCATGCATTCGAACAGCCTGTTTCACATGTCTCTAGACAAGTTATAAAATGAATGTTCCTGTTGTGCTAGGGCTGAGATGAAGGGAAAATTATATTCCTTATGCCCTCTTTTCTCACTTACAAGGTAAAATCAGGTTAATCTAGAAGGAGGAAGTAGTCACAGAACATTTATGTGGTCTGAAGTTTGTGTGTGGAAGTGAGAAGAGTCAGTTGTATTCTCTCTGATGGTGGCAGTGGCAGTAGCGTTACAGGTCAAATAGATTCAGAGAGCACCGACCGATGCAGTATCCTCCTGCTGTCATTTCCATTGATCACTGCCTAGTTGCCAATTAGTGGAACAGCATAGGACTCCTAAAACATGTAGCTTCACATGATCTTTCCTTAGTGCTTTGGCCATTTGCTATCAACAATATATTTTTTTTTTTGAGACAAAGTCTCGCTCTATCGCCCAGGCTGGAGTGCAGTGGCACCATCTCTGCTCACTGCAACCTCCACCTCCTGGGTTCAAGCAATTCTCATGCCTCAGCCTCCCGAGTAGCTAGGATTACAGGCTCATGCCACCACAGCCAGCTAATTTTTGTATTTTTAGTAGAGATGGGGTTTCATCATGTTGGCCAGGCTGGTCTTGAACTCCTGACCTCAGTTGATCCACCTGCCTTGGCCTCCCAAAGTGCTGGGATTACAGACATCAGCCACCGCGCCTGGCTGGTTATCAACACTTATTAAGCACCTAGTATACACCAGAGCTTGTTTTAGCAGCTAGTGTTATGCAATATGAATAAAATCCAGTTTCTTCCCCTAAATAGATTGTTCCAGTTTATAGTACAACATGACAAATACTAGAACACAAATTTGTAAAAATTAACCATGGAAATACCATCATTTCTTTTCTTTGTCTTGCCTACTTTGTCACAAATCAAATGTCTGTATAGGCTTGGGTCTCTTTCTGAATTCTATTCTATTCCATTAATCTATTTGTCTTTCCGTCAACCAGTACCACACTGTCTTATTTACTGTAACTTTACAATAAGTTTGGATACCTGATTAAGTTCTCCTACTTTGTTCTTCTTCAAGATTATCTTGGCTAGTCTTGGTTCTATACATTTCCATGTAAATTTTAGAATCACTTTGTTAGTTCCTTAAAAACGTTTTTGAAATTTTATTTGGGACTGAATTGATTCTGTAGATCAATTTGGAATAATCACCTTATTTATGATGTTGAGTTTTCAAATCCATAAACATGGTGTGTTTCTTCTTTTGTTTAGTCTCTCAGTGTTTTATAGTTTACCTTATAAGGGTCTTCTTATAAATCTTTTGTTTGATTTATTTATAGGAATATAATTTGTAAAAGTTATTGTATAAGTTATATTTTTAAATTTTCATTTTCTAATGGTCACTGTTATATATATAGTATATAAATACTTCAAATCCAGAAAATTTGCTAAATTCGCTTACTAATAATTTATTTGTAGATTTGTTTGAACTTTCCATACAATCATATTGTCTGTGAATAAGGAAAATTTTAATTCTTCCTTTTCAATAACAAAACTATGAATATGAATGAGGCTAGTTCAATATTCAAAAATTGATCAATGTAATTAACTTACCTTGTCAACAGATGAAAGAAGTACATGATCATCCCAATAGATGCAGAAAGAGAATGTGACAAAATTCGACTGCCATTCATGATAAAAACTCTCAGAAAACTAGGACTAGAAGGGAACTTCCTCAACCTGACAAAGCATCTCTACAAAAAACCTGTCAGTAACATCACATTTGATGATAAAAGAGAAAAAGAGTGTTTTTCTGGCCGGGCACAATGGCTCACACCTGTAATCCCAGGACTTTGGGAGCCTGAGGTGGGCGGATCATGAGGTCAGGAGTTCGAGACCCGCCTTACCAACATGGTAAAACCCCGTCTCTACTAAAAATACAAAAAAGTTAGCCGGGTGTGGTGGTGCATGCCCGTAATCCCAGCTACTCTGGAGGCTGAGGCAGAACTGCTTGAACCCAGAAGGTGGAGGTTGCAGTGAGCCAAGATCACACCACTGAACTCCAGCCTGGGCTGACAAAGCAAGACTCCATCTCAAAAAAGAAAAAAAGAAAAAAACAAACAAACAAACAGAGTGCTTTTCCTCTAATGTTGGGAACACGGCAAGGAAGTCCACTCACTACTCATATTTAACATACTGGATGTCTTGGCTAATGCAAAAAGGCAAGAACAAGAAATAAAAAACTTATGGCGTGGGAAGGAAGAAATAAAACTGTGTTTATTTGCAGATGACATAATTGACTTTGTAGAAAATTTCAAGGAATCTTCAGAAAAGGTACTAGAACTAATGAGTGAGTTTAGCAAGGTAACAGGATATAAGGTCAACATGCAAATATAATTATATTTCTGTAACTAGGAATGAGTAATTAGAAACTGAAATCAAAATAGCACCAAAAAATGAAATAGAACCAAAAATGAGATTTTCAAATATAAATCTAACAAACTATGTGTAGGATCTGTATGCTTGCAACTGCAAAACTCTAATGAAAGAAATAAAAAATGAGCCGGGCATGGTGGCTCATGCCTGTAATCCCAGCACTTTGGGAGGCTGAGGCGGGTGGATCCCGAGGTCAGGAGTTCAAGATCAGCCTGACCAACATGGTGAAACCCTGTCTCTACTAAAAATACAAAAATTAGCCAGGCATGGTGGTTTGCGCCTGTTGTCCCAGCTACTCAGGAGGCTGAGGCAGGAAAAGCGCTTGAACCCGGGAGGCGGAGGTTGCAGTGAGCCGAGATCGCACCACTGCACTCCAGCCTGGGCAACAGAGCAAGACTCCATCTCCAAAAAAAAAAAAAAAAGAAAGAAAGAACACAAAATAGATTTTAGACCTAAATAGATATAAAACCTGAAACTATAAAACTCTTCAGAGAAAACAGAAGAAAATTGTTGTGATCTTTGGTTAGGCAAAGATTTTTTAGATATGACAATCCATAAAAGAAAAAAGCTATTAAATTGTCAAAACTGGAAACAACCGAAATATTCTTCAGTTGGGTAATGTATAAACAAATTTTGGTACATCTGTATGGTGGAATACATACAACCACATGGATGGATTTCAGATGTAGTATACTAAGTGAAAGAAGCTAGCCTCAAAAGGCTACATCTTATATGATTCCATTATATGACATTCTGGAAAAGGTGACAGTCTAGTGACAGAGAACAGATCTGGAAAAGGTGACAGTCTAGTGACAGAGAACAGATCAGTGGTAAGACTGGGGGAATGGTTTGACTAGAAAGCAGTAAAATGAAGGAATTTGGAAGGAAGGATGATCAACTGTTTTGTATTGTGGTGGTTACATGACTGTACATTTGTCAAAACTAGTACCCTAAAAAGGGCAACTTTCACTACTATACGTAAATTATACTTCAACTTTAAAAAAGCTGCTACAAAAGGATAAATTAAAGTAGAATTGCTGAGTAAAATGGTAAGCATATTTTTATTCAAATGTCAAACTGCTTTCCAGGAAGATGGTCCAATTTAGATCGTCTTTCCCCATCCTTGCAGGAGACGGATTGGGCAGCAATGGGCTTGTCAATCATTTTAACCTTTGCCAAACTGATAAGTGAAAAGTGTATCTTGATATTGTTTGATTTTCATTAAAAAAATTTTAAGTGAAGCCAAACATATTTCACATATTAGGTAATCATGAGTACTCTTTATTTTTCTGAATTGTCTGTTAATGTTTTTTGTTTCTATTAAGGTGTTAATTCATTTCCTGTTTAATTTATAAGCAACTTTTGTTTGTTAGGAATAGTAACTTCATTTCTATTTGTCATTTTGACTCTAGCTTTATTATTTTGGAGTCTACTTTGAGTTTTTTACTGATTAGTTATTCTCTTATAACTTTTATGATTATTGCTTCCACTACAACATTGTAGAGACTATGCCTTTAAGGTAATTAAGTATTTTCTATAACCTAAATACTTGATCAAATTTTATAAATGTTTCCTGATGCTGGATAAGAAGGTAAGTTCTGTTTTTAAAGTAAAATGCTTGATGCTTATCATTTAAACCAACCTTTATATTATTCAGATAGATTTCAATGCTTCTGACTTGGATTGGAAAAAGCATATCAGAATAATCAGAAATTTATGCTCAGTTCACCTCTCTTCCATACGTTTTATTCTGATCCAATGGGCCTCATTTATTCTGGCTCCTGCTTCTCTTGTTGAGAACAGTAGTATTATAGTCCTTCTTACTCAGCTCAGAGGTGAATCTCTCCCCGGAAATTGTCATCAGAAGTGTTAAGCCTCATCCCTGGGGGCAGTGTACATCCAATGACTGGTTGATAGATACAGGAATACAAAAGTCTGCCCTCCTTGCCTCAATGGGGACATTTTTGTTTGTTTGTTTATACTCTTTTTATGGCATTTTTTTGGGGGAAGTCCTGCAGTATTGCTAAGTTTTATAAATTGGGCAATGGGGTACTCTTAAAACAGAGACATTCTTGGTTTCCTCCTTATTATTACAGATGATTTAACCCCTTTTACACCATGGAATACTATGCAGCCATAAAAAACGATGAGTTCATGTCCTTTGCAGGGACATGGATGAAGCTGGGAACCATCATTCTCAGCAAACTATCACAAGAACAGAAAACCAAACACCGCATGTTCTCACTCATAAGTGGGAGTTGAACCATGAGAACACATGGACACAGGGAGGGGAACGTCATACACTGGGGCCTGTTGGGGGAGGGGTGGGGGAGTAGGGGAGGGATAGCATTAGGATAAATACCTAATGTAGATGACAGGGTGATGGGTGCAGCAAGCCACCATGGCACGTGTATACCTATGTAACAAGCCTGCATGTTCTGCACATGTACACCAGAACTTAAAGTATATTTTTAAAAAATGTTAAGCAAAAAATAAAAATAAAGACATAACAATGGACTTAAAAAAAGTCTGAGCTGGGCACGGTAGCTCATGCCTGTAATCCCAGCACTTTGGGCGGCCGAGGTGGGTGGATCACGAGGTCAGGAGTTCGAGACCAGCTTGACCAACGTGGTGAAACCCCGTCTCTACTAAAAATACAAAAATTAGCTGGGCGTGGTGGCACGTGCCTGTAATCGCAGCTACTCTGGAGGCGGAGGCAGGAGAATCGCTTGAACCCAGGAGGCAGAGGTTGCAGTGAGCTGAGATCGCATCACTGCACTCCAGCCTGGGTGATAGAGTGAGACGCCATCTCAAAAATAAATAAATAAATAAATAAAGGGCGGGACATTTTTTTTTGAAACACCACATTGGCTCCAGAGCTCCCTGCAGGATCTGCTGAGGCCTTTGTTGAAGTTGCTCTTGTGCCAATCCTGTTTCCACCATTCCATTACAGGTGTTATTCCTGAGAGTACTCTTGAATGCAACACAATCTCGGTCTCAGAGTCTGTTTCTGGAGAACCTGACCTATGATAGTTACTTTTTGTTTATTTGATCTGTCAGAGATAGAGGGAGAATCAGAAAAGATTCTTTCCTTGCTTCTATTCTACCTCCTGCTGCCCTGCTCATATGAAAACTGGTAAATTTATTATTGCAAGTGCAAGATACAAATATATAACTTTTGTATGTTTTGATGCATTTCTATTTAGAAATTACAAGTTCATGAAGCTAATTCATTTTGAATTGTATTCTTTTATTTGCTCTGATATTCTTTGCCCATTTAATATTTTGCCCTAAATTCTAATCTGTTTGATATTAGTATTGTACCCCTGCTTTTTTATTCTTTGAATCTGTCTGATAGACACTGGCCTGACCTTAACATTTGTGATATCACATTATTGTTACTGAATCAAAGAATTTGTCTTTTAATGTATTTTAATTATTATTATAATTGATAATAATTATTATAACTGGTATGTCTTATCTTGCTTCTGTCATTTTGTTTTGTGTTTCCTGGTTTTTATCTTTTTTTCCTTTGCCTTTTGTAGATAGTTCTCTGTGTGTGTACTATGTGTTTTGCATTCATCTTCAGTGATCAAAAAGGGATATATCCTGTTTTAAATTCTGCTAATGATTACCTTTAAGTTTCCACAAATAGTATTTAACCGTTATTTCTATACTCTTCAGAGACAGAAGAAAATACAAAGTCAAAGTCTGTTTTATTAAGCAAGAGATTTGGCATAATTTCATTCCTCTCCTCATTTCTGTTTTTATGTTACTGAGTTTTAGATCCAAATAGTTGGTAAATTTTTACATTATATTTTATTATAATTTTTGTGAAGGGTGGTTGTATAATTTTATTTGCATTATAGATTTTTACATTTTTAAGTCAATTTAAAAGATTAACATTTCTTTCTCTTTTCATTGTGGTAATATATACAACATAATTTTTTTACATTTAATTTTGGTTTTATAACCAAACTTTTTTTTTTTTTTTTGAGACAGGCCTCACTCTGTTGCCCAGGCTGGAGTGCAGTAGCGTGATCTTGACTCATTGCAACCTCTGCCTCCTGGGTTCAAGCGATTCTTGTGCCTCAGCCACCAGAGTAGCTGGGATTACAGGTGGGCACCACCATGCCTGGCTAATTTTTTGGTATTTTTATTAGAGATGAGGTTTCACCATGCTGGCCAGGCTGGTCTCAAACTCCTGACCTCAAGTGATCCACCCGCCTTGGCCTCCCAAAATGCTGAATATAACCAACATTTTGAATTCCATTTCAGTTTATTACAATATAAACTACCAATCCATATGCCATCACCTCTTTCTCTCTCTTCCTCCTCTCAATCAAAGATGAATTTACTTGTGTGTCTGACAAAGGAAAGCAACATCATTTAGGTGTGAGCTCAAGTTCTCTCAGCAAAAATTTGAAGAGTTAAATATATGATGAAAAAAGTATTTCAAATAATGTAATATTCTGATTGAGTGTCTGGTTGGCAGATTACAAATATTATACAGCTTTCTTTGAGAGAGATCAGTCTTGTTTCACATCATTGATGCTGGGAAACTGGCTTCAATCAGGTCAAGAATGGGTTGTGTAAAATTCCAAGGGGCCTAGAGTCATGCAGTAGACGTGCTGAATTTCAACAAAACAGTCCACAGAAGTTTTGATTGTAATTATGTTGCACCCACAGATCAATATACGGAGAACTATCATTCTGACAATATTGAGTTTTGCAATTCATGAACATTATTTAGTTCTTCTTTAATTTTTACCAGTAATGTTTTCAGTATATATGTATTCCATATATTTAAATTTATCTCTGAATATGTTATAGTTTTGTTGCTATTGTAAATGATATCTTTTAAATTTAATTTTTGGATTGTTTGTTGTTAGTATATAAAAATACAATTGACTTGTGCATATTTACCTTGTGTCCTGTGACCTTGTTAAATTCATTTACTAGTTCTAGTGTTTTTTGGTAGATTCCTTTGGTATTTTTTACATATATTATCTTATTTATGAATATAGTGTTACTTCTTCCTTTTCAATCTCTTGCTTTTATTTCATTTTCTTGACTTATAACAAAGATAAATTCAATATTGAATAGAAGCGATGAAAGAAAACAACCTTGCTTTATTTCCAAGCTTAGGGGGAAAGCATTCAGTCATTCACTAGTAAGTATTATGCTATCTATACTTATTTTTTTTTCCTGGTGCCCTTTATCAGTTTGAGAAAGTTTTCTTCTAATTCTAGGTTGCTGTGAGTTTTTATCTTCAATAAATGTTGAATTTTGTCAAATGCTTTTTAGGCATATGGTGTTCTCCTTTTTTTTCTTTTTTTGTTTTTGAGATGGGGTCTCTTTCACCCAGGCTGGAGTGTAGTGCAATCTCGGCTCACTGCAATCTCAGCTCAGTTTTCTTCTAATTCGAGGTTGCTGTGAGTTTTTATCTTCAATAAATGTTAAATTTTTTCAAATGCTTTTTAGGCATATGGTTTGTCCTTTTTTGTTTTTTGAGATGGGGTCTCTTTCACCCAGGCTGGAGTGCAGTGGTGCAGTCTCGGCTCACTGCAACCTCCGCTTCGCGAGCTCAAGTTCAGGATTCTTGTGATTTAGCTTCTGGAGTAGGTGGGACCACAGGCAGGTGGCACCACACCCAGCTAATTTTTTTTTTGTAGAGACAGGGTTTTGCCATGTTGCCCAGGCTGGTCTCGAACTCCTGAACTCAAGTGATCCACCTGCCTCAGCTTCCCAAAGTTCTGGGATTATAGGCATGAGCCACAGTGCCTGGCCTCGCTTTTTCCTTTATTCTATCAATGTGGTGAATTATGTTGATTTTTAAAGAATATTAAACCAATTTTGCCTTATTGGGATAAACCTTACTTCATTACGATGTATTATCTTTTTTATAAAATAATGAATTTCATAAATTTTAAAAAGACTTTTACATCTCTCTTCTACTTCTCTATTTTTTGAGCTCTGCTTTTCCCCCTGATCTCTTGGTCTACTGTAGTATACTTTTAATGCTTTTTTTTAAGGTATGTTTTTTTGAAAAAGCCTATAATACTATTTATTATCAGATATAAAAGTAAGTATAATTCCATGATATAAAATTGTCATTGTTCATACATGACTATATATGTGTATCTGTCTATCTATCTATCTATCTATCTATCTATCTATCTATCCATCCATCCATATATCCTCTCTATATAAATGGGAGTATACTATACACACTAATTTTTACTTTGTTGTTGTTTTTTAAATCTAACAGTATATCCTAGAAATCACTCTATAGAGATATAGATATATTTCTCATATTCTCTCTCTCTTTCTTTCTCTCTCTTTGAGACAGGGTCTCACTCTGTCACCCAGGCTGGAGTGCAGTGGTGCGAAATAGCTCACTGCAGCATCAAACTCCTGGGCTCAAGCTATCCTTCCATTCTCAGCCTCCCAATTAGCTAGGATTACAGGCATGCACCACCATGCCTGGCTGATGAAAAATTTTTTTTTTTGGTAGAGACAGGGTCTCCCTGTGTTGTCCAGGCTGGTCTCAAATCCTGGCCTCAAATAACCCTTCTGCCTCAGTCTCCCAAAATGCTGGGATTATAGAGCCACCAGTCCAACTCCATTCTTTTAAATAGCTGCATGGTACTCCATGGTATAGATGTGCCAAAGTTATTCAGCTAGTCTGCTACGGATGGAAATTTAAGTTGTTTCTAGTCTTTTGCTATTACCAACGATGCTGCAATGAATAGCATGTATCATTTTATTGGCTTGCCAATATGTATTTTAAGTGGAATTGCTGGCTCAAAGGTAACTACATATATGATTCCACTACATGCTCCCAAATTCTCCTCCAAAGGGGTTGTGCCATTTTTTATTCTCATCATCAATGTATGAGACAGACTTGCCAACAGTGTGTGTTGTCATCCTTTGTAATTTTTGTCAGTCTGATAAATGAGAAACAATATTTCAGTATTGTTTTAACTTGTATTTTTCTTATTGTGAGGTTGAGCATCTTTTTATATGGTACAAACCATTTGAATTTCTTTTTCTGAAATTTTCTGTTTATTTTCCTGGCCCATTTTTCTAAAAAGGGCATTGGCATTTTTCTTCTCTATGTCTACAAGCTCTTTCTACATAGGATGTCAACCCTGTGCCTTGATGTAAGTAGCAAAATTATTTTCCCAGTTTGTCATTTGTCTTTTTACTTTGCTAATGGTATTTTTGACATGTAAAAGCTTTTAATATTTATTTTTAGGTAATTAATATATTTCCCTTATTCTTTCTGGATTTTTAAGTCACAACCTTACTCCTGGGTTATAGAGATATTCATGGGTTTTTTTTCTAGTATTTGTATGGTTTTTTTTTTTTTTTTTTTTTTTTTTTTGAGATGGAGTCTCACTCTGTCACCCAGGCTGGAGTGCAGTGGCGCGATCTCGGCTCACTCCAAGCTCCGCCTCCCGGGTTCACGCCATTCTCCTGCCTCAGACTCCCAAGTAGCTGGGACTACAGGTGCCCGCCACCACGCCTGGCTAATTTTTTGTATTTTTAGTGGGGACAGGGTTTCACCGTGTTAGCCAGGATGGTCTCAATCTCCTGATCTCGTGATCCGCCTGCCTCGGCCTCCCAAAGTGCTGGGATTACAGGCGTGAGCCACGGTGCCCGGCCTGTTTCATATTTTTTAGATAGAAATCTTTCATCAATTTAGAATTTATTCTGATGCATAGCGTGAAGAATAGTTTCAATTAAAAACTTTTCCAAGTGACTGCCTAGTCCTAAATCAAATACCTTTTTGCTACTAAAGCAGCTAAGATCCTGCCTTTATCATATACTAAATTTTAATATGCAGCTGTTTCTATATTTATGTATTTATTTATGTGTTTTTAAAGGAGAGTATATGGATGGTACATTTTGGGCCCCTGTAGCATAACTCTATGTTGCCTTTATACATCTTAGCTTGTTATAAAATTCTCAGTTCATTGCCTCCCCTCTGCACCTCACCCCTTAGGCAGACATTTAGATTCAGGCATAAGCATTGTAGAGAAGTCCTTGTCTTAAAAAAAAAGTACCTTCCTACCTCTTTTCAGGTATTATATCTTTTGGTAGGTGAAACTTGGATGGTTTTGTCTGTTTTAGGTTTGCTCCATCTGCCTTACAGTAAAAGCAGTTTCTGTTATTAAGCATCTGTTGAATTTGAGGAATGCTGAAAAGTAATCTGGTAAAAAGTATCTTCCTCAATTTTGAATCCATTTTGGATATAGTCTCAAATTGAGCAAATAAGCAAATGTGTTAATGTCTTTAGGAGCCAGGGTTCTCACTGTGGGAGAAGGAATATATAAATATGGAACAGGATAAAGCAAGGAATAACCCTGTAGGGATGAACTGGAATTGGAGTTATTGGTATAAATTCATGATTTCTAAAATAGGTATGTGCATGTTTATGTGCATAAATATATAGGTATGTGTATATATGTGTGTATTGCATGTATATGTATGCGTACATATATATATACATGCATATATTTCCTAGCTCTTTCCCCTACAAGGGCCAAGAAGGAAAGATGCCCCAATAGCAATGAGCAAACCTACAGACCAAATCTTGGTCTCTAATACTATTTTCCATTAAAAGGAAAAATAGGGCTTTATGGACAAATGGCTGATTCCAGGGCTGGGGCAGGGTAAGTGCCAGATGATCCTGAATCATCTTGTTATGCCAGCAAATAAAGTAGTGCTCAAACAAATCATGAGTCACGTCCCAAGGACACAGGAGCCAGCCTTACATGGTTCCCATTGGCCAACTCTGGAACAATTTGAGGACCAAAATAATTAAGTATAGTAAGGAATTTTTCTAAGTAGGAATTCATGATTACCTGCTGATAATAGTTGGATTAATAAACAGAGGCAAAGGAAGGTCTTGCTTGCAGTAGAATGCTGAGCTGTAAGTATGGAGGGAGTGTAGGAGTTGGAAAATCATCATTTTTCAATAATTATGGTAAAGATGAGATCAGGCAAGAATCATTAATGGGTGCTAAATCTAGGGGGAAATTTTGGTGAGGGACTGTATATTTGTATGGTCTTAAAGTGTCTCCTCACAGACTGCTTATTAGTTACTAGGAGAAAATTAAACCCCAGTAATTATTCAGTGGAGAAATGTGGGCAATGTCTTGCCCAGGTGATCAAAATTAACAGCACCAATTGAGGGGAAGACAGACACTGTGTGCCTTCAAATGCAATACCCTGAGAAGGACATGACATCACCTGTGCAGTATTCTGGCTGAGTAGTTTTAGAGGATTCTCTAATAGTCATTAGAATATTTTCACTATAATCTCAAGGAAACATCAGACAAACACAAAATTAGGAGAATTTCATTTAAAAGGAGTACCTGCTACTGGAGGAAACCAAACCAAACCATTTGTGTTTAATGGAACTTACTGTAGAGCAAGCTCATCCAATCCATGGCTCATGGGCTGCATGTGGCCCAGGGTGGCTTCAAATGCAGTCCAACATGAATTTGTAAGCTTTCTGAAAACATTATGAGATTTTTCTTGTGACTTTCTTTTTAGCTCATCAATTATCGTTAGTGTTAGTGTATTTTATGTGTGGCCCAAGACAATCCTTCTTCTTCCAGTGTGGCCCAGGGAAGCCAAAAGATTGGACATCCTACTGTATAGAGTGAGGGAGGCACATCATCACATGAATGGTTGTATAATTAAACTCATATTAGGCATCATTAAACTTCTGTTTGTAGTTGGATATACTTCCCTTAGGAGCTGGGGAAGACATTTTATTTTGGAAATGGCTCATGCATTGTTTAGAATTTTTTTTTAAATAAAGCACTTAACACATGCCAAATACAAGAAGTAGGAAGAACATTTACATGATCTTTGGGAAGACAGTATTAAGTAAAGGTGAAACCAAGAAGTAATAGTTTCTGCCTTCTTTGATTTTTTAATTTAATTTAATTTTTTTTTTTTTTTTTTTGAGATGGAGTTTGGTTCTTGTCACCCAGGCTGGAGCGTGGTAGCGTGATTTCGGCTCACTGCAACCTCTGCCTCCAGGGTTCAAGTGATTCTCATGCCTCAGCCCCCTGAGTAGCTGGGACTACAGGCACCCGCCACCACGCCTGGCTAATTTTGTATTTTTTAGTAGAGATGAAGTTTCACCATGTTGGCCAGGCTGGTTTCGAACTCCTGACCTCAAGTGATCTGCCCACCTCGGCCTCCCATAGTTTTGGGATTATAGGCGTGAGCCACTGTGCCTGGCCTGATTTTTTAATTTTAAAGAAGACAGAACAAATACAGGAACATGCAAGAAGGTTTGACTGTAACATGTTTTGTGGATTTCTTCCTAATCACTGCTTTCTGTTGGCTATGCTTTTGTGCTCAGAAAACACCTGAAAATGGTAGTTGCTTACACAATCAGATGCTTGACAATAATCCCAGGAAAATTATCCTTATCTTTCTTTTATAATGAATTCCAGGAACAATCAGGTCAATGGAGCATCTTCGGTGCTGTTGAGAACTACCAATTTTGTGACAATCATTGAAATTGTGCTGCATTACAGTGTCTTTGAGGACATACAAACAAACCAGTATGTAAATAACATTATTTCTCTTTTCAGCTGTGGTTTTCTTTTTCCGTGTTAATCAAATCCAGTGTTATTGAAGACAATATGGCATAGAAAATTATATCTGACTTTTTTCCTCAGGTGGTTATTATTTTACAATTATCTACCAAAATAGAGGTCAATATTTCATCAGTTTCCATATGTGAGACATTGTCCTCCTGTGTTATTTACAATACATGAAAGCCTACTTAGCAAACATGAAGAAATAAAATACATTTGGCAATCAAAAATTGGAACATGACTGCCTGTTACTAAATAAGATGAGCTAGGGCTGTGAAATAGGCTTTTATGGGAAGACTGTTTCAAATTTATGAGTGATGATATGGGAAACTTTTTTTTTTTTTTGAGACAGGGTCTGGCTCTGTGGCTCAGGCTGGAATGCAGTGGGCCGAGGTTGGCTCACTGCAACCTCCACCTCCTGATCTCAAGCCGTCCTCCCACCTCAGCCTCTCAAGTAGCTGGAACTACAGTGGAACTACAGGTGGACAACATCACACCCAGCTAATTTTTGTTATTTTTTGTAGAGACGGGGTTTCACCCTGTTGCCCAGGCTGGTCTCAAACTCCTGAGCTCAAGCAATCTGCCCACCTAAGCCTCTCAAAGTGCTGGCATTACAGGCATGAGCCACCGTGCCTGGCCTGGGAAGCTCTTTTAACAGAGGTGATGTAAAGTAGAAAAAGCAGTGGGCTCAAAAGGCTGCTCCCAACTGCCTAGGTGACCTTAGACAAGTCTTCATACCTCTCTGAGTCTCAGTTTTCTCACCTGCAAGTTGAAGGGTTTATAATGGATGATTTGTGAGGTCTCTCAAGGAGTTTAATACAGTGGTTATGCAGCCTACAGGGTCACACCCAGTGCAGAGCACAGCTCACCTGGCAGAGGCTGGAGAATGGGGACAAAAGAATAGGATGAAAATCTTTGGAGAGAATTGAATGATCACCTCTACCACTCTTGCAAGTCAGGGTGTATCCCACCTCTTCCAGAAAGTCAGGTTCCAGAGAAGACAGCAGGAAAGAGGAAGGTAGGACGTCAGGATAGTGCAGGATACCAGACAGGAGTCAGGGCAGGAAAGAGGTAAGAAGCAAAGTGAAAGCCAAGACTTTATATATGGAACCAACCGAAAATGAGCTGTAGAAAAAGGAATGAAGAGCTGTAATTGGGCTAATAACAAAGGCATTTCAAATAAGATTGGCAGACTTTGCTAGAGATGCCTCAGGGCAACCAGAGTAATTGCAGCGTGCAGAAATGAAAGTCCTTTTAAACTTCTGTTGACAGCCTACAATGTGCTTGGGAGTTGCTGGAAATAAAAAAACTGAATCAAACATAGCCCTGCCTCTTAGGAGTTTAAAATTTGGAGGGAGAGACAGGTATGTATGCCACTAACCGAGCTATCCTTTAGTTTGCAAATGGCACTAAAACAGCGGTTCAAATCAAGTGCTGTGGGAACACAGAAAATTAAATATGGTTGAATTAAATCTGATAGGAAGGATAAGGAAAGACTTGATAATGGAAGTGATATTTAAACTGGGCCTTGAGAAATGAGTAGGAACATCAGGTGGAATGCTAGGGGAGGGTAGAAAGGACAGCACATGCAGAAGAGTGAGAGAATGAGATGGTACGATGTGTCTGCCACCCAGTGAGAAGCCGAGTGTAACTGGAGTGGAGGGAGCACTAGGTAAGTCGTAGAGGTAAAGCCAGAAGACACACTGCCCCTGGATGGGGAAGGGCTCTGACTCTTAATTTAAAGAATGTGGGCCACAATCCAGTAAGAGACTGGATGGTGTCATTAGTATCAGCCACTTGGGCAGGTTTCTAGCCAGCCAGGCCCAGCCCGTTAGAGGCTAAGGGTGGAGGAGAGGATGGGCTAGCAGAGGGAGGGAGGAAAAGAGAGGAGTTAAATCAGTCTTGCAGTTTGAAGCTAGAAAGAGTGGTTAGGAATTTTAGTGAAATTCCTAAAGAAGAAGGAGATGGTTTGAAGAGAGAGAGATAATAAAGTAATTTGGGTAAAGTTGGAAACATCCATGAGAGACTTACCATTAGGATATTGATAATGTCATTCTGGAACTTGAGCGAGAGCCAGGGCTGGGTTTAACTACTTGGGAATGGAGGAGGTACTGAGGTTTACTCAGACCTGATGCCCCTCATTGCTTTCCATAAAGAATGTGGTGATGTCAGCCACGTATATGCCTGGTCCTGTGGAGATGAAACTGTCATAATTCCTGCCTTTGGGTGGGTGGTGAGATAGATGATAACTAACTTTGGTGCCAAATACTGTGGTGAGTGCTAGGTGTAGGTCCACAGTCCCTCATCTGGAAGACTTGAGGCAGATGTGTTAGGAAATTCAGAATTTAAGGCAATATGCTACATGTACTATATTTTACATAACTCTCCAGTGGGATCTGGACCAGCATGCAGTAATCAAACCCAATTTTGATTTCTAAAGTAAAGCCAGTGTTTCTAAATTGAAGCATGAATATCTGTATTTGACTACAAAGAGTCTCATGTCAGTTCAGATTAGGTCAGGCCACCAAAAAAGTTTGCATCAAAATTACAAAAAAACTTTTAGTTTTCAGAGCATTTTACATTTCTGAATTGTGAACAAAGTAGTGTGGATCTGTTGAAAGTCTTATGAGAGCAAATACTTCCAACGTGAGTCAAAGAAGGCTTTGCAAAGGAGACAGCAGTTGAGCAGGGTCTTGAAGAAAGCGTAGGCTCTCAATTAGCAGAAAATAGGAATCAGAGGTAGGATAAAGGAGATGGCATTTCTTTTTTTTTTCTTCAACTTTTATTTTAAGTTCCAGGGTACATGTGCAGGATGTGCAGCCTTGTTACATAGGTAAATGTGTGCCATGGTGGTTTGCTGCACAGATCAACCCATCACCTAGGTATGAAGCCCAGCATTCAGTAGCTATTCTTCCTGATGCTCTTCCTCCCCCCACCCCACCGACAGGCCCCAGTGTGTGCTGTTCCCCCCATGTGTCCATGTGTTCTCATCATTCAGATCCCACTTACAGATGAGAACATGCAGTGTTTGGTTTTCTGTTCCTGCATTAGTTTGCTCAGGATAATGGCTTCAGCTCCATCCATGTCCCTGCAAAGGACATGATCACGTTTCCTTTTATGGCTGCATAGTATTCCATGGTGGATATGTACCACATTTTCTTTATCCGGTCTATATTGATGGGCATTTGGGTTGATTCCATATCTTTACTATTGTGAATAGCACTGCAGTGAACACACATGTGCATGTGTCTTTATAGCAGAATGATTTATATTCCTTTGGGTATATACCCAGTAATGGGATTGCTGGGTCAAATGGTATTTCTGCCTCTAGATCTTTGAGGAATCACCACACTGTCTTCCACAATGGTTGAACTAATTTACACTCCTACCAACAGTGTAAAAGCATTCCCTTTTCTCTGCAACCTCACCAGCATCTGTTGTTTCTTGGCTTTTTAATAATTGCCATTCTGACTAGAATGAGATAGTGTCTTATTGTGGTTTCGATTTGCATTTCTCTAATGATCAGTGTTTGTAGGCCACACGAATGTCTTCTTTTGAGATGTGTCTGTGGGTTTTTTTTTCTTGTAAATTTGTTTAAGTTTCTTATAGACTGGATATTAGACCTTTGTCAGATGGATAGATTGCACAAATTTTCTCCCATTTTATAGGTGTCTGTTCACTCTGATGGTAGTTTTCTTTTGCTGTGCATAAGCTTTTTAGTTGATTTAGAGCCCACTCATCAATTTTTGCTTTTGTTGCAATTGCTTTTGGTGTTTTCATCATGAAATCTTTGCCCATTCCTATGTCTAGAAGGGTATTGCCTAGGTTGCCTTTTAGGGTTTTTATAGTTTTTGGGTTTTAATTTAAGTCTTTAATTCATCTTGAGTTAATTTTTGTATATGGTATAATCAAGGGGTCCACTTTCAATTTTCTGCGTATTGCTAGCCAGTTCTCCTAGCACCATGTATTGAATAGGCAATCCTTTCCTCATTGCTTGTTTTTTTTAGGTTTGTCAAAGATCAGGTGGTTGTAGGTGTGTGGTTTTGTTTCTGAGTTCTCTATTCTGTTCCTTGGTCTATGTGTCTATTTTTATACTAGTACCATGTTGTTCTGGTTACTGTAGCCTTGTAGTATAATTTGAAGTTGGGCAGCATGATGCATCCAGCTTTGTTCTTTTTGCTTAGGCTTGTCTTGGCTATTTGGTCTCTTTTTTGATTCCATGTGAATTTTAAAATAGTTTTTTCTAATTCCGTGAGAATGTCAATGGTAGTTTAATGGGAGTAGCATTGAATCTGTAAATTTCTTTTTCATTATATTGATTCTTCCTATCCATGAGCATGGAATGTTTTTCCATTTGTTTGTGTCAGAGAGGACATTTCAATAGAGGGAAGAACTGGAGCGAGGGTACAGGGGAAGGAAAATCCCTGGTTTGTGTGGGTCATTTTGGCTAGTCTTGGATTACTGGACCATAGGACTCATGGGAACGAATGGCAGGTTCAGGTGGGTTGTAACTTGAACATTAAGAACTTTTAACAATCTTTGGCAAGATTGAAACTTGAAATTTTATCCTGCCACTAGTGGAGAATGTCATGACCACATCTGCCATCTCTGCATTTGGAAAGGGGAACCCGGTCTTGTTTGGTTCTTGCTCTGTGCCAGTGCAGAGGGTTGATTAGAATGGAGGGAGACTGAGGTAGGGAGGCAGTAGGCATCATGGAAGAGAAGGATGATGTGTGCTGGTGCAAGCTCAGTCATGGAGAGGATGGAAATTTGAGATCCGTGCATCAGCAATTTTGAGAGCCAAGTTAGAATCAATGGGACTCGATGAGTAATTGAATAGACGGGGTGGAGGAAAAGGAGATTCAAAGATTGATTCCTGGCTGAAGCTCAAGGACAGAAAACAGGACAGTATAGTGAGTGATGAAGATTGAGTGCTCAGGAATCCATCCTGGGCTTATATCTCAGCTGTCACTTCCTACAGGAAATAGCTTAAACTTCTCCTCATCTACAAAGGAAAATAATAATGGCATCTTCCTAGGAGGATAAAAATATGGCATAAATGAGTTAATCTATGTGAATACTAATCACAGGGACTGACACATAAGAAACATCATAGCTCACATGTTTGTGAATCTTGATGATTTGATGACAAGACCCCAAGAAGATGTGTGTGTGTGTGTGTGTTTTTTTTTTTTTGGAGACCAAGTGTTGCTCTGTTGCCCAGGCTGGAGTGCAGTGGTGCGATCTTGGCTCACTGCAACCTCCGCCTCCCGAGTTCAAGCGATTCTCCTGCCTCAGCCTCCCAAGTAGCTGGGATTACAGGCATGCACCACTACACCCGACTAATTTTTGCATTTTTAGTAGAGACAGGGTTTCACCATCTTGGTCAGGCTAGTCTCAAACTCTTGACATCAAGTGATCCACCTGCCTCAGTCTCCCAGAGTTCTGGGATTACAGGCATCAGCCACCATGCCTGGCTCCCAAGAAGTTTTTAATTCTGAAATTGTTTATAGATTAACTTGTAGTTATAATATCTGTAAAGTAGTAGTCCTCAAGGAGGACCTGTAGTCTTTTCTGTCCTTAAGGTTCTGCAATTACATGAAAGTTTCTTATGTTTACCTCTTTGAATATTTAATATATCTAATTTTTTCTCAAAAATATGGGCCGAGTAGACAAAAGTCTGTCAATATACTCTTATCTGTTTCCTGGCTGTAAGAAAACATATGTACTCTATTTTTCTATCTATAATATGAACTTAAAAAAAGCAACCAATTGCCAAAACACTGTTATTATTGAAAAAAAATTAAATATTACTGGAGGTGGCAGGGACTGTGGGTTGAAGTTAAGGGAAATAAAAAGAACTCCTCATGGACAGAATTTTGTGAAGGTGAAATTCAGAAAACTAGTTACAGATATTCAAAATGGTATTGATCAATATGACAAATGCTGAAAGATGATTTGGAATTTCAATCTGGTTGGAGAGCTGCTTGTCAATTAGGCTGTCATAAGGATTCCTGTGTGGCTTGGCCTCTTTAAAATTCTTCAAAAGAATTACATAGTCTCCTGGATGAAAAATATATCACTGGACTCCTACCTATCAAGCAGTGTCCAGCTCTCCAGAGCTTAGGTCAGATAGCTTGATGCTCAGTGCTATCTGAAGCAGATGTGATGGAGGCTTTGTGAGCATCCTTCAGAAAGCATTTGCTGCAGGAAAACGGGAAAGTTGATTCAGAGGTTGATCATGGTGTGCCTGAAGTGGAACTTAAGCAAATTGTTGAAAAATTTCAAAAATCACTGACCACACTCAAATACTTAATCAGGAAAGAATTGCAGTTTACTGAGACCCCAGGTAGAAAATTCAAATGCAGACTGAGAAACACATGGGAGAAAGTCTGTGGCAATTACGTTTCACATATGTTGAGTTATGTAAACTTACAAACATTTGGGATTGAGAACTAGTGTTATCTATAAAATATTTTCTCTTAGGTGGCACATTGATTGCATTATTTTTACAAATCTCACATCATCTTTAGCAAAGTATTCTGCATTTGGAAAACTTTCTAATATAATGTTCTAATATTTTCTAGAGTTAAAAGATGTTTTTGGATTTTTTTTTCGTTTTGAAATGCAATTCATACACCTATTTTATAAATAAAGTAGTGGTGACACAAATGTATTCAATGTTAACAAATGTTCTCTAAGAATGAGATGAAGAAATTATCAGTAGCAAGTCCAAATTTGAGAGAAAATGAATCACTCTGAAACAAAATCATTTGGGGCCTTACTCATACAATATAATAATATCAAACATACGTAAAATGTTATATTTTCATATGGATCCTTGAATTATGGAGGATTCTTCAGTGGCTTTAATATCAGGGAACCAGATTAACTCAGATTTGATTCAGCCAGTCCAAATAAGGCAAAACCCAAATGCTTCTGAAACTATTTGACAGACAAATTAGTATCAGAAACTCAAGATATGAGGAGAAAAGCTATGTGCAACAAGCACTGTGAACATTTAACTTTTCACGTTCTGCATAGATGAATCCACAGTAAACTAGAATAACCATTACAAAGTTAAGTAGTTTGTTTTAATGAGCTATGTCTACTTAGGGAAAGTTAATGTAAGACCTCTACCAAGGATCCAATTCAAACAAGCAGCACTCTCCTTTCTTTCCCTTTTATCTGAAATATCCATGTAATTTTTATTTGGTCTTGAGTTTGTTTCTTCATTATATTTTGACTGTATAGGTAAGACCTAAAAGAAACAATTAGAGGTGGCATAACTGAAATTAATATGGAAATACACACATGCATAACAGCCAGGAAAGTAAATTAACTGATCCTTTTGAGCACTTGAAGACAATTCATATAACATCTAATTTGAAAATATTATAGGTAACAGGATTTGCACACTCCATTTAAAAAATAAATCTAATCTTAGCAAGAAATTCCACCAATAAAAAACAAATATAAAAGAAAACTCCAGTAAATGAAGACACTTGTGTTTCTGGGAAGGATGGCTAAACTGGGTAATGGGACCCAATTCTTCTCAAATTAGATAACTTACTTAATGCAATTTAAGGTTTGTTTTTGAGGACTTTTAGAAAATAATTCTAAAGTTCACCTGAGAAAGAGAAAAAGCAAATATTTTAAAGCCAGTCATAGGAGATCACCTATTAAATAAAATGTAAAAGCATGCGTTAAAGCTATAGTATTTAAAACAGAATGATTAAGGTATAAAAAGAACCAAATAAATGTAGCAGAATAGATAGCCTCCAAACAGATTTGATAAGAGAAGCATCACAGATCAATAGGTAAAAGGCAAGTAATTTAATACATGTTTTGAGAAAGTTGGCAAGCTCTTTGGTGGAAAGCATAGTTTTTCCTTCTCTGCCAAAATCCTATGTACATTTTATAAGAATAATACAATGGACTTTGCAGACTTGGGCGAAAGAGTGGGAATGGGGTGAGGGATTGGGTACAGTGTCTACTGCTCGGGTAATGGGTGCACCAAAATCACTAAAGAACTTATTCATGTAACTAAATACCACCTGTTCCCCAAAAATCTATGGAAATAAGAAAACATCCTATGGGCTGAGCACAGTGGCTCACACCTGTAATCCCAGCACTTTGGGAGGCCGAGGTGGGCAGATCACGAGGTCAGGAGTTCGAGATCAGCCTAACCAAACCGGTGAAACCCTGTCTCTACTGAAAATACAAAAGTAGCTGGGCCTGGTGACATGCGCCTCCGCCTCCCGAGTTCAAGTGATTCTCCTGCCTCAGCCTCCCAAGTAGCTAGAATTACAGGTGTGCACCACCATGCCCAGCTAATTTGTGTATTTTTAGTAGAGATGGCGTTTCACCATGTTGGCCAGGCTGGTCTCAAACTCCTGACCTCAGGTGATCCACCCGCCTCAGCCTCCCTCTACTAAAAATACAAAAATGTGGTGAGCATCTGTAATCCTAGCTACTCAGGAGGCTGAGGCAGGAGAATCAGTTGAACCCAGGAGGCGGAGGTTTCAGTGAGCTGAGATGGTGCCACTGCACTCCAGCATGGGCAACAGAGCGAGACTCCATCACAAAAGAAAAAAAAATTCTATGTAAATTTTAGATACATTTAAGATTAAATGTATAAAAAGTAATAATATTTGGGAAAAAAATGATAAATATTTAACCAATCTCTAGAAGAGGAGAAACTCTCTAAGCATAAAACTAATGAAAATAACCACAAAGAAAAAGATCAGCATTTTTGAGTTTATAAACTTTTATTTCTGTAAATACTAAAAACTAAAGAGAAAGTATGAAAATTTATGACTTCCAGGCTGGGGGTGGTGGCTCACGCCTGTAATCCCAGCACTTTGGAAGGCTGAGGCAGGTGGATCACTTGAAGCCGGGAGTTTGAGACCAGCCTGGGCAATGTGGCAGAACCCTGTCTCCACTAAAAATACAAAAATTAGCCGGGCGTGATGGCTTAAACCCGGCAGACGGAGGCTGCAGTGAGCCAGGATCATGCTACTGCACGCTAGCCTGGACAACAGAGTGAGACTTTGTCTCAAAAAAAAAAAAAAAAAAAAGGAAAGAAAATTTATGGCTTCCAAATATGATGGCACTAGAATCCCTATAGACACATGGACAAAGAACAAGAATAGGTAATTTTGCAAAATAAGCCTAAATAACAAAAAGGTTGTGAAAAATTCAGACTCATCCATAATTAAAGAAATGTCCACTAAAGCAGCAATGAGAAACCACTTTGCTTATAAAATTAGAAAAGATTGAAAATTGATGATGCCACTGAGGATGTGTTGGGGCTGGGGCTCTCATCATGGCTGGTGGGAATGCGAATTGGTACAGCCAACCTGGAAGAGGATTTGGCAGTTTGGACCAAGGGCAGGAAAATGTTTATTATAGCCTTGGACCTGGTAATTCCTCTTTAGGGGTGTATACTGAGAAATAATCAGAAATGAAGTCAGAAATACAGAGTTGTTCACAGCAGTGTTACATTATTTTCATATCAGCAAGTTCCATTATGTAGTTCATTAGAAATACAATATAATTTTTGTGTTTTACCAAATATCAAATTTTTAAAAATTGAAATTGTAATTGTTTGCAAATTTTACAACCATTCACATAGTGCCAGTTAACATTTAAAAGTTTTCATGTGCCCATTCATACTTATTTGGATTCTATTCAGTAAGTTAACTATATAAGGTGTATTTAAGTCTAGACTAAAAATAATTCTTATCATTAAAGACAAAGGCATACCCAGGTATCAACTTTAGTAAATCATGGGTTTAAAAAAATATTTAATGAAATTTAAGGGTATGTATGATCTCATTGTGATTCACTTTTAAAAAGTTATATTTCCTTTTTTCCCTTCCTCTGGATTTTCTCTTTAACCACAGATAGAGGAAGTTATGAAGGGAGAATAGATACCCCAGCTCCATTCTCTACCTGCTCCCTTATCTCCCAGCTGGAAGCCAGAGGTGCACAGGGGCCCAGAGCACATGGCACAGAGAGGTCAGACTCCCAGGGCACAGAGCAGAGCAGGGTAGAGAAGGGTGGAAAATGGGCCTAGGGGAGGGGCACACAGAAACTCACCAGCCTGAAGATGAATGAAAACGGCTGCTTATTCCCTGTGGACAAACACAGTTACTGTTCCTTGCTGCTCAGCTGCACAGGCTCAAACTGTGCTTCTGATCATTCACGGCAGAAAGATAATCTTTGTCTGTGACCTCTAAACTCCTGGGCTCCTTCTCCATTTCTCTCCATTGGAAAGGAAACCCATGTGTCAGCCACAAAAGAGACCATATTTGTCTTTCAGAAGGAAGTGCTAATCCATAGTGCTTAAGGGAGTAAGCTCTGACAAGTCTCAAAAATTGTCATCTAATAGCTCATTAATGAGCTTTAATAATGATTATAAGTTGCTTGAAAAGTTCTAATCAGAAAGAGAAAATAACATGAAATTACCGATCAATACATGCGCCTGCTCCCAGAAATAACTGCAAGTCTTATTTAATGTAAAGTCACAATGGTAGTGGAAAACAGAAAAATATCAGAGGTAATGAGTGGCAGATTGCACTGGCCACAATATCTCCCTTCCTGCATGCCACAGTGTGATTTTGACGTTCCTCCTACCCAATGGTAAGGTGTAGATCTTCCACTTAACCTGGATAGATTTCTGTGAGTCAACCAATAGAGATAGTATAACGGATGTTACATGATGTCTGAGAAGTCATAAAAATGTCACACACTTCTGCTTTGTTCTCTTGGAGAGAACAGAGTCTCCATGTTGTGAGGAAGCCCAAGCAGCCTGTGGAGAGGACCCAAGACCACTGGTCCACATCTTCAGTTGAGCTCTTAACTGATAACCTCTACCATGCTACCAACCATATGAATGAACCATCTAAGAACAGATCCCCAGTACTCAGTTGCACCTTCCCAGGTGATGCCACGTGGAGCAGAGATGACCTGTTTCCGTCCAACCCCAGATCACTGCAGATTTCTGAGCAAAAAAATAATTGTTACTGTTTTAAGCCATCAAGTTTGAAATGGTTTGTATGTAGTAAATGGACCAATGATGAATCCTTGAAAAGTGGAAGACAAATGAAATTGAGCGAAAGAAGAAACTATCCCAAGATATTCCTAGGGAGGCCTATTACAGAATGGTTGCACCTGTTCAGTGAGTCCTGGGAAGGACTATTTCTGGTTAGAACTGGAGGCAGCCTGGCCAACCTGTCCCTACTTCTATGAGGTGTCGGGCAGCAAAACAGAGAAAAGGGAATGATGAAAATAACTAATAATTTAAAAAGGGCCGGACGCGGTGGCTCATGCCTGTAATCCCAGCACTTTGGGAGGCCTAGGCGGGTGGATCACCTGAAGTCAGGAGTTCAAGACCAGCCTGGCTAACATAGTGAAACCCCATCTCTACAAAAATACAAAAATTAGCTGTGCACCTGTAATCCCACCTATTTAGGAGGCTGATGTGGGAGAATTGCTTGAACCCTGGAGGCGGAGGTTGCAGTGAGCCGAGATCGTGCCATTGCACTCCAGCCTGGGCGACAGAGCAAGACTCTGTCTCAAAAAATAAATAAATAAATAAATAAATAAATAATTAATAAAATAAAATAAAATAAAAATAAATAAAAGATTAAAGAACCTAGAAGAGTAGTTCAATGAAATTCAAAGCTGATTCTTCGAAATATTAATAAAATAGAATTGTGGTTATAAAACAGAGATCTGTTGCAATGAGGAAAGATATATAATTACAGATGAAGAGACTTATAAAAGATACAGCTACAGATGACTTATAAAACATTGATGTGGGCAATTTTGTAACAATAAATAAAAAACCGTAGATGAAGTAAATATTTTCTAAAAAATAGGTATATAGTTGAATGTATTCCTAGCACCATATGCTGCAGACTCTTCTCTGCAGAAATACAGAGAAGAGAGAAATAAGTTTAAAAAAGTATCAAGAAGGGAACAAATGCAGAGTGTGACCCAGTATTTGCAACAAATCGGTAACTGGAAAAGAAGCGGGTGAAGATTATCCTACATGAAAGGCATAGATACATGGCAACTATAAGGAAGAGTTGGCTCTTTTTTGAATCCTGATTTGAACAATAAAGCGTAGAAATAAAATTTTGAAACAATAGGGGAAATACAATTAAGGACTGAGTACCAAATAACAGAGCTGGTCCTGGGGTGAGGCACACGAGGTGCCTTGGGGTACAAACTTTAAGGAGGCACTGACCCTGCATTAGCACAGCCGAGAGAGCAATGCTTCCTTCATTTTCATGCCCTAGGTGCCTTGCTTACTTCACCTGAGTCTCATACCTGTCAAGTATTATACCTTTTTTTTGAGGTTTAATAATGGCATTGTGATTACATAACAAAATATTTGCATTTTTTTAGAGATGTGTATTACATCATGGAGAGGTGAAATGACGTGTCTGGGATTTGCTTTAAAACAGTTCAGCAAGAAAAAGGGATAGATGAAGCAAATGTGGCAGCATCTAGGTAACTGTGGAAATTGCATAATGAGTGTTTGGGGATTTGTTATATATTCTTTTGAATGGTTGAAAATTTTCATAATAAACTTTGTTTTAAACTGGGTAACAGCATGACAACATAAATAATGGCATCACCGAAATGGACATATTTGCTGATCTCCCAAATTTTCCTGTCCACTGGTATCCTTTATTCTTGGCCTGCCATCCTCTTCCCAGGATGAAATGCAGACAATGTGCCCCTCCATGACTGGTGTACAATGCTAGGAAATTCAAGGCATCACTGCCCTGGGTCTCCCCTTGGTAACCTGGACAAGGATGGGAGACACTGTGGATATGTACTTTACCTGAAACTTTAGAAAGATAAAAGGAGTCACTTGAGGCCTCCCAAAGGAAACTGGGAGTTGAAGTGGGCGTAAGGGATGTAGGGTCAGATCTCGGTTCAAATCCCAACTCTGCCGTCAGCAAAGTACTGAACTTTTCTGAGCCCTGGTTTCTTTGGCTGTGAAAACAGGAATGTTAATATTTATCCTAAAAGGATTGATGTGGGAATTAAGTGAGATAACGTTTGTGAAAATCCTTAGTACCTTGCCTGGAACATGGAAGCTACTCTGTTTCTTCCCTCTTTCCTTGAAGGAGAGATGTCTTTGGCATCTTTAGGCTGCAGTTGTGCATTATGGATGGGAGAATTCTGTTTTTTGGGGACATAACAGCTGTTACCCCTGTTCTTACTCAACTATAGTCTGAATGACTGAGTTTTGCTCTTGAAGACCCTCTGTGTCAAAATGCCACTGTGGAGATTTTTTTTCTGGGAGGATTCTGACTGTGTTTTCAACCACTCAGAGACCACAGCTGTTGAGTTCCACTTTCCCTTCCCTGTCCCCCAGTACTGGGCCCCTCACCCTGAGGTTGCTGCTCTCCCAGACCACATTCTCACATTGCCTGATTCTATGACCAAACCAGATGAGTCTACCAGATGAAAAATCACTTTGCCAGTGTCTGAATTTTCCTCTCCAGATCTTCCAGAAGTCTTGCTGAGGCCTCTGACCTTTGCATGAACACCTGGTGGCTTGTGAGAGACCCAAGGCATTCTGATGTGTAGCCCAGCTTGAGACTTAGAATCTGTTTTCTCCAGCCATTGATTCTAGGGCAACAAAGAAGTTCCTGCTCAACATTCCGTTTCATGTATGTAGAAAAATATGGACACATACACAAAATATACGTATTAATGTTTGAGGTTTTGGATTTAATAGCAATAGGAGTCCATAAGCAGGAGATGTCAGGAATGGCTTCAAGGAGGAGGTGAAGGGGAGTTTTGGAGGTTGAACAAAATTTAGATAAAGGAAGAGAAGGAAAGATGAAAGGCATTCACAAGCTTGACTCCCATCCAGCACCCTGTTAGATTTTCTTTATAATTTGCCACTGGAAACCTCCAGAAAAGTTATCAGATGAGTTTGTTTTAGAGTAAGTAAGCTGGAAAAAAAAGATAATATTGGAAAACTCAGACCATAGTTCAGTATCATTTCTGAGTGTTTGTGAGGGTAGCAAGTGTGCAGCCATAGGTAGACTAGACCCATGATGTCCCAAGACAGGGTTCCTCTGTTCTTAACTTGTGCTAAGGTAAACCAAGGATGACGTAAAATTTCTATTATTAGTACAGCCTGTATTTTTAATCTTCCTCATCACAATAAGCCAAAAGCCTTACCACACAGTTTGATGTGAAGATTTATTTTTTAGACCAGTGTGTGACTGAAGTAGCTGGGTGGGCAGTGGGTGGGGGTAAAGGTGACGGAGGATCATTGGAGAAGCTCCTATAGGGAGAGGAGACGAAGCTCAGGTTGGCAGAGCTGCTGAGGTACACCAGGCCTGGGTGCCCTCTGTGGCCTGAGGATCCCCTCCTCCCTGGAGCCTTCTTTTAGGATTCCATGATGTCAGCTACAGAAAACAGGAGTTCCCACAGCAGTGGAAGCACCCAGCCAATGACATCAGAATCTGTGGGGTGGACCCAGCATATGCTCTTTTCAAAGCCCTCTGGTTAATCCAATGTGCAGCTAAGGCTGAGAACATCCACTCTAAACATTTAGACCGTAGTTGCTCTGGGTCCTGACTGCAGATTCAAACCACATTTCTTGAAAAATTATCCTGTCTTTTAGGCCTATCTCCCAAGACTCTGCTATCGCATGGGGTGGGCCAACCCAGGCATTGGGAATTTAAAAAAACTCCCCAAAATGATTCTAATGAGCAACCAAGGTTGGGAGCCAATGTCCTAATTTTAAGAAAGCAGCTAACAACTAAAGCCAGAACCTCCCCTCCACACATCACCTAAGAGGTGGCAGAAATAGCTCAACAAACACTCCTACAAGCAGCCTAACTCTCATCTCTTCGTCAGGAGGACACTGGGAGGGGAGAGTGGGCCTTGGAGAAGGAAAAGGTTAGTAGGGTCAGGTTATCCCCTTCCTCTATATGGAGGGAGTGGGAGTGCTGAGGGGGTCACAGGGGGCTTCCATAGGACTCCAATAGAGAGAGGGCCTGCCAGAAGGGAGAACGATGACAGTTCTTAGCAAGGTAGTTCTCCCATGTCAGGGAACTTTAGGAGGTTCTGCTGCTGGATCTCCCCCAAATTATCCACATATCCCAGGAGAGATGATACATGGAGTCTGCCTTGTTGTGGGCTTCAGGGCCAGGCACTGTCAGCCAGGGCAGCAATGACTTCAGGGGAGAAAGAATGCCAGCTGCTGCCAGCTGAGGAATGAGACAAGTTTCTTCCTTCTCTCCTCATCCCAACATCATTTTCCAATCCTGTGTATTCCATTTCCCCACACTCCATGCAGTTGGGGTCTCTGCTGAAGCCCACAATGGGGACAGGAGGGAAGAAGATTTCAATGGAATTCTATGGACTGAATTTAATAACCAAAAGCAACTAGAGGAGAAATTCTCTGATAGGCCTAAGATGAGGACTAGAACAAGGGACCTGATGTGGCCAAACTGGAAGCAGAGGCTAGAGAAATAGCAGCCAGTTTCTGTCTATTGCCTGCTGAGTAGAGACCATTTACTGCATCAGTTACTCACATGTTGTGTCCCTCTACAAGATTCGAAGGTCTTTGAGGGCAGGAATACACCTGATGCTTTTGAAACAACCAAAAGCCAGGCCCGCACTGGGCATAGAGCAGAGGCAGGTTCTTCCCCACATCCTGGATAATCTTTTCATTCTGCTTGGTCTACTGGTGGCACAGAGGTTTTGTTTTAAACTAAGGCTTTCTCACCTCATTGTTGGGGGGGGGGATTAATTATAAAATAAAGGTACAGCTCAGGTAAATTGTTTTACACTACATGAGCAATATGGCATTGGCAACAATTTTAAAAAGTTTTTGGAAGGTTACATTTGACTTTGAAGCTGGATATCTGTAAGTTCACAGATATTCCCTGACCCCAGCTTGTGGTGCTCCTTGGCAGCCAGTGATAATGCCTGAGACCCGCATTTTATACTGGCCCTAAAATTCAAGCAGTTTTGGAGGTCTTTATTAATCTCTTAAGTCAACCAACCTCTCTCCACTTAGAATACTGGAAGGATTCCAAAGTGGAAAGGTATTTATTGAGTGTATATTGCAATGACTTACCCTGAAATCACTGTGTTGGGGAATTAATTTACATGAAACATTGCAGGTCATTTTATTGCTTCAGTTCTCCCATACTACCTTTGTTCCGAGAATCTGGAGGTTCCTTGGGAATAGGATGGAAAGACTTCTGCACCTTGGCCCCCTAAATCAAGAGGAGAAACAATCTTGCCATTTTAGTGTTAAAATGAGTGCTGATGCAAACATTTACCTTTTTATTTATACTGATAATCTAATGAATAATCTGAAAATATGGCCAGGGGAGGAGGATTGCCAGGAATGATAAACACATAGTAAAGTAGTTTGATATGCAGGAAACTGCTTCTAAAATACACTAGCTGGTGCTTACTGAGGGAAACAATTACTCTTCGGATACAACCTGCTTTCGTTCTATAGCCATCTTTTTCTTTCTATTTTTTTTTTTACAAAAATATTTATCTTAATGGTATATTTCCCTACAGACTTTTTTCATATTCATATTTTACAAGGATACAAATCATCTATGTTCAATTTTTCATTCCTTTTAAAAATTTAATATATAGCATAAATGTCTTCAAGTTATTATGTAGTATTCATATCTATAATTTTAATGCTAAAATTATTTTGTTAGGTAACTTATAATAATTTATTTAAATATAACCTAATATAAGAATTTGAGTTTGCCTCCAATTTTACTATTATAAAAATGCCATTTTTGCTATTATAAAATGTATTTTTATGATGTGCCTTTTTATTATTTTGAACTTCTTAAGAGCAGGTTCTCAGAAGTGAAGTTTTGGGGCACAATGTTTGAAATCATTTTAATTCTTGACAAAATTGCTGAATTTCTTTCCAAAATGACTATACCAATGTACAACTCTCCCATACACAACTTTCTTTTTACGGTCTTATGAAAGCCTTCTTTTATTTACTGAGAAAAAAGTAGAAGCCATTTGTGTTATCATAGCATGATAAACTCCCCAAAATCTCTCCAAAATGAAAATGAAATTCATGCATATTTTTAGAGAGGAGAAAAGTAGAGAAACATGGTGTTGGACTATCACAACTGTGTGTGTGTGTGTGTGTGTGTGTGTGTGTGGTGGGCTTTGTAAAGAATTGGGGCTTAATGTACCTAACAAACGACTAATCTTTTGCCTGAAAAATAGGCTGAGCTGACCAGATGGTGAGTGGAATGAAATCACTTTCCTACCATTATGGGCAAGATTTCTAACTCTTTGTCACCCACTCTGTTCTTCCTAGGCAGTAAGTCAATGGGGAGGCTTGCTTATAAACGACAGGAGGCAAAACCCCATCTCCACCCTAATTTCTCATCACTTGTTCAGTACCTATTCATTTAGACTTTTGTCTTTAATACGTGTATTTTCCCTTGGCAATACCATAATGTCTTTTTTTTGTCTCTTCACCATAATCATGATGAACAAAAATGTAATGCACATAGTATTCCTTCATTTGAGTCTTTCTTTTATTCTTTTAATTTCAAACTGCTGTTCTTCCTAAAGGAGGACTGTGTTACAAAAGAATGAAATTTTCCAGACAATGTTTGGTACATAATAGTTTTAAGAGGCTTCATGTTTGCAAGAGACAAATTAAGCAGCCTCCCCTAATATGTAGACAACATCTGTTACACAGTCACCATTAATGATAACACTGGGATCTCTTTTGTGGCTGATTTTCATCCAGCTGCACCTACCCATAAAAGGCGCCAGCAAAGAGGGCTACACATTTATCTGTCAGTTCAGAATGACTTTGGAAAATGGCACATAAACCTAAAGCAAATCTTTGTTAACCTCTGAAATCAGAGCCTCCATAAATCACTGCTAAGGACAGCTTATAACCTCCTCACAGCCAACTCATCATCTCCATTCAGTGTTTGATAAGATGCTCCAAATCTTAGGCTGGTTATACAGAAGAAAGCTACACATCAAGAAACTAAGCCTTATGTTTGGTGCCCACCTGTAAAGAAACACACATACCCATTGATCAATTACAAGTTTTTGCTCCAAAGCTTTATTTCAGACAACATTCCCACCTGCACCAATGGATCTCTTCCTAAGTAATAAAAACGCTACAAAATCCTTGGTAGGGCTAATTAGCTATGGCTAATCATTTGATTTGATGACTTGTTATTATTTGAAATTAAACATTAAGATTCTTAAATGAAAACCATTCAGAAAGCTAGGAGAGGGGTTCCACTTTCTTTGCAAGACTGAGCTGTATGAAATCTCTTTCTTACAATTTGGTTGTGAAATGTATTCTGGTATATTTTCATCTCTGGGTTTCCCTGTGGATATATATCTTATAGTGTAACATGTCAATTTACTCATTTAATACCTACTCAAGTGCCCTCTCTGTTTCAGTCCTGGTGCTAGATGCTGGAGATATGTGAAGGAAAAAATAAATCAAGTCTCTACGCTCAGGTACTTGTATCCACCACAGGCATAGAGAAAAAACAAATGGCTCAGATTATAAATAAAGCAAGAGTGATTGAGGGTTGGCATTTTAAATGTGATGTTCAGAGAAGGCCTTTATTTGTACAGAATCCTAAATAAAACAATGGAGATAGCAGTGTGAATTGGCAGGAAAAGAGCATCCCAGGCAGAGGGAACAGAATTGCTCAGGCCCCAAACTTGGCAAGTGCAAGAAACAGCACAGAAGCCTGTCTGGTTGGATGCTGATGCAAGACGGAAAGCAAGTTTGTGAAGGTGGGCAGGGGTCAGGCCTTGGAGGGCCTTGAAGGCCATAGTAAGGAGTACAGGTTCTACACTATGTGAAGGAATGCTTTAGGAGGTTCTTGAGCAGTGGACTATTGTCTGGCTTATATTCACTTTGGTACAACACCAAATTCAACTAAATGCAGTTTTCACGCTAGCTGAAAGATCTCTCTGAGCATAAATCATAATGTAACTCAGCTTCTCCACCTGTTAACAATGGGTTTATGTATTTCCAAGGTGTTCACAGATGGCTTTCAGAGAGTCCACAGAATGCTTGTAAAATGTATATTTTCGCATATATTTAAAAAATTCAGACCTCACAAAGGCTAAGAACCACTGATCTAGAGGACCCTAAATTCAGTTAGAGCTGTACTGTTCGAGGATTCTTTAGGTCTTCAACACACCTGGCACTCTTAGCAACTTTTTCAATGAAGGACCTAATTGTTCATTAACTCATTTTCTTTCTTTATTCTGAACCTATTTATGCCTAGTTTTCCATTATTGGAATGCTAAGCATGTGGGAGTTATTTATATTCTTCTGCTCAAGGTCATTGCCAAGGTCTGATTTTTCAAATTCAAAAAATTGCAACCTCAAACATAAACGGGTTAATCACATGTGTAGTTTCAAGTCTCTTTGTCCCATCTAGTAGATTACATTAAATTCTTCATCCCTTTCTGAATCTGTGTCCTTTGCCATGTAGCTTTGCAAAGAAGGGGTGTACTTTTGCACACCTGACTTGTTTTGGCTAGTGGGATATCAGCAGACAAGAAAGAAAGAGCTGGGACAACACTTGTGAAGTCTTTTTCTTTTGCCTCCATCATGATCATGAGAAGAACATGGCCAGGCTAACCAGCCAGTGCCAGGAGGATGAGAGTCATGTGAAGCAGAGCTCAGTCACCTTAGCCAAGCCCAGGCTGGACTGGTTAATGCCCAGACACGTGAGTTAGCCCAGTTGAAGTCAGCTAAACTGCTCAGCCTACCCAAAGATCTGCAAGCGGTTGAGGTTCTTATTGTTGTATGCTGCTGAGATTTCTTTTGAGGCTGTTTATTATGCAGCAATAGTTAACTGATATGCCATATTGCTACCATATTTGTAGCCTCCTTTTTAAAAGACACCATATTGGAGATCCTGAATTAAGTTCTTTTGTACCCATTTTGGGTCCTGATTCAAAGCTGAATTCCCAGTTTCTAATTGTATAACCATGATAATCAACCCTGGTTGTTTATACTTCCTTATTGGTACACACTCCAGCTTTTCCTTCAAAAGCTGCCACAGCTGTTTACAGAAGCCAAGTCCTGGAGGATTCCACTAGTGGCAGAAGGGTGAAATTTGCAGCCCTAATCTCGTAATGCTGGGACTCAGCCTGACAGTGGTATATGCCACAACATCCTAGCTGAATATAAGAATGCTAATGAAGGATACAAGTCCTCCTTCAGACCAGGAGTATAAGCTGTCGAACCTTGCTAAATGGCTGTAATGAATGTAAACTACAGCATACCAGCTGAACCTTGGGATACGCTTAATTGCCCAGGGTGGCTTAATCTTCAGCCCTGCCAGTTGCAGAAGGATTATTTGTCTTTGGTGAACTCAGTGGAGAATTGAAAGTAAATTTGTTTAAACGATAGTAGAGTTTAGAATAGGCATAACAGAAGAATCATAAATAACCACGACTGAAATGTAAACTACAACCAAATCTAAGCCCACTCTTTGTCTAAGGATTGCATCCTTGAGGAAGGAGGGAGCACCAGTTTCTTGATTTAGGCTTTTATTAAGCCATATTATGAGTCACTAGGAGAACAAATGGGTTCTATTTAAAATAACAGGCATGGCCAAAGCAACATGACCATCATTTCAAAGCTACATTTCCCTGAATGAGCCTTCAAAAGGGGGGGATGTCAGAGTTTTGCTGATTTTGAACCTCACTATCCCCAAATTCCACTTCTTCCCCAAATGCATAGAAACAAGATAGCCTTGGATCTTAATCACACTTTTTTCTTAAAAAAAGTTTTTTTTACTGGCTGGGCGCAGTGGCTCACGTCTGTAGTCCTGGCACTTTGGGAGGCCAAGATGTGAGGATCGTTTGAGCCCAAGAGGTCGAGGCTGCAGTGAGCTATGAGCGTGCCACTACCCTCCGGCCTAGGTGTCAGAGCAACCCTGCCCACAAAAAGTTTTGAAAAGGTGATATAAGTAGATGGCAAAGTTTCTTTCAAATGATAGGAAAATAATGAAAATTAAGCCTTCCTCATACACTGTTTATCTTTAATCCCTCAATTCATTTGAGGTAAGTGGGTTGTCTTGCTCTTTGTGATACAAATTATCCAAAAATGTATTGAAATATTGAATAATTCTTTTCATTGTTTGGTTTTTAAGATTTTGTGAGTACTAACATAAAGACCTAGAGATTATTTTCTCAATACTGTTAACAAGTTGATTGCCTCAATTATTTGCCTGGCTTCAACTATACAGACTGACTTTAAGTGCAAAACAATAATGAGCATCTTTAATAACAATGACCATCTTTTCTCAATATGGACAGCCACAAACAGTGTTTAAAAATATATCTAACTCATTATTCATGTACAAAAATGTGTATTGTGGAGGAAATGATTATAAATTCTTCATGTATATTGACTTCTGTGGAAGACTCCTGTTTGCCTAGCACAATCTCTTCTTTCCTTCTTCCTGTAATATTAATAGAAGCTTAGTTTTATTTAGGACAAACATATTATCCACTAAAAGGCCACATTTTCCAGTGTCCCAGCTAGGTGACTAGGCCATGTGACTAGGTTTTGGCCAATGAGTTTAAAGCAGAAGTGTTATATGGTATTTCTTGAAGAGTGGAGGCACATCTTTATTCCTTACTTCTCCAGCTACTTTGGAATGTGGATGTGGGCAGCTAGGCCTCCAACTGCCTGCTATCTTGGGTCATGAGAAAAAGGGTCATTCTAGAGATGGTAGAACAGACGACTTCAGAGAGCCAGGTTTCTGATGACTTTGCAGAGCTGCCTTGCCAGTCCTGAACTGTATGCCTCGACATTTATTTTGCAAGAAAGAAAAATAATTTCTATCTTATATAAGCGTATTATTCAGGGTTCTCCAGAGAAACAGACCAATAGGAAATGCACACACACACACATTTCCTATTGGTTATAGGATATATACATTTGTCCCTTAGTATCCATAGGAGATTGGTTCCTGGACCTCCCGTGGGTAACAAAATATGTAGATGCTCAAGTGCCTGATATAAAACGGCATAACATTTGCATGTAACCTATGTATATCCTATTTACCTCTTCCCATCTAACTTTTTTTTTTTTTTTTGAGATGCTGTTGTCCAGACCGGAGTGCAGTGGCGTAATCTCAGCTCACTGCAACCTCCGTCTCCCGAGTTCAAGCGATTCTTTTGCCTTAGCCCCCCAAGTAGCTGGGACTACAGGCATGCACCACCACACCTGGCTAATTTTTGTATTTTTAGTAGAGATGGGATTTCACTATATTGGCCAGGCGGTCTTGAACTCCTGACCTCAGGTGATCTGCCCCCCTTGGCCTCCCAGAGTGCTGGGATTACAGGCTTGAGCCACCGTGTCTGGCCCCTTCCCCATATACTTTAAATCATCTTTAGATTACTTATAATACCTAATAAAATGTAAATGTTATGTAAATAATTGCTAACTGTATTGTTCAGGGCATAATGACAAGGAAAAAATGTCTGTACATGTTCAGTAGAGATGCAGTTTTGTTTGCAAAGTTTTTAATCTGAAGTTGAAGCTACAGATGCCAAGGGCTGACTATATACAAATACACATACATCTATATATAAAGAGAGAGAGGGAGAGAGAGAGAGAGAGAGAGAGAGAGAAAGAGAGATGATAGAAATTGGTTCATGATTATGGAGGCTAAGAAGTGATTTAGCCTCATGATTTGTCATCTTCAAGCTGGAGAATCAGGAAAGCTGGTAGATAATTCAATTCGAGTCCAGAGGTGTAAGTCCTAGTCCATGTCTGATGACCTGAGAACTGGGAATGCCAATGTTGGAGAGCAGGAGAAAATGGATGTTCCAGCTCAAATAGAAGCAAATTCACCCTTCTCCATATTTTTGTTCTATTCAGTCCTTCGACAAATATGATGATGCTCACCCATACTGGTGAGAGGAATTTTCCTTACTCAGCCTATGAATTGAAATGTTAATCTTTTCCAGAAACACCCTCACAGACATGCCCAGCCCAGAAATAATGTTTTGCCAGCTATCTGGGCATCCCTTATCCCAGTCAAGTTGACACATACAATTAAGCATCACAAAATGCTACTGTCATTTAGGGTTTTCTGTCATTCCCAGACAAACCTAATCCTTATTGCTATGCTTTCATATTGCTTCTGAGCTTCCGAAGCAACAGCAGCAGCAGCAGCGACAAATCATCTCATGGCACCTATTTCAGTCCCTGGCAAATGTGGGCTTGGAGAAGCATAAGAGAGCACTATTAGTACAGAGTCAGTGTTGCTTACATTCAGTGACACTGAGTATGAATTTCAAATGGTGGTATAGGAAATGAATGAACCAATTCTGTTTTCTTTCTGACCACTTGATAAATGATGTCCCTGTTTTGGCCCTGCTATTACCTTTGGAGGTATTTATGAGGCCCAGTGCCTTTATAATAGCCTATCAGTCTCCTGTTTTCAAATTAGTCCATTTTTTGCACCTCAGTGCTTATTTAGGACATGGACTGCTGGATCTGCCTTTCCTAGGAGCCCCAGGAGCTGAGAGATAACATATTCCTGGGTTTGGTTCTTTCTTTCTCTCTCTCTCATCCTCTCTTTCTCCCTCCATTCCTCCCTCCATCCTTCCCTAACTTTTTTCTTTTCTCTTTCTTTCATCTCCCCTCCCTCCCTCCCTTCCTTCCTTCTTCCTTCCTCTGACATACAGTGCATAATTTTAAGTGTATAGCTCCACAAACTATATATATCTACAAACATTCACATATGTAAACACCCATGTATAACCACCATTCCATTCCAGACAAGCTACATTTCCTGTCTGGCATGGAATGGAACCTTACCCTAGAAGCGTCTCTCAGGTTCCTTCCCAGTTCATAAAGACTTCCACCAGAGTTAATGACTATTCTGACTTTTATCCTCATAGATTACTCTTTGCCTGTTTCTAAGCTTTATATAAATAGAACCATACAATGTGTGTTCTTTTATGTCTGGCTTTTTTCATTCAACATAATGATTTTGAGATTAATCCATGTTGTTCCTTATATCAAAAAATTAAAGAGAAGAAAAATCAGTGAATTGGAAGCTAAAAGGATTTCACTCTGATGTGGAACAGAGATAGAAAGAGACTTTAAAATCATTTCATATGTGAAACACCTCTGTATGAAAGATTAGTTGAGATATAGATGATAGACTAAATGACTCCAACAGTCATCTAACAGGGAATAGAGAAGTGAATGGAGGTCATGGAAGATGAACAACGTTTAGAGGGGTGATAGCTTAAAATTTTCCAGAATTTGAGAGAAGCCACCTGTCTTGAAGTCAAAAGGGTACTTTCAACTCCAGAAAGGATACATAAAAATAAATCATCTAGACCTATCATAATGAGGTCACGGAAGAGCAAGGATGAAGCAACAATCCGAAAGTGCACTGAGGTTCTGACTCCAGAGTGATAGAGACATTTTAGATCTTCATTAGGAGGGGGTTACATAGATGTAGATATTTATCAAAACATATCCAATTATATACTTAAGAGCTATGCATTTCACTGGATACAATTTTATCTTACTTTATAAAGGGTATTGAGGGCAGAGTTGAGGGAATCCCCTGCTTTCCACTCAGAACTGTGGCTAAACTGAGCAGAGTTCTCATTGCTACAATAAATGTCAAGGACAGTAGAGCAAGATCTTCAAGATGTTGAGGGAAAAATAACTATTTACCTATCTTTCAAGAATGAAGGCAAAATAAAAATATTTTTAGTCATACAAATATTATTTTCAGATTCTCTCTAAAATAACATTTTTTTAAGGATACACTTGAGTAAATTTTTTAAAAACATACCAGCTGGACGTGGTGGCTCACGTCTGTAATCCCAGCACTTTGGGGCGCTGAGGTGGGCAGATCACGAGGTCAGTAGTTCAAGACCAGCCTGGCCAATATGGCGAAACCCCGTCTCTACTAAAAATACAGAAATTAGCCAGGCACGGTGGCACACGCCTGTAGTCCCAGCTACTCGGTAGGCTGCAGCAGAAGAATCACTTGAACCCAGGAGGCAGAGGTTGCAGTGTGCTGAGACTGTGCCACTGCACTCCAGCCTGGGTGACAGAGCGAGACTCCATCTAAAAAAAAAAAAAAAAAAAAAAGAAAGATATCACAGGAGATTATGGGCTATCAGAAACAAAAGTGACTATGTCAATTGGTAAAATTAATTATTTATTGACTGCAAAACTAAAAAAAGAGAAGCCTCTTTTGGGGTGTAAGAAAGGTAAAACTCGGGCTGGGCACGGTGGCTCAAGCCTGTAATCTCAGCACTTTGGGAGGCCGAGACGGGCGGATCACAAGGTCAGGAGATTGAGACCATCCTGGCTAACATGGTGAAACCCCGTCTCTACTAAAAATACAAAAAATTAGCTGGGCGTGGTGGCGGGCGCCTGTAGTCCCAGCTGCTCGGGAGGCTGAGGCAGGAGAATGGCGTGAACCTGGGAGGTGGAGCTTGCAGTGAGCCGAGATCGCGCCACTGCACTCCAGCCTGGGAGACAGAGCAAGACTCTTGTCTCAAACAAACAAAAAAAAAAAAAAAAAAAAAAAAAAAAGGTAAAACTCAAATTCTAAACAATAACAATATGAGGAAGGGAGTGTTGAGTAGTATTCAATGGATAAAGTATGCTAAAGTCATCGTGGTCTGTAGGAAATGAGACATATTGAATAATTGTTGGAAAAAAACGGACAGATAATTGTGCATGTTAATATCTGAAAGGCTACCATTAAAAGAATAAAGCTTTTGACCAGGTGTGGTGGCTCATGCCTGTAATCCCAGCACTTTGGGAGGCCAAGGCAGGTGGATCACTTGAGGTCAGGAGTTCAAGACCAGCCTGGCCAACACAGTGAAACCCTGTTTCTACTAAAAAAATACAAAAATTAGCTGGTCGTGGTGGTGCACGCCTGTAATCCCAGCTACTCGGGAGGCTGAGGCACAAGAATCCTTTGAACCCGGGAGATGGAGGCTGCAGTGAGCTGAGATCACGCCACTGCACTCCAGCCTGGGTGACAGAACGAGACTCTGTCTCAAAATAAATGAATAAATAAATAAATAAAGAGAAAAATAAAATAAATAAATAAAATAAAATAAATAAATAAATAAAAACACACTCGGCTCACTGCAAGCTCCGCCTCCCGGGTTCATGCCATTCTCCTGCCTCAGCCTACTGAGTAGCTGGGACTACAGGCGCCTGCCACTACGCTTGGCTAATTTTTTGTATTTTTAGTAGAGACGGGGTTTAGTAGCCAGGATGGTCTCGATTTCCTGACCTCGTGATCCAATTGCCTCGGCCTCCCAAAGTGCTGGGATTACAGGCATGAACCACCACGCCTGGCCTGCCATATACTTATTATATCTGTCCTTTCTGTGTGTGAATATTAAACTTTTAAAAAGTTAAGAGAGAAATAAATAAGCACCTCTTTGTTCTCTGTCTTCACCCTTCAAGGACCGTCCTCCCCTTTAATACTGGTAATAATGTACGAAATCCCATCTTCAGCAGAAAGTCCTTATCTTTCATCAGTTCCTTTTATATTGTATTCCTAGGAATTCCCAAGAATGCTGTCAAGTTCTACAAATGCATCTTGGTGGACTTGATGCTGCTTGCATGGGACTTCAACATCCTTCCCCTCTGACTATCTCATCACTGTTTCGCCATATGCAGCAATTCTGCTAGGGATACTTTGTCTCAAAGGATGGACCTAAAGCAATGCATTTCTTTCCCAAAGAAACACAACTAACTCAAAATGCTTGCAAATATTTCCGAAGGAGAGAAAAGGAAGATTTGAATGGAATATTTGATACTACTATTCCTCTGGTCTATTGGACTATGTTCCTCACACAGGATTTTCTCCTGGGGCTAACGCTGATGACGCACACATTTCATCCTCTGAAATGGGGATCCCTTTCACTTTATCTTTCCTCTTTGTGTCTAGGGTACCAAGTCTCAGGAAACAGAAGACCATATTGATTTGGTCTGTTAGACTTAGTGCAGGAGTGCAAATCAGTGGCTTCCCACAAATTTTATTTCACAGTATTATTCATCTTCTCTGTTATTATGTAGCTTAACGAATTACCCCAAATTTCATTGGCTCACAAAAGCAAATATTTGTTTTTCTTGCCCCATATCTGTGAGTCAGCTGCAATGGCCCTGCTATAGGTTATGGGTATTTGTTCTTCATTCTGTGACCTGCGATGGAGGATCAATCGTTACCCTGGACACACTCTTTCTTTCTTTTTTTTTTTTTATACTTTAAGTTCTAGGGTACATGTGCACAACGTGCAGGTTTGTTACATATGTATACATGTGACCTGTTGGTGTGCTGCACCTGTTAACTCGTCATTTACATTAGGTATATCTCCTAATGCTATCCCTTCCCCCTCCCCCCACCCCACCACAGGCCCCAGTGTGTGATGTTCGCCACCCTGTGTCCAAGGGTTCTCATTGTTCAATTCCCACCTATGAGTGAGAACATGCAGTGTTTGGTTTTCTGTCCTTGTGATAGTTTGCTGAGAATGATGGTTTCTAGCTTCATCCATGTCCCTACAAAGGACATGAACTCATCCTTTTTTATGGCTGCGTAGTATTCCATGGTGTATATGTGCCACATTTTGTTAATCCAGTCTATCATTGATGGACATTTGGGTTGGTTCCAAGTCTTTGCTATTGTGAATAGTGCTGCAATAAACATATGTGTGCATGTGTCTTTATAGCAGCATGATTTATAATCTTCTGGGTATATGCCCAGTAATGGGATGGCTGGGTCAAATGGTATTTCTAGTTCTAGATCCTTAAGGAATTGCCACACTGTCTTCCACAATGGTTGAACTAGTTTACAGTCCCACCAACAATGTAAAAGTGTTCCTATTTCTCCACATCCTCTCCAGCACCTGTTATTTCCTGACTTTTTAATGATCGCCATTCTAACTGGTGTGAGATGGTATCTCATTGTGGTTTTGATTTGCATTTCTCTGATGGCCAGTGATGATGAACATTTTTTCATGTGTCTGTTGGCTGCATAAATGTCTTCTTTTGAGAAGTGTCTGTTTATATCTTTGCCCACTTTTTGATGGGATTGTTTGATTTTTTTCTTGTAAATTTGTTTAAGTTCTTTGTAGGTTCTTTCTGGATATTAGCCCTTTGTCAGATGAGTAGATTGTAAAAATTTTCTCCCATGCTGTAGGTTGCCTGTTCACTCTGATGGTAGTTTCTTTTGCTGTGCAGAAGCTCTTTAGTTTAATTAGATCCCATTTGTCAATTTTGGCTTTTGTTGCCATTGCTTTTGGTGTTTTAGTCATGAAGTCCTTGCCCATGCCTATGGCCTGAATTGTATTGCCTAGGTTTTCTTCTAGGGTTTTTATGGTTTTAGGTCTAACAGTTAAGTCTTTAATCCATCTTGAATTAATTTTTGTATAAGGTGTAAGGAAGGGATCCAGTTTCAGCTTTCTAAGTATGGCTAGCCAGTTTTCCCAGCACCATTTATTAAATAGGGAATCCTTTCCCCATTTGTTGTTTTTGTCAGGTCTGTCAAAGATCAGATGGATGTAGATGTGTGGTATTATTTCTGAGAGCTCTACTCTGTTCCATTGGTCTATATCTCTGTTTTGGTACCAGTACCATGCTGTTTTGGTTACTGTAGCCTTGTAGTATAGTTTGAAGTCAGGTAGCGTGATGCCTCCAGCTTTGTTCTTTTGGCTTAGGATTGTCTTGGCAATGCGGGCTCTTTTTTGGTTCCACATGAACTTTAAAGTAGTTTTTTCCAATTCTGTGAAGAAAGTCATTGGTAGCTTGATGGGGATGGCATTGAATCTATAAATTACCTTGGGCAGTATGGCCATTTTCACAATATTGATTCTTCCTATCCATGAGCATGGAATGTTCTTCCATTTGTTTGTGTCCTCTTTTATTTCGTTGAGCAGTGGTTTGTAGTTCTCCTTGAAGAGGTCCTTCACATCCCTTGTAAGTTGGACTCCTAGGTATTTTATTCTCTTTGAAACAATTGTATATGGGAGTTCACTCATGATTTGGCTCTCTGTCCGTTATTGGTGTAAAGGAATGCTTGTAATTTTTGCACATTGATTTTGTACCCTGAGACTTTGCTGAAATTTCTTATCAGCTTAAGGAGATTTTGGGCTGAGACGATGGGATTTTCTAAATACACAATCATGTCATCTGCAAACAGGGACAATTTCACTTCCTCTTTTCCTAATGGAATACACTTTATTTCTTTCTCTTGCCTGATTGCCCTGGCCAGAAGTTCCAACACTATGTTGAATACAAGTGGTGAAAGAGGGCATCTCTGTCTTGTGCCAGTTTTCAAGGGGAATGCTTCCAGTTTTTGCTGATTCAGTATGATATTGGCTGTGGGTTTGTCATAAATAGCTCTTATTATTTTGAGATACGTCCCATCAATACCTAGTTTATTGAGAGTTTTTAGCATGAAGGCCTGTTGAATTTTGTTGAAGGCCTTTCTGCATCTATTGAGATAATCACGTGGTTTTTGTCTTTGGTTCTGTTTATATGCTGGATTACGTTTATTGATTTGTGTATGTTGAACCAGCCTTGCATCCCAGGGATGAAGCCAACTTGATCATGGTGGATAAGCTTCTTGATGTTCTGCTGGATTCTGTTTGCCAGTATTTTATTGAGGATTTTTGCATCAATGTTCATCAGGGATATTGGTCTAAAATTCTCTTTTTTGGTTGTGTCTCTGCCAGGCTTTGGTATCAGGATGATGTTGGCCTCATAAAATGAGTTAGGGAGGATTCCCTCTTTTTCTATTGATTGGAATAGTTTCAGAAGGAATGGTGCCAGGTCCTCTTTGTACCTCTGGTAGAATTTGGCTGTGAATCCATCTGGTCCTGGACTTTTTTTGGGTGGTAGACTATTAATTATTGCCTCAATTTCAGAACCTGTTATTGGTCTATTCAGAGATTCAACTTCTTCCTGGTTTAGTCTTGGGAGGGTGTATGTGTCCAGGAATTTATCCATTTCTTCTAGATTTTCTAGTTTATTTGCATAGAGGTGTTTATAGTATTCTCTGATGGTAGGTAGTATTTCTGTGGCATCAGTGGTGATATCCCCTTTATCATTTTTTATTGTGTCTATTTGATTCTTCTCTCTTTTCTTCTTTATTAGTCTTGCTAGCGGTCTATCAATTTTGTTGATCTTTTCAAAAAACCAGCTCCTGGATTCATTGATTTTTTGAAGGGTTTTTTATGTCTCTGTCTCCTTCAGTTCTGCTCTGATCTTAGTTATTTCTTTCCTTCTGCTAGCTTTTGAATGTGTTTGCTCTTGCTTCTCTAGTTCTTTTAATTGTGATGTTAGGGTGTCAATTTTAGATCTTTCCTGCTTTCTCTTGTGGGCATTTAGTGCTATAAATTTCCCTCACACACTGCTTTAAATGTGTCCCAGAGATTCTGGTATGTTGTGTCTTTGTTCTTATTGGTTTCAAAGAAGATCTTTATTTCTGCCTTCATTTCGTTATGTACCCAGTAGTCATTCAGGAGCAGGTTGTTCAGTTTCCATGTAGTTGAGCGGTTTTGAGTGAGTTTCTTAATCCTGAGTTCTAGTTTGATTGCACTGTGGTCTGAGAGACAGTTTGTTACAATTCCTGTTCTATTACATTTGCTGAGGAGTGCTTTACTTGCAACTATGTGGTCAATTTTTGAATAAGTGTGATGTGGTGCTGAGAAGAATGTATATTCTGTTGATTTGGGGTGGAAAGTTCTGTAGATGTCTATTAGGAAGGCTTGGTGCAGAGCTGAGTTCAATTCCTGGATATCCTTGTTAACTTTCTGTCTCGATCTGTCTAATGTTGACAGTGGGGTGTTAATGGACACACTGTCTTATGGCAATGGGTAAGAGTTCAGAAGTACTGGCAGAAATTCCAATTTTTTTTTAAATGTCTGCTTGGACATTTAAAATGTTTGTCACTTCTGCTTATATCCCATTGGCAAAAGCAAGTCATATAGCCAAGACTAACATCAATGAAAAAGGGAAGAGACTTGTCCTATTGGGAAAGAGGGGAGAGTGAATATTTGTTGAACAGTAGTACAATCTAACACATACGCCCTATATTGTACTCTGCAGTGTTACCTAATGTGGAGCCAAAGATACAGAAACATAAGAATCATTCCACTTTGGGAAGTATAGTAGACTGAGAACTTCCTGAGGGATCCTTCTACTGTGGAACAATTAGACCTTTGCTGGACTTAAGTATGTAAGGAAAATCTCCAATGGGGGTGGGGAGGAGTAGCAAAAATATAAGTAAGCCGAAACCAGAGTGGAGAACAATAAGCCAGGCATGCAAACACACAAAGGCCATTATCAGCATTTCCAGGGTTAAAGGGTGTGTGTGTGTGTGTGAGTCTGGCAGAGAAAGTCTGGGAGGAGAGCTGGGGATATAGAAAGCAAATTCAAGGCTCCAGGATTAAGCTGACAACCTTTGAAGGGGATAAAAGTGATCCCAGGTCATTAGTACCCCTGGATCTTTGTAGAATCACTTACAAATCCACTCTGGAGTAAAGACTGTTCAATTTAGGCTTTCAAGTTTTCTATACACCAAAGGTCCAAATATGAGCTCAAAATCAAAGATTACAGAACATACACACACGCAAAGTTCATGAGGAATGACAGCAGAAACCAAAAAAAAAAAAAAACAGATTAAGACCCCAAGGACTTCAGACATTGAAATTTCACCTATAGAATATAGAATAACTATGTATGGAAGATGGAATCACAAAAATGAAGAATCAGTAAGAGACTAAAACATAACAAAGTGGATTTAAAAAGAATCAATTAGAACTTTTAGAAATAAAAATATAATTGTCTCCCATCCAAGTACTAACCCACCCTGACCCTGCTTAGCTTCCCAGATCAAACGAGTTTGGGTGCATTCAGGGTGATATGGCTGTAGACAAAATATAATTGTTAAAAAAGTTTTATTGGATGAATTAAACTGAAGACTAGTCATAATTAAAAACTATGACAGAGCTGAAGAAATTTCCCAAAATGCAGCGCAGAGAAATAAAGTAACAACACAAAGGGACAACACAATTTTAAAATGGGCAAAGGATTTGAATAGACATTACTCCAAAGAAGACACACAAATGACCAATAAGCACATGAAAAGATACTCAACATCACTGGTCATTAGGGAAGTGCAAATTAAAACCACAGCCAGGTGCCATTTTACATCCACTAAGTTGGCCTTTAAGAAATGAAATAAGTGTTAGCAAAGATGTGGAGAAAATGGAACCCTTGTGCATTGCTGGTGGGAATGTAAAATGGTGCAGCCACTGTGGAAAAAAGCATGGTAGTTCCTCAAAAAATTAAAAGTTAACATATGATCCAGCATCCTACCTCTAGATATAGACCCAAAAGAATTGCAAAGAAGTACTCAAATACTTGTACATGAATGTTCATAGCAGCACTATCAACAATAGCCAAATGAAACAACCCAAATGTTCAACTGATGAATAAATCAGCAAAATGTAGTCTATATAGCCAATAGAATATTATTCAACCATAAAAAGAGATGATGAACTGATTCATGCTACACTATGGATCAACCTCAAAAACATTAAACTAAGTGAAAGAAGTTATACATAAAAGGTCACATATTGTATGATTCCATTTATATGAAATATCTAGAATCCACAGAGATAGAAAGCAGACTAGTGGGCCAGGAGGGAGTGAGAAGTAGGGATTGAATGTTTAATGGATATGGGCTTTCCTTTTGGAGTGGTGAAAATATCTTGGAACTAGAAGGAGGTGGTGGTTGTACAAACATTGCAAATGTGCTAAATACCACTGAATTGTAAAACTTTAAAATGGTTAATTTTGTTATGTGAGGCTGGACTGTGGGGGAAATGTTGACTTGAAGAGTCAATGGGCCCTTCAGGGACATACATCCTATAGAGTCAGAAATAGGAAATCTGAATTTCTAGAGCAGGATTTTGGCTTGAGAGGTACACGAGTGAGTTACCCTTGCATAGATGGTCATAAATATATATAAAGAAAATATGAACAAGAGATAAGGAATCATGAAAGATAAAATGAGAAGATGTAACAGATATCTAGTCAGAATTCCAGAAGAGATAATACAAAGAATGAGACGTAATATTTGAAGAAATTGTGCCTAAGAACTTTCTGAAACTGATGAAAGATATTAATCTACAGGTAAAGAAAATGAAACTCTTGGCTGGGCGCAGTGGCCAGATAAGCACTGTGGGATTATCTGCCAAGGCGGGCAGATCACCCTGAAGTCAGGAGTTAAAGACCAGCCTGGCCAACATGGTGAAACCCTGTCTCTACTAAAAATACAAAAATTAGCCAGGCATGGTGGTGCACGCCTGTAATCCCTGCTATTTGGGAAGCTGAGGCAGGAGAATTGCTTGAACCCAGGAGGCAGAGGTTGCAGTGAGCCCAGATTGTGTCACTGCACTCCAACCTGGATGACAGAGTAAGACTCCATCTAAAATAAAAAATAAAAAAAAAATAAAAATGAAACTTTTGCATACTAAGATAAATAAAAGGAGAAACATACTTAAATTATAGTGGAGCCGCAGAATCCTGAAGACCAAGAGAAGACCAAAAGTTAGATCACCAACAAAGTAATGGCGGAGTTACAGCAGATTTCACATCAGCAATGGAAGCTAGAAGAAAGAAAGTACCAACCTAGAATTCTACATCCAGCAAAAATATCCTTTAAGAATGGACATGAAATAAAAACACATTCACACAAAAACAAAACCAGACAGTCATCAATATATTTCTTTCTTTATTAAATTTTTTGAGACGGAGTCTCACTTTGTCGCCTAGGCTGGAGTGCACTGGCGTGATCTCGGCTCACTCCGAGCTCCACCTCCCGGGTTCATGCCATTCTCCTGCCTCAGCCTCCTGAGTAGCTGAGACTACAGGCGCCTGCCACCATGCCCAGCTAATTTTTTGTATTTTTAGTAGAGACAGGGTTTCACCATGTTAGCCAGGATGGTCTTGATTTCCTGACCTTATGATCTGCCCGCCTCAGCCTCCCAAAGTGCTGGGATTACAGGTGTGAGCCACCGTGCCCGGCCAATAAATTTCTAAAGCATATTCTTTGTTTTTCATAAAGCTATATTTATTCAATTTAAATGATAACCTTTATTCTGAAATTATGTTCTTCCTAATTTTAGGGGCTAAAATATGTTTTCTTTTACATAATGGTGTTGATAGCAGATGGTTATTTTTTTTTATTATTTGTTTGTTTTTGTTTTATGTCCTTAGCTGGCAAAATTAAAGCCAGCAACTAAGGCCCCAATTTTTTTTTAAATACAAATCTACTGGTGCTTAAATCTCAGAGCTTAGGAACCACAGCCTATGTAAAAGCCAATCTTTTTGTTGCATATTTCACAGTATTGAATTCTTTCTTGGTGAGTTCTCCATACAAGTTATGAAGCAGGATAAAACTCAGTCTTACATCAAGTCAGTGTAAATGTGGCCTTAATTTCAATCACCAAAGAAATGTATTTGTGTTGTATACCGTGGTTACAGCATATTTTATTAAAACTAATTATATTAGTACCTACCTATAGAGTATCAATTTAAAAATTATAATGACATTTCTATGATGTCATTACTTTTATAGGACTAGCCTGTGTCACATGTGTGAGCATTATTGGTGCAATGCAGAAATAAAGAAGGCTGGGTGTCCAAGCAGGCCACTTTTCTGGGTCAGGGTTTCAGTGGTACCATAGATGGGTGCCAGTTTCAATGTACACTTTGGCCCATTTATCTTTATAAATCATACCATATAGCTTCGATATTTACATACATTTAAACTGAGAAGAAATATGCATTACAAGAAAGCATAGTTTAGTGGGTTTCGTGTGTCAGAAACAACTCCATATTTCATAATTATTTTTATGTCATTAGCTACCCTTGATAAAGAACAATTCTATATAAATGTCCAAACTGGAACATAATTTTGTAAGACCTTAAAGAGATCTTTGTAAACTGCAGTGTGTCCACTTATAAACAAATCAAATCAATTAATCACCATTTCTTCAAAGTGTCAAAAACAAAAGAATAGCTGGACATTACCTTTTATAATCAGCTTCAGAGAAAATACAGGAATAATGATCAATGGCATTTTGGAGCAGATAAAACTGCTGAGTTTTATGTTTGAGTCTATCATTGTGTGATTTGCTATAATAGTATTCCTTCCTATTAGCTGTTCTCAACAATATTGGTTCTATATTCATTTGATATGAGCATTTATATTAAACTTCAAAATTACTTCTGGTAGTATCCAGAATATATGTCAGAGACTCCTAAAATCAACTTCTGTTTTCCTCTTAATTAACATTTGGTCAAACGACAACTTCAGATTTTCAAGACCAGTAGTGTGCCTTGCAGTGAACATGCATAGGCTGGAGCATCTGGCCAAGTTAAAATGTAGTTATCAATGCTTAGTTATTCTTGGTTTTCTTCAGATAGTGAGCCGTGTAGACTTGTTCATATCTGTGGTTATTTTAAAATAAATCCAAGAAGGCAGGATTGAGATTATGGAGCCCAGAAGAGCATGGATCAGGTATCCATTGGTTCAGGATTTGCAGGCCTCCTGTTTTGATTGCAGATTTCACAAACGTCTCCGAAGAGGGCTTATCCAAAGTTGGCTTTTGGATTTTAGCCAGTTTTGTAGCTAAAAAGTATGGCAGGACACTCTGCACAAAGATGCCCTTGCTCCTATACTCCTCATGGAGGCACCGAGAGAAGAAATCTACAAAAGTCTTGGTTGCAGAATAAATGGTCAACAGTGGGACAGGGAACATGCCACTGCCAGATGAGAGGTTCAGAATTGCCCCTTTAGATCTTTCCACCAAAGCATGTTCTTTAAGAAGGAAAATGAAACTAGAAGAAATGTCAGAGCTAGAGGAAGGAAAGATGAGCAAAGGATTTAGTAAGCATGGCATATCTAAAGTTTGTTCTACATAAAATACAAAGTTCTAATCTGTGGGGCAGCCTGTCTTAGTTCAGGTTCTTCCCCGAGCAGAGCCTAAGACGAATATTTAGGTACAAATCCTTTATTTGGGAAATGATGCCAGGAAGCATCAATAGGGGAGTGAAGTGTCTTAGTCTTGAGACAGGAAGCGAATAGTGTGTGTAAGAACTGTCCACTGAAGCTGCTGGTGACTTCCAGGCTCAACTGGAGAGATACAGCATGTCACTAATAGCATCTTTGGTAGGACTGGAATTCAAAATGTATAACACTAAAATATTAAACAAAGTAGGGTTTCAGTTGAGAAGTGGGTGATCAGAGTTAAATGTTCTAAAGTATTATTCAAGAAAAATATTAAGTTTTAGGCTGTTGTAACAAAGTACCATAGACTGAGTAGTTTATAAACAACAGAAATTTATGTCTCTCTTTTCTAAAGGCTGGAAGTTTAAGATTACAGGGCCAGCATGGCCAGGTTTTGGTGGGGACCCACTTCTGGATTGCAGACAGCTGACTTCTGATTGTACCTAATGTGGCAGAGAGCAGAGAGAAGGAGAGAGAGCTTTTTTGTGTCTTTTTATAAGGGGACCAATCCTATTCACCTAATCGTTCCCAAAGTCCCCACTTCCTAACAGCATCACACTGGGAGTTAGGATCTCAACATATAAATTTCAGAGAGACACACAGACATTTGGTCCATAGCAGAAAGGAAGCCAAGAGAAGATGCATCAATGAGCAAGTAACTGCTTGCTGTTGACAACAGGGCTCAACCCCACTGGGAATCCTCTGAAAATCTGTGTGTGGCACATTTTAGAATTTTCTCACCAAAGAGTGATGAAGTTGGGGCATTTATCTACTAACTGCTGTTTTGTATTGGCTGAGAACTGCCTTTTGGCGTCAGCTTTTCTGGCCTGCAGAATATGCTCCTGCAATCAATGAAAACCCTCAGAAGAGATATGCAGGTGCTTGAGACAGGCAGCCATCAATGTGTGTAAGAACTGTCCACTGAAGCTGCTGGTGACTTCCAGGCTTGACTGGGGAGATATGGCAGGGCACTCAACAGCGTCTGTGGCAGGATTGGAATCCAAAATGTATAGCACTAAAACATTAAACATCAGCAGGCCTTCATTTGAGAAATGGGTGATCAGAGTTAAATGTTCTAAAGTATTAAAGGAGAAATGTTAAGATATTAGTATAAGACTATTAAAGTAAATGTGCAAGGTAAAATTTCAAAGTTTCCACTAAAAGAATAGAAATGGATTGTATAACTTCTAAATCAGTTAAGAGGGGCAGAGGAAAAGATACAAAAAGAAAAACAAATAATAAAGAGAAATATCAGATTGACCTGGGTGCAGGTTACAGGTGATAAGTAGAGCAATAAGAGAGAAGCTGTGGGGGTGGAGCCTAGGCATGTGTACTTTTCACAAGCTCCTCAGCGATTCTTACACATTCTATAGTTTAGGAACCACTTGAATATAGCCAGAGCAACATTCTCAATGGCTTCCTGGAAAATTTTCATGGGAAATAAACATGCGGCAGAAGCAGTCTTTTGTTTCAAAAAGCACCTCCTTGTGGCAGCTTTAAAATGCAGCTGCAAATTCTTTAAACCTCTTTTTATCAAGAGTTGTGACTTAGTCTGCTTGTGTTGCTATTTAAAAAAAATCTGAGACTGGGTAATTTATAAAGAACAGAAATTTATTTCTCACAGTTTGGGAGGCTGGGAAGCCCAAGACCAAGGCACCAGCAGGTTTGGTGTCTGGTGAGAGCCGTTTCTGCTTCCGAGATGGTTCCGTGTTGCTGTATCCTCCTGAGGGGATGAATACTGTGTCCTTGTGCAGTGGAAGAGCGGAAGAGTGCATACCCATTCCTGAAGCCCTTTTATAAGGGCCAGAATCTCATCCACAAGGGCTCTGCCCACATGACTTAACCTCCTAAAGCCTCCGCTTCTTAATACTATCACTTTGGATTTTAGGCTCCCATGTACAAATTTTGGGGGCCATATTAAGACCATAACAAGGTGGGACCTATCTTCTCCCTTTAAATCTGGGTGGACTGCTTTGACCAATACAGTGTGGCAGAAGAATTACATTGTGACCAAGACCAAGTCATAAAAAGTCATAAAGCTTCTGTCTTTTCCTTAGGGAATCTTGGCTTTTGGAACTCTAAGATGCCCAGGTAAGATGTTCAATTACTCTAAGACCACCATGCTGGCAAGGGCACATGTAGTCATCTGGTTGATAGTCCATGACAGTCTGAGCTGAGCCCACTTTTAGCTTTCCCAGCCCGGGGACCACACATGGGAATAATGAAGCTTTCCTGGAGGTGATTCCTCCAGCACTCTGGCTCTAGCCTCCAGTTTAGATTATCTGAGGACCCAGACACTGAGAATCAAAGATAAACTGTCTCTACTCTGCTCTGCCTGAATTCCTGGCCTGCACAATCTGTGCACAGAATCAAATGGTGTTTTATGCCACGAAATGTTGTGGTGATTTGTTAAGCATCAATATATAGCCAGAACACCTGAATTAAAAATCTGTCAACCGTACAAAGACTGTCACTGTGCTGCTGTATCTCCATGCCTCCAAACCCAAACCCAAAAGCTACTGGTGCCCCTGTTTGTATGAGAGAAAGTGAAGGGATCTCAGTCAATGCAGTGGAGATGAAAAGAAGCCCAAGAAAAGCAGTAACAACTAGGGGTATGAAGCTGGAGCCTGAGGAAAGGTACTTGCACAGAACTGGTGTCTCTCTGTGTTGGCGTATTCTGCCCATAACCACCTATACATCATGTACACGGTCTTCACTTATGACCATGCCTGGAATCCAACCAAATAGAGACTCTTTATCCTCCTTCTGAAATGCCAAGATCTGTAGGAGACTGAGTCCTGCAGCTATTTACATTTTAATGTCAAGTAATTCAATACTGCTTTCTTCCTGACACCTCAGAGAGCTGCTGTTCTGGGAGGAATAAAAAATTTGAAAGAAACAGGAGTGGAAATCTAGGTGACAGTTCTACGAAACCCTTTGAAGAATAGGGCAGAGTGCCTCTGTCTCCCCATCCCCCCTTTTCTCCTCTGACACTTTTAAGTCTCTCCTTTTCTCCACCACCTCCCTTAGGACACTTGCCTCCTTCTTAGAAGGAAAGCAGTCCCAGATTTCAATTCCTCTTTCTTTCTTATGAACTCTAGTGGCTTTTTCTTCATTTGGGTGTTAGAGGAGCTCTCCCTACCCGGGGTTCTGTTGCTCTGAGAATGATGGCTGCACCAGCTGTAGTTCTATGGGCTGGGATGTGCTGTGGGCACTGCCCTTCCCATTTTCACTCCCTGACAGCGCTGTTGCAGCTGCTTGAATGCATTCTCAAAAACACACCAGCCACAGCCAGGGGCTATTCACTTTCTTCCAAAGACTCCAGTGTGACATAAAGAAAACCTATTTCTTCTAGTAGCATTACTTTGACCAGCTTTTTTTTTTTCTAGAATTACCCAGAGATGATCCTAAAAGACCTGTTCTTTGCTTTGAGGCTTACTTTCACCAAAAGAATCCTCAGGAGTAGGCACAGTGGGTCACACCTGTAGTCCCAACTATACCAGAGGCTGAGGGGCAGAAGGATCACTTGAGCCCAGGAGTTCCAGGCTGCAGTGAGCTATGACTGCACCTGTCAATAGCCGCTGAACTCTAGCCTGGGAGACGTAGCAAGACCCCATCTTTGAAAAAAAGAAAAAGAAATGAAGAAAAGAGTTCTCCTGTTAGCTGAGATTAGCTTTCTCTGGAGCTGCCCAGCACATAGAGTTCTGATGATAAGTGGATTCATTCCGATCCCCATTCCTTTTACCGATGGAAGTCAGGTGGGGAAGGAGGGGAAGGGAGTTGGGTTTCAGGTAAGTATGCACTCAGGTATGAGAGGTACCTTTGCTTCCTGCCTTCACTGTGCTCCATGATAGACATGTATGATATCTGTGAGATGTAATTATAACAACTAAGGTTGGACTATGGATTGACAGATGGTGTCTGGTGGTGATTTTTCTAAGCATCCTCTCTGACATTTCACATTACAAAAGATAGCATTTGCCTTTTATTTGATACTACTGAATGAGCTATTCGTTTTGTAGCCAGTAGAGCAAAAAGGTTAAGATACTAGCTCAGGCTTTAGACAGCATGGATTTGAATCCCAGGTCTGCTATTTACTGTGTAATTTCAAGCAAGTAACTTAATCCTTTCCACGATGCTGTTTTCCCATCTATGAAATGGTTGCAGTGAGTAGTACTGTCACATAGGGATATTGTCAGGATAGAATGAGTTAATACATAGAAAGCACTTGCAACAGTACCTGAACATAGTAAATACTCAGCAAATGTGAACTACGATGATTAAAAATCATTTTCTTTTAATGAGTGATGAGAAGTTATCATCTAAAATTGACTTGTTGTCATCTCAGCACTCTTCACTATAAAGGCAACTTTATAACGAAATATAATGCATTGTAAAGGCAATAAAAACGCAGCCTCATTTTGCAATACTGGGAGTTAAATCGGCATCAACAGCACTCCCCGTCTTCGGTATTGAGAGCTTACCTGGCTGGGTATGGATAACTTAGACAGCAAGAGAATTACTTCAGAATTAAGACTTCAGATTTCACCTGGGTTGGGCAGCTCCTGTTTTGAGCAACACTTTTCTCAATCCTGTTTCCAAATGTCTTCTTATGAAAATCAGGGCCATCGTTATTTTCCTTGTGGATTTTGAATAACTCATAGTTCTTAGGTAGACTTGACCCTTTCACAGGAAGTTTTTTCTTATAAAGCCTCTTATATTTTAGGGTGGAAGATTGCTCAGTCCTCCATCTCTTGGGTAAACAACCCACATCACACCTGGGCCATGTTTCTTTTGGGAAACCAAAGAGAATAAGGTACTCTTATTGAACATGGATGGTCAGTGCCGTCCTGGAAACAGGACAAAGCAGAGGTCTGTGGCCACCTTTGGCATGGTCTTATTTGTTTCGAGTACAAGTTGCTGTATCCTTTGGAAGAAGATTCCAGCTAATGAACACTAAAATACCCACAGAGACACAGAGAGCACACTTTAAGTATGAAGACAAAACTCAACTGTGAACAATTGTTGGGGTATGGGGAAGAAAGTAGATGCCCTGAGATGACCTTGGAGATAGCTTTTAACATCTTTAGAAGTTACCATTAAGAAGAAATCTCCAAGAAGATGACCTCTATTTTGAAAAGCATCTGGTCTATTCAAAAGTGTGCTTGCAAAGGAGAGAAATACAAAACTACCAATAGGCCAATGCCACACTAATAATTGCTGCAGCCCAAATCCATCGATAGATGCTAAAACCAGAGGGCAAAATTTGAAGAGGAACAGGCTATTTTCATGGTCTAAGTACCCCATCCCAAGATATTTGCTAATTACAAAGAGGAAAAATAGTAAACTTATGGTGGAGAAACCAGACAGATAGCACTTTATCCAACAGATCAAGGTTAATATCACCAGTGATACAACATTAACATCATACACGCTTGATATCATGTACTGAGAGAAGCCCAACATCACTTCGGTGGTATTCTTGCAAAAAAAAAAAATGCACAGTTTACTCTCAATCATGAGAAAACACCAGATAAACCCAAATTGAAAGACATTTACAAGGTAACTGACCAGTACTCTTTACAAGTTTCAGGGTCATGAAAGATAAGGGAAGACTGAGGGACTGTCCCAGATTGGAGAAGAAATAAGAAGATACAACTGAATGGAAAGTGGGGTCCTGGAGTTGGTCCTTGGCCAGAAGGACAGCAGTGGGGAAACCGGGGAAATCCAAGTAAAGTCTGTAGCTAGGAAGGTCACACCAGAGTTAATCTCCTGGTTTTGATAGTCACACAATGGTTATGTCAATATGTTAATATTTGAGGAGTCTGGGTGAAGGGTAGATGGAAACTCTCTGAACTATTTTTGTAATTTTGGATAAGTCTAAAATAACTTCAAAATACAAAGTTAAAGAAAAAAATTTAAAAGTGTCCTTTTCAGCAGGAAGTCTCCAAATATAGAGAATTGTTTTGGTAGGTTTAATTGGCCTGGCAGATGAGAAGCCATAAACTGGCTTTTAAAAAAAGGAATTATAATACAGAAGTATTCAAAGCAGATTCTCCTTACCTTAAGGGAATAATTGAAATACCAAAAATAACAAATAAAAAAATCAAAGCTTGTCCTGTTGACAAAATATACCATTGATATCATGAAAGTAAACATTCAATAGCATATTATAAAATGTATTTATGAGTATGTGGAAAAGAACTTTATATTTGTCCAACTGACATCTTTTCATAGCACATCCCAAATCCTGACTTCTAAAAGCATCGTAGAAAACCTAGCGGTGTGTTTCTTTGGTTAAAGCTGTCTTTGTTATCAAATTTGGCATTATAGGTGAGAAAAGAAAAAGAAATATGTATTTTTAAAAATTAAAAATAAGCCTGTCTTAACTCCAGAGAGAAAAATAAACAAAGGCTCATACAACCTGATTAAGAAGTTTTAAGATTCACTAAGGTACTGACATTGGGGAGACTGGTACAGGTGTGTATTTTTCTTTGACACACTCCTTTGCTTTTCACAGCGTTGGCCCAGGGCTTTTTGGAGTGCACGTTCCCTATTAACTTTTTCAGGAGAGCTGAGCACAGCCTATCACTTGGATCTTTATTAAACTAGAGCTCTCACAGGCTCCACATTCAAGATTCATTAGGTGACAAATGCCAGGAAGAAAGACGGATCATCTGGAAGGATCCTGGATTGTTAATGCACTTCAGAGTTCTCTGATCATGATGATTAATAATCTATGTAAAAGTGACATTTTAATGAACACCTTTCATTTCTACCATGCTTTATGGGCTTTATAGCATTTCCTCATTTTATTTCATCAACAACCGCGAACATTGAGTACCTACCAGGAGTGGGACTCAGATTCTGCCCTTGAGTCACCGCCAGCCAAGCTGAGGAGTGCGGTGGATGCACAGGACTAAACCCCTCCATCAGTTGAAAGAAAACCTAGAAATTGGGCACCAAGGTAGGAGAGAGATGCAGCCGTTTAGGGTAGATGGAAAGACTTTCTGGTATAGGTCAGAAGGCTGTTCTAGGCCTGCAGTGGGGAAGTAGGTGGCAGGGGCAGGCACCCAGCCAGGGAAGTGAATGGTAGTGAAGCCCCGTGCCATGTTTTAAAGCAAGAATGTACAAAACCACATTTACAAAGGTTTATTTGAAACAATATGTAGAACCAGTCAAGACTGGTGGAAAAAACTGAAGAAAGAAGACTAACTGGTACCTGTTATTAATAAAATTAGCTGATACTCATTAAGAGGTCACTTAACCAGAGCCCATGCTAAAGGCTTTATGCAAATAATCACATTTAATATAGTCCAGTATTCCTCAGAGCTAAACTCGGGTTAGTTGATCACAGAACTGGGACTTTATTTTATTTTATCATTATTATTTTTTGAGACGGAGTCTCCCTCTGTTGCCTAGGCTGGTGTGTAGTGGTGCGATCTCAGCTCACTGCAACCTCTGTCTGCCAGGTTCAAGTGACTCTCATGGAGTAGCTGGGATTACAGGTGCGTGCCACCATGCCCAGCTAATTTTTGTATTTTTAGTAGAGACGGGGTTTCACCATGTTGGCCAGGCTGGTCTCGAACTTCTGACCTTAGGTGATCCACCCGCCTCGGCCTCCCAGAGTGCTGCGATTTACAGACGTGAGCCACTGCGCCCAGCTGGCTGGGACTTTAAACCATTACTTCACATTCAAATAATCATAATGGTAGTAATAGGAAGATAATGAGGGAGATGACTTTGTACTAAACACCCACAACAGACAGGTGCTGTACTCAGTGCTTTGCAGCCCAGTGCTTTGCCTGGACTTGTTGGGAGAATGGGCAGGGGAAGAAGTGAATCAGCACTCTGAATGCAGACATCCTTGAAATATTTTGTCAGCTTGTGAGCCTGAAGATAAGGCTGTACTGCTAATGTATCAGGAAAGACCAAGAGGGCAGCCAGTGGAGAGGGAGAAGGGGCACTGTTTTGCTTTGAGTAAGCTGGGGACCACTTCCTCGTGTTGGGGGGAAAACAATGATACGCAGTAAAAGAAGAAAAAAGGGCCAGTCTCCTTAAATTTCACCGAAATAGTGCAAACTACAATTTTTCAAGAATATAATCAATTATTGGGCGGTCCTTAGTGAGTCTGGAATTATTAAGAATAAATAACCCTTTTTTTTTTTTTTTTTTTTTTTTTTTTTTTTTTTTTTTTTTTTTTTTTGAGAGGGAGTCTTGCTCTGTCACCCAGGCTGGAATGCAGTGGCATGATCTCGGCACATTGCAACCTCCATCTCCCGGGTTCAAGCAATTCTCCTGCCTCAGCCTCCCGAGTAGCTGGGATTACAGACATGAGCCGCCACATCTGGCTAATTTTTGTATTTTTAGTAGAGACAGGGCTTCACTATGTTGGTCAGGCTGGTCTGGAACTCCTGACCTCAGGAGATCCGCCTGCCTCGGCCTCCCAAAATGCTGGGATTACAGGCATGAGACACTGTGCCTGGCCAAGTAATCCAATTTTTAAAAGATGGGTAGGTTTTAGTTAGTAATGTCCTTTATTTTCTGAAGTCTGGTATAAAAGGCAGGAATTTTTGTTCATATTAAAAAGTCATCTGGAATAGTTTCAGAATTTTATGTCTCAAATTACTGCCTTTTATTTTTGTGATTAATTGTGTTTGAAAAGATACATATTTTTAGCTATTCTTGTTATTATTGCTGGAATTATGCATGTAGAAATATACATTCAAACAATGTAGGAGGCACAAAATGGGCAGTTTAAATCGCCTCGACCTACTCCGCAGAGACTGCTTTTAATTCTGGTGGTTATTCACACTGCATTTAAATTGTTTATTTAACTCAGAAAGGACACATAGTTTTAATGCTTATTAAGAGTTTCATTGTGTACAAAATGGTATAGCATATTGTGTCAATTTTATGAAGAGGCAATGGCCCATAATACGTTTTAGACACAGACTTTATTGAAATTTTCAGCAGAAAGCTCTAAAATGTCGATATTAAATGTAAAAGTATGTTTTTAGTACATGCCACAACCATGAACAGCTTCATTCTATTACTAAACGGTCATTAAAATATTCATCCAAATTCTATTTGAATAACTTTCATGTCTTGTAAAATCTGAAGAACATTTTAAATTGATGGGGTATTAGAATGTTGAAAGAAATACATTTGCTTTTAAGACCAGCCTTATCAGAATTCGTGAAGGCTATATTGTGGCATAAATGTATATATTATAAATGTTGGGGAAACAAAAAGAAAAAATCATATAAGAGTGGATAACTTCCTGTTGAATATAATATTACCAGTTTTTTTTTTTGGGGATTTTTATTAAAGCATTCAGTATTGTCTTCTCGTACTTTTCAGCCACATAGTTGAACTCAAATCAGAACATGATCCTCCAACTTTATATTCATTAACAGTAAGGATTCAGACAAGTGTGGATTGCCTTGTTTATGTTGTGGCCTCTGCATGTGAACCCTCTGGGTTACTGCTGCAACACGGATTTTCATCCGCCTCCTCATTTGATTAATTAACCCAGCTTCGGTCATTGTTTCAGCAGCCCCTGCACAGGCAGCCTCTCCGCCCTGGCCCACCAAGTCTCCACTAGAACCTCTTTCATTTCACCCAGGGAGTCTGGGGAAGGCGCTGGACAGCGGTGTTCATAATTCCTTTGTCTAATTGCATAGGATCAGGGTGATAAAGTTTAAAAGGGTGTTTGCATCAAGAGTGGTTATTTCAATTTGCCCTGTTAAATTTTCACCTTTTGCTGATAGATAGCATGCCTAATTTTATGAAATGCCATTATGTTCACAGAAAGGAGATGGGAGTGGGGAAGGGTTAACATAAGAGCAAATGCTGCAGCACATCTCAGCCCCTCACCCAGCCTACATGTCCATTAAGACCAAAATTCTACCTCAGGGCAGAGCTGCCCTTCAATACTGTTCCTTCTGTTGTCTCACCGTGTTGTAGCCCATGGTGACCGCAGGGGCTCTGACACAGAGAGCAGTCCTCTGCCTTCCATGGCACCCTCCCAGGGGAGGGGGAAGTCCTGGCTGGTCCTTTCCTTTCCTTGACTCACCCGGGGTTGGCACAAAGGGCAGCTGGTGGGGGAGGGGCAGAGGTGCCGGAGCAAAGGGACTCTGTCACCCTTTGCAGGATAAGAGTCCTTAATCTGCAGTCCCTCATCCCCAAGGGGTAGAATTACCTCTTAATCTAATTTACTTTATAACCTAAACTCATTCTTCTGAGAAGGGTTCTATAGGAGTCTTCAGCCTGGCAAAGGGGCCTGTGGGACACAAAGTGTTAAGAACCTCTGGAAGGTGGCACCATTCTTCCCTCCAGCTGAGCAGTAATGGCCATTTCTTACTGCTCAGCCACTCTCTTTGCTTCCCCCCACCCCAATTCCAGCCAGATACATAGTAAGGAATCAATCAAGACTCACATTTTTAAAATCTCTTTATTATTTGTGGAATTTTACACAGCCTGAGGCATTTTTGATAGAGGGCATAGAGTGTGTGAAGAGATAAATCTACATTGCCACTCCCAGCCCATTCTGTAACCCCTGCCACTGCGGCTGTTCATTTCAGAGTGGGCTGAGGTTCCACAGAGCAGCTGAAGAGCTGTGAATGGTGGTTAATTGCAGTGATGTTAATTAGCATGTTATAGGAGGTAAGAAGAGGGGATTCACATTTCTCTTTTTACTGCTTCAAACAAATGATCTAGATCTTTGCTACATAAGCCACTGGCCACATGTGGCTATTTAAATGGAAATTAATAACAATTAAAGAAAAATTAAAGATCAGTTCCTCGATCACACTAGCTACATTTCTAGCGCTTGATAGCCACATGTGGCTAGTGGCTGCCATATTGGAGAACATGGATACAGTACATTTCCATCACCGCAAATATCCATGGACAGTGGTGCTGCTAGTTCTCTACCTCGCTCACCTGCTGACTTCAGAGCCTAGCCTGGGCCTGTCCTTCTGGCTTCCTCCTTCCCCCGCCCCCCACCCCACTCCTTTGTCTCCCATCCTCATGCCTCTCCCCACCTCCCTCACCCCACTGATATCCTTGTCATGGAAAGGTGTGACAGGGTTCCTGCTGTGAGTTCAGCTCCACCGTTTTGAAGTGGTTCAGCATATTAACTACCTACCTCCCTGCGATGCCCTGTGAATTAGGAAGGGCAGGCATATCCTTTTCTATTTTTTCGGTAACCAGTGGGGAAACGGGCTCAGAGAGCAGCGATAAGTAATTAACTTGTCCAAGGTTGCACATGGACAAAAGCCATCTTCTGATTTCTGGTACAGGCTTTTTTCTCATGGTTTGTGCTTTGTAAATGTTTAGGGCAGTCATAGTCTTAATTTTAAAGACACTATGTTCAACATTTCCTGTGTCTCTCAGCAGGGTTTCACTGTGGAAGTGCACGAGAGTGCAGCAGGGAGACCTCGCTGACCGTCTCGCTCCTCAGCCACAGGCCACCTGGCTTTGTCAGTTTCCTTATCTGGAAAATTCGTGGAGGGAGTCATTACAAAATGATGCTAAGATTTCCTCTGGTTCCAATATTCAACATATTTTTTGATTACTTTTTACTCATATGGCTTGATTTATTTCCCAAATGATTCAAGGACCCTTTTCAAAAGGTCCTCCCCTTGATCTGGAGCGGCCGTCACTGTGGCAGCTACCTACTGACAGTGCAATAGCAGGCCATCTCTAGGGTGACACCTGGAATTGCCTGCCAAGCCCTTGCCACCCAAAGTGTGGTCCTGCCCCAGCAGCACCAGCGTCTCCCTGGAGCTCATGAGAAATGCAGAATGCCAGGGCTGCTGAACACGAATCTGCATTTTATCCAAATCCCAGGTGATTCGTTTGTATCCCAAAGCTTGAGGAACTGTGATCCAGGCCCTGGGGAAGCAAGAATGAGCACAACTCACCTGAGTAGAACTCGGCCAGAGGGGAATCAAGCAGACATGGGGGACGTGCCCAGCTCCAGACCCTCCTAGCCACACTGGAACATGGCTGTCCCCTCAGGGTTTGTCCAGGTGAGTCTGAGCTCCTTCCCTGGGTACAGTCATTCTTTCGGTGTGGAGAACACCTTTGGCTCTGGAGTCTATTTACTCAGGGACTCATTGTCTGCACTCACAGCCTCTTTCCTCCATCTCATTAATACGCAGTTGAAGCACTCTGATTTGCAGCAGGCTTTTTACGCACACCCTATGGTCCTGTAAGATCTTTAAAGTTAGGATTAGAATACTGGTTCTACAGGATACACCTAGAGTTAGGTGGACCTTGGGCCATGTGCTTATAAGTCCCCAAAAGGCTCAAGGGAATGCTGACTTTACATTCTGGGAGTCCACAGGAGGCCTAGAGAAACATGAGGGAAGGAAGAACAGGATTTCATCAGATTGGGATTTGGGAAATGGCTGTTTCAAATAGAGGAGAGGACAAGGTGGGATTTAGTGTACAAAGACCCAAGGCGCCGTCCTCAGAGGCACAGAGAGCATCATCATGTCATCCAAGCCCTATGGAGATGGGTGACCGGGATGTTCTGGGGCTGATACTGGACACCTGCCTGCTCCTGGGAGGGAAACGGTGATCCATCTGCAGAAGCCCCTGGCCATGGTGGCAGCCAATGGCTGGATGTGAAATTCAAGCTAGACGTGGACATTCCTAATCTGCCTTACCTCACAGATGGGAAGAACAGGATCGTCCACAATCCTGGACATCCTGGATCGTCCCGCGGCGCTCACAAGCACGCTTCTTCAGAGTGCTGAGACTGAAGAAGGAAAGGTGCCAGGAGACATCAGGGAGGACCAAATGGTGGAATACCACCTGCAGCTGAAACAGCTCCACCATGACCCTGACATGAAACATGGAAGCCTCCATACTCGGAACTGCAACCTGGGCAGCTGAAACATTTCTCCTTGTTTCTGAGGAAGTCATGGTTTCCAGGGGGAAAGCTCACCTTTTTGGATATTCTTACCTGTGATGTCTTAGATCAGAACTGTATGTTTGAGCTCAAGTGCCTGTATGAGTTCCCAAATCTGAGGACTTCATGCACCACATTGCAGCTTTGGAGGAAAGAGCTGCCCCTGTGCAATCTGCCTGTTCTTCGGGATGCCAGTCAGCAGCGAGATGGCCCAGTGGGGACCAAGAGCGTATGCTGAGCAGGACACAGATGCACACTGCGTGTTTCGTTCCATCCTGTCTCTAGGGGCCTGCACTCTATCTTCTCTGCTCTTTTCAATAGCATTTAGGCTAAAAAACAAAACAGAAAAGTCTGAAGCAGAGAGAAATTCAAGATAGAACTCTAAGACCAGGTGGCTTAAACAACAGAAATGTATTTTCTTACAGTTCTGGAGGCTGGAAGTCTAGGATCAAGGTGTCAGGAGGGCTGGTTTCTTCTGAGGCCTCTCTCCTTGGCTTGCAAGTGGCATTTCCTTCCCATGTCCTCACATGCCCTCCCCTCTGCGTGTCTGTACCGATTTCTTCTTCTGCTAAAGACACCGGTCATACTGAAGTAGGGCCTACCCTAATGAATTCATTTTAACCCAGTTAGCTCTTTAAAGGTTCTATTTCTAAATATGGTCACATTTTAAGATACTGGGGGTTAGGACTTCAACATGAATTTTGGGGCACATGGCTCAGCCACTCATCTCCACAGCCTCTTCTGAGGAATGAGAGTGGCTCTTTCTGCATGCAGTTGTCACACCCTGTGCCTGTGTCATGTGTCCCTGTGCCTTGAGTGTCCAAGTCAAAAGTAACCATATGGGCTGGACTTCGAGAAGCCACTTGCCCCTCAGGTGTTTTGGACACTGAACCTGACCAATGGGGGCTCTGCAAACCGGGGGTGCCTCCCTGACCCAGTCAGATTCTCCCTCTAGGAAGGGGGACTGCCACATTCTGGGAGCTCCTTTGTCATAGGAAAAGACCAAGTCACTGGCTTTGAGGATGGGTCCTGAGGGAACAAGTGCCATAGTTCTGGACCTGCACGAGGGCAGCTGTGTGTCCCAGGCTTGGCCATGAGAAGCCAGAGAGATGGGCCAGCTGCTGTTTAGTCTCCATGTCCCTCACTACGTAGTTCCCTGTGCTAACTGCCTCCTTGCAGCCCAAAAACTCTACTTAGTACAGAAGGACGCATCAACAATGGACATTCCCAAGGAACACATGGGGAAAGAGGCCATTAAAATAGGCCCTGAAGTCATGAGTGACCTCTGGAGACCAATGCTAGGTCTAAGATAAAGGCAGAGTAACAGCTCAAGTGTCTGTGTCTTTGGGGTCCCCCAGATGCAGACCCTGAGACAAAGATTCATGTGCAAGTAGTTAATGGGGACCAACAAGGAAATGGAAAAATGAGAAAGTGAAGGGAAAAAGAATCAACACGAGAGGTGGTAATGAGAAGATTGCCACTGAAGACAACTAGGGCTCAGTCCCACTGGGGGCCTGTGGGAAATGGCGAACATGTCTCAGGGTTGTTCCACCTGGGGCCAGGAAGCTGGGCCATATATCCTGCAACCTCCACCTGAAACTGCGTGAAGACCATGAACTCCCCAGCCCTAGCCACCTGTCTAATGGGCCCAGCACCCTCCTGCTCACCTCCAGGCAGAGACTTGCAGATGCTGGCAGCGGGAAGCCAGCACAAGGGAAAAGGGAGTGCACAGGGGCTGTGGGCAGTGGCTGCATTCTGCGGCAAGCTCTGCCTCCTCCCCTGAGTCACAGAGCAGGAGTTCCAACCACAGCTCTCTCTGCTCAAAGCAGCTGGCTGTTCACTGGGTGAAAAGGACTGCTGATTTCTGAGCGATGCCTTGTGGTCAGACCATCAAGTATCAGATCCTCTGTCACAGACACAAAAAGCTGATTCCTTTTGTTTTACCTTCTACATCTAACTATCCTTCATTTCATACCCATTCCACACAATTCATCTTACCCTACAGAGGCTGATGGGGTAATTCTTTTATTTTGTAGCTAGTAAAGAAACATGGAGAGATCTGGAAGTAGATACTTAAGTAAAATTCCTTTTAATAATTCTTGTGGTTAGACACAGTGGCTCACATTTGTAATCCCAGTGCTTTGGGAGGCCAAGGTGGGAGGATAGCTTGAGGCCAGGAGTTTGAGACCAACCTTGGAAACACAGTGAGACCACATCTCTACACAAAAATAAAAAATAGCTGGGCACGGTGGTGCCTGCCCGTGGTCCCAGCTCTTGGGAAGGCTGAGACAGGAGGCTCTTTTGAGCCCAGGAGTTCAAGGCTGCAATGAGCTATGATAGCATCAATGAACTACATCCTGGGTGTCAGAGCGAGATCCTGTCTCAGAAAAAAAATGAAACAAAACAAAGCAAAAAGTTGCAAATCTCTCAGATTAGGGAGCCCAACACTATGCACAGAAGAACAAGTTAACTTATTTTACCTTTTCCCCACATTAGGCAAAAAAGTAATCATTTAATTAAAGCAGTAAGATCAATTGGCTACTGAAAAATCTATTTTTTGGTACACATTATCATCCTGGGGGGAGAGGGGAGTTGCTCATGTCATCGAAACCATGGAAGGCCCAGGCCCAGGCCCAGGAGTGAGAACAGGCTCCGGAGCGTGCCCCTCAGGTGCACCCTCAGCCTACTCCCCCTCAGTTCTCAGGGGACACTCGCTGGCCGAGATGGCCACTTGGCACCCAGTGGAGGTGCTGGTGTACATACAGGCTTCCCCGAGGATGACAAGGGGTTGGCCCAGCCCCCACCAACCAGGATGGGACCTGGGCACTGGCTGCCAGAGGAGAACTGGCAGAACCCTGCCCTGTGGAGAAGTCACCTAACTGCCTTCTGCAGAGTGGGAGGGCATCTTTGTCCTCCCCCACCCCTGCCCACTCTTCTGGAATAGGAGAGGACGCCCTGGTAGATCCCACCTCCACTCCCAGAATGCTTTTCTTTGTCAGAACACTGGCTTGATTATAAGATCGGGTGCTTAACTTCTCTGAAACAGGCTCCTCTGCAGAAGGACAGATTGGCTATGATGATCTGATTAGACGACGAGGAGAAGCAGCCTGGCCTAGAAGGTGCTCAGTACGTGGCAGCGGTGATGGTCATCGTCTTCAGGTGCGAGAGAGGCTGGGGTCAGCGACCTGGGGCTTTCTTTGTATCATTTTATGAAGAAAGGTAAAAATACCACAGGCGAGAACAAGCAGCAAAGGGCGGATGAGATTTTTCATCTGCAGCTTTGAATTGATACCTTTAAGTATTGAGCTATTCTTTTGTTAGGACAGAACACGTTATTCCATTAGAAGAGAACATTTTGGGGTGGTGGAAGTGTTCCACGTCCTGTGTGGGGTGACAGTTACACGCATGTCACATCAGCAGTCTGAGGAGGGAGGGGAGAAGGGCCGGGCTGGATACCTTCAGCCTCTTCATCGCACTCCAGGCACCAAGTGCAAGGGCAGGGAGTTTTCATTATTTAGGGAATGCAGCCCTGGTGTAGAGGACACCTCGCGGAGACATCTCGAGTCCCGCAGGTGTCTGAGCTGCGCTGCGCGCCCCAGCCGGGAAGCCTTTTCTTATCCAACCGCGCCGCCCCGCGGAAAGCCTGGGTACTGCAGACGCCCTCACCGGCCCACCGACAGCTGGTTTTGAAGCGGGGGCTTAGAAAAGTAAAGGGGACAGTGTTTGGAGCCACGATGCCTTTGATGTGAGGCGGTTCCACCCAACAATCAACGAATCAAGCTGGAACTGCAGGCCCTACTTTTGTTGGGGGGAGGACCTTAAGGAATGTCACCCCCTTGTCCCCTACCCTCTGCCCCACGCCCAGCCTCTCAGAAGGCACCAGGCGTGAGTAGAGTGCGAGGCGTCCACACCCTCGTGTCCCTTCCATTCCCGGACACCTTTGCACCCTAGCCGAGGCCTCAGCACGGAGTGAGGGTTGCCTGGGGTGCCCTGCTGTGTGTGGGGCGTTCTTGCCTCCCGGGCCCTGACCCCACGGTCTGGGTCGGCGAGGCGTCTCTCCCTGGCGTCTGGACTGTGCGCCTGCCCCGCTTCCAGGCGACGAACGGCAGGAGCCGGGGGTCCGGCGGGACCCGGATCCAGGGCGGGCGGAAGGCGAGGGTCTCTCCTTCCCGGAACCCCCGCCCCGGAAACCTGCAACCAAACCGGGTCCCTCCTCCGCATCGCTCCCGCGCTCCCGGGCCGCCTCCCCACGCGGGCACCCACTCTCCGGGCCCTCGCAGCACCGCCCTCTCCGCGTCCACCCGCGCGGCCGACGCCGCCAGGGGCCCTGAGATCGCGGAGACAGCGCGCCCTGGCGCCTGGTGGGGCCCTCCCAGTGGCCAGAGCGCTCCTGGACCAGTCGGCTGTGGTCTGTGCCCAAACACGATGGAAACCGGGGCTGGGACGGGCGGTGGTACGCACGTGGAGGAGAAGAGGCATGGCGGGAAAACCACAGCCGAACACAGGTCGACTCGCACCTCCCAGGCACCCGCCGCCGTCTGACTCGCGGCTCTCCCCAAGGTTCCGACTCGCCGCCACCTCTTGGCACCACTCACCGGGCTCCGACCCGGGCCGCGAGTCCGCTGATGCGCAGCTGCCTCCGGCGGCTCCCGGGCTCTGCCCGGACCCGCGCGCAGAGACGCTCGGGAACGCTGGGCTCGGGCGCCTCCTGGCGGCGGCAGCACGCGGCACACGCTCGGTTCTCCGGCCCGAGGGGGCGCGTGGAGCGTACGCGGGATCCGCGCGCGGGCCTGGGCTGCTGGCCCACATTTCCCCGCTTGCTCGGATGGCGGCGCTGAGGCCTATTCGCCTCTTTATTAATAACGATGCCTCGGGAGGGAAAAAATAGAGCCTTTAAAAATCAGAGTGCGAGAGAGGAGTGTGTGTGTGTGTGTGTGTGTGTGTGTGTGTGTGTGTCTCGGGGCGTTGGTGAAAGCAATAAAACTCAGATCGCTTCCTTGGCGAGATAGCGGCGGCTATAATGCGCCGGGGGGATCAGGGGTTTATTTGCAGATCCTGGATAAAAGATGATATATCGACACGGTTTAGAGTGTCACTGCGCTTGGCCTCTCAGGGAGCCACAAGTACATATTTCCTGAAATACCGCCCAGCACAGTATCTAATCCGCCCGCCACTTAACACCGGGAGGGGAACTTCAGCAGCGCACAAGCGCGCTCCCGGTTTCCTGGTTCTGGGTGGGGAGAGCCCAAATGAGAAGGATCTGGTATGCCTAGACGCCCCCTCCCCTGGCCTTTGTCTTCAGTCCAAGTAATCACTTAGCGATGGGCCTTAATAAATACGTCTGAGAACTGTCCTTATGCTCGGTAAATATTGGATTAGCTTTTCAATGACCAGGCTCTTGAAAAGGCTCGAGAAATACACACCAGGTCTCAACTAAGCCCAACAGTCAATAGGTAAGGAAATAAGTTATTTCCCCATCTGAGGTGGGGAATGTTGGGAAGGGGGACTTCCACTCTTACCAAATTATCTGATTCTACTAAATATGACCGTTGTACTAAATAGGAAAGGGGGCGCATCCAAGTTTCCCATTAGTCGGAATTTCCACCAGCTCAGTTCTGCTCATTAAGGGCCGAGTGACTTTGTGGGGAACATATCTGGGTTCCAGTTTTTATTTCCACAGAGCTCAGCATAAACTATTTTTGTTTAGTACATATGGTTTATTTGGGGACTGCTTATGGGAGTTTTGACCTGGCAATTGCAGGGGAGAAGGCATGACCCAAATTATTTCCGACTGCCTCGCGCCAATTTGGACCGCTTAGAGGAGGCAAAAAATGGGCAAATTCCTTGGAAGCCCTGCTGTGTCTCCCTGGTACTGAATTTTGTAAGCACGCGATACAGGAGACATTGAAAATTAAAGAGGAAGTATCTCCCTCCTCCAACATGGGGAGAGACGCTGTTGGAAGAAGTTTCTGAAGTGGTTTCCCATCGCACCAAGAGGCCAGTGGGATGGATCCCCGCGCATAATTCAAAGGAACGCGCGCGTCTTTAGCTCTTCGGGGTTGGTAACCAAGTGGTCCGGCCGGGCGCAAGTCGCCTTGGAACCGGCTGCAGCCCAAGTCTAGCTGGGCCCGGGACTGAGCGGCACCCTTGGCCTCTCAGAACCTTTCTCGCGGTGAGTGGAAGGGCGGCTCCGCGCGCGGGCGCTTCGGGGCCGGTCGGTTGCGAAATCAGGGGGTGGATTTTCATCTACCCAGGAGCCGCTAAGCCCGTAGGGGACCGAGCATCACCCAGGCCCTGGGTACCCTGAGTTGCCTCCTGAGCCCCAGGACGGTCCGATGGTGCAGAGCTCCCAGGCAGAAGTTAGTTTCCTGATACACACACAGCAGTGAGCAAAGTGCGCACAAGTGAGCCAAACCCTGAAGACGCAGGTTCGCGGACTCCCATCCCAGCGTTAGAGTCAAGGAGACAGAAGAGAGGAAGGAGAGAAGTGAGGAAGGGAGAGAGATTATGAGAAAAAGAGATTATGAAAGTAGAGAAAGAGATTATGAGAGCGAGATTATGAGAAGAGAGAAAAAGAGAGATTTTGAGAGAGAGAGACAGAATGAGAGAGATCCAACTTTCAGTGTCACGGGGCCTAGGCGGGGCAAGCGCCCTCCGAAGCCATCAAAGACAGGGGTGGCTTTTTCTCCCCTCCTCCAGCCTCCTCCCCAATAGATATAGCACGAATTTTTAATGCGTCTTCCTTTCACAGACAACAATACAGGGTTTGAAAGCCGGACACAATTTAGGTTTTGTGCGGGTCCCTCCTCGCGCTCCCTCGGCCCAGCTGGCCATATGGAATCCAGCATGGAGCCCGTGGATGACAAAGGGACCCAGTGACAGGCCCAACAAAACCCCAAGGAGACTTCTGCCTGACTCCGGGATTCACTGCCGGCGATAAGCGCGCTGAATGGTGCGGGGTGGGGCGGGGGGTGGGGGGCGGGCCCCTTCTCCTTCTTCCCCTCTCTCTGTCCCCGCGATCCTTTCTCTGTCCCTTTTTAATATGCACGCCTCTAACATCTCCGGCTCCCAGCTTTCCCATTGTGCGGTTTTGTACCGCCCGCTGTAGATTGGGCGAAGATAGACTGCTGAAGCGGACCCCGCGCCGGGTGCGCTCCCAGGGCGCTGGGGTTAGGGCCACACAGGGCTCCGCAGGCGCTTTTATTGACTCCATGGGGACCCGAGGACAGAGAGAGGCGGGCGCCGGGTCCACCTCCCGGGCTCCCGGCCGGCCACAGGAGCGCACACCCAGATTGCAGGCCCGCGGTCCTGGCCACAGCTCCAAATTTGTCCTCAATGAGCAAGTGGTGGAAGCCTGCCAGGGTGAGGACCTTCCACGCTTCCCCCTTCCTCTCTGGAAACCTGAGGGTCTCTTGTGATCATTCTCACCCTGGAAGCCCTGGGGCCTGGAAAAGTCAAAATGGCCTCAGGCCTTCTGACAGCTCCGCTCCAAGAGACTTGAAACCCTCACCTTTCCTCCCAAGAGGATTTTGGGATTAGGGGAAGTTGCAAGTGGATGTTGAGTGGTTAGTACCAGGGCAGGTTGGGCGTTCAATTATTGCACAACAAACTATTTGGGAGAAATTCGTTGGCCTTTAAAAACAGTAAGACATAAGCCCCCAAACATTGCCAAGCTAGTGTGGAGAACAAAGGGAGACCTTTTAGCATTTAGAAAAACTGCCCTTTCCCCGAGGATGAGCCCGGAGATGGGAAAGGACCTTTACTGGGGTATTAGAAAGACTTCCGAGCCCTCAATTATCCAGGGGCGGTGTGGAACGCGGGAATAAAGTGTCATCGCGTCCCTGGGCTGCTGCGCAGAGTGCTATCGACGCACAGATTTGGTCGCACGGATAATCATGTTTGCTTTAGATATTGAATTAAACCTGATCATCAACTACAGGGAGCGAGAAAGTCAGCTGGGACCGCTCCTTTTGCCCGGCCTCCTCACTGCCACCCAACCCCCCAGCCTTGATGGTGCAGCTTCGGAGAGAACAGAGATACAATTTCCAAATGCGCCGACGTTCAGTCCCTCAGCGTCTGCAGCACCCGCTGGGCTCTGAGCTAGAGTCCCAAGTATTTTTAGAAACCCGCGAGATAGAGGAGAAAGGCTCATCCTCCAGTTGGCCAGGCTTCCTAAGACGCTCCCCCGCGTGGCCAAGTGTGCGCCAGCATCTGCCAAGGAGATCTTCCTCCAGCAACAAGGGTGGGACGGAATCCGTTCCCCGCCGGAAAGATGGATGCGCCCTTCCCGGGCGTGCCCGGGGCTGTGTGCCCACTTCCCATCCGGGGAGCTCACCCCACCCCCAAACCTCTACTTCCTAGCAATCCACCCAGTTCCACGCTCAAGGGCTGACCTGGGGGGACCGCACACCCTGGTTCGGACCGCCGAACGCTGGAGGGAAGGAGGCCCGGGATCCAGTCCCCGGAGAGAGGCCTGGAAGCCCGGAAAGGATGGGAGCGTAAGGGAAGGGAGAGGCATGGTTTGCTGGGATTGCCAAAGATTCTCGCTCCCTGGCTTCCTGGGGCCAAAGATCCTAGGGAGGGCTGCAGTATCCCCTCCCTCCCCCGAGCCCAGAACCCCGCGTACTTCCCCCAAGCCCCCTAAGCCAAAGCCTCGCGCGCCCTGACCGTTCCCACCCCCAGCCTTAGCGGTCTCCTAGGTCAGCACCAGCCCGCAGATTTTGAAAAGGAGTGGGGAGTGGGGAGAAGGCAGCCAGTCTTAACCTCAGACCCCCACCCACCCACTTTCTTAGCGTGAGGTAAGTCAAATGTAACAAAGTGAAAGTCATCGAGTGTAGTGGCTTCAACAGCTTCTCAGGCTGAAGGAGCCACTCATAGATTTGGGCCAGCGAGGGGGGTTTGCTCTCCTCGCCTTTGCGGCTCCCGAAGTCACTTTTCCTCCCGTAGCCGGACGCTGCCGCCCGGGGTTCAGACAGCGCGCGAGACCAGGGGAGATGCGGGGGAGGGTGGGCGGCCCTGGGCTTCCGGCCGACCGCTCGCAGGCCGGAGGCCGAGCGTTCTCCTCCCCGCCCCAATCCTAGGCGCGGGGTGCAGCCTGTGGTCGGAGGGGCCTGCACCGGGAGCCCCGCCCGCCCCAGGGCCCCGGTACCCCCGGCCTCCCCGCCCGAGAGGAACCGCCTGTGGGAGCCCCGCGGGCGGCCGGGCCCGGCTCCCAGGCCCAGGCCTCCGGCCCGGCGCAGTAGGACAAACGGGAGGGCAGGGATTTTTTCTTTTTTTCTTTTTTAAACACAGGATTTTTATTAAAATTCTTATTTAAAAAATCGAAAGCTTTCTGCGCCCGGCGCTGTTGGGGAACCGCGCCGAATAGCTGAGCTCCAAGTTCGGGGCTGAAGGCCCGGAGGACAGGGCAGAGGGCTCCCTGCCTACAGGGTTTTCTTTTCCATATTTGAGAAATGTTTGCACAATAAAATAAAAAGAGAAAGGAAGAAAGCAGGGGAAAACGCAAAAACAAAAACAAAACAAAAAACAAACCCAAACAAGCCACAAAGAAAGGAGTTGGACCCAGACGGGAAACAGGCCGGTCCTGAAGGTCATTTTGGCAACAATCACCACCGATATTTACAACGAAAAGCGAAATCTGCCACCAGTTGTCAGAACGTTTACATGGCCATAAATATTTAGCATTTTCTTATTTTTTTTTAAAAAAAGGAAGAAATTCTCTGTATTTTTAAAGTGTTCTCCACTTGCTTTAGAAGACGGCTGACAATATCGCTACTCACACAAACATATTTTACAAAATGCACGAAAGCAGGGGTGGGGGGTCGGTCTTTTTCTCGTTTTCAAGTGACGACATTAACGCTGGGACGGTTTGGTCCCCCCGGGGAGAGGCAAAGAAGCGAAGCTGCGCAAACATTCTGTAAACACGGCGTAGAGTTCAGCCCTCTCCCAAGGTTCAGAAGGAGAGGCATGGGCAGAGCTGGGTGGGTGGAATCTGCCACTCCAAGGAGACGCAGGCAACCTCCCGGCGCCTCCCTAGTGGAGCCGAGAGTCAACTCGACTCCATAATAATAATTATAATAATAATAATAACCACCATAAGGACCGAGGCCTCCTCGCCGCCACCGCCGCCGGGGTGGGGCCTGGGCCTGGGGCCGCGAGTCTCGTTGGGGCGGCGCTCACCAAGTCCACTGCTGGGCCTGGACCAGGGGGTGTGCTGTCGGGTACTGGGGGGTGCTGGCCGAGCTGTACTGGGCGTTGTACTGCATGTGCTGCAGCGACTGCGCGCTGTAGGCAGAAAAGGGAATGCCCGCCTGGAAGGTGGCGGCTGCCAGGTCCTGGGCTTTGAGCGCGTGACATGGTTTGCCGTCCCTGACCAAGACGGGCACGGCCACCCGGCGCGGCGAGGGCAGGGGCGTCACCTCCATACCTTTCTCGGCCCGGGCGCGCTTCATCTTGTAGCGGTGGTTCTGGAACCAGATCTTGACCTGCGTGGGCGTGAGGCGGATGAGGCTGGCCAGGTGTTCGCGCTCGGGCGCCGACAGGTACCGCTGCTGCCGAAAGCGCCGCTCCAGCTCGTAGGTCTGCGCCTTGGAGAAAAGCACTCGCCGCTTTCGCTTCTTGCCGGCGTCCCCCCCGCCGCCCGGGGTCTCCTTGTCATTGTCCGGTGACTCGTCGGCCGAGGGCTCCGGGGACTTGGAGCTTGAGTCCTGAGGGGGCGCCCCGGCAGCCAGACCGTGCACTGGGGGGAGGGGGAGAGAGAAGCGCGTCAGGCGTCTGGAGGCCGCGCGCAGCCTGCACCAGACTCGGAGCACCCTGGATCCTCCGTGCGACCCTGGACCTCCGCGCCTGGCAGCCCAGCCCCGCTGCCTTTGCCATGACCCCTGCCTTCCTCTACGCCTGACGAAGACGTCGGGACCTCCCAGGGTAAAGAGGGAAATCCGTAGGAGTGGGGGCTAGGGGCTCGCCTTTCAAGGGGCTCACATAGTGTGGGTGAGAATTTGGGGGGGGAAGTGGCACTGAAGATCATCGCGGGTTAAGGGCTCCGGCGCCCTTAAGCGGTTTCCTCTCCGGCGAGACGTGGGCAGATTTTTAAAAGAAATACCCCACAATCCCAGCATTGATCGGCTCGGCCATTTAAGGCAGGTTTTTGGGGGCTTTCGTTTCTGCTTTCGGGCCTTCTAGACACCCCCTGCACTGCACAAAGCGTCCTCTATGATCGCGCAGGGGGCAGGGTGAGCTATTTATACCCGGGCCACCCGAAGCCTCCCCACCCTCCACCCGTACCCGGACGAGGCTCGCTGGCTACCTCCAGGGCGCCAGGCCAGTCCCTCCCAGCGGCCGGAGTCCGGGGGCTGCGGCTGGAGCCATCGGTCCGGGTTGACATCATATACCAGCCCCTGGGAGGTATAGCCCTTCTCCCTCTTTCTCCTTAACTTCTCGCATTGAAAAAAATTTTGGAGACCAAGTTCTTTCCCGGAACTAAGGAGGCTTGAAGAGGAGGGCAGAGGACATCCTATACAGGTGTTAAAAATCTTTCTACGGATCCGAGTGAGGGGGTCCGGGCTTACATGGCCCCTTCCCCTTTCACTCCCAGCGTCCAACCCGGGCTGCGGCTGCAGGAATGGAGGGGACCACGGCCTCGGCAGCCAAGTTTTGCTACTTACGGGAGTACTGAAGGCCCTCGGTGCTGGCCAGCCAGCGCGTGTACGGGTTGTCGCTGCTGTCGTAGAAGGGGTTCTTCAGGGGCAGGCTCTGCACCGCGTCCAGGGCGCCCTGCCCCAGCGGCCCGGCCCTCTTGGCTGGCTCGGGCCCCTCGTTCTCTTCCTCCGGACCTTCGGCCACAGAGCCCTCCTCATCGTTGGTGTCCGGCAGGTCTAAGATGTCCTTGACCGAAAACCCCGTCTTTGTGTTGGTCAGCGACATGGTTCGAGACCCCAAAATTTATGTCGCAAAGTTGTAGCTTCACTTGGTCAATTCGTGGCGCTCCCCTGCCCCGGCGGGCGGGGGAGGGGGGAGTTGGGGGGAGGGACTGGGGGAGGGGAGGGGGGAATTGGCTTTAATTATTGGGATAATTATTATTTTTAAAAAGAGAAAGAAACTGGGGATGGGGAGGAAAAAAATGAAGCCCAACCCAGTGCCTCTCTCTGTCTTCTTTGAAAGCACGCGGAAATGGACGCAGGAAGCCGGGCGGCCTGCGCGCCGAGCGCCGCGGGCCCCGGCCTTAGTTTCTAACTCCAGGAGGGGTGCCAAGGCGGCGTCAGCTCGGGCTCCGGCGGCCGCTCGGCGCGCGGTGGCGGCTGGTGGCGAGGAAAAAATGGGCCATTGCCCGAGCGATCAGTCCATATAAGGCTGGGCTCCACTCACGAACCTGGGGAGGCGGGGAGAGGGGGAGAAAGAGAGGGAGGGAGGGAAAGAAAGAGGGAGGGAGGGGGAGCGAGAGAGGGAGCGGGAGAAGGGTGGAAAAAAGGGGGAAGAGACATTAAAAACGCAAAGGTTGGCCACGTGTGGGCGGGTCTTGGGAGTCAAGTGGATGAAGACAGTATTTGCAGATGTGAAATTGTGGGTTTTGGGGAGCTCCGCGCTCCCAGCCAACGGCCCTCTAGAGCAAGATGAGAGGTGTAACGTGTCAATTAATTGCAAAGACGGGGCGAGCCTTTTTTTTTTTAAACCCAGTATTTACATACAAAGGGCCACCGCGTCGCTCGCGAGTCCACACACTTGAAAGGGCCGTTTTAACAAATTGCATCTTAAAAAAGGTGGGGGTGGGGAGGAGGAGGGGAGAAAACAAAACAGAAACCAGGAGGAGGGAAAAAATCCTCTTTAACATTCACCGGTTCCTACCTCCCCGCCCCCGCGCGCCCACCCCCGGCAAGCCGGAAAATTGGCGATTTGTGGCGCCTTTGGAAAAGGGGGAGGGGGCGAAGGCCGAGCTGCGGAAATCTCTCCTTTCCATCGTTGGTGGTTGCCTAAACAAGATCCGGTTCAAATGGCAAGAGCCCAACTTCTGTAAGCCTCCTAGGTCAATATTTTGGTTGAGGCTTAAGGATGAGTGCTAGAAATGACAAGGCAAGTAATTGATTCCAGTTAACCGCGAGAGAGCCCAAAACCCAGGAGAGAGCTCCGCTCCGGGCCGGCCAGAGCCACCACCAAGCGACCCGCCCCCTTCCAGCCGCCCTTTATTTGCTAAAGACTCATTTATTTCCTTCACTCCGCCTCCCCCCACCTCCCACCCCCAACCCCCCGCCTCCACCTCTCTGCGGCCAAGGAGGACGCGCAGTTCACTTTCTGCTTTGCGGGCGGTCCCGGGGAGGGCGGGGTAAGAGTGAGGAGCTCCAACTTCGTCTGGGGTCGGACCCTGGCCCTGCTGCCTCTGGGCTCTGCGGGCCTCTTTCCCCGGGTGGAGGAAAGGGCAGACGGCCCTGCTCTTTCCTGCCCTCTATTATCCCTCCCTCTCCGGCCCCCTCCCTCTCCAGCCTCTGGCTAGAGGTGGAGCAGCGGGAAGGCGGCGGGGCGGGATTGCGGGGGTGGGGGTGGGGGTTGTGTCTCCAGCCTGGGTGAAGACCCAGAAAGCTGCGGGGGAGGGGGGTCGCTGGGTGGCCCGACGATGCCTCGTTTTCTCCCCAGTTTTCTTCTCCCACGCGAGTTCTTTAGTGTGGTCTCTTTTTGGACGCCTTGGGTGCGTTCGGAGTACGCGCTCCACGTTTCCAGGTTAAGTCAGGTTAGTGTGAAGTTTCCAGCCACTCTCGGCTCTGGGAACTGAACTTTCCCGGGACTTGCACTTCCTCCTCGGCGCTGGGGTTGGAAAAGACCACGCCGCATTTGCCACCCCTTCTTCTAGTTAAAACTTTTTTGGGGGGGGGGTGCAGGGGTGTAGATTGGCTACCTGATGCTCGTTCGCCCCAGAGGAGTGTCAGGAAGGAGCTTTGTCTGGGGGCGGGGAGGGGCACAGAAGGCCACCCCTGCGGGGTCCAGGTCTAGTCTTCCCACAACCTGGGCTCCTCCGCGCGGGCCAAGCTGAGCGCGCGGGCACCGGGTCCTCCTCGCGCGCAGCTGCAGCGGACGCCGCCGCGCCCCAGCTGCCCCCGGGTTGCCAGCGCTGGGTGAGGGCACCTCTCCCCGAGCCGCTCGGCGGCTTTCTGCAGCCCTAGCTGCCTCGCCCCCAGTATGTGACGTGGGTGACAATGGCCCAGGTTAGAGCAAGCCCCTCGTCGGCGCGTCCTGGGTGGTCGGACCCGGGCAAACACAAATACAAACCGATTGCTAAGCTGCGGACAATGAGCGAAATGTAGACAAATGTCCCGCTCCCGTTGGAAGCCTTTGTCCCGGCTCGGTTTTTGCATTTATTTCAGTGGCGAAATAATACATGATTGACGCTCTCTTTCAATGTGTCCTAACTGTTTGGAATAAATCTAAGGTTGTTCCTAGTTGTCATGGCATTCAACCCTTTTCAATGGACTATCTCTTCATTCATTTCTGAATCCGTCCACAATATTAAGGAAACCCCTTCATGTCGACGCTCCCCGATTCCTCTTTCTCCTCCTACTTTTTCTTTTCTCCTTTCTCCCCCTCCTTCCCCCCTTTTTTCCCCTGGAAGAATTAGAAACTTGTTTGAATCGTCTTCCTCGAACCCATTACTTTTCGTGCTTTTTTTTTTTTTTTGCTCGCTTTCCGTCTCTGTCTTTCTCAGCGCCCCCCCTCCTCCGCCCTTTCACGTGGGAGCTCGTCGCTCTGCCCCGTCGGAGGAGGGAAGTTGGTTCTCCAGGAGTCGGGGAAGCGTCGAGTTTGGATCCAGGGGCGGGAGTGGGCCTGCCACTGCTATTGTTACTCAGCTGCTAAATAAATAACTGGAGAGAAAAAAAGTTCCTCAACCCAAGCGTTGCAGCAAAGACCCTCCTTTTGTTCCTCCTCTTATTCCTCAGTCCTAAGGGGGTGGAGGCTGTCTTGGGGTCCAGGGCAGCCACTAGGTTGGGGACCCAGAATAGGATCTGGTTGGGCCAGGCAAATTCTTGGGTCAGGTGGCAAAGGGGTCTTTGGCAGCAAGTGTCGTTTCTCGCATATCCCCAGAGCCCTCTTAGGTGGGGGAGTGCCCGCAGAGGCCTCCCAAAGCGTGTTCATTTCTTCAGCTGGGAACCACCTCGCTGAAGTTCCATGTAGTTCCCAACTTCTCTCCCCCTTCCCCAGCATAGTGACCCTTTCTTCTCAGGATCTAAATCAGCACCGCTGCTATTGATCAAGTCCCCTCCCCTCACCCGTGGGAGCCTGCAAGGTCCGCAGAGCGCCTGAGAGAGGATTGCTTTCCTAGGGGAATCCTGGCTCCTGGAATTAATCACGGGGAGGGAGTGCTGCCATAGGCGCCTAGAGAAGGAGGCCCTCAGCCCAGTTCTCAAAGGTCGGGTTTGCCTTTGCGCCTGCCCCTTAGCCTCAATGACCAGCCGAATCCTTCTGGGTCTCAGCTTGCGGTGTCCTCTTGTCGGAGCACCTGAGGCGCCCACTTCCCCTGCCCTCGCAGGACGCCTCCTGGACTCCGGCCCCTCCTACACTTTCACCCCAGCGAGTCTTCCAGTTTTTATTTCCCCTGGCCTGGGGGCAGCTGGGCAGGGAGGGAGAGAATTGGAGAGAGCTTCGGCCTTGCCTCCTCCGCGATCGGTGCTTCCGGGTCCACAGCACTCAGCCTCTCCCGGGACCTCGAGACTCATTTCCCCATCACTTCTCGTCCGTGTGGTTCCCGCGTCCATTTCCAGAGCGTTAACATTTGCAATTGAAAAGGCGCTGGGAGACCGCTGGGAGGTCCGTAATTGAAGGGGAGAAACTGGGCTTGTTAGTGGAAGATCATAAAATGCAAGTCCCCCAGGAGCGGCCTGTGGACGCCGGGAGGCCTGCGCAGGCCCAGCTGGCGGCCAGGGCAAGTCCGGTGCCCAGAGCACAGTCCAGTGTCTCCTCAATTTCTTGGGCCCGGCTTGCGCCCAAAGAGCCTAGGGGCCAGGCGCCAAACGCACCTTTTCTGTCCCAATTAAACAGGTGATTGCATCCTGAGGACTCCCCAAGAGGCCTCCCCGAGAGTACCACAGCTAGGCCTTCTAGAGCCCAGGAGCTTTGGTTCTCTGCGATCCCGCACACCCGCAGGCTGAGAGGCCCTGCCCCGCTCCCTTCCCCCTCCGGAGGGTTCTTCAGTAAGGGCCCACCACTCCCACCCTGTCAGCGTCTGCCTGCACCAGTTTCAGCTCCTGGTCTCCCCCACTCGGCATTCTTTAGTAAATTCTTTCCAGGTACCGTCTTGCACCCAAGCGAGTTCAATGTCCTCCGTTCCGTCAAGTTTGGGTTTGAGCTTTGGGCTCAGCTGCCGTGGTCTGGAGACCTCGTAGGCACTCTGCAAGATGCCTCGTTCTGCTGCATGCTTGGGGAGGAAGTTGAGCTGGGTGCTGGAAGTTCTGAACCCAGCATGCCCCGGGCCGGAGGAGATTTGCTTGGTGTCTCCTTAGCGTCCCGAACACCGCGCGCCCCTGCTGGGGTAACCTGAACAGCTGGACCCCTCAACTCGATCTTTATTATCAGCATTGGGGCTCCAGATTCCGTACACATCTCTAGCTCTATTCATTCTTCCTAGGTTGAGAACGGACGCATTGGGAGTCCTACGCCCGGGGGAAAGGCAGGAGAGGGGAGGAAGAGAACCTGTGCCCCTGGAAGCTAGAGGAGAGCCTCGCTCTCTCTGCTGCTCTGGGTTCCGCAACGAATTGAGTTCGGGTTCAGGCGGCTGGAGCGGGCGCGGGGAGGCTGAACAATCGCCGGAGGCCCAGGAGGGGAGGCGAATGTACACAGGCTAAGTGGCCCCACTCCAGGACAAGTGGCCCTCTAAGTCGGCTCAGTGTTTACCTGTTTACTTTCCCAGGTAGCTCAAACACGAGCGCCTTTTCTGCGCTCCAGGGCACGGGGGCCGCCCAGAGGCACCCTGCTTTCCCGGCTTCTGCCCTCCCACGCCTCAGCTTTACGCCCCCTGTTGTGGGGGTGCGCTCTAAACAACAGCAAACCAGGCAAGAAAGGAAGATACAGGAGAGCAGGCGAGGCCTCGGCACACCCTACGGAGGGGAGCCTTTCTTGTGCCTGTGGAAGAAGTGGGCTCCGTGGACGGCATCCGACCCTCCCCCCATCCCTGTTCTGGGCACCTCTTTGGAGACGGCGCTCGCATCCTTCCCCGTTCAAGCCGGTGGTGAAAGCTTGCAGTGCAGGTACCTGCCCCCTGTCCTCCTGGGGAGTAAAGGGCAGAGAAAGTCTTCGGGGGTAGGGGTGGGGTCTTGGGGCCTGCTCTAAAGAGGGGGCGACCTTGAGGAGCCCAAAGCTTCAGCAGCCCTAGGCGGCACACCTCACACTCCCCACCCACAAAAGCGCTTCCAATCATTAAACACACAAGGTCTTTTCCCTTTATTTGGAAACACTAATTTGTTTGACTTCATTTCATTTCTTCGTCTTTTTTTTGGAATGAAAAAGGGTTGAAAAGAAACTCCTTTCCTGGTACAGTATGTGGCTGAGCTCTCAGGCCCTCGCACATCCCATCTCAGATAACAACCTTCAAGTGGATTAGTTTATTGTCTGGTTAGCGCCAAGGTGCAAGCGTTTGTCTTCATTCACTCCGGAAACAAAGCGCGTTGCACCTTCCTGCTCCAGCAAGGATTAACGGCGCGGACACAAAGGTTTTGTCGGAGGGGGAAGGTTTATTTTATCTTGGGTTGGAGACTCAGAGCGTGGCATGCACTTGAAATCAATGGGGAAGGAAAATGTCACCCAATCTGGTCCCTGAGTGTGGCGATAAAGACGTTCACCTTAAGGATGGCATCTCCAAAACAGCCCCACTTTGGCTTCGACTTCCAATGCGGGAGCAGGGGCTGCAGGAAGCAGAGGTGTCAGCTCTCACGTCCTGGATGAAAGAAATAGGGGAATGCACCCCAGGAGTACTACCCCGTGCTGGGACCTTTGCTAACCAGAAAATGAAAATCCATCCCAGCTCCAATTGCCCTCACCTTCTGCCCCCGGAGAAGGAAACAGGGTCATAGGAAATCCCTTCTGTCTGTGGGGTGGCAGAGTGGAGTCTCTGGGTTGGGGAGGCCTAAAGCTGTGTGAGTCTGCAACTTTGGAGAGGCCAGACCGTGCCCGGCAGATCTCTGGCAGGAGAGACTCACAGCCATTGGACAGGTGGACGAGAAAGTGGGCATTAGTGTGAAAAGAAAGGAAATCTCAGCCTGCTTTGGGTTCAAGCCTAAGGTGAGTTTTTTTTTTTCCTTTGGTCCATATTATATTAACTCTTTAAATTGCCCCAGGAAGGGAAGAATGAGTGGATGCCTCCCAGATGGACAATCCTCCCAAGTCAACTAAGAAGGAGTTGGGTAGATAAGTTCTCCAGGCCCAGAGACTTTCAGATTCTGTGTCTGGGGGAAAATCCCCACCCCGTTCCTACAGAGTGGCGGGAACCCCATTGATGCCACGGAGAGAACTGATCCTGGGACCTAGAGCCTGGAGTCCCCCTGCGATTAACTGTGGATGCAGGAGGAAGGCATCTAGGTGAGCTCCCTTCTCCCTATTCTTTTTCAAGGCAAAATATACAACACTTTCCCAATTATCTGCCTCCCTCCCACCACAAAAGGGGCACATATCTCCCAAGGATGTAAATAGTAATAGAAATTAGTATTTGTCTTTCTATTAATCAGCTTCATTGTGTGGGCATAAGACCCTGCGGGCATATGTTAGGACTTTGATAAATGCACTTTAATGAGATCTTTAAAAATGCATCCAATAAAATAAAAGGCGAGGAAAGCCGTTTAACTTTCATGGATGTTAAATTGAACACGAACTGTGGCTCCGGGCACGCTACAAAATGGAACCGGCCTCTCTCCAATATTTTCTTTAAAAACCTAGCTTTAAGCCCCCCTCGGGCCAAACGAGCCTGTCCCAGCCAATCCATTATCACCGGTTTATTGGGGAACCAAACGCCACGTCCCCCTGGGCGAACTCCTTGGCTTTATTCGTTCGCGCTGCTCTAATGACTAAATATGTTACAATGAGATTACGCATCGTCAGTGTTGCCTTCAGGAACGTTCTTTCAGCCAAGCCCGACCTTCCCCGGATGAGGGCGATTTCAATACGGGAGATCTGGGTTTCTCCAGGAAACACGCGCTGAAAGCACTCTCTTATCTGAATTTACTTCTTAACACGTGACAAAATCATTACCACAAGACTTTGGAAAACAAGCGGCTCTCCTAACGGGTTGCATTCAGCACTTAAAGCTGGGTCGGGCAGGCTGATGTGAAAAGTAGTTGTCGGTGGCGCGGAGAAGGCACGCTCTTAGCTGGAGCTAAGGGCTGGTTCCGGGAAGGACAGGGAATGCACCCTTGGGCCCTCGGGCACAGAGAGGGGGTTCCTAGGGCTCTGTCTCTCTCTCTCCAATGTGAGCCCCAGAGGTTCACAACCTTCCCCTAGACGCAACGTCCCCTTTCCACCCCCAAGAGCCACTAAAGTCGAGAAGGCGCCAGAGGAGCTCCAAAGGGCCTCCTGGTAGTGTGTGCGTGTGTGTTGTGGGAGGAGGTTGGGGCGGAGGGGGCGCCCCTCGGAGACAAGGACCCCACCGAGGTTCATTTCTGATCCTCTGGCGATCTCTACTGACACAAACGAGAACTGTCCGGCGCCGGGCGCGGCCCAGGCGACACTCGCCTCCCAAACTCCAGTCTTCAGTCGCCTCTCCAGAGACCTCAGTCCACTGCGCGGGCCCTCAGCCCCGGCTCCTCCTGTCTGCGACTCCCACCACTTGCCCTCGTGCTCATCACCACCGTCCCCTCACGTCCCAGTTCCGTCTGAGGAGAAGCCCCTGTCTCCACTGGGCGCCATCTCCAAATTACCTTCGGGACTTCTGCCTCTGTTTCAATCCCCGATCCCGAGCTCCCTGCGACGCACAGGGGGCGACTTACCCGGTGGAGGTGGGTGCAGCGGCCGCCCCTTCCTCACCGCGGCCCCGCCAGCCGAGGCGCAACCGGCCCCGGGCAATCGGGAGGGAGCTAGCCAGGCGCTCCGCGCGCCCGCTCCGCCTTCTACTCCCGGAGCTGCGGCGACAGCCCCGCCGCATTTCAAGGCGCGTCTTTATCTAGTACTCCACCTACCCGGACCCCCCTCGCTCTGCGCCCTTCCCCCACCGCGCGCCCTACCAGGCGGGGCTCAGGGGACCGCAGGCGGGGACCGCCGCGGGTGCCGCGCCCCTCCCTCCTCCTCCGCCTCCCAGCCCCGCACCTTCCCAGCCCCTGGGACAGTCCCGCTTTCCCTGACCGCACCGGAAAGTGCGCAGCGGCGGGATCACCTGGCCTCGGCGGCTGGTAAAACTTTTCCTGACTGCAGGCGCGACAGAGGGGCCCTGCCCGTCCTCGAGTGCTCGCCACTCCTGCCGTGATCCGCAAAGTCGGGGAGAACTTCGGAGGCCCGCACTTGCCCACCTGCTGCGTCCGGACTACGCGGCTTGGGGATCGAGCCGAGTCAGGACCCGGGAGAGCGAGGGGCTCATAACCGGGGTCCGCCGTGAACCCGAGCTCCGGCGCCGCTCGGCGGCGACGACGGTGCCCCGAGACCCCTCTCTGCTGGCAGGCCGCGGTGACCGTGCCCGGAGCGCGTTCCCGCGCCGGGCGGCTGTGGCAGGAGGACCAGACAGTCAGCGCCTGGCAGCGAGGGCGACGCCGGGCTTCCTCCATCGCCACCGCCGGGCTCCGCTGCGGCTCCCGGGCTCCGCCGGGTGCCCCGCGCCATCCCCATCCCGCGTTCACCGGAAACGCGTGCGAGCTGGAGGCTCACCTGGAGCGCGACTGCGCCGCTGGAGCCTCGGCTGGGCGAGCGCGCAGGTCCCGGCCGCTCTTTATCCCGAGTCGCGGGCGGCTGCGGAGTCGCGGGCGGTCGGGCGGCGGCTCGACGCGGCCGGCGAGCGCTCCCCCTCCCGGCTCCGGGCTCCTGGCTCCAGGCTCCCGGCCCAGCGGCCCCACCCTCCTAGCTCCGGCCCCGCGGCCACCGCGCAGCCCCAGCGGAGGGGGCAGCTCCCCCGCGCCGCGCGCGCTCTGTTTGTTTTCCTTGCCGGACTGACGTGAGTCAAAATATTGGCCATATGTTCAGCGGTAATAAATTGGGTATGAGCGCAAACACACTTGGGCTTCGATGGCTCTTTCAGCTGCCACATGGTAGGCTTTGCGGGGAGGGGGCTTCCACCCCGCCTCGGCCCCCTGCCCCCAAACGCGCGGGTAGATTCCCTCCCTCCTGCGCCCCTCTGAGCAGGAGATCTGGGACCCCAGGTTTCTCCTGACCCTCGCCCCTCCTCCGTCCCCAGCAGTGCCTTGGACTCCGCAGCTCCTGGCGAGCCCGGACTGCTGGTTAACAAGGTCGCCATCTATAAATTGCTCGGTCGCTAAGACGCCATAAAACCAAAGGGCCAGATGTGGCACGTTATTTATGTGTGAAACCGCGTTTACACTAGATACGCGGATCCAAGGCCGATAGCACGACTTCGCGGGAGGTCACAGACCTCTCGCCCCGGCTCCAGGCTCCTCCCCCAGCACGATCTCCTCTCCAGGTTGAGGGGTGTCGGTCTTGCCGGGAAAGGGATTCACCCCTGCAGCCCAGGAGGAAAGTGATTTCAGTGCGCTTGTGCCAAAATGCCACCTGTCCAGGATTAAAGGCAGTCTCTGGGGTTTATTTCCGTAGCTTTCCTCTTTCCCCTGCTCTTGGCTTCCTTTTATTACGGGCCCCTGGGAGGCTGTTTTATTTTCCAGGCAGTTGATACGTTTCATGGGACCTAGATCTGACACAGCAAGGGTAGTGTGCTAGAGATGCCCAACTCTGTGGGTGGGCGGGATTTGAGGGTGGGGTCTCCTGAGCCCTGAGGGAAGGATTTTGGGAAGCGGAGCAGTTCACCTGGCTGAGGGAGCACCTGAAATTATTCTTGCCTCGGGCGGTGGTCGACTCCAGTGTCGCATGTCACCTGCCTTATTTAACTTGAGGGGCAGCCGGAGCACTGGGAGAGGCAGCCCTGGCCTCGGAATATGGAATCCGGTGGCCCTGGGTGCTGCAGGAAAGGGAAGTAAATACTCTGTTCTAATAGAAAACAATCGTTTTGCTTTCCTTCTTCAGAAGGCGGCCTTAGGACTGCATGTCCCCAAACTGGTCACCTCGCACTTTACTCACATGAATTCATTAACAGTCATTGTCTCTCCATTGCCATTATTTTACTATTTCTTGAAGTGAACCAAATTCTCTCTGTGGTTAATAAGCACTGAGCCAGGCCCCCTACCTTCCTTTTCATCTTCAAAACACCTGGGGTTCCCTGAATGGCATCTTCCGTCTGGCCAAGGAAAATAAGAGATGAAAAATGTTGCCCTACTGCAGGGAAAAACATAAGCATTTCACTTTACTATTACCAGTTACCCCAGGTCTGTGTTCACTAGATAACTGTCCTTAGGTGGCTGTTAAGGGTGGAAAAATGATGCTGTTGAAAGAGGGTGGGAGAGAAGGGGAGAACCAACATGAGCTGGGGGTGGGGAGGAGAGACCCATTTGATAGGGGCAAAAAGAGCTATAAAATGAACCTCTGAACCTGAAGTGCTGAGCAGGAACAGTGACTCTCTGGGTTTGCTCTCTTGGGCTTTAGATGAGCTCCTAGAAAGCTTTAGTTAACTGCAGAAAAACCTGGGACTAGCTTCAGGGCTACAGGAGTGGTTGATCTTGGGAAATTACACTGTTTTTCACTCTTTTTTCTTGGATTTTTACATCTTTATTTATGGTTAAAAACCAAACTATAGGGTCTATTTTTGGGTTTACATTACCTCCAAGTGGAAGCGCTGAGATTACAGATCAATTGCTTCTTTGGGTGAAAATATTGCTTCATGACCAAAATTAGACAAGGGGATTTGAAGGCAGGCCTTCACATTTGTAGTCTTCGTGGGAATGGGTGTCTTTGTCTCACAAGTGCCCTGTGAAGAAGCTCATGCTTTCTTCCTGCATGTACCACAGATATGTGCTAGGCAGAGGATTGAGACGCAGACAAGGAGCTTAGAAAGTCAGTGTCTGGTGCTCCCAGGGTGGAAAACTGAGAGACACGAAGCAAAGAGTATATCAAGGCAGGCTTTACATCATTCCCTAGTTAGGAAAACCCATTTTAAACCAGCAAATGTAGCAGGGCATCTACTAGTTAACTGATAATAAAAATCCATGACAAAGAAGATGCAGTGGGGAGCAAGCATAAATGAAATACGACTGCTTAGATACAACTCCTGTTTCTTCTCTTTGGCCTTATTCAGCAATCCGGTGCTAAACTTCATACACTACATCCTCCAACCTCAACAGATTGCATGCTGTTCTTAGTTCCACCATCTTTTATGCTATTCTTACTTCAGAAACATTCCTGTCCTACTCATGGACTCAAAATTCACTGACTTTTCACACTGGAAAAACCTTCCTCCACGAAGCTCCCCGCAGACGCACCATCAGCTACAGTTGTTCCCCTCTAGGAGTGATCAGTTCTCACTTGCAAGTCAACACATAGTCAGCGGAAATAAATACTCTAGTGTGTTTTGACTTGAACTAGGATATAATGGAATTGTCTTGAAAAGAGTTATTCAAAGGTCCTCTCATGGAGAAGTTCTTTGCTTGTTATAGCTGTTGGCCCTGCTATGCAGTTGATTCAACTAAGGAAGCTAAGTGCCTTGCTCACACCTTACCTTAGCCTCACGTGTGGCCTCCAGAGAGGCACCATGGAGGTGAGAGCTGAGACGGAGTCTGAAGGAAGTAAGTACCCCAACCCCAGACCACAAAGGGCTCTCAGGAAGCAATGTACTTCTGCAAAGATCCCAGTGCACAATGGGGAGCTGAAGATGGGCAATGCCTCTCCGTGTGCCCTCAGCAAGTGAAAGTTTGAATGTGCTCTCCAGCAGACTTGATGCTCTTCCTTCAGTTCCTTCAGCAGCAGAGCCAGAAGGCAAGAGTCATGGTCTTATGAGGCTCTTGGGCTTTCAGAAGCCAAGAGTAATACCAGTTCCTTCTTATCTCCTGCAGAGAACCAGAGAACTGGGATAACAGACACTGCAGGACACAGATTGTTTTGTTAAAGAGTTGGCCACAGCCAAATAATTTGGCAACATGTATAAAATCTTCAAGAAGCAACAATCAAATTCATCTAGAGACAGAAACCAGACTAGCAGTGGCCTAGACTTGGGAGATAGGGGCTGGGGGGCTGGGGAGTAAGGGCTGAGGGGTGTGAGGTTTCTTTTTGGGGTGAGAGAAATGCTCTGAGATTGATTTTGGTGATGTTGCACAAATCTGTGAACACACTAAAAGCCATATTCAGTAGACATTAAATGGGTAAATTAATGTACACATTAAATGGGTAAATTGTATGGTGTACGAATTACATCTCAATAAAATAAAGCTGTTTAAAAAGCCAATGCATCTCTTGTTTATGTGGGCTAGAAGGTGCTGGGATAGAAGCTAGGAGGGGAGGGAGGCACTGGGGGAAGACAGGTGATCCTGAAAGTTGTCTTCCATCTTCCCAATTTTTATTCTGAGTATTTTCAAGCACACAGAAAAGTTGAAAGAATAGTGAACATTTGGGTATCTTCCACCTGGATTCAACATTTGTTAGTATTTTGCCACATATACTTTATCACTCTATATAAGTGTACTTTCATTTTGCTGAACTATTTGGAATGAAGATTGCAGAAACTTCCCCATGGAATAGTTCAGCAGGCATCTCCTAACAATACAATTCTTCAATATAATCACGACACCATTACCACACCTTAAAAATTAACAATAGTTACATAATACTGTGTGATATTAATTCTTTATTTACATTTCTCACATTTTACCAAAAACAAAATGTATTTTTATAGCCAGTCTATTTTTTCCATATCCAGGACTTATTCAAGGCTCATGTACTGTATTTGGTTTACAAAATATTTTAATGTCCTTATGCTCTTTTGATTTACAACAGTCTTCCTTATCTTACTCCCTCCCTCCTTTCCTTCCTCCCTCCCTGACATTGACTTTTTAGAACCCAAGGCATTTTTAGAACACCCTACATTCTGGATTTGCCAGATTGCTTTCTCCTGGTGTTATCTGCCTTGTTCTTCTACCCCTGCATAACTGGAAACTGGATGCCAGATCTGGAGTCATGATGAGGCATATGCTACACATTTGTGGGAAGAATGCCACAAGGTAGTGTGTCACATTGCATCTCATTAGGAGGCAAATCATGTTCTTCTATTAGACAGGCTAAGTTTGATCACTTGGTTAAGGTGGTGACCACCAAATCATCTCATGTGAATTAGTAAGTGATTGAGAAGTCACTGAGGGATAAGTGACCTTTGGCATTGTTTCAATATTCTTTGTCACTGAGTAAATATCCCCATATTCTCCAACAACTTTTCACCTAGAGGCTTGTAGCATTCATTGTCTGAATTCTCCCGTTTTTTTCTACATGTACTTGGTTTTTCTCCTCCATTTCCATTTCTTTTAATTTTGTTTTCCCTTGTAGTGTTTTCCTTCTCTTCAGTCCATTCTACTGGTGGCAATGAGGGACACTATTTATCTCAGCTGCTGGCATTCAAGACTAAATAAATGATTGACTCAGGCATCCTGTTATTGCTTTCCAGTAAAAAGATGCAGCAGAAGACTAGAGGTTTGCAGTGGAAAATCATGTCACTTTCCAGTAATATTGGTTTAGAGAAGTATTAAATTTGACACGTAAATCTGATCCTTTGGTTTTTGGTTGGAGGGTTTGTATTTGTGATGTATTTATCTTACAGATGCAAAGCCCCTAGATTGGAACAGGACTGAATTGCACTGAGTCCTGTGGTTAGAAGGGCTCCAGGCTCAAGGCAGTCTAGAGGGTGGGGCAGTTGTCTCATCACAGTGGGTTCACCATAGGTTAGCTCCTTCTCTCTTGCACTGCATGGATCACAGTCAGTGCCCCCTCCTTTTTCTTTGTCCTTCCTCCCTTTGGGGGTTATGAGTACCCCACTGAGAAAGGGAATGTCAAGGCAGGGCATATTGCTCTGGCAGGTACAACATGGAGAATAAATAATGAGCCTAGGTTTTTCCTCGAAGGCATCATGCAAATGTAAATATTGGAAGTAAAACACTTAGAAAAAGATGTGCAGAGAGAGTGGATTGGCATTTCATGGAATTATTCTGGATTCATGGTCGCCGACTCTCTGACATGTCTAACATGTTAGGAGTGGGAGAGCGAAGGCAGGAAATTATACTTAGTTATACTTTTCCCATCCTGAACAGCTTTCCATAGGTGATGCACAATGCATCGGCTGAATTACAAGGTTTGCTTTTGAGCCCTCTAGGGTTTTCTTTGAGAAGTTAATATTTACCTGACCCTGGTGAGTTTACACGCTTTGGGTGATCTTTTGGGAAAAAAGGTATCATGGCTGATATCTCAATAAAGTAAAAGATAAGGCCTGGTCAATTACAGCAGCAGGGGAAGAAAAAATTACATTTAGACCCAATCACAAAATTGTCATCTAGATTATGGTTGTCAAATTTTAACTGGTGTTGATGTTCTGTTGTGGATAGAAACAACTCATCATAAATCTCAGCGATTCTTTGACAGTTTTCAATTTCAATGGGAAGCACCATGGAAGTGAACTTGATAAAGGACTTGGCAATGAGGAAAAGTTTCCTTTTTTTTTCCTCTTGTCAATTTAGAGCTCATCTGAGAATTTAGAAATCTTCTTGGGTTTAACATTTAAAATTGTTTGCAGATCAACTTTTTATATTGTAAGGATTTCACTTCAGAGAAAATGGCATGGCCATTCTGCCTGCCACAGAGGGAATGAAATGACTCTAGACTTGTTCTAAAATGATTGAATTGATACATTAACAAGCGAACTGTTTTTACGTAAACGGTGTGTTTACTGGACGTATTTTTTTGCTGGGGGTGCAGTAACAAGTACCACAAACTGGGTGGCTTAAAAAGCAGAATCTTATAATCTCCCATTTCTGGAGGCCAGAAGTCCAAAGTCAAGGGGTTGGCAGCATGGTTCCCTCTGAGGGTAGTGAAGGAAGGGTCTGTTTGGGTCCTCTCTCCTTGCCTTGTAGATGACCATCTTCTCTCTGTATCTCTACCCATCTGTCCATGCTTCTAAAGTTTCTCTTTTTACAAGGATGCCAGTCATATTGGAATTAGGCACCACCCTAATGACTTAAATTTAACTTGATTATGTTTGTAAAGACCCTATATTCAAATTAAGTCATATTCTGAGGTACTGCAGATTAGGACTCCAACATACCTCTTTCTGGACAGGAGGGGGCACAATTTAACCCATGACACTTTGGATGAGTTTAGGGTGGGGATGATGAAGATCACAGAAGGCCCAAAGGCTCCAAGCCATCGTACCCTCGTGATGCCAAAATTTAGTCCAATTCTAGTGCCTGCCTCTGAGTACAAACGCCTTGGGTTTGGGTGTTCAGTGCGGTGGCGGGCCTCTGGGATTTGATGGTATATGACTTTTAAGCAGATGAAAATAATTTGGGATAGCAATCCCATTAGGAAAGTGGGCATATATGTATTAAATAAAAAAGACAAGAAAGTTTCCTGGATCTGTTTTTCCTGCCAGTGAAACAATGATGAACTTGGCCTATTTGAGCTCTGCCTACTATGGCCCTTTCACATCTTTTTTTTTCACCAAACATACTTCCTTTGGATATTACAATATCCAACTGTACGTCTCTGATAGACATCTAATTCTCGCTGAATTAATGGGAGATTTTAGGCTTAATAATAACTTCCAGTGAATATAAAGATGTAATTATAAGGCCTCTGTCTTTATATGACTCAAGACTTTTAGGAGCTCACAGCATACCAAGCATGGCCTCATTACTGTAATCCTCTTAACATCACTTGGACCCCAGTTACAAGTATCACTACCTCCACCTTAGGGGAGGAAAACCCAAGGAACAGGACAGCAAGGTCTATTGTCTGATGCTTCAAAGACGGACAGACAGGGCCCCACTGTTCCTTTATTATATTCTTTATTCTGGAGAGTTCTCCATTGAGCTAGATTGTCTTCCAAAGCTATCCTTGTTCTCCATTTTAGCTTCCCCAGTTGCTGTTTGCGTATGCTAGCTGGTATCTGGGGCAGGAGCAGTTCTGGATGAATTGAGAAGAAAAACGACAAAACTTCTATTATAACGCACTGTTTATTATTGGATCAATATGATCGATGACCACCTGTCAGATCTGTAACATTATCTGGGAACCAGCAGATGGAGCTGTTACAGATAGCATTCAGAGGTTTGTTTATTCTCCTGAGCACGTGTTTCCATCCTGGGGGAAATACCACTTCATTGTTACAACAGTGGAGTTGTCTGTGGCCAGATGTTGAGCACACCTTTTCTCTTGGTCCACGTCTGCAGAACTGGAAGGTCATTTGTATGCAGGGCCAAGGTTTTTACTTGGAAAAGGTAGGATGACAATCTTCTACCTCTCACAGGCCCTTATGGCAGAAACAGATGATTTCTGTGAACAAGGAGAAAATTAGATGTATTGTTTTTCCAGAAACCGCACACTTCGAATCACAGAAGTGTTTACATAGGGCAGGCTGGAGGGGACGAGAGAGACCTTGGTTGATGGTGACTCAGTTCATAAACACAGCATCAATATTGATAGACTCCAAAAGATGCATATGCAGGACATCTCTCGGGATTTGCAGGGACCGACTGTTCAGGTGAACATCCCGTACTGTTCGTTCGAGCAGGACACGGCAGATGCTTCTTTCTTGTTTTATGGAGGGTGGTGGTGGATTACTCTTCCCATCTTGTGCTTTTGAGGATGCTCCAAAAACTTTAAAAATTTATCCATGTTCCCTTTCACACAGTGGGTGTTTCTTTCCTCAGGCAGAAGGAAAACTTACCAATGGTTTTTGAATATGATAGGAAAGACCACCTGCAGGGAGAGAGTGGGACCCCTGCTCTCTGCCTCTGGTGAGGTCAGAAGGAAAGGAAACGTGGGGGCCATACGGAGGTGGAGGTAACAAACTGTTCCGACAGCCAAGGTTGATAAGTGTTCAAAAGTGTGCCCAAGGCCTTTTCCTCTCCTGTGGTTAATACTGAATTGGAAAATAGTGTCTGAAGAATCTCAGATGATGTAAATGTGGGATGAAGAGGTGGGGTGGGAGACCTTGTGTGATGGTTTCTGAATTATGAGTCTTTAAAACCTACCTGCAGCCAGGCGCGGCGGCTCACACCTGTAATCTCAGCACTTTGGGAGGCCAAGGTGGGTGGATCGCCTGAGGTCAGGAGTTCAAGACCAGGCTGGCCAACATGGTGAAACCCCATCTCTACAAAAATACAAAAATTAGCCGGGCATGATGGTGGGTGCCTGTAATCCCAGCTACTCGGGAGGCTGATGTGGGAGAATCGCTTGAATATGGGAGGCGGTGTTTGCAGTAAGGCGGGATTTCACCCTTGCACTCCAGCGCCTTCCAGTCTGGGTGACTGAGTGAGACTCTGTCTGAAAAACAAACAAACAAACAAACAAACAAACAAACACTTGCTATTTTCCCTGAGGGAAGATGGTATGAAGCTCATTAGTATCAACTACTTCCTAAAATGTTTTGAGGTAAAAAAAAAAAAGTTTTCTTTCTTTAACCAAAACTACAAATCATTAGTGAGATTTTGGGTTAAATGTTTATTTTATTCCCTTCTAGCTGACATCATTTTAAGAGTAAAAATTTAAACTACAATAAGAGCTTGAAGAGTGGGATTTTTATGTGTAAAACACTTAAAATTTAATTTAGAGCTAATATAATTGTTTTGTTTTAATCTGCTGTTGGAAGTATTTCTAGAATGTATCTGTCCACAATTCTTCCAATGTGATTAAAGTATTCTAAAGATAATTGAGCATTTTAAGAGGATCTTGTGATTTCTGGAGTTATTGCACAATTTCTGAAGACAAGAAGAGTGTGGGTGATTAGACTGGGTCCTAATGCTAGAGAATGACCTGGATTTTTCCTTTTGGGGTGGGAGAAGTAGATGCTTTATCCCTGGTATGAGCAAGTTTATTCTAATGAGGGACTTTCACCTTTCTCTAACAGGTAGCATGTCAAAAATTGGTTGGGGTTCTGATTAGTTAATTCCTAGTTAATTAAAGCTCTGGTATTTAGAATATAACTTCCCAGAGGGTCTTAGGAGGAAAGTTCATTTTTTCTGTTTAGGTTTCTAAAGATTTGTTTATTTATTATAACTTTTTTTCACAACAAATAGAAATGAAGTGCTTTGCAGGAGAATTCTAATTTGCATAGAACCTTATGTGGATAGCACTGGGTCTATGTGTACACACATGCAATGTACATATATTCATGTACACACACAAACATATACATATAATATTATCATACAGTATGCATTGCTCTGTCTGCCTTTTTTTCACTTATCAATGTATTTTGAAGATCTCTGCAGGTCTCTAATCCTTTTTAATGGCTGCATAATATTCCACAGTATCAATGCATCACAATTTCTTTAACTTACCTCCTAATGGACATTAAGTTGTTTCCAAGTTTAACTCCAATTAATACTGCACCAAAACAATCCTCGAATGTACTAACCTTTGAACCCATAAGAGAGTATTTATTTAGTTTCCTAGAAGAATTTCTGGATTAAGAGGCTGAATTTAACACTTTTCTACATAGTGCCAACCTAAGGCATTAGTCTATGTGTCTACCTGCTGGTCCATAACGTAGTTCCTGGAGAAAGTGGATCTTAAAAGAGATGAATAATTAAATCTGCAAGAGTTTCAAATATCTCTTCATAGCATTCCAAAATATAACTCCCTTCTCTACTTCCCATAACCATGCCAATCAGTCTCCTTACTTGCAGAAGAGGAAGGTAGTTGCTGTCTACTTTCTATACTTCTTGGCACTTGTCCTACAACAACCAGTCGTATCATATTTTTATGCTAGTAACTTTCACTGCCCTTGCAAAGTCATTTCTTTGAGTTGTCCTGAAAAGAACAGGATCTCAAGGTGGGTCGTGGTGGGCAAGGATCCCACCAGGCTTAAACTGAGGTGACAACAGGATTTTCCAGTGGTGGGGATCCTCTGGACCATGGGGAAGGCATGCAAGCGGCACTGGGAATGGACAAGAGCAGGGCTGGAGCACATAAAGTGGACCTGAGACGGTGGCACTGGGCTTTATGTGTGCTATGGGAAACAGAGAAGAACCTAAGGGAGAGGGTGTTTATTTGAAAGCGGTGAGTTTGGAAAATGATATTGAGGAAATAAGCAGGCTGAATAGAAGGCACCCGAAAAAGAATGCCAGGAGAGAAAGTGAGCGACAACACCAGGGGACAAGACAATGGTAATTCCATAATTAGGTATGATCTGAGATCAATATGGTCTGTTTGCTTTGTGTTCACTTGTCCTTCATTCAATTGCTGCTCTTTGGTGTTATTTCTTGCCACGCTTTTCAATACTTTATGTGGCATGTGCAGTGCAGTGTGTGTGTGTGTGTGTGTGTGTGTGTGTGTGTGTGTGTGTACGTGTGCATTTTCCTTGAGGGATATTTTAATGCATGATTTGTGAGTAAGTTTGGATTCTCAAAACGTGGCAATGCCAAAACAGAGAGAAGAAGTTGCTCATTGCCAACTCTGAGGTGCAGTGGCAGTTCTCTTCAACAGGGGCCTGTTTTCCAGAATCCAAAGAAGGGTATAAGTACAGCATCTTGCAAGTCATGCAGCAAAACAGGTAAGAGATGGCCCCTCTTTCCCCTTGTGTTGAAATGTTGGTAATGCTATTTTTTGACATGAACAATATAGATATATTGCGGAGGAGAACACAGAATTTACGTCAATTTTTATGATAAAACATGAGTGGCCAAGGAAATTTCAAACCTGCTGCTGGTTGCTTCAGGCTGTACTACTCAAATAAACCAAAACATTTCTTTTCATATACTTTGAACTCTGATTTCATCGTCTTTTCCATCTGGACTGTTAGGCGGGGACGACCAGACTCTCTTTCTTTAATAGTCTATGTAATCATTGAAGGGCCTATCTTTGTTATTTTAAAATGAGGATCTGTGCATGTTTTATGAAATTCATCCTATCCCACTTCAGTTCATCAGCTGGCCCAGATAGGTTACTTTAAAGAAAACCGGGAGAAGACCAGCCAGCCTGAGAACCTTGGAGAAGTGTTGGCTTTCAAATGGTTTCTGAAGTTAGGCAGATGTTTACTCTCTGTCATGGTTTGAATGCTCGCCCCTCTAAAACTCATGTTGAAATTTAATTGTCAATGTAACGGTATAAGGAAGTGGGGTTTTAAAACATGATTAGGCCATGAGGGCTCCACTCTCTTGGGTGGGCTTACTGCCTTTACAAAGAGGCTTTGGAGAGTAGGCTGTCTCTCTTCTCACCCTCTAGCCTTCCTCCATATTATGACACAGCAAGAAGGTTCTCGCTGGATACCAGCACCTAGATCTTAGATTTTCCAGCCTCCAGAACTGTGAGAAAATGATTTTCTCTTCTTTGTAAATTATCCAGTCTGTGGTATTCTGTTCTAGCAGCACAAAAGGGACTAAGACACGCTCATTCCTGCTTGTTACTACAGCATGGCTCCTACGAAGAGCGCCAAAACCTGCAGGGAAGTTGTGCTTTGGATGAACCTCTTACTTCTTGGGCATGGAAGTCCTTTCACCAAGAACAGAGACAGCCCTTGCCAAATCTAAACTCACCGGGCCTATGTTATTTCAGGTGAAAACACTGTGTTTGTTCCAGGCACAAACACATACAGGTGACTCATCAGGTTCTAAGATGGAACATAATGACACAAGAGTACCAGGCACAAAACCATGCTCTCAAGCCACTCAGAAGGCACTTTAGATGATGAAAACCAAACAGAAGCTGAGTGACCAACCTCCCCACCCCCATCACACTCAGCAGGCTGAGCAGAGTCACAGAACACACACACCTGGGTGGAACAGATGGCACCCCGGTGCTATTGTTATTTTACAGTCTGGCTGAATGGCAAGCTGAACTGTCAAGGACAATATGTAGACTATTGCAGTTAAACAGGGGATTGTGTCTCCCAAGAAAGGATTCCACCATCTCGGTGGAGTTAAGTATAGCTTCTCCACACAGGGGAAGTGAGGACAGCTGAGATTTTCCAGGAGAAGTGATTTAGATTATATAAAGACCCTTAATGAATTATTTCCAGGCATTGTCTGCAGTGTCATATTGCTTGAGCTTTCCGTTAGCAGCTTCCTGGAAAAGAACTTCTGCTTGTCTGGGTCTTGAGTTTCTGTTGCTTACAGCAGCCAGAGTTGCCATCTGTGCACATATAGAGCATATATTTTAAATTTTGACATTTCCAAAATATGACTGTTTTGTAAAATTATTTGGATAAAATATGTCTGATGGGAAAGCACACAGCCTGTGTGTGAGAACTTGGGAAGCAAACTGACGAGAGGCTCCTGGCAGGTTGTATTAATTCTTAACATGCAAAACAGCCACATGTTGGAAGCTAATACTGGAGCAAGGCTGAAATCTATTATTATTTCAGAGTATTAGCATTGTTTGGTGTAGAATAACTTAACCGTAATGACACATTGAGAAATCAATATGACACGAGAGCCAGTGCGCATTTTCTTAAAGATGAACTGGCTGATGGTTTTAGCAATGTTTTAACAGAAGGAATAAGCAAATTTCAAAAGTAAATGAATCCGAAGCTGATAAGCAAGTAATACATTTGTAGTACATGAATGATTTTGTTTGAGTTTGCGATTATCACCATATTGCTCTAGAAATATATAGTACGGCCTTTTACTTTGTGTTCCAATTACTCCACATGTCCTATAGTTGTATGCATTTTATATATTTGTCATTCATAAGCAAGGAACTCAAATTTTCTGTTCTTAAAAAACACTCAATTTAGTATTGTTTGACAGGATGGTATGAAAAGTTGAAGATGGAGAGAAAAAAGGCTGGATTGTAATTTTAGTGACCAAAAGAGAAAATAATATCCTCCTCTAAGATTCCTTACTCTATTTTGTCAAAGTGGAAGTAACTTAACTTTTTGCTGCTAATTATAAGAAAATTAAATTCTTGTTAAAAGTAATTTGAGTAGTACAGAAGTATAAAGTGAAAGGTGAAGGTATCTCTGTAATCCCACCCCACCGAGATTACAACTGTTAACAGTTTGATATGTGTATTTCTTGATTTCTAAATGCATAGGTATAAGCAAATATGTATAAATAAAACAATTGAGGTTATTTGGAATCCACTGCTCCATAAGCTGCTTTTTCATTTGACTGGATCTCTAGGACACCTTTCCATGTCAGTAAATATAGATCTAACATTTAAAAAGATGCTCCATAATTTATTTCACTAGTCTACCGACAGGTATTTAGTTGGTTTCAAATTTTTCACTTTTATAATCAATGTTGCAGGCATTATTTTGTACATATCTTAGAGTATAGTTTTTCAATTATATTCTTAGAATGAATTATCACAAGTACTGTTGCAGCTTTTTTTTCTCCTAAATTTTTAAGCAAAATACCTAAGTTTTAGGGTATAAGCCCCTCTCATTATCTACAAAGTGATTTATTATCCACAGTGAGACTGAATTCCTGGCTGAATTTCTCCTGTTACCAGCAGTCATGGGAGATGGAATTCTAAGGGGGCCCCTGAGGTTCCAGCCCTCTTGTGTACACACCGCTATGAACCCTTCCCTTCTGCAAATATGACAGGATATCACTTTTGTGACTGGGTTACTTACCAGTTAACTTTGAGTTAATCACAGGGGATATTATCTAGGTGGGTCTGACCTGGTCATGGGAGCCATTTTGAAGAGGGTAAAACATCCAGGGTGACCTGGTGCTTGCCAGGAAGGAAGCAAACAGCCACTTTGGGAATTACCTAAGGGCCTAATGGCCGGGAACCAGAGCACCGCTTTGAAGGTGAGATGAGTCCCTGGCCAGAGACCTGTGTCCTACAACCACAGGGAAATGGATTCCATCAACAACTCGTGAGCTTGGGTGAGAACACTGAGCCTCATACGAGGTAACAGCCCCAACCGACATCGTGAAGTCCCTGAGCAGAGCACTCCCATTAACCTGTACCGAGGCTAAGTTTGCCTTGGTTAAGTTCCTAACTTAGTGGTAATTTATCACACAGCAATAGAAAATAAATGTGACAGCAAACACAGGCAGGGTACTTCCAGCATGTTCTGGATTTTCTCCAGCTATCATACCTGGGGAAGTGAACCCTTCCCTAGCACCTATCCTACAGAGAATGTGGTAGCCAGCTCTAGGGGTGAGCCTGAGGCTCCATGGCCATAGCCTTCTTTCTAGACACCATAGTCTTGCCCTCAGGAGGATTTCTCCATATAAGAATCCAACTTTGCCTTCTCAGTTCTTAGAACTTAGGTCAGCTAACTAAAAGGCCTTTCTTAGTGACTTTTGTAACTTTAGCAGTTTTAAATTATTTAATTGACTTTACCTTTTCTCAAGAGATAAATAACTAATTAATACTGGTATGGTCTATTGATTCTTATTTTATTACAAGGATTATGACCTACTACCATCTTATCATTTTGATGCTCAGGTGGTCCTGGGTTTTTCCAGAGGGTGCTCCATTAAGCCAGCCCCAGTGTCCTTCTGGCCCATCTCATTATTTTTTGAGCACTTCTTTATGTGTTCTGGCACAACAATGTATTCTAGGCTTATCTGGTACTTTCCATGGATCCTTTCCTTTCTCTAGACTTATCTGGTACTTTCCATGGATCTCCTCTCCTCTCCTCTCCTCTCCTGTCCTCTCCCCTCCCCTCCCCTCCCCTCCCCTCCCCTCCCTTCCCCTCCCCTCCTCTTTCTCTTTCTTTCTTCTCTTTCTTTCTTTCTCTCTCTCTTTCTTTCTTTCTTTTCTTCCTTTCTCTATCTCTCTTTCTTTTTCTTTTCTCTCTTTCTTTCTTTCTTTCTTTCTTTCTTTCTTTCTCTCTCTCTCTCTCTCTCTCTCTTATTTTGTTTGAGGAAGGGTCTTACTCTGTCACCCAGGCTGGAGTACACTGGTGCAATCATAGCTCACAGCAACCTGGACCTCCTGAGCTTAAGTGACCTCCCACCCCAGCCTCCTGAGTAGCTGGGACCACAGGTACACACCACCATGCCTGGCCAAATTCACTATTTCTAATTCCCTTTTTTAATGGTGGGAAACCTGGCTCTGATTATTTATTCATTTGCTCAATCCCACATAATATAGAAAAAGCTTCAGTGTTGCAAACACATACCGTTGAGATAAACAAACATTCTAATTGAAGTTCAATATCTATTTAGTTCTTTTTGGTTTTAAACTGAGGAGAAATAGAGTACTGCATTCAAAATTACTTGGAATAGGTTTTTTTAATTAATTAAACATTTTTTTCTTTTCTCCAGTATGGATATGTTACTCATCTGAAGTAATATTAGATTCATTTGTTTCTGTTTGGTTTATCCTATTTTAATTTTCTTTTCTTTTTTTTTTGAAACAGAGTCTTGCTCTGTCGCCCAGGCTGGAGTGCAGTGGCGCAATCTCGGCTCACTGCAAGCTCCGCCTCCCAGGTTCACGCCATTCTTCTGCCTCAGCCTCCGGAGTAGCTGGGACTACAGGCACCCGTCACCACGCCCGGCTAATTTTTTGTATTTTTAGTAGAGACGGGGTTTCACCGTGTTAGCCGGGATGGTCTCGATCTCCTGACCTCGTGATCTGCCCGCCTCAGCTTCCCAAAGTGCCGGGATTACAGGCGTGAGCCACCGCGACTGGCTTAATTTTCTTTTTTATCCTTTTTTAATTACCCATTTTATTCTTTTTTTTTTTTCTTAAGAGATGGGGTCTTGCTATGTTGCTCAGGCTGTTCTCAAACTCCTGGCCTCAAGTGATCCTCCCACCTCAACCTCCCAAAGTCTAGAATTACAGGCATGAGCCACGGCACTCAGCCTTTTTTTTTCCTTACTGAGCAGGAAATATCTCAATAAGAGTTTATCTTCAGAAGTCCTTTTTGCCCCAGAAACTGAGTTTTAGATGCAGGGATCCTCTTGATCTTAAATGGCGTCCTCTAGGGAAAATGTGGTGGTTCTCAGCTGCTTCAGCGCAAGCTCTCCAAGCCCGTCTACTCAGCATGAAAATCTAGGAGGGGTGAGCTGAAGAACTGTCCTCATCTCCAGCAAAGTCCTTATAGTGGAAGGACGCATCCTTGAATGGATGACATCTCCTTACCAAACACAGTGCCCCAGTGCATATACATGGATGTAGCATCAAAGTACAGACAGCAAGCAAAAAACACGAAGAGAAATGTGCACAACACAAGTCTGCCAAATCTCTCTCAATCATACAGGTTAAGGGGAACAAAAAAATAAGTATCCTGGATTGGAATATGGATTGAAAAAATATTGCTTTGGAGGAGAATATTGGGAAAACTGGTGAAATGTGAATAAAGATAATATTAAATATATTTGATATTATATAATGGCATTGTATCAGTATTCAATTTCCTGAATTAAATATTTGCTCTTTGGTTTACAGAGATGGTTCTTGTTCTTAGGAGACACATGGTAGAGAATCTGGGGGTGAAGGGTCATTATATCTGCAACTTACTCTCAAATGGTTCACACACACACACAGACATATACACATCCACACACATCTACATATACACATACACACATTCACATACATATATATACACACAATCCACATATCCACACATAGACATCCACACACGTGCACATCCACATACACATATTCACATCCACACACACACACACCTCCACATATACACCTCTACATATACACACATCCACATATACACATATACACATTCACATACATCTACATATATGCATACACACATTCACATACATATACACATACGTGCACACAGCACATATCCACATCCACACGTGTACACATCCACATATTCACATACATACATACACACATCCATCCACACACATCCACATACATGCATTCACATACATATATGTATGCAGGCATCCACATGTGTACATATACACACCCATACATTCACATCCATATACATCCACATATACTCATCTGCATATACACATGTACACAATACACATATCCATACATACACATTCACATACATACATGCGCACATACATGTATACACATACACACCTGTACACACATACAAATGGCAAAGTGTGAGTAGCTGGTGAAGCATATATGGCGGTTCATTGACATTATTCTTATAATTTTCCTGTAGTTTTGAATTTCTTCAAAATAAAAAGTAAAAATATTGATAAGTAATAAGACAGATCAATTTTACATATGACAGACCAGCCACATCATGCATCTATGTTGAAATCTCTACACTTTTATTCAGACACCCATGTCAGAGTCACAAAAAAGGGACCACATTTTAAGCTACAACAAAACTTCCATAAATTTCAGAAAGAAAGTAAACAGTTTCATTATTAAACAAGAAATAATGAAAATAAAGGGTATTCTATTCAAGAAGTTAAGAAAACGATCAACAAAACATCTAAATAAAGCAGAAGGGTGGGATTAAAGTAGATAAAAAATCAGAAATAAGTGTATTTGTAAACAGAAAAACAATCATGCTAAAGAAAAAACCCAAGCACTGGTTCTTTGAAATAATCAGTGATGTAGATAAACTATCAGTGGTTTAATTTAAAAACACATTGTTATGGAGAGTTGTGCAAAACCCACTCATGTAGTTCAATCTATTAATAAAGCAATGAAGAAAAATTATACTGGAATCTCAAGAGTTGCTCAAAGTCACTTAATAAATTGTAATGCTCGATATGCGGGGGGCCCTTCAGGCCTAAGCTTCATTAGCTGTATGCAAAATCCACCGAACTTTGCCTCTGGATCCCAGGGTCCTGCGGGGACAATTCAAGTGTCTGCCTAGCATAGAGTTATGCTTGCCTTAGCCGAGGGATGTGCAGGAGAGAGTGGCTGCGGGAATCTCCACAGGACTCAAGGCAGTGTCCAAGAGAAAATGTCCAGTGCATACCTGCCAGACAGAGGGGAGCAACTCCTAGCTGAGTAAGGATTGCTGAGTGCCTGGCCTCTTCCCCACATGCCAGTCATATTCACCCAGGTGGGTTCTGGGGAGGAAGCTTGGCCCAAAACAATGACCAGGAAATGGAGGAGGAGGTGGGCATAGACAGGTGGAGAGCAGAGGCTACCCACACTTGTGCCTGAAGGGGATATGAAGACGAATATGAGAAAGGTGGGGAGAAGTCTAACTCTTGACTGAGGGAAGCTTTTGATAACTAACTGGACACCCTGATTTATGACACTGAGACTTTGGCTTAAAGTGTTTGTAAGACTTCTGCTTCCCAGGAATGAGCTGAAAAATCAGAGGCTCTGGTGGAGTTTCCATCTGTGGCAAGGAAGGATTCCCCCGCACTGAGTAAAGTGAACAGGGCCAGTGGGAGATAAAAGTTAGGTGTGTTTTGCTGTCATCCTTCTCTCAGTTTATCTCTCTTCTTACATTTTACTATAAATTGCAAGAAGAGACCAAATGATATCTTCAGCTCTTTTCTTGGAAATCTCTTTAGACAAACAGGTTCATCAGAAGCATATTATGCTTTCTATGTAACTGCAGATGACAACTTTGCTAAGCTTTCTGCCACTACATAACAAGGATCCCTTTCCTCTAGCTTCTAAGAACATGCTCCTTACTTCCTTTTGAGCCCTCACTGGCGGCACCCTCAAAGTCCAGATTTCTACTCACCAGTCTTTAGACTTTTTCTATGATGCCACTCAAAATCCTTCCCGCTGCTGTTCACTGCCTAGTTCCAGAGCCACTCTTACATTTTAATTTGTTATGGAAGCACCCCACTTTCAGGTACCAGAATCTATACTAGTTATCCATTGCTTCATAACCAATTATAGTAAACTTAGCAGCCTAAAAGAGCACACATTTATTTCCTCACAGCTTTTTGTCTTTTGTATTGTATTGTATTGTATTTTATGGAGACAGGGTTTCACTTTGTTGCCCAGGCTGGTCTGAATCTCCTGGGCTCAAACAATCCTCCTGCCTCAGCCTCCCAAGTAGCTGGTAGTACAGGCATGTGTCACCACATCCAGCTAATTTTTTTTTGTAAAGATAGGGAGGGTATTTCGTTGTTGCTCAGGCTGGTCTTGAACTTCTGGTCTCAAGCAATCCTCACTCCTCAGCCTCCCAAAGTGCTGGAATTACAGGCGTGAGCCACCATGCCCAGCCTGTTCACAGTTTTTGAAGGTTGGGGATTCAGGCATGGCCTAGCTGGATTATCTGTTCTAGGGTTTCTCACACAGCTGAATCAAAGTGCAGACCGGGGCTGGGGTCTCATCTGAAGGTTCTACCAGGGGAGCTTCCACATCCTGGCACACAGTAGGATTCAGTTCCTTCTGGATTGTTGAATTGATGGCTCCAGCTCCTAGCTGGCTATTGGCTGGAGGCCACTCACAGTTCTCACCATGTGGGCCTCCTCAACATGGCAATTTGCTTCATCAGAACTGACAAGGAAAAGAGTCTACTAGCAAAACGGAGTCACAGCCTTATGTAATCTAATCATGGAAGAAGCGTCTCATCATCTTTGCTATATCCTGTAACTTTACAAGATAAAGTTTTGTAACTGGCCTCTGATGAAGAGTTGAAGATGAATTTTGAAAATAGTCTTACTTCAATTGGAATAAAAATTTAAAGTGAATATTATAAATTTATTGAAATTGTTTAAAGAAGTTCCTAAAAAGGTACCTTTGTCAACAGGTTTCTCTACTGTGAGTGTTATTCAAGCCAAACTAGAAATGGTTTAGCTGTATATTATGCCCTGTGAGCAGAACTGTTGTCAATCCAATCTGGGTTATATATGTTAACAAGCGAGAAGAAGGCTCGTTTGCTGTATTAAAAACTTTACATATTTTTCTTTAGTTCTCTTTTTGGTTATGCATTGCTATAGAACAAACTACCCTCAAGACTTAATGGCTTAAATACAAGAACCATTTTATTATCTTTTTTTTTTTTGATACAGGGTCTCAGTCTGTTACCCTAGCTAGAGTGCAGTGGTGCAATCATGGCTTATGGCTCACTGCAGCCTCAACCTCCTGGGCTCAAGCAATCCTCCGACCTCAGCCTCCTGAGTAACTGGAACTACAAGTACATGCCACCATGCCTGGTTAATTTTTGTATTTTTTGTAGAGACAGGGTCTTGCTATGTTGCCCAGGCTAGTCTTGAATGCCTGGGCTCAAGTGATCCTCCCACCTTGGCCCCGCAAAGTGCTGAGATTACAGGCGTGAGCCACCATGCCTGGCCCATTTTATTATATCTAGTGATTTTTTATGTTAGGATTTCAGACATGGCTCAACAGGCAATTCTGCTTTACCTGGCATTGGCTGGGATCCCTGGGTATTATTCAGCCAGTGGCTACTCTGGTCTGGAGGGTCTAAGACATTTTTGCTCACCTGCCTGGAGCCTTGGAGGGGATGGCTGGAAGACTGGGCTGTACCCCAGATAGAATCAGGGTTTCTCTTTGTGGTCCCTCCAACAAGGTCACTAGATTTTCTACTTGATGTTGTAGGGTTCCAAGAGAAAGGAAGTAGAAATTCCCAGCCTCTTGAGGTTCAGCTCCAGAAAGTGGTAAAGCATGACTTCTCCCACATTTCATTGGTCAATGTGGTCACAGAACCTGTCCAGATTCAACGGGAGGGGACACATCCACCTCCCAGGGGAGGACTGTTAAAGGAGGTATTGCCCAGATTAACTGTCCCACAATTGTAACTGCTGAGCAGCAAAAAGCTTAGAGTGTAATTGCAATTGTATACGATAATTGCCTATACACATCTTCTCAAAGGAGCATGTCCAGTTTTTACAATTGTTTTTTTCCTCATTATGTTAGTTTTGATTATATTTACTGAAATGTATGTTCCCTCTGATTAACCTAAAAATAAAGTTTGGGCTTATATTTTTAAAATTTTATTTTTCTGATAATTTATTTTTGTTGTATTTTACAAAAGTGTGAATCTGAGGATGATAAAAAATTTAGAAAACCCTGGTTCTTACCCTCAGATAGTTTGCATAGTGCTATTATAGAAGATAAGAGAGTTAAATTAGGAAGCAATGTATACATGCTTCCCCCCTTATCATGGGGCTACCCCCCAGCAAACCCATTGTAAAGTTGAAAAGTCTTAAGTCCAATGATCATATATCAGAGACCATCTATACTGGATGGACTATCTGATGGATTGGAACAGGAGGGCAGTGGGGAGGGAGCCAGAACTCAGCCCCTGCTCCTATTCCCAAGCCCAGCTGTCTAGGACCTGGGCGTCCATTCAGAATAGGGATAACTGTTTATTCTCACAGACATGGGATTTGCTCAGCAAACCTGCATGGCTGTTCCCCAGCAGAGTGAGTGCTTTTTCCAAATCTTCCCAGAGAGATGGCTATCCATGGTCAAGCCATGAGCTGTCCAGCCAGAGGGGCAGCCATCTCCAGTTGGCATGGAGGCCCATAGATACTTGTGGCCATGTGAATCAGAGTCCTCATGGTCATCATAAGTGGGACATCAGAGAAAAAGATATTCAGAGTGTGTTAGGCTGTTCTTGCATTGATATATTTTATAATGAGCAATTATAGACTGGGTAACGTATACATAAAAGGTTTAATTGGCCCACAGTTCTGCAGGCTTTACAGGAAGCATGGTGATGGCATCTGCTTGGCTTCTAGGGAGGCCTCAGGAGGCTTACAATCATGGCAGAAGGCAAAGGGGGATAAGGCACTTCACATGGTGAGAGCAGGGGCAAGAGAGAGAGTAGGAGGGAGGTGCCACACACTGCTGAACAACAAGATCTCGGGAGAACTCACTCACTATCGTGAGAACAGCAACAAGGGGATGGTGCTAATCCATCGTCCAATCACCTCCTCCCAGGCCCTGCCTCCAGTACTGGGATTATAATTCAACATGAGATTTTGGCAGGGACAAATATCCAAACCATATCACAGAGTTAAATGTAAAGGCTTGCATTTGGAAAGCCATACCCAACAGCACAAGGTTGGAGGAGAGATGACATGGAAAAGAGGGGCTTTAGTTGACAGTAAGGTCAATATAGGTCAAGATGTCTCCCCCCACCAAATTAACTTAAAAAAAGAGAGAATGTGTTCTTAGATTCCGGTCATGGAAATTCATATCTGGAACAAAGGAAGTGAGAGTTCCACTGTATTCCACCCTGCTGAGAAAATGTATTCATCCACTCATCAATTATGAATGAGCTATCTCCTGGGGTGGATGCTAGGAATACAGAAATGAAGGATACGAGGCTAGCCCCGGGGATGCTGCTCTGTTTCTATTAATCAGAATTTGGTATTCCTTCGTGGGATACCTGCAGAGGGGTTCAGTTCTGATGTTACCCTTTCATGGGGATGTGGAAAATTAGAGTGAATCCCTGAGGACAGAACTGGGATGTGAAGGACTCAGATGATCACATATAGATGATATGTAAAGGAACGGACGATGTTTGATTTAGTGAATAAAAGAGAGGGGACTCTTGTTGCTTTTTTTATGTCCAACACTTATGACCAATCTGAAAGCCACTAGCCATATGGGACTATTTAAAGCTAATTAAAATACAATAAAATAAAAATTCAGTTTCTTAGTTGTAGTAGTCACATTCCCAATGATCAATTGCCGCAGGTGCCTAATACTGGAGGCACAGATGTGGAATATTTCCATCGTCACCGGAAGTTCTATTGGAAAGTGCTGGAAAAGGCTTCCATGTGGGAGATAATTTATTATCTCCATGCTTTATTTAGATGTGAGGGTTGAAATAATGATGATAGATCACTGAAAATTAGAGCAGAATAGATTTTAACTTTGTATTAGGAAAAACTTCTGAGCAGACATAGCTGTCCAGAGACGCCTGCAGGCAGTAAATCCCCTGTTACTCTAAGAATTCAGCTCAGGGTGGCCTGACTGAGATGCTCTGTATGATTGCTGGGGCTGGCCTTTCTCCCCTGGAGTATTCTCCGTGGTGTGGAAGATGTTCTTTATCACATGCCTTTTCTGTTCCAGGGGCTCAGCTCCATGCCTTCCCTGCACAATCACATTTATCGTTTCATTGCAATTCTGCAAGTCAGGTAATATTATCCCCCCTTTTACAGATAAGGAAACTGAGACTCAGCCAGATAAGTTGTTCAGGTTCCGGTAAGTGCAGTGATTCAATGGATCCAGGTTGTCAGATTCCAAAGCTTGTAACTGGGACAACTTAATTCTGATTTTTTAAAATTATGCTCAGTAAATATTAGTTGATTGAACAAATTGCCTCAAGCACATGTTAGTTTCTAAAAAAACAAACAGTTTTTTTGGGTGGCTTATATCTCAATGAAAGTAAAAATAAATTATGTACAGAAGAAAGGATATTAATAATAAAACATTAACATCAGTTAATAGTTCTTGGTAGAATTAAAGGTTTTTTTTTCCTATTTGTCCTTTTTTTTTAAATTGTTGTTTACTCAGCAAAACAAACAAACAACTTAAGAATGGAATATGGGCCCTGAGATAACTTAGTGCCTACACAGAGTATCAGTCAACTGTTGCTGCATAAGAATCCACCCCCAAAACATAGTGACTTAAAACAGCAGAGGTTTATTACTTCTTGTGGTGGTGTGGATTGGCTGGGTGTTTCCTTTGTTGGCTTCTCCAGGGCTTTCCTCTGCGGTTGTATTTAGCTTGAAGCGGGTGGGACTGGAAGGTTTACATGGCCTCACTCAGTGCTGGCACTTGGAACTGTCAGTTGGGGTAGGCTCTCCACGTGGCCCTTGCCCTCCAGGAGATTTCACCCACTTCCTTACAGAGTAGCTTTCAACATCATCAAAGGGTGTTCCAAGGGGCAAAGGTGAAGGTTGTAAGTTCCCTTGCAGCCTAAGCTCTGGACCATGTCACGTTCTGTGGCTCAAAGCCAGCTGACTTGAGGGATGGGGAAATAGAATTAACTTTTTGATGGGGGGAGCTGCAGGACATTACAGCTATGTTTTTAAAAACCTTCCATTTATTGTAAAGCATGCATTTAACCTCACAGAACAGGGCAGAGAATAGTCTAGGGATTGTCTCAAATACCATCTTGAAATGTTGGATTAATTTTTTGGTGGTCTGTGGATAATTTCTTTAGAATGTTCATAGCTGCTATTCATGGTATTCTTACCTCTATATACATCCTATTTTTGGCCTGTGATGGCTACAATATAATCCTGAACATTCAAACACCTAGGCTTTTCCCTTTTGAATGATTACGCTCAAGTAGAAATAATAGATGGAAACCAATAGTTTTTATCCAAGTGAAGGCACTCTAAATGATATTTTCAGGAGGGATTGATGATTGGGAGATAAAAGAAATAAAAACATGATCAAGGAAGCAAACCCAAATGTTTACCAACAGATGAATGGATAAAGAAGTGTGGTATATAGACACGTACAATGAAATATGATTCAGCCTAAAGAAGAAACGAAATTCTGTCGCATGCTGCAACATAGATGAACCTTGAGGACATTATGCTAAGTGAAATACATCAGTTACTAAAAGACAAATACTGTATGACTCTGCTTATACGAGCTACCTAGAATGACGAATTCATAAAAACAGAAGGTAGAATGATGGTTGCCAGGGGCTGGGGAGGGAGAATGGGGAGCTGTTGTTCAGGGGGCACAAAGTTTCAGCTTTGCAAGATGAAAGACCTCTGGAGATCTGCACAATAATGTAGATATACTTAACCCTACAAACCGTACACTTAAAAATGGTTAAAATGGTAAATTTTTATGTTTTTTTTAAGCACAGTTAAAAATTTAAAAATGAAAAAAAACTTGATCAAGGGCAAAAAAAAAAAAAAAAAAAAAAAAGTAGTGCATTCATTCAGAGGTCTTATCCCAGAGTACGGTTCCCAGCCATGGTCTACTTCTGTGCCTTTAGTTCTGGAAGCCTTGCTTCCCAGTGAGAACAGAATCAGGAGACCCTTTGAAAGAAGAAAGTAAGACCGGGAGCAGTGGCTCACGCCTGTAATCTAAGCACTTTGGGAGGCCGAGGTGGGTGGATCATAAGGTCAAGAGATCCAGACCATCCTGGCCAACATGGAGAAACCCTGTCTCTACTAAAAATACAAAAATTAGCTGGGTGTGGTGGCACACACCTACAGTCCCAGCTACTATGGAGGCTGAGGCAGGAGAATCGCTTGAACCCGGGAGGTGGAGGGTGCAGTGAGCCGAGATCACGCCACTGCACTCCAGCCTGGCGACAGAGTGAGACTCCGTCTCAAAAAAAAAAAAAAAAAAAAAAAAAGGAGGAAAGTAAAGGAAAGTAAATAATATCTGGAGAAGATAGGGTTCCTGTCTTAGAAAAGCCCAAATGCAGCCTGTTGGTTGGAGCAGTTGAGTTAGTAAGCCACTCCACAGTGACCAGAAGACCTGCTTTATGCCATTTGTTTTAACTACGTTGCCGCGTAGGCACCCACTCAGCTGAGGGCCTTAAATGCCACCTGCAATAAAATAAAAACCTTACAGTTGCCAACCATTTCATCTGGTTTTGCCCTGAGAATCTGCAAATCCTCTTCCATTGGTCAGAAGTTTCACAGCTGAAGAGATAGGTAATATTCTTGATGAAGTCAGTTCAAGATCAAGACAATGGAAATTTCTTGCAACGACTTTCATCTTCTGTGTCTATTGGTCGCATAACTTAAGCGTGTTGGTATCTCTGTTAGTGGTGAAGTCGGCTGCAAACCACAAAACACCTGACTGCTACGGAAGATATTAACAGGGACTTTTTTCCTTCTGCATAACAGGAAGTCTTGAGTAGGTAGTCGAGGTTGGGTAGAGGACACTTCTGTTTCAATTCTACATCCCTAGGGCTTTGGAATATGAATGATTCATGTTGCCTTGTGGTGGCTAAATGGCTACCGTCCCCTGTCCCTGGAGGCCTCACAATTCTTTTCCAGGTAGGGAGAAGGGGGAGAAGGGTGGAGCACACTAAATGGCAAACAAATGTACCAGCTGAGTCTGTGTGTTCATCTGGAATGCAAAGCTTTTCTGGAAGCCTCTCCCAGCAGACATCTCGCTGGCCCAAACCAGAACCCTACCCTATGACCACTGCTAGCTGCAAAGTGGCTGGGGGACAAGAGGGTATTTTTGGAGTGGGCTTGCTCAGGCAGGTAACAAGGCTACTGAAGTTAGTCATTAAAACCTTCTTTTTTTTTTTTTTAGACAGATTCTCACTTTGTCACCCAGGCTGGAGTGCAGTGGTGTGATCTCTGCTCACTGCAACCTCTACCTGCTGGGTTCAAGCAATTGTCCTGCCTCAGCCTCCCGAGTAGCTGGGATTACAGGCGCCTGCCACCATGCCCGGCTAGTTTTTTTATTTTTAGTAGAGACGGGGTTTCACCATGTCTGCCAGGCTGGTCTTGAACTCCTGACCTCAAGTGATCTACCCTCCTTGGCCTCCCAAAGTGCTGGGATTACAAGTGTGAGCTACCACGCCCCGCCCATCAAAACCTTCTTAAAGGGGCACACATCCATATAATGCCCCCCAACTCCACACACCACTGTCTCTCCAGCAGTCACAAGCTGGAAATGGAGCTCCACCCTTGTGGCAGGGAATGCTTGTGCATAGGCCTCTGAACAGCCAGCCTATGCCTACCATCCACGTCCCAGGTCCTACTTCTAATAACTTCCTTTACAATGATAAATCCCTTAAAGATGGGAAAATTCTCATATCTCAATCTATTTGCAGGTATACCATACCTTGAATTTTGTTTGTGCTTAATATATATTTGCTGATTTTCTGAAGTGATTGAATTCTTTTCCTCTAAAGACAATTCCAGACTGTTCCAGGGGTGAACCTTGGGAATGGAGAATGGGAGCACTTCTTAGCTGGATCTTAGGAACATTGGAGTTTTCTACCAGATAACACTGAATGACATTATCTTTCTGTAAGTTCTCTGTTATGGCTGGTGCTTTAAGCTCATGCCTCTCCCTCCAGCCTCCATCTCTTGCTGGGTCTCTGTTGGCAGGTGTGTACCCAGGTACATCCAGTAGCTGAGTTGGTGACAGAAAGAACTGAAAAAACACAATCTCCAGCCTCCACATGATGAAAATCACAGGGTTGTTTAAATAGAGGGGGCTATTAATATAGATTTGTCCTTTTCTCCCTCCTTCTGCTTAATCATTGTCAGGAGGGCGGTAGAAAATAGTCTGCACACCAACAAGGCTCTGGAATAACTAATTGAATACTATAAACTTCCACCCAGGATTACAAGGAGGGACAGTTGCCTCTCCAGGGTGCTCATTTTGTTTCCGGATCCTGGCACAGGTTGGTCCCAGGCTCCTCTGCCGGGGCGACTATGTCCAGGGCCTTTGGGAACCACGGGCTGATTTGTATGTTCTCATTGTAACAGTTTCTGAAGCCTCAATTTCTGAGGTCTTCCATGGCACACTATAATTTCAGGATTGACAATGATGCTGACAAGAGTGAAAAGAAAACATATTTAGGGAAACAGGAATTTCTCTCAACCTTTATTTTGACATTCAGCAGTAGATGATGGATGTTTTAAATTACTCTTGATAAGAAGCTATCAGTAGGAGTTATTTTGTTTCACAGATACCTGGCAGGTCAAAAACACACTCAAATTGAACAAATATTCTCAAATTAAGTACGGGGAATAGTAAGGCCGAGTAGCTCATGCTGCAGAGAGGAAGCACATCTAAAGCTACAGTGAGTGCTCAAGGGAGCAACTCCTACATCATTTCCACAAGAAGCAAAGAAGAGACAATGGCTGGGAGTCAGAATGGAAATTAGGTGCTTGCTAGTTTAATCTGGAGAGCTGGAACTGACTTAAGGAAGAGGTGGAGAAAACCTACCACCCGGGCTGTCGGGAAGCTGGGGAGCTTGGACTGAAAGAACACGTTGTTTCAAGGACTCTTCATTTTCAAATGTCTTTCACAATTTACTTAATCTCTCCGAGGCCTTAGTTTCCTCATCTATAAAATGGGCTGGTAATATCCTCATTGTTGCTGTGAGGGCCAAGGAAGTGATGCATATGAAACTGCTTTGAAAACTGTGATGTACTCAGCTACGTGGGAGACTGAGGCTGGAGGATTGCTTGAGTCCAGGAGTTTGAGGCCAACCCAGGCAACACTGAGAGACCCTGTCTCAAAAAACAACACAAGAAAACAAAACTGTGATGCATCATGCAGCTGCTTTTCTTTGGATAAATAATATTTGCTAAGTAAAGATAGTAGATGTTCCTCCTTTGCAAACCATTTTCAACTTCTAACACAGCTATTAGAAGTTGTAAGTTACATATATAAAATTTATATTATTTGTAAATAATATTCATTGTGCAAACATTTACTGAGCACCTCTGTGTGCCATGCACTGTGCTTGGTGGCAGAGATATAAATCCATTGATAATTTTCTCACTGTAAATTCCTACAAGTTCTTTCTTTCTTTTTCTTTTCTTTCTTTCTTTTTTTTTTTTTTTTCTGTGACAGGGTCTTATTCTGTCACCCAGGCTGGAGTGCAGTGGCACAATCATAGCTCACCGAAGCCTCAACCTCCTGGGCTCAAGTGATTCTCTTCTCTCAGCACCCGCAAGTAGCTGGACTACAGTAGGGGCATGCAACCATGCCAAGCTAATTTTTGCATTTTTTGTAGATGTGGTTGTGCCATGTTGCCCAGGCTTGTCTCAAACTCCTGGGCTCAAGCCATTTACCCGCCTTGGCCTCCTAAAGTGCTGGGATTATAGGCAGGATCCACCACGCCGAGCCCCTATAAGTTATTTCTTTAAAATTATTGGGTTTACATGGAATACTATGCAGCCATAAAAAAATGAATTCATGTCCTTTGCAGGGACATGGATGAAGCTGGAAACCATCATCCTCAGCAAACTAACACAGGAACAGAAAACCAAACACCACGTGTTCTCACTCATAAGTGAGAGTTGAACAATGAGAACACATGGACACAGGGAGGGGAACATCACACACCGGGGCCTGTCAGGGGGTGAGGGCAAGGGGAGGGAGAGCATTAGGACAAATATGTAATGCATGCAGGGCTTAAAACCTAGATGATGGGTTGATGGGTGCAGCAAACCACCATGGCACATGTATACCTATGTAACAAACCTGCATGTTCAGCACATGTATCCCAGAACTTAGAGTAAAATAAAATAAAATAATTTAAAAGATAAAGTTATTGGGTTAAAGTAAGTGCAAATTTTAAAGATTTTTTATGTGTATTAACCAAATTGATTTCCAGGAAGAGCTTACTCTTTCATAGTTTATGAGAAGTGTTGGTTTTTCTGCCCTTTTGACAACACAGGGCATCATTTGAAATTTTTGTGCTGTCCTGGTTTATTATTTTAATTTTCATTTATTTTGTTGTTAATGCAACTGGATTTTTAAAAAATGTGCTTAATGTATTTTACTATTATAATCATATTAAATTAGTGTTTTGTATAAAGCGCCCACAGCAAAACCAAGCAAAAAAGAATATTGTCCTGTCTCTTTCTTCTACTTGCTGGATCATGATTCTCATGAGTGGATGAGAAGGAAGCTGTGGGCTTTGGCAGGTCTAGAGAGAAGCTTGAAGTGACATCTAGGAAGGAGGGTCTCCCTTGGAGTCTTGGAGGGGCCATCGAGGGCTGAGAGAGACCGTGGTGGGGCAGACAGCACTATCCAGCCTCATCCACAGAGGTGGCATTTTCCAGGCTCTGGCTCCTATAAAGGTGTGGGTGACTTCTGAAGCTGGATCTATGGGCCACCCCACAGGAACAAATGGTCATGGTTGGAAATTCAGATGCCTTGGGAAGTACCAGTGAAAACACTGTCTAGTGGCTGTCTGCTACTCCTGGTTGCTTGAAAAATTTTTTTTGTGTGTTTGGTAGAATACATATAAAATTTCCCATCTTAACCATTACTAAGGGTACAGTCCAGTGTCACTAAGCACATCCATATTGTGCAACCATCGCCACCGTCCATCTCCAGAACCTTTCATCCTCCAGAATGGAAACTCTGTATGCATTAAACAATCACTCCCCATTCCCTGGTCCATGCAGCCCCTGGCAAACTCCATGATATGAATGGAGGCTCTGTCTCTATGAATGTGGCCACTCTAGGTACCTCATATAAGTGGGATCCTACAGGATTTGTCCTTTTGTCATGGGCTTATTTCACTAATGTGTTCAAGGTTCATGCGTGTTGTAGCATGTGTCAGAATTTCCTTCCTTTTTAAGGCTGAATCATATTCTGTTTACTCTTGCAGCCCCCTTTGGGGCCTTATGAGGCTTCTATGTTCATGGAGGTGCCAGCATTATGCTGGGGACCCAGCCTAAGATGAACCCACCTGGGAAAACCTCATGGAACTGAGCTGCAGAGCCTTCCTCACGGTCCTCCCCCTCCATCCCTCTCAGGTCCCCAAAGGAGACCAGGAGGCCTCTCCTGATTCATCTGAGGAGGGTTTGGTGGGCTGGGAAGTGTCCTTCCACTTACTTGGAGCTTTTCGGCAGCCAAATCTCTATCTTTCTCCGTATAATAGGTTCTCTCCCTGTTTTTGCAGGGAGTTGGTGGTGGGATTTGTGACAGTATGGAAATAGTAAAGACAGGCCCAAAGGGTAACCATACAGGAAAATATCTATTACCAGGTGAAAATTCCCCTTTTAAAAAAATGTGGGCTGGGCACAGTGGCTCACACCTGTAATCCCAGCACTTTGAGAGACTGAGGTGGAAGGATTGCTTGAGCTCAGGAGTTCAAGACTAGCCTGGGCAACATAGTGAGACCTCATCTCTATAAAAAAAAATACAAGAAATTGGCTGGGCATGGCGGCATGCACCTGTCCCACCTACTCAGGAGGCTGAGGTGGGAGGATTGCTTGAGCCCAGGAGCTGTGATTGTACCACTGCATTCTAGCCTGGGTAATCCTGTCTCCAAAAAAAAAAAATGTGTAGAGTTTGAACAGTTCACTTTTTTTTTTTTTTTTTTGAAATGGAGTCTCACTCTGTCACTCGGGCTGGAGTGCAGTGGTGCAATCTTGGCTCACTGCAACCTCTGTCTCCTGGGGTCAAGCAATTCTCCAGCCTCAGCCTCCCGAGTAGCTGAGATTACCGGCACCCACCACCACACCCAGCTAATTTTTGTATTTTTAGTAGAGACAGGGTTTCACCACGTTGGTCAGGCTGATCTAGAACTCCTGACCTCAGGAGATCCACCTGAGGGATTATAGGCTTGAGCCACCAAGCCCGTCCGCACACATTTTTTTAAAGAAAGAAATTTATGCACACCTTTTTGGAAAAGCAGGCAACTGAGATGGAATGGTCATTCTAGTCCTGTAGAGGATTTAAAAATATGAGAGCACTTTTGCCTTCTCCTACTCTCATGAAGCTGAAATCGTTTATTTATATAACTCCCACCTTTGGCGTGAACTTCAAATTAGACATAGTGTTATCAATTAATGTAAGAGAAACCCATCCAGAGAGGGGAGTGAGGCAGCTATAAAACCAGGTGGAATTGAATGCTTATAAAAGAGGTTCGACAATGTGATCTTCATGTCCTGGACTCCTGGGAGATTTTCCTTGAACTGGTTCACGTAGTCAAAAGCCTTACATTCTTTTCTGAAGGACAGTTGAGATCATTTTAATCATAATGGAGACTATATGCCGTGAAAGTCTTTAAAAGAATGAGAGGGAGAGTTTGCACGGTGAAGGATATAGAGCAGGCTGGCTTTGAGCTTACATTAGCATGCACCACCTCTTGTCTGGAAGCACCGCGTACCCTCACTAAGACTCATGATAACTACGAAAAGTGAAGCGAGGCTGGAAGAGAGGCCACGGATGTTAAGCATGTTAACATTTCCATTACATCTAAAAGCAGAAAATGGAACAAATAAAGCAGGTTGGGTTTTCTTCCCCCAGTATAATATATGCCAGAATGTCACAAGAACTCATTGTCTGCAGTGAATACAAAAATATGGGCAATTCAGGCTGAACAATGGAAACGTTGGTGATTCCATAAAAGCATCCCATTCGCATTAAGTTCATCTGGCTTTGTTTTATCCCTATTTTTTCCCCCAATAAAGCTGTGTCTTGAATAATATGATCTTTAAAGTTTAAGCTGCATATAGAAGTGCTTCTTCTTTTCCTCTCCACTTTCTCTGGTTCTGAAATGCAAGAAATGCAGAATAAAAGACAATTGAACCATCGTATTTGTTTTTTCTGCCCCTTCTCTCCAGTTAAATGCTGTTGTGATTTTGATGTAAACATCCTAGTAATTTTCACAGGAAGTGGGTGCAGGGATCCTAGCAGTGTGTCTGTTCAATGGTACTGTTAGGCGTCTTTTTGTTCAAAGGAGGACTTGTTCCAACGCCCTGGCACTGATCCAGTGCAGGCAGCCCGGGGACTTGGTGGGCCACCAGGGCAGGTGGTCCAGGAGCTGGACTGTGCACTTAGAGGGGAGGCTGGGTGGTCTTTTCTTTCTACTCGGGATCTCCTGCTCTTAGAAGACCGGCCTTTTGGGATTGAGTCTTTGAGGACTCAGAAGTGATTTTGACCTTGAGCTGACATTTTCAGAGTGAACGAGCTTGCTGAAAGGATGGCAATGTGCAATGTTTGGCTCTCCCCATGATTACAGAGTTGAGTTTAAGAGACAGAGGGAGTAAAAGAAGATGACATTTGAGTTTTTGTGAGTCTTCATCTTATTCCTTTCTGCCTCTCGTTGGAACTGACTGCCAATTCAGAACAAAACAAATTGTGAAAACTCCCCTCCTGTGTCACTCACCCCTGGCCCTCGGGGCCCAGAGTTGGAACAAATTAGGATGGCTTTTGACATTAGGCACAGGACATAAAGCCACAAAAAGTTTGTCTATCCACAAAGAAGCAGAACCTTTGGGTAGACCCATACACCCATACATATATCTACACAAAACACTGTGTTTTCAACCCAACAAGAAAATCATATTTCTCAGTTCTGTTTGACTTCCTCAGCCTTGTTTTCTTATCCCTGTTTCCTTCCTTCCTCCCTCCCTCCCTCCCTCCCTCCCTTCCTTCCTTCCTTCCTTCCTTCCTTCCTTCCTTCCTGCCTTCCTTCTCTTTGCTGATCCTTCTGAGTCTTGAGCCAGGATACAGGGCAACACTCAAGACTGTCCTCATGCCCTTTCCTTTCCCCTGTGATGACGACTCCCAGACGTGTTTCTCAGGCCTGCAGCTTGAGTGCACATGATGAGCTGAAGGCTGGAAAAGTTGAGAGGCCAAATCAGTTCAGAAAATTTATTAATTTAAATTTTTTAATTTAAAAAAGGATTTCATATTTTACCCAAACAGAAATGATCGATACCCATGTACCCGCCAGCTTAATCTGACTGATGTTAATATTTCCCCTGTCTTATCTTCGGATCTCTCTCTCTCTCTCTCTCTCACACACACACACACAGACACACACACTCACACACAAAGTTTTTACTATTTTACTGCTTGTGCTCCTAAACTTTAGCTTGTGTTAGAATCCCCTGGAGAATGTGTGAAAAGGAAGGTTCTGAGTTCCAAGTCCAGGAAATTGGATTCAACAGGATGGTGGTGGTAGGGAGGTGACCCACATCTACTCTTTCTCCTGGTGGATTGTAAACCTTCAACGAGTGTTATCTTTTAGTAGTAATTGTAACAGTGGCTGCAGCAATATATATTTCTGTTTTGTAAATCCTTTGTATCTTGTAGTAATTTTAGACTTACAGAGGGGTTGCAAAAACAGTACAGAGAGTTCTGTTTATTCCTCACCCAGCTCACCCCACTGTTATTGTTTTATGCAATCATAGTGCAATGGTCAAAACCAGGAACTTACCATGGATGCAATACTAGTGACTGAACTCCAGGTTTTATCTGGATTCCCTCAGCTCTTCTGCTATGTCCTTTTCCTGTTCTCAGGTGGAAGCCAGGACCCCACATTGCATTCACAGTCATGTCTCTGTAGTGTCCTCCCATCTGTGATGGTTCCTCCGTCTTTCTTAGCCTTTCATGACCTTGGCAATCTTGAAGAGTACTGGTCAGTTATTTTGTAGAAGGTCCCTCAATCTGGGTCTGTTGCACATTTGCTTTGTAACAAGCACCCGAGTGCCCCTGACACAGGCTGTCCTCAGACCACGTTTTGGAAGCACTGCTTTATACCTGGTTTTGGATCAAGCTTTTTCCAGGTTGATCCCCATATGGTTCATAAACATCGAAATTCCAAAATATAATCCGTCCCCAGATTTGGGAGCTCCTCACCTTTGGAGATAACCAAAAGCATGTGTTCTAAGCCTTGACATGTTTTGAACAATTCCAGTGAACTGTACCATGTACCATGGCTTTCTAAAGTGACTACTTTGCAGAGAGAGACACTCCTTGGAGGCGTGACGGAATGATAGCTTTTTAAGGGATGGCAGAGGGACTGGAGAGCTTACTTAATTCTATCTCTCTTCATTTTACACAGAAGAAAACTGAGGCCCGTTATAGGGGCATGATTTGCTCAAGGTCTCAGAACTGGTTGTTGGAAGAACCAGAAATAGAAACCAGGTTTACTCATTTTCAGCCTCGTGTTCTCCACCCCTCATCCACCCCGATTGTTGTTTATAAGCAGTCGCTGTATCACACCCAGCAGCAGTGATGAGCTCATACCCTTCCCTGGGCTGGCCCAAGGACACAAGCGGGCACAGGGCTGAGGTGGGGCTCCTCATGGAGGTGGGCGGGGGGCATGCTTTGCAGCCTCTGTCATCCCCCAGTGGCGCCGCTGCTCTTGGCCACACCTGCCATACTCAGCTCCGACCTTGCAGAGCTTGCTGCATGGCCCCACATTTTTAAACAGAGCTTTCTCCCAAGTTGCAGGAGCTTTTGTTACCCAGCACAGCGGTGGGGGCTGCTCATGGTGTGCAGAGTGACTCCAACAACGAGGAAAGTGACCGGGTAAGTGTGGTAGCCTCCTGACCTGCGAATGAAGAACCCGGAGGATGTGGAGGCTGGTTCTACAAAGTGCCTCAGGGTGACTGCTGTTCAGATGAACCAAATCATCAATGCGCCCTTATCTACTCTTCTTCGTCACTTTTGCTTCCTGCCACCCCCTCACAGGGGAGCTGCCTGTCCTGAGCACAGGAACCGCATCGGAGGGAACCCAAGCTAAGCCAGGAGGTGAGTGCCCGTTGCCTAACCGCCAACTGTGGCTGTGCAGGAAGGTGGGCCCAGAGGTGCTAGGTATTTTTTTTAGGGTGGGGTGCGGTGGTCAAGTTTACTGAGGTATGATTTATCGGTAGGACAATTCACTCTTTTTAGTGTGCAGTTCTGTGAGTTTTCAGCAAATAAATACAATAGTTGTGTAGCCACCACCAAAATCAAGATATAGAGCAGTTCTGGCACTCCCCACAAAATTCCTTCATGCTCATTTTAAGCAACACCCTCCCCACCCCAGCCCCTGGTGGCCATTGACCTGAAGTTTAGCCTTTTCCAGTAAGTCATGGAAATGGAATCAGACAGTGGACAGTCTTTAGAGTCTAGCTTCTTTTCCACTGCATGAGGCATTTGAGATTCACTCATGTTGGTCATACCAGTCATGTGTTCTTTTTATTACTGAGTGGTTTTCCAGGACATGAATGGACCAGTGCTTCTCTTCATTCACCTGTTGAAGAAGATTTGCGTTATTTTGGGGTAATTATGAATAAACCTGCTATAGACATTTAGGTGTGTATTTTTGTGTGAAGATAATTTTTCATTTCTCTAGGGTAGGGGAGGACATACAGTAAGTGCATGTTTAACTTTATAAGAAGCTACCAGGCTGCTTATGGATGCAGGTTCCAGTTGTTCTGTGCCTTCTTCAGCACTTGGTATTGTCAGCTTTACTGATTAAGTCATTCCAAGTGGTATCTCATCGTGATTTTAATTTGCATTTCTCTGATGACTAATGATGTTGAGCATCTTTGTTTGGGCATATTAGCTTCTTGTATATCTTTCTTTGGTAAAGTGCCTTTTTGAAGTTTTTGGACATTAAAAAAAATGGGTGCTTGTTTTGATTTTTAATTTTTTTCAAGAGATTCTGGAAATTGAGATTTTTACACGAAATCCTCTGATTTTTAAAAATAAAAACCAGACGAGTCGCGATGGCTCACACCTGTAATCCCAGAGCTTTGGGAGGCCAAGGAGGGCAGATCGCTTGAGGCCAGGGGTTTGAGCCAAGACTGACCAACATGGTGAAACCCCATTTCTACTGAAAATACAAAAATTAGCAGGGTGTGGTGGCACATGCCTGTAATCCCAGCTACTCAGGAGGCTGAGGCAGGAGAATCGCTTGAACCTGGGAGGCGGAGGTTGCAGTGAGCTGAGATCGCACCACTGCACTCCAGCCAGGGCGACAGAATAAGACTCTGTCTCAAAAAAAAAAAATTAAAAAAAAAGAAAAATTAAAATGAGAACCAACTTAAGAGATTTAGAGAGAGCAGGTGGCTTCTCCAAGATAATGAAGCATTGGGTTTTCAATCCCAATTCTTCTGAATCTAAACCCAGTGTGCCTGCTGCTACCCCAGGGATGTTCACATAAACAAATCCAGAGCAAAATACTGAGCAGAAAACCCCCACTTGTGGCCACATTCTGTGAGTTCTGCTTTATGGTCATACCGGTATCCCAGAGATGCCTGAATCTGAAACTTGCTCGCTGAGGGGCTGAGACAATTTTACTCTCATTAGGATTTACCCAGTAACGAGTCGGGTAAAGGTCTCACTCAGAAACAGACTAGGGTCAAATTCGTAGAGACAGAAGGTAGAACGGTGGTTGCCAAGGGCTGAGGGAGGGAGAAACGGGGAGTTGTTTCACTCATAGAGTTTCAGTTTTGCAAAATGAAAGGAGTTGTGGAGATGGATGGTGGTGATGACTGCACAACAATGTGTGTTAATGCCCTGGGCTGCATGGTTAAGAATGGTTCAGATGATCACTTTTATGTTATATGTATTTTATCCCAATTTAAAAAAAATAAAAAATAACGACAAAAAGAAATAGACTACAAAGAAACAATGCTGTTTTTCATCATTCTCACACCAATTAATCCCCAGAGCTGTCTTCTGATTAAAGACCACCACTGTGTCTTCATTTCAGGGACAGATGAACCCCATCTTGAGACAGCACCTCTGGATTTTATGCCATCCTCATGAGTGACCAAGGTTTCTTTAGAGCTTTTATGCTCATGAGTTACATTCTGCATTTGGAGTCGAGGGTACACACAGTGCTGCGCTATAAAGACATTAAATGCGAGTCTGCTATCTTTTGAATGTCAGAGAATCCCACATAAACATGGTTAAAGAAATAGACGAACCCTTTAGGAAAGGGGTCTCAACAAAGCACTCTGCTCTCCTATTCAGTGGGGAGGTGGGTCCAACGGTGGCGACAATGATTTTCATGGATGTGGTTCAAGGCTGTTCTGAGCAGATGCGTCAGATTCACGAGGGACTGCAGCCCCTGGTGGGGCTGGGTTCAAGCATTCCGAGGGCCCCGCCTGAAATCCACGCTCTCATTATCAAGGAAACCACGTGCATCCCTGGTCCTTCTTAAGAATCTGCGTTCAAGGTCGTTATGGATGCTCTGTGATTGTGAAGGCTCTTTCAGGCCCACCCTTCCCATGTGACGGGATGGTTTCACTGGGTCTCATGTGCTCAAGGTGAGCTGGGTTTGTATAACCGGCAGTGACTGTTATTCACCGGGAAATGTTCAAAGCCTTAGGGCCAAAACCTGTTTATCTATAACAAAGGGAAAGTCCCCAAGTCATCTGGGTAGATCATCTTAAAAGAGAGGACTCTTCTATTTTATAGTTTTCCAAATAGTGAGGGATAAACGGTCAAACAGGTAAACTCTCTGTCCCTCAGCAAAACAACACACAAACAAGTGATAAAGCCCCCCTTGCCAGCATAGGGGGACTCTTTCAGTGTTTGCGGGTGGGTTTAATCTCCCTGGGCTGTTATAGACCTTCCTTCCATTGCACTCCTAGAGGCTTCAATGTTATAGGATGGCACTTCTTCATATTTAATCACTTCTGTACAGCTTCCTACATTTTTGCTATATTCACAAATCATTTACATTTACTTTGTAATTTTCATTAAATCAATTTTAAACCAATTTAAAAAATTTACTTAGCCGTAGCCAGTGGCTTTCAAAGTTGAACATGTATCAGAATCACCTGGAGGTCTTGTTCAATGACGTATGGCTGGATCTCCCCCTCAGGGTGCAGTAGGTCTGGGGAGGGGCTGAGAATTTGCATTTTATCAATTTTTCAGGTGATTCTGATGTTGCTAATTAGAAGGCTACAGTTCGACAAATACTTTTCTAAGCAATAGCATCCCAGGAATCATGGATTTGATATGGCTTTTTAAAAAGAGGTGTGTTGGCTGGGGGTGGTGGCTCATGTTTGTAATTCCAGCCTTTGGGAGGCCGAGGTAAAAGAATCACCTGAGGTCAGGAGTTCAAGACCAGTCTGGCCAACATGACAAAACCCCGTCTCTACTAAAAATACAAAAATTAGATAGGCATGGTTGTGGGAGCCTGTAATCCCAGCTACTCAGGAGGCTGAGGCAGGAGAATCGCTTGAACCTGGGAGGCGGAGCTTGCAGTGAGCTGAATTGCGCCACTGCACTCCAGCCTGGGAGACAGAGTGAGACCCTGTCTCAAAAAAAAAAAAAAGGGTGTGTTTTTTAGATTGCAATTAGAAACACGGAGACATTGAGAAGTGGGCAATAATAAAGCCACTTTTCATGAAGTAGTGAGATCCCCTCCCTACAGTGGGTGTCCTTGTGAAGGAGACCAGGGTGGCGCTCCCTGCTGGCTCTCACCCGCCCCCTGGCGTGGGTGTGCCTACTGATAGAGCCAAGGGCTGATATCCTATCTGGCTCTGTCGAAGGCACAACTTGGGGCAATTCCTTACCCCTCTTTGTCCCCCAGTCTTCCCATATAAGCAGGGAGGTGATGACACTGACTGACATCTAAGGGTTCTGTTGCTCCATCCTGGGGCCTTTTTGAAGATGGTTGCCTGATGGAGGCAGCCTCCAGAAGAGAGGCTGGAATCCCCCTCTGTGGGGTGGCGGGTGCACTGTGATGTTTCATGTATCAGCACTTTCTGAACTGCACTTGACAAAAACCCACCTCAAACTGGCTTGAGCAAGAAAGGAAACTTATTAGCTCATGCCACTGAAAAATGTATGTCTGGATTCAGGTTTGGCTGGATCCAGGGAATAAAAGGGTGCCATCTACTTCGTCTCACAGTCTCTTTTGCTTTCACCTGCCTGCTCCATCCTCAGGCAGGTTCCTCTCAGGCAAAGGTAAAACAGTCACCAGCAGCTCCAGGCCTATGTCTTGCCAACTTAGCACCTTTTCTCAAGGGTTTCAGCAAAAGTCTCAGCACTGACTCTCACTGGACTATATTATGCACCCATCACTGAACCCATTACTCACTGGAGCAGACACAGATTCTGTGGATTGGCCAGACTTGAGTCTGGTTTCTGCTCCTGAAGTGGTGAGGTATCACCTACACCTAAGAGTTGAGGAGGCATGGCTCTCCAAAGCATGTTGTCAGGAGCTATTACTAGAGAACAAAAGTATGCTGGGAAGGAAAAAACCCACAGTGGTCCTCCCAGATTCATCTGCATCAGTGGTGATCAAAGTGTGTTCCCTGAATCTAAGGGGAAGCATCAACATCACACGGGAGCTTTTAGAAATGCGATTCATGGCTGGGTGTGGTGGCTCACGCCTGTAATCCCAACAGTTTGGGAGGCCAAGGTAGGAAGATAGCTTGAGGCCAGAAGTTTGAGACCAGCCTGGGCAACATAACAAGACCCCATCTCTACAAAAATTTTTAAAATTAGCTGGTGTGGTGGCCTGCATCTGTGGTCCCAGCTACTTGGGAGGCTGAGGCAGGAGGATTTTTTGAGCCCAGGTGTTCGAGGCTGGAGTGAGCCATGATTGTGCCATTACACTCTAGCCTGGGAGACAGAGTGAGACATTATCTCTAAGAAAAAAAAAAAAGGAACAAGAAAAAGAAATGCAATTATCAGGCCCAGCTGTGCAGTCACTGATGTAAACCAGAGGCTCTCGACCGTGATTTCAATTTGAATCACCTGGGGTATATTACACCATCTAGACTCTACTCCCAACCAATTTTACCACGGCAGGGAGGGGACGGGGATCCAGTCACTGGTGTTTTAAAAAAATGTTTCTCCAAATAATTCTCATGGCAGCCAAGGTTGACAGAACCACTAGCTTAAACAGACTCTTGTTCTCTGCTACTTCTCACTTATGAAATGGCAGTAAATAAGACTGTGGACAGTTTTTCTGTTGAGAATGGTGGTGCATTAAAAGAGCTATTACTAGACTTGGGAGATGGCAACTTGAGCTGAGGATGTGACGGTTTTTAGTTTTTTTAATACACATTAAAATCAATATAGAACTGATTAAAATTTCTTCTGAGTACCAGCTAAAGTTACCTTGTATGCTATTAAGTATCCCTGGTGTAGGGGCAGGAACACTGGATTTGAATCCAGAAGACTTGCAGTTGAAAGCCAAGTTCGGTGATAGCTTGGAGAAGCCATGAAATCTCTCTTTATTTGCATGATGGGAAAGATCTCAGACACCTTTAAACCCCAAACAGAGAAACAGGTGGTGGCTTCAGTGGAGATGATGAGTGGGGTGAAGGCAGCCATTAAAGACAAGCACAAAAACCAAAAATACAAACAGGCAGTGGGATGGTTAGAATAGGATTACAGAATGTCTGTTGCTTTTTTTTCTTTTCTTTTTTTCTGGAGACGGGGTTTCACTCTGTTGCCCAGGCTGGAGTACAGTGGCACGATCTCAGCTCACTGCAACCTCAGCCTCCTGGGTTCAAGCAATCCTCCTGCCTCAGCCTCCTGAATAGCTGGGACTACAGGTGCACGCCAACATGCCCAGCTAATTTTTGTATTTTTAGTAAAGATGGGGTTTCACCATGTTGGCCATGCTGGTCTCGAACTCCTGATATCAAGTGATCCACCTGCCTCAGCCTCACAAAGTGCCGGGATTACAGGCATGAGCCACGGTGCCCGACCCACCAGAATATCTGTTGCTTTTGATGGGCTCAGTTTTGTGGAGAATTGTGAAAGTCTATGTGGAGGAAGGATCTCAGGTGGAAAAGAGGAAGAAATGACATTGGCGAGCTGGCTAGGACTGAGGGTACATGATGGAGAGAGTATGCAGGAGTTGACTGAATCCAGAAAAGTTTTGGATTTGGCTTAATTCAGGCAGGAAGTCAGCCCCTGAAGCAGACGTGTGACTAAACGAAGTGTGAAATGCAGGAGAGGCTCAGGGCAGAGATGACATTGGGAACCCAAGAAAGGGGCTGGAGAGCCCAGATGGCAGGCAGTGGAGGCCTTTCCTGGGTATTCCCACTGGGAAAAAAAAGGAAGGAAATAAGAGACTCAAGCGACTTTGAGGAGAGAGCGACTGTTTTAGTGTGGAGATGCTGAAGACCAGCATTTCAAGCTTGGGGAGCTGGATGGGTGGGAGGTGGCGGGGTCAATAGAGGGGAACCTGTGGAATGAGATGATCTGGGGGGAAACACCTGTGCGAATGGCAGGGGATAATGTGTAAGAAGGACAGGGTGCTTGTCCCTCAGGGACTCTGGTCTAATGGAGTCTTTCCAGGGCTGAGTGCCAGAAAATAGACCCAGGCTCTGCCCCAGGTTTCCGGCCGGCTGCACTTCACCATGTGCCCTGTTGGACTCTGACCTCCTGTTCTCACACCGAGACATTTTAGCCATGGTCAGTGTTTATTTAAGTTACTTCCCCTTGAGTTCACTGGCACAAAACACTGCCCGGTAGGCAAGTACTGCCTGTGCCCCATGAGGTCTGGGACAGTGCCCGCGGGTGTGCGTCCAGGGGCATCAGGAGTGCAATGTCCAGGCTCTCTGCTCCGTGCAGAGGCTCCTGCAGAGCCAGAGCGCTACGAGGGGGAAGGGGAACGTCTGGTTTACATTTTAATTTTAAAGATACTATTCAAATGCGGTACCGTTTTTTCAGATCCGAACTCAATTTTGCCCGTTTCATATTAAATTAGTCATCTCATAGTTTGCATTCTGTTTTGTCATTTGGAATTTTAAACACAAATAAAAACTCCACGTGGTCCCATGGAGACAGAACTGAAATAACTCAAAGTTTGCATCTTCACCTCTCTAGGCATCCTGCTATCATTTTTTATTTGGAATCCACCATTCATGGTGAATCTGCAGCATCCCAGGGCTTGTCTTGTGATTGCACCTGAAGGAAAGGCAGCTCAGACAACACAGCCATAGAAACCCACTTTTGAAACAGCCTGAGTCCACATGAGTCAGGTGCCGGCTGTAGAACTGAGAATTCTCTGAATTAACTTCTGAATAGGATGCAATGTTTATTAAAGGATCTGTAATAAAAAGATGCTATTTTGAAACTTACATTTATTTATATAAGATTATAACTTATCAGTAATCATCATGAATTATTTAGACCTTTGATCAACAAAATATTTTTTTTCTAGAGAGGAGGATTTTATTCCTGATCTCTTTAAGAATTGCTGGACCATGATAATAAAAAGCAGAAAAGTTTTATCAGGATTACTATTATTGTTAACTTTTCTACAGACAATGCCCCAGTGACCTGCCCTTGGTAGATCACTGACTCGCAAGGTGGTTATGAGGATTAAATGAATTAAAACAATTAAAGCACTTAGAAGAGGGCTTGATATTAGCTATTACTGTTTTTTCTACAACACATAAATCCCACTGCTAAAAGAATCCACAGGTATTTGATGAGGGCTGCTCATGAATCTCAAAAATCCTTACATTAAGAAGGTGGAAATAGGCCAGGCACAGTGGCTCATGCCTGTAATCCCAGCACTTTGGGAGGCTGAGGTGGGTGGATCACTTGAAGTCAGGAGTTCAAGACCAGCCTGACCAACATGGTGAAATCCCTTCTCTACTAAAAATACAAAATTAGCCAGGCGTGGTGGTGCACACCTGTAATCCCAGCTACTCAGGCATGAGCCACCGTGCCTGGGAAGTTTATTTATTTTTATTGTTTGTATGGTATTGTATTGTATGACTATGCCTCCATTTATTTATCCATTCTACAGTTCATGAACATTGGAGTTGTTCCAGATCTGGGCTAATAGGAACACTATGTTAGTTACCTTTCCTTGGTTACTAACAGGGTTGGGCATCCTTCATATGTCTGTTGGCTATTTGGATTCCCTTTTTTGAAACGCATATCAGGGTTTTGGGGGCCCATTTTTCTATGTTTTGTTTATTCCTTACTGATTTATAGACATTCTTTATGTAGTTTGAGCTCTCTGTCAGTTTTATGTTCCCCTAATATTTTCTCCCACTCTGTGGCTTGCCTTCTCGCTCTCTTAATGTTGTCTTTCGATTAACAAAATTCTTATATTTAATGTACTCGAATTTATCAGTTTTCTTTAACCTTCTAAAAGCTTTTTTTTCTTGGTCTTTTCAACTTGGTTTTCACATATACTCCACCTGGAATTGAATTTTGTATATGGTTTGAGGTAGGGGCCTCATTTCATGTTTTCCTTGTGGATACTCAATTGTCCCAGCCACATACATTTTTAAAATAGTTTTTTCTCTATCCTCCTTCAATTTTATCTTTGCCATAAATCAAGTGTCCATATATATCTGGATCTCTTTAAGAACACTCTATCCTATTCCATTAATCTATTATCTGTCCTTGTACAAACACTAGGCTGCTTTAATTAATGTAGTGTTATTTTAAGTTGATACTGGGCAGAGCAAATCCACTCTCTTCTTTGTTCTTCAGGAATAGCTTAACCACTTTTGGTCTTTTCATTTCCATATACATTTTAGAATCTGCTTGTTGGGATTTCAGTTGGGATCAGTAAATCTATACACCAAGTTCATGTAGGATTGGTATTTTTATGACATTGAGCCCTTCAGTGCATGAATATGGTGTTGCTTCTCATTTATTTAGGTCTTCCTTAATAAAAATTTACAGTTTTCTGCATAGAGGTCTCGAAATGTTTTGTTAGATTTATTCCTAGGTACTTGATATTCCTTTCAACACAAATGTAAATGATATATTTTTCTTTTAAATTAATATTCTAGCCATTTGTTACTAACACAGAGAAATGTAGTCGATTGTTGTGTAATGAGTAGCCTTGTAAAACTCACAGTTTCTAATATCTTATTCTGTCAGTTTTCTATGTATTCAATCATTATCTTCAAAATAAGAATACTTTTGCTCTTTCCTTTTTAAATCTTTGTGCATTTTAGTATATTTTTCTTGTCTTACTCTATTGGCTGAAACCTCTACTCTAAATGTTGAAGGGAAGTGGTTATTATGGGCATCTTTGTCCTCATCATGATTTCCAGAGGAAAGTATTTAATATTTCATTATTAAGTTAGATGTTTGCTGAAGATTTATTGTAGGTAAACAATATCACATTAATAAGTCCCCTTCTTTTTCTAGTTTGTTGATAGTATTTATTTTAAATAATAAATGAATGTTACACCTTATACTTGATTTTTGGATCTGTGAAACAATCACGTTTTTGCTTTATATTCTCAGTGTGATGAATTATATTGATTGATTTTTTTAACATTAAGTCAGCTTTGTGTCTTTGAGATAAACTAAATTTAGTAATGAAGTATCCTTCTATTTCATATCCCTGGATTCAGACTGACTTTTTCTGTTGTTTAGAATTTTTGCATCTACGGTCATACATGATATTCATCTGTCATCTCCCTTCCACTACGAATTAAGGTTTCAAGTCTACACTAGTCTCAAAAATGAGTTGAAGAATATACTTTCTTCCATTTTCTGAAAGACAGTCTAAAAGATTGGAGTTATTTCTCACTTAAATATTTTGTGAAATTTATACATATGCAACTTCATTACCTAAAAAGGGCCATCTTCCAAATTACATTAAAATTTACACAATTACATAAAATTTCAATTGTAATAAGTTATAATCATGTAAAATTGCAACCACATAATTAAAAAATTTAAAATGACAAATAGATAAAAATCACATAAATTACAATTTTATAAAAACTACATAATACATTACAAAATTACATGACAAAACCTTCCTCAAAACAGGCTTTGGAGTCAGACTGTCTCTGTATGAATTTTGGCGCTGAGGACAGGCTGTGCAATCCTGTGCCAATCTCTTTACTCCTCTGACCTCTCAACGTCCTTATCTACCATGGTCCCTCTACCTCCTTCAGATGTCAGGAGGAGTAAATGAAACAATGATATGTAAATCAATTTGCCCTGAGCTTGGTCTATAAAAGGTGTTTAATATTTGGTAACAACGTTCATGATTATATGTTAATAATTTATTCACTCAAGTGTTTATTGAGCATCTATTGTGGGGCCAGGCATGCTGGATACTGGGAAAGCAACGGGAGGCAAAATTGGATGCGGCCTTTCATGCACCCGGAGCAAGGATTCAGCGTTTGTTCCCGCAGAACCATGACCCACCCCCACTGAAATGAAATGGAGGCCAGTGTTTACCGGGCCACCTCTGCGTACCTCTTTTGAGCTCTGCATATTGCTTTTGTGCCAGATGGGCAAGAATAAATGAAAGCAGCCATTTCTGCTAGGGAGCAATCAGAGCTTAATATTGAGCTTTTTGGAAACTGACTCGTAGCAGTCATAGGCAAGGGCCACTTCCTTGAGGAAATGAATGAAGACGTCTTGCTTTTCCTAAGCTAGGTTCCCCGTTTGTATTTCTTGACAAGGGCCAAATGTGTCATACAAAGGACTGTTTTCATTGTCCCTGTTTTTCAGTTTCCTCCAAGCCCTACCAGCTTCTCTGCTTCTGCAGGAAGTTTACCAGGAAACAGGTGCACAAAAGGAAGAATTTGCTGAGGCCCTGGCAAACTGGAAACTGAATCCAGGTGGCCAAGGTCTAATCCTCCCCTACACCAGGTAATTTCTCTCCCTTGCATCTGATCTTGTGAAGTCCATAGTTCTCAGGTGGCCCATGGCTCCTCCAGTACTTCTGGAAATCTTTGCACCAGTGCCTTTTTTTTTTAATTTTTTATTTTTTGCCATACATGGCTTTGATTCTCTGCTACACATTTCTCAGATGGTTTTATGAGACCTCAGGAATAATACCTATTTCTTGGCTTTGTGTGAGGACTCAGTGAAACATGTTAGGAATGCTGTGAAGTCTGGTTGGCAGTGCAGAATAAGGGCTCATTTATTGGACTGGTTGTTGGGTCAGGTGGGGCAGTCTATCTGTAGATATACAGACACATAGATCAATGAACATACAGATGGAGATACAGCTATATAGATAGATGCACATGTACACATACATATAGTGTATTCACATACATGTATTAATTCAACATTTTTTCTTTTTTGAGATAGAGTCTGAGTCTGTCACCCAGGCTGGAGTGCAGTGGTGCGATCTCGGCTCACTGCAACCTCTGCCTCCTGGGTTCAAGAGATTCTCATGCCTCAGTCTCCCTAGTAGCTGGAATTACAGATGTGTGCCACCACCACGCCTAGCGATTTTTTTTTTTTCTATTTTTAGTAGAGACAGTGTTTCGCCATGTTGGCCAAGCTGGTTTTGAATTCCTGACCTCAAGTGATCTGCCCTCCTTGGCCTCCCAAAGTGCTGGGATTACAGGTGCGAGCCACTGTGTCTGGCCTAATTCAACACTTTAACAAATAATCCAGTGCCTACTATATGCAATTCACTGTATTCATATTTACATGAGTGGATCAATTATTAGTCCTATTTGTGAAATCCAAAAAAAGAATCTAACATTTGAATTTACGTAAGAAGTGTTGGAAAAACTGTTTTCCCAAATGAGCTAAGATGGAGGAATGGGACTTTTAGGAGTCGGCTTCACAAGTTACCTGCTAATCATTGATCTCAATGTAGGCTAATCCCAGGCAGTGAGAGATGGCCATTCGAGGGCATCACTGCAGAAGACCTGGCATTCTGCCTCCTTTTGGAGTCAGACTTTGGTCCCCTGCAGTGTTTGCCATTGTGGGGGCATCAGATGCTGATGGGCAGAATGAATGTGGAGGAAGTTGGCTTCACTAGGGCAAGGAATGAATGGCCACCACTGCTTTTGTGCCAAAGGACTAAGCCTCCCTGGGAGAGAGGACAAGAACAGGCTGGAGGAGGGGTGCCCTTCATCATCTTGTGAGCATCTGGGCCAAGTTCAGGGCTGGTGCTCTCGTTCAGATAGATTTAGCTGGTGGTGCAGAGATCCGTGAGCTTGCTTTTACAGGACTTTAATGATATATAAAAGCAGCACGAGGTGCTCCTGACTGTGGATTAATTTGGAGATGACTTTCTCTGTTGAAGAGTAGCAAGACTCTCGCGAGTTCTTAAAAATGCACTTGTTTGGTATGAGAATGAAAAGCAGTGGCTGAAGAACCAATCTTCAATGGGCAAGCCTTCTCTGGTAAGTTAAACAAATTCAGGCTGGGATTTAGAGGAATTCGTGCTTGTGTAAGGATTAGGGCATGCCAAAGTGAAAACTCCAGTATGCAAAAGTATTACTGAGAGGTGATTTAGAAATACAGATACTTGCGTTTATTTGACAGATCTGGAGCAGTTACTGTCTGCTGCAAAGGTTGCCACTACGGATGCAAGAGGAAAGGGCCCTCATGATTTCTGTTTGATTGTGGCCACCAAGACTAAATGGCGGAATGTAGGAATTACAAAAGCATGGAGGAAGGGAGGGAATTTTTGCAACTCATGAATAACCTTGTAAATGGAAAAGCCTGCTTTACCCCTGAAAAAGGAATAAAAGACTTGAGTTTACATGAGAAGTGTTAAAAAAAATTTCCCGTATACCCTTGCCTTCTGGTTAATTCCATTTTAAAATTGTAATTTAAAGCTAAATTAAAAGTAAGCCAATGTTGTGGAGGCGTGGAGTGGAATACAAGTACCTGGGCCCCACTTCCCAAGATCTGGATTTAGCTGGTCTGAGATAGATCCTAAACTCTGAATTTCTAACAAGCTCCCAGGTATGCTGATGCTGCTGTTCTGCACGTCATACCTGGGGTGGCACTGAGTGAGAGGTTGTTAGTTTTCCATTTTTGAAGGTATTGAGCAGAGAATGGTTCTCAAATTTGGCTGCATTAGAGTCAACTGGGGAGCTTTAAAAAAGCCCTAGTATCCTGACTGCATCCCAGATCAACAACAGCAGAAAGTCCCATAAAAGCAAGCTCATGGATCTCTGCACCACCAGCTACATCCATCTGAACAAGAGCACCAGCACTGAACTTGGCCCAGATGCTCACAAGATAATGAAGGCTGTGGGGTTCAGGCATCTGTATTTTTAATAGCTTCCCACATAGTTCAATGTGTAGCCGAGGTGAAGAACTGCTGCTCTAGGAGGAAATTATTTGAGGCAACGGCAACCAAAGGTCTTAGTCATCATGAGGTGTCAGAATCACTTTGGAGACCACGAATATTTTGTAACGCTTCCTGTCCTATCTTGAAATGAAATTCACAGATTGTATAATCTACTTACATGCATCATTACAAAAAGTTCTTTCTGTAATATAAAGGAGAAACAAAAGAGAAGTTGAAAAAGGTAACTTTTGGTAAACACACACACACACACACACACACACACACACACACATATTCGATAGGTAAATGCTTGGGCACAAGCTCTCTAGAAGACGTAATAAAGTATCCAGGTGTTTGTCTTGTAAGAATGTGATCCCGACAACCCCAGAGCCAGGCCAAGCCTGGAGCACAGGACCAGTGACTCAGACACTACCGGCTTGGCGTCATGGTGCCGTGGTTTTCCATACTGGTGAAAAACGCTCAGTAAATTTCTAGGCACAACAACACACGTTGACTGACTCTGGGTTCCTGCATATTCCGCTCATACTAAACCAGGCGATAATGCTCTATGATTACGTGTCAGAGAGTTAGGGCCTAGGGTAGGTAATTAGCAACTGGTTGTTCACCGACATGCATTTCAGGCTGAATTTTGAGCATTTCAGAAATTCTAGCTTCCCTCTTCCTCCCCCAAATGCGAAGATGTCTCCACTATAATTGAGCAATCACAAACGGCCCCTTCCAATGTCTCAGGGCTCCCCGTTGAACACCCATGTGGAATAAGGAGTGAAGGTGAGCTCACTGAAATGCACTCGATGCCAGTTCCACCTTCCACACCGGAGCAGCGTCCCGCAGACCAGGGCTGGTGGGCGAAACTGGTGGGCAAAATGGGGTGGGCTGGATAAAGGACTCCCACCCCAAATGGCTGCAGGGGCCTATTTGAGGGAGTGGAGAGAGAAGGGTTGCGGGCTTCCAGCCAAGCTTTACCCTCACTGAAAGTTCAGGTTCAGGGCCCAGTCCCCCAGCGTGAAAAAGGGACCCTTATAAAGAGGTAAAGGGGCTTCCTTCAAATCCCCTGCACCCGCGCCCCCTCCCTCAAAGATAATCCTGGGAAATATTTAGCGATCTCCAGTGCCCTCTAGTGGCAGATACTTGTCATGCCAGGCACCAAAAGATGGTTAATAATTTTTATTGTTTAAAAACATCACACAAGCCCATGCAGGTTCATACAGTAACAATCTCAAGCTTTCCTGCATTTCCTTTTATCATCCCGATCTTACTACACCCCTAGAGAACATTTACATTCCTTTCCTATGCATTTACAAATGATATATATGTATATTATATATTCGTTTCTATATGTTACACAGAGATGTAGACATGTAGAAATATACATTACATGTGCACATATGAAGTGTATGACTTATAAATAAGCATAAAATATATTTTGTATGGCATATATGTGTATATATTTTATATTTACAAATGTAAAAATATTTTAAAACTTTATATAAATATATAAAAATATAATACATTTAATTCTATGCTTTATACAATATGTTTATATAAAGTTTATGCTTATATTGATAATATATTTTTATGTACTATATAAAGTCTGAAAATATATTGTATAAGGTTTATTTTTATTTTTATTTATTTATTTTTGAGACAGGGTCTTGCTCTGTTGCCCAGGCTGGAGTGCAATGGCACAGTTCACTGCAGCCCCGAACTCCTGGGCTCAAGGGATCCCCCCACCTGAGCCTCCGAAGTAGCTAGGACTACAGGTGCAAGTTGCCATGCCTGGCTAATTTTTTGTAGAGACAGGATCTCCCTGCGATGCTCAGGCTAGTCTTGAACTACTGGGTTCAAGCAATCCTCCTGTCTTGGCCTCCCAAAGTGCTTGAATTACAGGTGTGAGCCACACACCCGGCCTGAGGTTTTTAAACACAAAGTGATCTGACTGTTTTACCGCTGCATGCTGTTGTGCAGTGTGGAAATAATCTGATTTGTTTGATTTTTCTCCCCTACAGATGGACATTTAGATGCCTTTCATTTTTCTTCCATTGCAAGAATACTTTGTACATATATGTGAGTTTTTCTATAAGAAACACTTCCAGCTTTTCATTTAAGTCAGAGACTCAAATCTGAAATGCAAAAGCTTGTAAAACTGTGAAGTGTTAAAAATCATCCCGCCAAAGGAGTGAGGTGAAGGGAAGTTTTATAAAATTGGAATGGAAGGAAAAGGCTGGACAGGAGTGGGATGGCGTGGCTGAGAGGGAGATAGGAGGCTGGGTATGGATGAGGAGTGGGAAGTGTGGGATGGCGTGGCTGAGAGGGAGATAGGAGGCTGGATATGGATGAGGAGTGGGAAGTGTGGGATGGCGTGGCTGAGAGGGAGATAGGAGGCTGGGTATGGGTGAGGAGTGGGAATTGGGAACACCGTTTTCACCTAAAGCTGTATTCAGGGCCTGGGGTTTTTGTTTTTGTATTTATTTAGAAAATAGATAAAACTTCTATCTGGTTCAAAATTCGACAACAACAGAAAGGTGTTAGATCTCATCTTCCTTATTCTTCTGTCTTCCAGCCGCTCCGTTCTCCCCAGCAGAGCCAACTAAAGTAATCAGCGTCTTCTGTATCCTTCCACAGATAGTACATGCATAAGCAAAAAGAAAAAAAAAAGTTTCTTTCTCTTTCTCATTTTCCCTTCAAAAACCACCAATAATTGTACCTGACATACATAGCCTGCCCCTTTTCTTCATTAAATAATGGGAGATTATGTCATTAGGAAGAAACAGATTTCTTCATTCTCTCTGCCTGGCATTCCATTATGTGGATGAGGTGTTATTTATTTAAGCAGTCCGCACCTGAAGGACATCTTGGTTGGTTCCAATCTTTGCTATGACAACAGTGCCACAATGAGTAGCCTTGTACAACTGTCATTATGTGCATGTGTGGGGACACATGTAGGATACAGTCCTGGTAGTGGAATTCCTGTCTCAGAGGGTTTTTTAAAAAGAACTGCAAGTTGCCGTCTGTGGAAGCCTTGCCAGTTTGTACCCTTGTGTGTTCTGCTTCACCTCTACCAGCACCGGAGTCACTGAGCGTTATGTTATTTGCCAACTGGATAAGTGAAAAATGGTATCTCAGGGCACGTTATGGGACATGTTAAAGTATAAGTGCAGCCAAATATCTTTTCAAACACTGATGAGGGGCCCTGGAGTTTTAGTGCCTTTCTTTAGAGGAATTTTAGGTGCTGGTCTTACTGACTCGGAGCCTCTTCCTCAATCTGCATCGCCTTAGCTGACCCCAGTGCACTTTAGGGCATTACGTGGATTTGGGGTTTTCTCATCCTGCTCTCCTTCCTTTGGGAGTGGCCTCCAAGGCAGCTGTCTTCCCATTCCCCTTGCTTCCCTCCTATCTCCGTCTCAGCCACGCCATCCCACTCCTGTCCACAAGCCGGGTGCATGAGCCATTCCAGAGGGACTTTACCTTGCTGGAATAAGCGTGGTAAGGGGCCTGGGTGTTGTGGTCCTCCCTCCTTGGGCTCTGGTGCTCTGGTTCCCAGACTGTGACCCACGATCCTCTCGCGTCCAATGTGCGTGACCTCTCCGTCCGATAGCACAAGCAATTCTCAAACAGCCACTTGAGCTGGACGCCCCCGGACATGCCCTGCACTTTTCCAGCTTTACATCCTGGCCTGTGTTGCCCCCTCCATGTGTGATGCCCTCCTTGAGTCCGGCATGGGTGCACGGCTGCCCGCTCCAGCAGGTCAACCCTCGGGCCCATGAACTTCCCCTACACAAGCTCTTGTGGCACCAACTGTCTTCCTAGGTGGTGGCCACACCAGGAAACATTTCCCAGCCTCTCATTGCTCTTGAAAATTGTATCATCAAATAGCAGCACATGTTAAACAGTTAAGAAGAAAATTAACATGCAAAATTAACAGAAGAAGAAAGAGAAAATGCAATCTGCCCAAAGCTGTTCTTGACAATTTTTGGAGTGATTTAATGTTATTTTAAGTTTTATGAAGAAAGTACAATCTTATCAATATTTGTATCTTGCTATTTCATATTCACTGCAATTTAATATGTAAAAGTTACCACAGGGACACTAAGTGGTAAAGAGTTAATGGTCTTCCCTGATTCCCACTGCCTGAGGCCAAATTTCCATCCACGCCAAGCATGCTTTTCAGCATCTCCACCTTCAACTGCTGTTATCTGTCTGCCCTAGCTTCTTCCAGCGCCCCAGGGAAAAAGCTGCATCACATTTTGGAGGGAAATAAAGAAAGAGAACTAAAGACCTATTGGATTTCAGCCTTTGGTTGGTGGTTAATAACCTAGATAGCTCAGGCATTTTCCAGGCTGGAGTGCAGTGGTGCCATCATAGCTTACTGCAGCCTCGAATGCCTGGGCTCAAGCAATCCTCCTGCCTCAGCCTCCTAAGTTGCCTAGTTAATTTAAAAAATATTTTGTAAAGACAGGGGCTTCACTATGTTGCCCAGGCTGGTCCCAAACTCTTAGCCTCAGGAGATCCTCCTGCCTTGGTATCCCAAAGTGTTAGGGTTATAGGCCTGAGCCACTACACTTGGCCCAAGAATTTAATTAAAGAGGTGGGATGAGCAAAGAGTTCCTGGAGGGAAGCTAGCTTTCACCTGCCTTCCTGCTACCTGGAAGGTGCTGTTTATGAATTCAGGATTCATCTGTCCACATTGATGGTTTTCTTAGCTTGTGAGGTTACTGAAACACCATTATTACAGATAGAAAACTTTCCCCAGTGGCCCCTTGAGACAGGTTGAATAATGTCACTTAATCTCTATAACCTTCCTCTTAAATAGGCATGGTCACTCTCTCTTTTAATGATGAGAAAAACGGGAGAAGAGAAGTCCATAGAAGGATGGAAACTTGGCCTCAGGCGGTGGGGCTCAGGCCCCTGCTCTGTTCTGGTTCCATGCACTTAGTGGATGGGAAGACCACTAACTCTTTACCACTTAGTGTCACTGTGGCAGCTTTTACACATTGAATTGCAGTGAATATGAAATAGCAAGATACAAATATTAATACAATTGCACTTTCTGCATAAAGCTTAAAATAAAGTGAAGTCACTCAAAAAAAGGTCAAGAACAGCTTTGGGGCAGATACCTTCCTTCCTTCCTTCCTTCCTTCCTTCCTTCCTTCCTTCCTTCCTTCCTTCCTTCCTTCCTTCCTTCCTTCCTTCCTTCCTATGGAGATATTGTTACAGGGAGGCCTATGGGATCCTGCCTAACTAGTTTTGGAGGCAAATGCTATGTGGGGGCTTGTAGGAGGCAGCGCTGTGCTTGCTGGAGTTAAGCTCTAACCTGAGTTGGGTTTGCATCCAGCTGCTGGTTGGTCCAGGGAGGTCTCCAGCTGCTGCTTGGAAACCAACAAAAACAGTAGTGAGTTCCAGAAACGTTGGAGTAAGGTGGTGACTTGGTGATAAAAAGTATTTCTGGAGGAAAGGGAAAACACTCCCATTTTATTATCTGTGAAATCTGGTGGCCAATGAAACCACTTCCCACTGACTTGGGTGGGGAAGGCAGATACTTAGATTCACGTTCCCAAAGGAGAACATTATGCAATGGAAGATGTAGCTTCACAGTATATCCCACTCTGTCAGGACTCTGTGCTGCATATAAACTCTGATGTGAAAAGCATTCTTCCTCCCTGGGATTGTGCAGTTCCCAGGCTGGGCAGCTGTATACTCTAGCCCTGGATAGGTTGATTTGTTTAAGGAAGGCTGTTTGCTAGCAGGTATACAGAGATAATGCATTTTATATGCAGAGTTAGTCTCTTTTAAAAAGAGAAAGCTGAAAAAGCCTGAAGACATAAAAAACAATCTATTCACTCCTGCGCCTCTCCCTTCTGCAGACACAGAACTTCCCTGGCAGCTCTGATCTGGGGGCTTCCTGTAGGTGCAAAGACCTGGTTCTTCAGACTCCATCCATGGAAGGAGGGAACACCAGTCACGGGGAGGTGGGCTCTGCACTGGGTTCCAGACACAGCAAAACAGGGCCTGGCATAGGTAGGAAGGGGAAAAGGAGGCCCTAGTCAAAGGGCAGGGCAGCCTCAAAGTTGACCCCAAGGCTGGGACCAGGGGGTACTTCTGCTCCTTTCTGTACCCAGAGTCAAAAGAAACAGTTCATTCCTCTTAACCCTTTCATTGAATCCTCCCCGCAACTTGGCACCCCTGAAACCACATAGAGAAATCACTTCTGTTGTAAACCCTTTCTTGGTGGCCCCCTGTGGCAGCAATGACTTAAAGCCTCATCACTCATGATAGTTGTGTTCTATAAAGCTGCCACGAACACTGAACTAGTAGACGCTGAATCGTTGCTCCTAGGAGAAGCATAGGGTTAGATTCCTGCTGGCCTCTGGTCATGTTTTGTCAGCTGATCGGTACATAACATCATTCTATGTATGTTTCTGTTGACAGATGCCTTGTTGGTGGTATAGTGTGAATCCATTAGCACTGAACTCAGGACCAGCAATGGTGTGACTCAGGCCTGAAGGAAGCTTTTCTAGCACATGGATTTCCTCTGTAAGGCACCTCACAGCCTCTCGTGCCTGGGAACTCTAGCCAGCACTGTAGCACGATGCCTAGGGCCATTATAAATGTGAAATCACCAAAGAAACCCCACAAAAATGTGAAAATCACGGCACTAAATAGACCACAAAAAGGATGCTTGTTTGACTGCAAACAAGTATGAGAACTGGAACCAGAAAGTAGGATGTCATCTTGTTCTTCCTTAGCACTGGATGACTCAAATTTCTCTCCACTCTGCCAGTGTCTTTGAATGACCAGGAAATTGCTGGGAATATTGATTTTGGGATAACAAATAAATTTTATCGACTAGCTGAATTTGCAAATATGGAGTCCACAAATAATAAGGGTTGTTTGCATCTTGAGTTAATTGCCATTTAAAAACAATGTCCTTTTCCAGTTTGTTCATTCATCGTGGTCCAGGTCTCAAAAGTGATTCCTCCCAGGGGTCAGGTGGGCAGTGCCAGGGTCTGGTGGTGACTCAGGTGGAACAGAGGTCACTGGCCTTGTCCAAAGGAGGCTGCAGCTCCTTTCCTCCTGCAAGCTTGGTAGGGGTTGGGGCCTCATCAATTTTTCTTGGGAGGGGCCCATAGTGGCATCTGTGTGAGTGTGGCCAGGGATGTCTCTGGAAGAGGGGGTTGCAGACTGAGATTTTCTGTTTATTTGGAGGGTGAATTTGGGGTGCTGAAGGGCACTGGGGTGTCTAGGGCTTCCTATGTCTTCCCTTAGTGCTACCTCTGGGACTCCATTTTGTCAGAGTTCCTGATATTTCATGAGAAAGCTGGAAATCCAGGTTTTTTTTTTTTTTAATCAGAAATGTCAGGATTTAAAAATATAAGCAGCTAACTAAAAATTCAAAAATCCCTAACCATTGTGCAAGCCAAATGAAATAGGCATAATAAACATGAGCTGCTATGTTCCTAGGTGCCTGGTCAGCTGGGATACAGGTGAGGGGCTGACGGCAGGTGCAGGTGACCCCCTTGCCCACTGCCTGTCCATTCCATGTGTTGTTGCTTGGACCCATTAACATTGTCTGCCTCATATTTCTGTTTGAAGAAAGTTCTGCTACGTGGGTGAGTCTTGTCTATATTGAGAGCAGGGTTGAGCTGCAGTCAGTTATAAAGTCTACCTTCAGTGGGATATTATAAGGGTTCACATGAATTGAATTAACAACATTTTTATATCTGAGGCTACACAATCCTAAAGGAAATGTGACTTCTACAGAGAGAATGAAGATGTTCCTAGCACTTTCAAATATATCGAGCGTTCTCCAATAAGTGTATTTTTTTCATCTTGTGCATCTTGTGTATGAAAGCTTTCTGTGAGGTTATGTCCATGAAAACAAACGCCTTTTTTTCTTTTCCTCATAAAAGCGGAATAATGAAAGATAAGGTTAAGGTTACACCATGGCTACAGTGGTTGTCAACAAGCCTTTTGAGATTGTCTTTTTCTGTTGAAATCAGTTAATGAATTGGAGTTTTCCACTGAGCTCACAGAAGGTAGCTTTTCAGATCTGGGAGCAGATAATCAGAGAGACACTTTTTCCATGCAGCATGTTGAAGGGCATCATTTGGTCTTGTGGCTACACCAGCTGAGTCTGGTCCAGGACCAATCTCGCTAATTACCACAGGTGGACCTTTGGCCCAAGGAAGCAAACAAGGCTTTGGGGCACTTCTCCATGGCCGCCTTGGGACCCTTCAGAAGTGATAAGCCGCCAATCTGGAAGCTGCTTGGGTGATAATGATTCTCGAATGGGCTTTTATGTGGACGAGCAACATGACCTAAGGCACCAGGGATACCAGAAAGGACACTTTTTATGCAGCTTGAAATGTGAGTAGAGAGCAAAACAGATTTCAAAAGACGAGCACCGCCGCTCTCTCGACATTATAAAGTGTCTTCTGAGTGACAACAGTGCATCCTTGTGCATGAATTGCACTTAAGCTTTGTATTTTTGGAAAATAACAATCTGTGTTTTCTGGTTACTATAGACCCAGTATGGGCCTAGAGGTTTTATGTGTGCAGGACCTCATTCGTGTAACCCTTTCAGTGATTGGGAGAGGCAGGAGTGGTTCTTGCCCCCATTTTACAGGGGAGGAGACGGAGATCCCTAAGCTAGTGAAGGATCCAGCTGGGACTCTCTAGCTGAAGTCTGTGGATCCCAAAGCTTGTGCTTGTTGAGGATCAAGAGATGATAGAACTTGCAGTGGCTTGGATGTGGCAGGAACTCATTTCACTTATCTTTTCTCAAGACATGGGTGGTGGGAGTCGTCAGGCTGATAGAGCATCTGACGGGAAGTTAAAAGAAATTTAGCCTGGTTAGTAGTGTGTTTGGAATCACCTTGTAGGGTTTACCTTAAATCATGGGGATTGTTGCAGATTCATTATCTATGTAAAAAAAAAAAGCCTCTCAGTGATGCCATGGGAGGGCCATTGTGGATTACTGCTTGATTAATCACGGCTGAGTAGGGAGAGTTGCTGTCATTTTCCTTTTTCTCTTGTTTCTGTGAAGTTCCTCACCTTCCTATCTCAGCCAGATGTCTTCATCAACCCCATCTCCTCCCAGCTCCTTGGGAAACTTACCACATCTGTTTTCTTTTTACTTTTGAATAGTCTTTTTCTGTCAACTGGACTCTTCTTATTTTCTTTTTCACCAATGTTGCAAAAGTTGAAAGAATTGTACAGAGAAAATCACGCACTTACCACCCAGATGCCACAACTGGCATTTGCTGTATGTGCTGGATCACACATCTGGTCTTCTGTCCATTCTTCTAACCGCCCACCAAGACTTTAAAAAAATGCATTTCAAAGCAGGTTGCAGACATTATATACTCGCTTCCTACACACTTCAGCCTGCATACCACTGACCAGATTTCAAGATTCATTTTTGTTGCTTTTTCTGTTAAGTAAAAATTTACAGTGAAATGCATAATTCTCACATGTAGCATTGGGCAAGTTTTCCCCATTAGCTTTTAATACATCTGCTAATCTCTCCTATTAAAAAACCAAGCCAAATCTGCCCTCACCTCAGGCCCATTCAGCTACTGCCCCGAATTGCTCCTCCTCATTTCCAATCAGACTTTTCGAAAGCACTGCACCCGTTTCTTCTCTCCAGCCTCTCCCTGCACCCATCTGGCCCCGTCCCTACCCATCCTGCCATCTTCACTGAGGTTACCAATTCCTTCTGTGTCACCAAATCAAGGGATATTTTCTAGTCATCACTCTCCTTAGCCCTCGGTCGCACCTCAAGCTCCTTTCCTCTGGACACACTCCCTTGCCTGACTTGCAGGGTGTCACGCTCCCTGGGCTTTCCCCCCAGCCCTCTGGCCACTTTCTTTCTCTCATTTGAAGTCTCCTTCACCATTTTATCCTCTGAAATTAAGTATTGGAATTGCTTAGGGCTCAGCAATTCCATACTTTTTCCTGACTCCATATTTTCACCGACATGATCTCATCCTCTTCTGTGGTTTCAATTTCTGCCCCCACACACATGACCCTCACATTTGCGTGCTGCCTGGCATCTCTCCTGGAGCTCTAGGCCTGTATTCCAGCTCAGTGCCCCTTCTTAGATGGTCCAGAAGCACCTAACATGTTCATGTCCAAAACCTGAATCAGTCTTTCCTCTTCACACTTGTTCTCTGTCTTAGTCCATTTTGTGTTGCTAGAATGGAATATCTGAGGCTGGGTAATTTATAAAGAAGAAAAGGTTTGTTGGCTCATGATTCTGATGGTTGGAAAGTTCATGATTGGGCCTCTGCATCTGGTGAGGGCCTCAGGCTGCTTCCACTCATGGTGAAAGGGGAACCCCGGCTCTCAGAGATCACTGGTGAGAGAGGAAGCAAGAGAGAGTCGGGAGGTGCCAGGCTCTTTTTAACAAGCAGCTCTTGCTGGAACTAATAGAGTGAGAACTCACTCACTCCCATGGGAGGGCATTATTCTGTTCATGGGAAATCTACCCCATGACCCAAACACCTCCCACTAGTCCCCACTTCCCAGCATTGACACACTGGAATCAGACTTCAGCAGGAGATTTGGTGGAAACAAACCATGTTCAAACCACAGCATCCTCCTCTAGGATTCCCCCAGCACAGGGAGTGGCATTACCATTAACTCAGGGGGCATTGCTTGTCCCTCCTCCATTGCCAAATTGTATTGATTTTGCTTCTTACAATTATGTCTTGATGCCACCTTCTGCTTCTCTCCACTGCCATAGTCAGGGTTCATATCCAGCTGGGCCTCCCACCCTCTTGATGCCCTCCCAGCATGCATTCTCCACCCAGTAGCCAGAGTTCTGTTCTCAAAACACTAGCCTGGTCCTGGTGCTCCCCTGCCTACACCCCCCAGTGGATTTCCAGTGTCTTCTGTCTTTGCAGGGATTGCAAGGATCTTCTGGGTCAGGCCCCTGCCCACCTCTTCAGGCCCCTCTCCCTACCCCCTGACCCCAACACTTTTTGCTCTCCAACCTCACCAGCCCATCATGCCTTGGTTCCTCCCACTGCTGGCCTCTGACCATGCTCTTCCCTCTTCAGGAAGCCCTTGCCCCTCTCCTTGCCTGCCCAGGCCTCCCCATATACACAACTTGCCTTGCAAATGCCTCCTTCATGTTATGTGTCCCATGATGCCACATGCCTCTCCTTTCAGATACTTAGCATGGCCACACTTTTATATTTCACTGTGAGCATCTTTGATTAATGTCCTCTTCCTCATGGAAGCTTCATGACTATATTTTTTTCCTTTGCCTTTGTTTGATCTTCAACATCTAGTGAAATGCCTGACACATATTAGACACACAACTGTTTGCTGACTGAGTACATGAAATTTCATTCTTTACATTTTCCTAATTTTTTAATGGAAGGCAATTAATGTTAGCCAAGGTACCAAAATTGGAGAATTAGTGTAATAGCTGTGGCTCAGATTTTAAAAAATATTTTGATAAATCTGGGACATCTAATTCCTTGGGCAGGAAACAAAGGCTCACTCATGTCACCTCAGTTTTTAAAAAAATTTGGACAGTGGTCATATACTCTGTGGCTTACAGAGCAGGGGCAGGAGACCTGGAGCCTGGAGCCTGAAAATCATGTGGCTATTAAGGGTGAATGCCTCCTGGTCGTGCTGTTATTCTTGTTTGCAGAATGGGACAGTCACATGCCCCTGGGGTCTCCAGGACTTGTGAGAATGGGATAATATTTGGGTGTCTCTGCAAAACGATAAAATCACATTAGTCCACTGTGGAACGGGCAATCATGTTTAGGATCAGGATTCCACCAAATTTTCCTGTTCTGTCTTGCAAAGGGCAGGACGCCACCCCTTGGACCATAGTGGAAGGGGCTGCTTTATTGGGTCCTCCAGCTTTGGAGACTTGAGAACTGGGCTGAATCAGTGTCACTCTTATTATTATTAATGTTGTGATGATTGGTATTTCAGTAGGACTGGCTCTCTGTAAGCTCCGGCCATCCCATCAGGATTCAGTGGCCTGCAAGAGGTTGACCATGATGCTCCAGCTGAAGGGTGCTTTGGTCCCTGGTGCCAGGGTGATGGGCAGCTCAGTGGGAATGCACCTCCATCCGAAAGCACAGGGAGCCGGTAACCCAGGGATGGGCTCTCGAGAAGCTGCCAACCCAATACTTCTGGGAATTGGCTTTCTCTTTTCCTTGTTGTGGAAACCTCACCAGCTGCTTCATGGGGGAGGTTAATTAATGCAATTAACAACAAATGCCTTAATTGCAGATGTTTAGAGAGACACTTTACTATTATTATTGTTATTATTGTTTTGTGTGCCACTCTCTGCACACTTGGATATCTCTTTATTAAAGCAAATAAAACCATAATTAGGTGCAGCCCAATTCAAACAGCAGCAGCAGCTTGGAGCAGGAAACCATAATTCAAGAACAAGAGGCATTCTTGACAAATATTATGTTGTCTGCCTAGTAACTGGTTGTGTGCCAGGGTGCTGTGAGCCACTTCAGGAGAGCTCTTACCTGCTTTCTCTAAAGCCTGGACAGAGGGGAGAGGCCAGATTGAAGGAGACAGGCCGTGGGGAGCTAGGGCCATGCTGGCAGCCCCCTCAGAGAACAGGCCCTTGAACAAGCTCACGGGCCAGGGGAGCTTGTATTCCAGGAGGCTTTGATCAGAAATTGGGAATTACACAGGAGCTTGGAGTTAAGGGAAAAGAAAAGGAAGACAGTTTACTGCTCTTAAATTGTGGTTTTGGAGGATTAGAAGAAAGGAACCAGAGATCAGGTTAGCATTTCAAGGCGAAACAATCGATAAAACACACATTCCGGGCCTTGACCATGGATCAAGGCCTTGACCATGAAGTCTTTAGCTGTGTTTCCCGATTGCACGGACGGCTTATAGTGTGAAGTTGTGTGCATCGATATGCTAATGACGGCCTCTTTAAGTGAAATTAATGCCTGGATTGTGTGCTTAGAGCAGCCCTTCATTATTCCCTGTGATATGAAGATGTGTTGGAGATTCTTCCCGGCTTCTCAGTGACACTCTTCATACAAAATTTATCTCTTTTATGGGTTTGAAGCTCTTTCAGATACATATCAAAGACCTTTCCATGCCTCTACCCTGCATAATATATTCTGCAACAGCTTATAATAAATCATCCTCCTTCCCTGACTGGTTAGCCGTGAGCAAACATGGCTATTGCTGGCACCGAAAGGATGCGAGATCCTCATATTTAATGCTTTGCCTCTTATGTTACTACTGTCTGTCCTTCCATCTTCCCTGGGGAGCCCCACAAAATAGCAAGGGGCTGGAATCACCGGCAATGCTGTTCTGATTTTAAAGCCATTGTCTGGGTTGATAATATAGAAAATGTAACATGTTGTTCTTTCATGTTGAAAGAATCTTTTCCTCTCGTTTGCCTCATTTTCTGATTTCACAAGTAGACGTGGCACAGGTGCCCACTGTATTTCCAAAGGACTTAGGTTGACAAGGGTGACCATATTGGTGGTTGCTAATGAGCTGAGCATAGATGGGCTTTGTTGCATCTTGTTGAGGAGAGAAATCAAATAGAACAAAGGGAAAGATTGTCCAAAATGGTGGTCTCTGGGGTAGGAACTGCACCATGGCTGCTGGCTGCTAACACGGGAGGCGGATCCCACTCTAACATGGGTGACTTGGGAGAAAGCCTCCCTCAGAGAGGTTCCCTGTGTGGGCACAGAGGGATCAGGCTTTCCAACGCTCATGGGTCAATGGGGCTCTTGTGTTTGGTGTGAGTGGTGGGGTAGAAGGATAGGTAATTTTTTTAAAACAGAAACAGAATTTGCTTTTGGTGTGGTTGTTCCCAAAGGCCAATGTGTGTTAAAGGAAATGCACCCTGTGATGGATATGGCTAGCTGCACCCCCTTTCCTCACCCAAACCTGCTGGCTTTATCTTCTGTAAAAATTTATAGCTGGAGAGATGGTTGCATAGAATAAATGGGACACTTTCCAGATTCCCTTGCAGCTAGCTGTGGCCACTGAGGTTGACCAAAGATTAAGTAAAATTCCTGAAGTCATACAGCTAGAAAAACAACAGAGGTAATATTTGAACCCATATCTGTTTGATTCCAAAACCATGATCTTTATTGTCTCCTTTCATTCTCTTAGAGGATGGAGAATTTCAATCAGGTAGTTTTTAAAATTTCCAGAGAATAAAGAATACACTTAACAAAAATGGCTTATCTTAAATTTATAGTATTATTATTAACTACAGATAATCTATTGAATAGGTAACATGTATTACCATACATCAACAGATAAAAACATATCATTGGGACAATTACCGAATGGTTTCTCATAAATTATAAAAGTATTTCAATTAGTTTTATTGAGGTATAATTTACATACAATAGAATCTGTAGACTTCTGTTGGATAGCTTGATTAATTTGGCAAATGTACACAGTCATGTAACCATCCTCGCAATCAAGATGTAGGACATTTCCATTACTCCAAAAGCTCTCCATGCTGCAGTGTATTCAACCCATCCTTGCAACTCCAGCACCTGGTAAACACTGACCCATTTTCTGGGACTATTGTTTTGCCTTTTCTAGAATCTCACATATATGAATTAACTCTTGCTTTCCAATTATTATGTTGGGGCAGTTTTTATTAGAAGGCTGTTTTGGAGTAGAAAGTTTGGAGTTTTCCTTTATAGCACTGCAGATTGAAGTCATGTAGACCAAGTGGCTATTGCTTTACAGACTCAGTCAAGTGTTCTTTTCCCTGTTGCAGAGGGAATGGGATTTACATTGTAAGCAGCACTATAAAAATGGCTGTGCACTTCCTCAGAGCCACTCTGCCAGTTACCTAAACTGAGCCACCAGAATTTACTGATGACACTTGCGAGTAAGTGAACTCTTTATGCACTTAAAGAGGAATGTTTACTATTTGTGTAGAATATTGGAAATGTCCAAGTCAGAGCAGGTTAATTGGATGCATGCAGTAGTTGGGAGGTGGGCTGAGGACACTTCCAAGCTCTGAAGGCTCTTCCAAAAGTCCCATGACTTGCTCAAAGTCTGAGGCCCCCTGCTAAGTTAGCAAATGTTTTGTCCAAGTGTAGGTCTGAAAAAATGCAGCATTGTCTCTCTGCAGTTCTCACCAGAGCCAGACCTGAAAAATCAGGCACCTCTGCGGTCAGCTGTGTTGGGTATTATTCTTGGAGTCTTATGGACAGCACCAGAGTCTTGACTACAAAAGCCAGTCATGGCTGGACTCCCTCAGACGCTTCCCTACATCTGCCTCACATTGACTTATAACCCTTGAGTAGGTAGGACTAAGAAAACAACTTCTGTTTCAGGATATTTTAGTTTGGATTTCCCCAGAAGCAGACCCTGAGACAAAGATTCGAGTGACCATCTGGATAAACATCCTCAGGGGATGGGGCAGTGCGACAGGAAAGGGAAGCCAGTTACACTGGCAACTGGAGGACCGTTCCTCTAGGAAACTCTGGGAGATGGTGGTGAGCTCGCAAAGAAGAGGCCAGGAAGCTGAGGTCCTGGTGCTGCCAATCCCTGTCTGTGGCTGGGTGAGGGCTGCGTCCAGAAGCATGGGATCGCCAGGACTCCTGGCTCACCCTGTGAGCTTGTGGTCAGTGCATTCCAGAGTACACAGGAAGCAGCCTTTGGTGTGCAAGGGTAGCACTGAGGGGCTTGGGCAGGGCACCTGCAGGGACTGCTACACAGGCCATACCAGGTTCCCTTCTTCATGCACTGTCTAAACCGTGCCTACTCTCCCTGCACCTGCCATAAACACTGTGTTCCTCATCAGTTTGCACTGGGCCATGTCTCTTTAGTATCTTACCATTATTGCCTTTTCTAGAAGACTTCTAGGATCTGCCTAGATAACTCCTCAGCCATCAGATCTCATCTAAGCACGCTTTTCTCAGAAAGGCTTGCCCTGGCATCCTGGTGAGCGCAAGTCCCCCTGCCACATGCGGAGGGGGCGTTGGTGGACAGGCCTGCCCAGTGCTCCTCAAGAGGCTTTTCAGCAGAAAACCACATTTTCCAGACTCCCGTGGGGCTGGGCTTCTGGACATCATTGGGAAGTGTCTTTGTAGCACAGGTGGAGTGGAGCCTGCCTTCTGATTTTTCCACTTTGTGCTTTCTGCATTTCTGGCAAGCAGACCTGGAGATGTGGGGTTGTTCTGTGGTTCCTTTCCAGCAGTCAAGTTTTGTAGTGTCAAGAGATCAACGGAGGGAAGGTCACTCATTATTTTGTCCTTGTGTATCTATCTGGTGTGCTGTGGTTTAGACCAATAGTTGAGATGATAATGGTTTCCTTACTGATCTTTGGATCAAAGAGAAGGTGGTGTGTTCCCAGAGCCTCTCGATTCTGTTTCTCTGATGGTCCCATGGTTGGTGGTTGTCCTTGAGGAACAGGCCCATGGTATTGCTGAGAGTAACTGGAAGTCTATCCTAGAGTCTGCTGCTTCCGCTCTTCCAAGATTTTGTAAGCACTCAGCCCACCAATTAAATACTCTCTGCTACAAAATAAGATGTGATGGCTTATGTCTCCTAAAATTGAACTTCAGTGGATATGTCTAATTGCACCAATACTTTTTATTTTGTTTTATTTTTAAAATTAACACATAATAATTGTACATATTTATGGGTATAATATGATGTTTTAATACATGCATACCTTGTGTAATGATCAAATCAGGGTAATTAACATATCTGTCACTTCATGCATTTATAATTTCTTTGTGGTGAGAACAATTGGAAACCTCTCTTCTAGCTATTTTGAAATAGTCATTATATTATTGTTAACTATAGTTGCCCTACTGTATTTTTTAAATTTTATTTTTATTTTCCACATACTTCTACTTGGAAGCAATTTTATATTTATTTGTGGGAGTATATAAAATAGGGGTCTTCTATTCAGAAGGTGCCATGACGATGGGCTTATATCAGCTTTGGCTAGTATAATAACTTAGGGCAATGGTTCTCAAACAGGGGTGACTTTGTCCCCCAGGAGACATTTGGGAATGTCTGGAGACTTGGGTCATCAAAACTGAGAAAGGTGCTTTTGGCATTGAGTGGGTAGAGGATGGGGACACTGCTCAGCATCCTACGGTGCACAGGACAGCACCGACAGCAACGAGTTACCCAGCCCAAACTGTCAATGGTGCTGAGGTTAAGAAACTCGGATTTATGGACTTCTGTCTTTTTTTTTTGAGACAGGATTTCACTCCCATAGCTCAGTCTGGAATGCAGTGGCGCGATCTTGGCTCACTGTGCTTGGGTGATCCTCCTGACTCAGCCTCCCAAGTAGCTGAGACTACAGGTGCACACCATCACACCCAGCTAATTTTTTGTATTTTTAGTAGAGATGAGGTCTAGCCCTGTTGCCCAAGCTGGTCTTGAACTCCCGTGCTCAAGTGATCTGCCTGCCTTGGACTCTCAAAGTGCTAGGATTGGGCTGGGCGAGGTGGCTCATGCCTGTAATCCCAGCACTTTGGGAGGCCGAGGCAGGTGGATCACCTGAGATCAGGGGTTTAATACCAGCCTGGCTAACTTGGTGAAACCCTGTCTCTACTAAAAATACAAAAAATTAGCCAGGTGTGGTGGCAGGTGCCTGTAAGCCAGCTACTGGGGAGGCTGAGGCAGGAGAATCGCTTGAACCCAGGAGGCGGAGGTTGCAGTGGGCCGAGATCACGCCATTGCACTCCATCACTCTTGGGCAACAAGAGTGAAACTCCATCTCAAAGTAAAAAAAAAAAAAAAAAAGTGCTAGGATTACAGGCATGAGCCACTATACCTGGCTGGTTTTCTGAAACTATATCAGATAGTGTACAGGATCTTTGGGAGAGCAGAGAGCTCGGTGAAATGCACAAGCACAACCCAGACTGCTCCAGGAATCATCCTGATGCTGCCATCCCATGCCTTTAAGGACTAGATGCCAGAAGCCCTCCTGGGCAGGGGCGTGATTATTGATCCTTACTGTGCAGAGAAGGACGTGGAGGTATGCTTGTCTTGACACAAGCTTGGGTCTGTTCTAGTCCATGCTTTCCTGGACTCCCACACCCTTCCTTTTGTGGGACGTCTGTTTGGAAAAAAAATCACTAATAACCTGACTGAATGACTTGTAAGTTCTAGCAAGTAATAGAATGGCATTTGCCTCTTTTATCCAAATTGGTAATGTTTTAAAAGATTTTATGACTTTAAGGTAGTCATTTTGTCTAGTCATATTTCTGTGTGGGGAGGTGCTACATATTTATGCACACATAGGCTATTTATTTAATTTTTAAATAATTCAAGAATATATTATCATCATAGAAAACATCAGACAATAAAGAAGTGCACAGAGAAAAAAGTGAAAATACCATTTGAACCCCTCTCCCTCTTCACTTTCAAACCCACCGCCCTTCCCAAATGTACCTGCAGTTCCGTTCTGGTGTATATTCTAGATATTTGGTGTACATATATTTTCTATGTGTTTACATGCACAAACATGCATGTAAAAAAGGCATCATCTTGTTTTCAGGATTTGTCTAATCCTTGTGATCATATGTATTATTTTGCAACTTCCTTTCTCCATCTCCCCTCCCACACTTTCTTTTTCTTTTAGCTTGATATGTCTTGAAGAACTTTATACCCAGGAATGTCTGGCTTCACCTCATTCTATTGGCTGCTGTGTAGTGTGGCTTGGGACAGATATGCTGCATTCAGGCAACTATAGAGTGGTGATCACAAGCTCTCATCCTGCTGTCAGCCTGCTGGGGTTGAAATTGTGGCTTCACTACTTTGTACATATGTGACCTTGGACACTTTACTTAGCTTCCCTGTTGCTTGTTTTTCTCATTTGTGGCCTGGTTCTTCATCTGTTAAAAAAATGTGAGCTTGTTGAAGTCATCCAACAGATTAACAAGATGTGCTTATACTGTAGACACCATCTACCACATTTTCCCCAGGTCTTGACATGAGAATGGATGCAGTTTGAATTGCATTGAAACCTTACTTCTTCTTTTCTAAAATTTTCTTTTCCCTAGCAGAACAATTCTAAACAGATGTAGTTGAAACCCAGGTTTTGAAAATTCTGAGCTTAAGAAATTATATTTTTTATAGTTTCCTAGAAACTTTTCCTTCATGACCTGCTGGCTACAGGCAGGATATCAGTTGATTCCAATGATTCTTTATTTCACCTTGGCATGTCTTTTATCAGAAATCATATGGAAACTTTTTAATTTATGGGCTTTTATTGCAATCCTCAATTCACCCTGAGTAGTCTATTATGAAGTGTTCTAGAGGTTCTTATTGTCCCTTATCAGAGAATTGTATCTCGGTGCAATTCATCTGTAGTCATTCTTCACAGAGAAAATCTTTCATATTACCTTTCTTTCATCATATAACGACAACTCTTGAATACATCATTATTCCACAATGAGCTTATAAATTATTATCATTAGGCAATTTTTCATATAATCTGATTTTATAAACTGTTTCTTTTTATTATCGTTAGAGGGGAACCAGTAAATGCATCTGTCTGTTTTGATCCACCATGATAACAGTAATAGAAAAACTAAGTAAGGACATCTTACTGAGTCGCAAACATACTGGATTTGTAATGACTTCAGACCAGGATATTCGTGTGCAAATGGCCCAGCACCATGGCCCTCTCTTATGAGTCACGGTGCCACCCATAGTGGCATCTTAATTGGTAATGCTGAGCTATCCAGATGTCTTTAACTGAATTTTTTCCCCACAGAAATGAGTTTTTATTTTTACTTTTTCTTTTTTGTTTTGATACAGGGTCTTGCTCCGTCACCGAGTCTGGAGTGCAGTGGTATGATTATGGCTTACTTGAACTTCTGGGCTCAAGCAATCCTCCCACCTCAGCCTCCAGAATAGCTGGGACTATAAGTGTGGATCATCAACCCTGGCTAATTTTTTGATTTTTTATAGAGACGAGGTCTCACCATGTTGCCCAGACAAGTCTTTAACTCCTGGGCTCAAGCAATCCTCCCACCTCAGCCTCCTAAAGTGCCGGGATTACAGGCATGAGCCACTGTGCCTGACTTCCAGATTTGCATCTTAAAGGGCTGTTCCATTGAAGTAAGTTTTAAAAATGTAAAATAAAATATTTTTAAATGAAGAAAAAGCCAAAGTAGGTTACAAAGTAGAATATGTGATTTGCTGTGTGTAATGGTAACCCAAGAAAGACCCCTCACCTGTGACCTACCTACCTCCCCGAAACCTACTTACCTGTTCTTAGAGAATGCATATTTTTTTCATATAGAAGTAGGGAGGTACATTTTTCACATATGGCTTTTAGATCAGCATTGTCTAACAGAGCTTACTGTTCTGATGATGCACATATTTATCCTCTGTTCTGTTCAGTATGGTGGTGGTGGCTGCATGTAACATTGGGTTGTGAAATGTGGCTACTGCTACTGAGGAACTGAATTTTAAATTTTATTTAACTTTAACACTTAAATAGGTTCATGTCGCTGGTGGCTATTATCTTGGATAGTGCAGTTTTAGGTTGTCCTTAGTTGTGGTATGTATATTCTGTGTTACTGCTTGTTTCCAATAGTATGGATAATTGAGAATTGACTACCTTTTTTCCCCCAGTCCAATTAATCCTTTAGGTGAGTAGGACAAGTAACATTCATTAGGAAGACAACAACTTTTTTTTTTGAGATGGGATCTCGCTTTGTCTTCCAGGCTGGAGTGCAGTGATGTGATCTCAGCTCATTGCAACCTCTGCCTCCCAGGCTTGAGCAATCCTCCCACCTCAGCCTCCTGAGTAGCTGGGACCACAGGGGCGCGCCACTGTACCTGGCTAATTTTTTTGTATTTTTTGTAGAGATAGGGTCTCATTATGTTGCCCAGGGTGGTCTTGAACTCCTGAGCTAAAGCGATCCACCCTCCTTGGCTCCCCAAAGTGCTGGGATTACAAGTGTGAGCCATGATGCCCAGCCAGGAAGGCAACAATATCAACAATAGCCAGCCTTCTCAGGTTCTGGTTGTGTTCTCACACATTGCCTGGGTTAACTATCAAATTTTCCCACTAGTTATGAGGGAGGTAGTACTTTTATCTTCATTTTGAACTTAGGGAATGAAGGAAGCACAGAGAGGTTAAGTGCCTTGCCTAAGGCCACACAGCTGGTGGCTGTCCAGCTGCCCTCTTTCATATCCCATCTATGTGTGGGTTTGGCTTTCGATTCTGCTGCATTTACAAATGTGTCTACCCCTGTACTGCTTCCACATAGTTTTATTAATATTTACTAACATTTTATATTAAGTTCTGATAACTGCAGGCAAGTCTCCCTCTGTGTTCTTTTTCAAATTAGTCTTTATCCATTCCAGAGCCTTTGCTTGTTTATATTAGGGCCTCACAACTTTGGTACCATTGGTACTTGGGTCTAGATTATTCTTTGTGGTAGGGTCTGTCCTGTGTGCTCTAGATGATGAATAGCATCTCTGGTCTCTACACCTGGACTTCAGACATTGCCAAATGTCCACTGGGGCCAAAAATCACCCTTTGTTATAAACTATAATTCTGTATAAATTGTAGAGTCAGTGTATCAAATTTCAAAAACAGTTTGGTTTGAGTGTTGATTGAAACCCTGTCAAATTTATAAATTAGTTTTGGGAAGAATCACTATCATTATAATATTGAGTCTTCTCAAACATGGACCTGTTTCACCTCAACATCTTCTCAATCTCATTTCATGTCTTTTAATAACATTTTATAATTTTCCTCATGAAAGTTGTGTGCATCTTTTGTTAAATTTATTCCTGGGCGTCTTGTAGTGTTTTGCTATGATAAAGAGATTTTTTCTTTTCTGATTCCAAGAATTGGTCATTACTGGTGTAAAAGAACATTACTAATTTTTAGTGTGTCTTGCATATGAAAATCTTCTTGAACTCTTTTATTAATTCTAACAGTCTGCACATCTTCTAGAATTTTTTATGTAGATAATTATATTGTCTGCAAAATAATCACAATGTTGACCCATTGTTTAACATTCTTACACCTTTAACTTCTTTTCCTCATCTCATTGCATTGACTAAGACCTCCAAGAAAATGCTGAATTCTCGCAAGGACAGAGGGACACTTTCATTTTGCAAGCAAAGAGACAAAGACTTGGGCCTGTCCAAGGTCATTCAGCGAATTAGAACAGAGTCAAGGCTAGATTCTAAGGTTTACAAACTTCTTTTTCCTTTATTCCTTCTTGCTGCTTTTGTTTTTGGTTAATTTAGTTAACATAAAAACAATTTGCTGTCAGACCCTTTTCATTTTAAACGTATTAAAGCCTGAAAAGAAAGTTACTTACAGTCTTTTATTGCCTGCGGAGTATAATGCATCAGCACACTAATATTGACACGAAACCTCTGTTATTCTTTCATTACAAAAGCATGTCAACTCTTTAATATCTACTAGCCTGCAAGTATGTTTCCCCTTGGGAAATGCCTGCAGTAGTGTCTTCCTGTTAGTGAGAGATATTAAGAGGATCTGAGTCTTATAATAGCAATAGCTATGTTTGATGGATCACTTAAAATGAAGCAGGTACTGTGATAGATACTTTACAAGTATGCCCTCACTATGTCTTTATAACAATACTCTAAGGTGTATATTATTATCCGTGTTTTACAGATGAGGAAACTGAGCTTCAGGGTATTAGGTAATTTGCCCAAGGCCTCTTGTTTCTAAGTTTGCTGAGCCTGGACTCAGACCTGGGTTGGACACCAAAGTAAATGGCCTACTTGCTATAGATTTTGGTTGCCGTTAGGTGTACAGACGTAAAATTAATATGGGAAGAATTCAAATTCAGTTTGATGGGTCTAGGAATTAATTCTTTTCACTGCTTTAGCTTAAGCAAATGAAGTTATCTCCTAGCATTACTTCCACATAAATACATACAAACTAGTAATAGATTTGATTTAGTAAATGCCTCCAATATGCTGGGCACATCATGCATATTATCTCTTATCTGCATAACAAATTTGAATGGAAAGCCTTGTTAGTACCACTTTAGGGATCAAGAGACTGGGGTTCATAGAGATTTAGTAACAGGTAAGAAGGAGCACAGCTAGGTTGCACACTGCTTTTTGCACCACGTCAGGCCCACCAGTTGGCTTGTGAGCCCAAAGCTGTGTTTTGGTCACACTAGATTCACAGTTGAAAGAATATAGTCCAGCAGCTGCATTTTAAAGAATCATTTCCATCATTATGCAGTATGTGGAACCCAAGAGAGGCTTCTATAAACATGAGTACATGTTCCCAGACAAAGGAGATAATATCGATGACAAACAGCCATTATCTAGAACATCTGTTAGGCTGTTTCTCCTGGTTTTAAATAACGCACGGCATGCTCTAATTCAGGTGTACTCTGAAAACCCAGCAGCTTCTCCTGTGATTTCTGTGATCTCTGGGTATGATGAATGAGAATATCTGTTGATCATGGAGTACACCACTTAATCAAGCACTTTGGCTGCAGATCAAATTTTCTATATTTTTAACTATAATTATAGCTATAACCAACACTACTTATCTTGCTTTATAATTTACACAGTGATTCCACATTCAGTGTCTCATAAGCATTTAATCCCCAAAATGGCTCTGCTCGGCAGTCATTAATATTGTCCTCACAATAGTGTTTTTGAGATTGCCCACATGTATCAACAAAGAGAGACATCCAAGAGATATTGTTCTTTGAGAAGAATGGATTTTTACAATATGGTTTAATGTGGTACCATTTTAGTTTAATTGCATTCAGAAGGGAACATATATTAAGCAGTTAGTTGATATCTCTGGGGGTAAGAGTTTCAGAAAAGCTTCTTCATTCTATTTTACATATGCCTGAATTCCTTTTATTAGTTTTTAAATTTAAATTTTATAAATGCAGATGGTTTCTTTAAATATATATTTTACACAAATACAAAGTCATACAGGGATATTGTTTAAAAAATCATACAGTCCCATAAGGCCGGTAATAAGAGAGATATTCTACCTTGTCACCTCCCTCACCCCCACCAGTATTAGAAGGTAACAACTCTGAACTCTTATAGAGCACTGTTTTAGGGATTGGAGACTGGGGTTCATAGAGATTTAGTAACAGCTAATGAAGAGCAGAGCCAGGTTTGATATTTATTACTCCATCTTAAATTGAGTGGTTTTACTGTTATTTGTTATTGATTAGTTTTAGATATTATATATTGACTTCCTGCTGTGGAAGATGAGGATTCAGACCCCTTCCGTACCTTCCTTCCATCCCTCATCATTCCACTGTGGTCATATCGTTAGTCAATGTGAGATATGCACATTATTATGACTCTAGGTCAATACCACTTGCAGCCAAGCCACACCATGTGCTGTGTAGACTTATATTTCTATTCATGTACAACTTCTCCTCCAAAGTTGGTAATAGTCTCTTTTTAAAAAACTTTTGCTTGTTATTAAAAGAAAATCACTCATTCATTTTCAAGCTTTCTGCTGGGATCCTGTTTCTTCTCAAGATGATGCAGGGCAGGGAAGGTCCAAAATTGAGACTTAGCATGAGAGGGTTCTTTGCTTCACCCAGGGAAGAATTCAAGGTCAGTGGTGAGAGAAAGCAACTTTTAACAAGCAGTGCCTGGCTCATAGGCAGTGTGCCCAGCATCAGCAGTGTACGCTGGCAACTGTATTTATACCACTTTGAATCACATGCTAATTAAGAGGTGGGTTATTGAGAAGTTTCTGGAAAAGAGGCGGGAAGTTTCAGGAACCATTTAAGTTAACTTCCAGGCTGTTGCCATGGCTTGTTGCCATGGCGTTTACAAGCTGCCATGGCACTAGTGGAAGTGTCTTCATGGTAATGAGCAGTTAGGCCAACTGGAGGTTGCTTTCATTGCTGTCTGCTGGTTTTGGGTGGCTTCTTCCCTGCATCCTGTTCTGACTAGATCCTGCTTCCATCAGCGGGGTTGTGACTCAAAAATAAGTCCTGCCAGTCTCCTGCCTCAAGGACATTCAAGTATTTTGGGAGCAGTTTCATCATCTTGATGACACCCCTCCTAGATGTCCCCGTCCTCTTGTCCCAAGATTGCAGGCCTCTCTCCTGACCTGCTCGGCCACCCTAGAAGCTCCCTGAACTGCCATCTGGTTCTTTCTGCTTTTCTTTTGGGATGGATCTCACCTCAAAAGAATGTGCTCTGGATCTCACATCTTTCTTTCTTGATTTACTGCCTCCACCCCTGCAATTTCCTTGCCTCTTTTCAATTTCCGCTCCTTTAAATCATTTTAGAAGGGTTTGAGGAAGAAATAGTGATCAATACTTGCATTCGGTCTCCAGGTTTAACCTGAAGTTCCCCATATTTTAAGACCAGAAAAAAAAATAAAGATTTTTTTCCATTTGGGTAGAAAAACCTATATTTTCAAATTCCACTACTTGAATTATTCTGTGCCTTTTCTTCATTGTGTGGGTGTACCATTCACCAGCAACTTGTAAAATCCATGTAGGGAAGCACCTCTCAAGTTGCTTTCTGCAAAAGTGTACCCAAAAGAGACACAAAAGTTTGGCCTCAAAAGTTTGAAAATGTCTTTATTTTATCCTTGTGCTTGTCGACATCTTGCTGAATACAGAATTTCAGGTTGGAAACACTTTTTTCTAGCTTTGGTGGTGTTGTTGAGAAGTCCAACAACAAAGGATTCTTAATCCTTTGTATACACAATTTTATTTTCTTTATGGAAATGTTTAGAGCCTTCTCTTTGTTTCCAATACTCTAAAATTCCCAAATAATAAGCCTTGGTATAAATCTATTTTCACCTATTTTGAAGAATATTTGATATGGGATTGCAACCTGGAGACTCATGTCTTTCAGTTCTGGTAAACCTTATTGAGTTAATTTATTTACTTTAAAAAAGAATATTCTCCTCTCTGTGTTTACATTCTTGAACTTTCATTGCTGGTTATGGACCCTCCTGGACTGATCTTCTAATTTTAAAGGTATTTTAAAATTTAAATTCTAACTCTTTTATTTTTTTTTAGAAGAGCTATACTTCCCAAACTTCTTCTGAGTTTTTTTCTACTATCATATTTTTAATTATTTTTTTTAAGAGACAGAGGCTTGCTATGCTACCCAGGCTGGAGTGCAGTGGCTATTCACAGGTGGGATCACATAGGGCACTGCAGCCTTGAAATCCTGGACTCAAGTGGTCCTCCTGGCTCAGTCTCCTCAGTAGCTGGGACTACAGGCAAGTACCACCATGCCCAGCATATTTTTAAATTCTTAAGAGCTCATTTTTTGTTCTCTGATCGTTCCCTTTCTACATAATGTTGTTTTAGATTCATTGATATAATAGCTTCATTTGATTTCTCTGAAAATATTAAAGATACTTTTTTGGTATAATTTTTGTCTTTCTACATGGGCTCTGTTTCCTCTAATTTACTTTGATCTGTTTTTTTCTTAGGGGGGATCTACTTCATGCTAGAGCTTTTCTTACATGTCTGGGGATCCTTAGCTGTCTGCTGAAATTTAAAAGTGGAGCATTGAAAAGTAGATTGGAAATGTTGAGCATATAGTTAAGGCTTATCACTTATGGGTTCCACTGTGTGGTAATCTTTTCGGGTCATCATAGGAGAACTCTTGATGTCAGGATCTAGGTCCTTTCTCTTGTGTTGGTCAAATTTCCCAGAGAATAAGCTTCTCATTTCCTTTTGGGCAGTATATTTATTGGCCAGTGAGTCTGGGGGTAAATAGGTTTGAGGGTTCCAATATTCAGTATGGAAATTCCATAAAATGAACTATTTGTAGTATGGACACCTGTCCTCCCATGTGCCTGGTATCCCCCAGGCCAGAAACGTTCTACTTTATTTCCAAGAGAGTCAAGCTCAGTCTTCTAACACAGTGAGGGACATGCAGCTCTCTGGAAGTGTATCTTCCTCCATAGGTTTGCATCCAATTCCCCTATGTTCAATTCAGGCCCAGCTGGGCTCCCATTCTGTAGAGTAGGTACCTCCAGAATTGTAGACTTCATGGGTTCTGAGGTTTTGCTTCTGGGCACTCCCATGACCAGGTTAGAATTATCTTTCTCAGGTGTGCATAAGTCAGGAAGTCTATTATTTGTTGCAACTCCTTCATCAGCTCTCTACCACCTCCCCAAATTTTGTTGCTGCAATCGACTTTCCCATTCTCCTTGTCTCTTTTTAATCCCTCCTGCCCCACCCCACCTCACTTTAAATCATTTTAGAAGGGTTTGAGGAAGGAGCACTGATAAGTGCTTTTGTTCAACCTTCCAGGGTTAACTGGAAGTTCCCTATGTTTTATGACCAGAAAAAAGAAAAAAATATATATTTTGCATTTGGGTAGAGCAAACTATTGTCAAAATTCTACTACTTTAATCATTGTGTGACTTGTCTTTATTGTATAGGTGCACCATTCACTAAGTATTGCTGAAATCCAAGTGGGGAGTGAGTTTTAGTTTGCTGTAATAAGAAACAAAACCACTCAGTTTTTCTCTTTCTTTCTTTCTTTTTCTTTCCTTTCTTTCTTTTTCTTTCTTTCTTTCTTTCTTTCTTTCTTTCTTTCTTTCTTTCTTTCTTTCTTTCTCTCTTTCTCTCTTTCTCTCTTTCTCTCTTTCTTTCTTTTTCTTTTCTCTTTCTTTCTTTCTTTCCTTCTTTCTTTCTTTTTTTTTTTTTTTTTTAAAGAAACAGGGTTTTTCTTTGTTGCCCAGGCTTGTCTTTCACTCCTGGGCTCAGGTGATCCTCCTGCTGTTACCAAAACACTAGTTTATTCTAGGTGCTGGTGCTTGCTGCACAGAAAGCCAATTACTGAGACAACAAGTATTGCCAAGGAAGAAGGCTTTAATTGGGTGCTGCAGCCAAGGAAATCTTAGTCTCAAATCTGTCTCGCTGACCAACTACAATTGGGGCATTTATATCATAGGGTAGGAATGTAACTAAGTGTAGGAAACAGGAATTATGGAGGGGTAAGGAAGAGGAGTTGGTCTACAGGAAGCAGGTGGTCAGTTAGGCAATCATGATGAGTGAGGGGTCTGGTGTCTCATTGTCTAGATGCAGTGATCTGGTGAGTTTCAGTTCCTTGATACCATCTGGGAGGTCTGACAGTTGGTATTCTGAGGAAGGAACTCAGATAAGACAAATGCATTTCAAGCTTTAAGACCAAGACAGTATATTTCTATGTTTATCCAAAAAAAAAAAAAAAAACCCAGTGAACATCAATTCTATGGGACAATTGGGCTAGTTTCCCCACCTCAGCCTCCTGAGTAGCTGGGACTACAGGTGTGAGCCACCATGCCTAGCTTAGCTCAGTATTTTTCAAATGATTTCCTTAATTCATTAGTAGGCTGTGAAATCAGTTCATTGGATTATGGGCATTTTTGATTTTTTAACTAATGAAATTGAACAGACTAGAACAAAATGGAGTAAAATAGAAAATATGAGGGTTGTTGTATATGGTAAGTGTAGGAATTATTTTATAAAATTGTTTTATATTGATATTAAAAGCATATGTATATTACATTGTGATATAATTCTCATTTCTTATTCAGAGTATGTCCAACAACATTTGAAGGTCATGCTTTTGCTAAAAGTTATTGAACTTAGCTAGAGAATTTTTGATGTTTGCCTTTCCAACCAGTTGAATCAAATTCAATTTAGTGGTTGTAGGACATGCCCTAATCTGAGGGCTTTTGGAAAATTTTCTCAGTGGGTTGATGAAGAAGGTAAATGGTTCTTGGTCACTAGGCATTTTTGTTTGTCCACATAAACCTTTCACTTTTCTATCCTAGCTCAATCCCAAACTTTAATGTGAGTGATAACAAACAGCTCATCTCTTCGGACCACTATTATTTTGTGTCTCTGACTAGAAGTCCAATGTCAACCTAACTGATACAGATGGGTACTAGCTGAAATTATCAGAATGGTGGTCACTCTAAGAGTTCTACTGAATGTTAAGTAATACTAAGTACATGAGATTTAATATTTCCAAATATTTAAGATCACCTATTAGGCTATGCATCACTCTTCACTTTTGTTATCTCATCTAATCATGAAACAGACTTAGAGAGTTATTAACAAGGAGCTATTCTTAGCTCCCATTTTATATAAAAGGCAACTGAGAACCAAAGACATGTGGAGAATTGACTCAAAATCACAAAGCTAAGTGACAGAGTTGGCTCTAATTCCATCGCTCCAAGTCAGAAGTTGTAGCTGTTTTGTGGAAGATGGCATAAAATAGCATTTAAGGAGGAAGGATTGGGGGCCACAGAGAACTTAGGTTAAGTCTGTCACATGATAGTGCTTTGATCAGAGGCAAGTAACAAAAGTTCTTTGTCTCTTCATTGGTAAAGGGAAGGCTAACACTATCTGCCTTACAGGGATGCCATGAGAATTAAATGGAATAATGCCTCTGAGGAAGATTGTGTTTTCTAAAAATGGCCACAACAATATTTTCAATCCCCATGGTTGCCTTACAATGTGATTTTGATACTCTTCTCATCAAGAGATGAGCTCTGTGTTCCACTATCTTAAATCTGAACTCACGTGTATGGTGGAAATGGCACTATGTGACATCTACGGCTAGGTCATAAAAGGTGATGCAGTTCTTACCTGGTCCTCTTGTCCTGTTTGTTTTTGAAACCAGCCACCATATTGTGAGGAAGCCCAAGCAGCTCATGGAGAGGCCCACATAGAAAGAAACTGAGAGGCCAGGCACGGTGGCTTATGCCTGTAATCCCAGCACTTTGGGAGGCTGAGGCGGGCGGATCATACGGTCAGGAGTTCGAGACCAGCCTGGCCAACATGGCAAAACCCTGTCTCTACTAAAAATACAAAAATGTGGTGAGCACCTGTAATCCTAGCTACTCAGGAGGCTGAGGCAGGAGAATCATTTGAACTCAGGAGGCGGAGGTTGCAGTGAGCTGAGATTGTGCCATTGCACTCCAGCCTGGTTGACAAGAGCAAGACTCTGTCTCAAAAAAAAAAAAAAAAAAAAAAAGAAAGAAAGAAAGAAACTGAGAATCCTGGCCTCCCACCCTGCTTGAGCGCTCAAGCAGCACCAACTTACCAGCCACATATCTGAAGAATCCTGGAAATGAACTCCTAGACTCCATTTGAGCTTCCCCAGTTGACACCAGATGAAGCAAAGATGATGTTCCCCACTGGTCCAGGCTGACATGCCAGATTCATAAACTAAATAAATGATGTTTTTAAAAAGCCACCAAATTTTTGAGTGGTTTATCTATGCAACAGTAGATATATGGGAACAGATGTGCAGCACAGCATCTGCTGTTTAGTAGTACTTGATGAAAGCTCACAGTGATTATTATTACTAATATTATTCTTATTGTTTAAACTGCATTATTTCCTCCTGACCACTGATGAAGATATTTGGAAACTGGACCAAAAAAGTCAGGAGACAGAAATCTTTTTGGAGATTTCTCTACAGAGCCTTAATGAAAAATGTAGGATTCTGACTCATGACTACAGTTTAGTGCCCATGGAATTATAAAAACAGAAAGAGTTCCATGTCCCTGTCTTATCAATTCCTCATCTTTAGATTAGCAAACATCCAAACTACTCAAACGTGGTATTTTCTCCTGCTATCAGAGCTTTTAGAGGGGAGGGGCTGCAACTTATTCTTCTAGGGGCAGGGAAGCCCGTAAAAATCTCCCATGACTCCATGGGGAAGCTGAAGGAAGTTTGAACTGAATTGTTGGTCCAGTGAAGTACCCTGGACCAATGCAGGGGAACCATGAACACCACCGAGATGATGATGAAGGTGGCATGGACTGCATCATGGGGATTCTGAGGACAGAGATAATCAGACTTCAGGGTTCTATTCACCGTTTCTCCTGTGAATGACGCAACCTCTGGCTGGGGTTCCTTTCACAATAAACATCAATAAGCTCGTAGACAGCTATTTTGTCTTTCTTTTTCTGGGCTGGTTATGCAAACTCAACTTTCTTCATTGCTCTTTGCCAAATCTCCTCTACTGTTTTTTCCACACACACTTGAAAGTGAGAAGACTAAATCTAGACACAATTAGAGTTCAACCAAGCCTGCTTAAAACAAAAGGGCTGATCCCTGACCCCCACATTTCATACATGTGCAAGTGCTCCTAAGGGCACCATTCTCACATGCTACCTTTATAACTTTTATTGAGCTTAGGGTTCACTATAACTCCCAGATTTTCTCTATCTCCTGATATCTGTGCTCTTTTTTCTTCCTCCCAATTGTTACTGCTTGGCATAATGTAGCCAATCCCAATTAATACACTTGGCTGACAGGGCCCTCCATGATTCTTACCGCTTTTCTGGCTTAATCTTACCATTCTCCCGCTTGTTCATTATATTCTTGATATATTGGCCTTCATTCAGTTTTTTAGTCCAGCTAGCTCTTTTTCTTTTTATTGTTCAATGTGCCTGGCATTCAGTAATCTGTAGCAAATGCAGTCAGTGCCCCATTCATATCCCCTCAGCATTCACTATCAAGGGCTTCCTCCTAAGCATATATGACGTCTCCACCTGAGGCTTCCTGGGGCTTGGGAAGAAAGCTCTACTGTGGGTAGGGAGGGCTGGAGGTGGGGATTGGGTGGAGTGGGGTGGGGGGAGAAGGAAAGCGTTGATCCACTGGAAGCAGCTCTCAACCATGGTGGATGGGAATTTGTGAATCAACAATCCACCTTCATGTTCTACACCGTCTCCCCAAATTCCCAAGCTGGAAGGGCTGCGCCTCCATTGCTCATAGCACTAACTTGCTCATTGGCGCTCTTCCCTGCCTTATTTCCTCACTCCCCTACCCATGTTTATTGAAGTAATCTCTCAAATAACTACATACACTCCAATCCTTTTCTCAGATCGAAGACATAGGGGTTTATTGTATGTTTGTGGTTATTATTAACAGCAGAATGGCTATGGTAAAACAAAATGTCTCAACCAGGCACCTCACAAGGTGCAACCAGCTTCAGTTCATAGAGGGTGTTTTGCAGTTGAAATACCTGGTTATACTCCAATAGGATTCACATTCATTCATTCAGCCATTCAGCAAATATTGATTGAGTGCTTACTCTTAGCCAGAGGTAGGGATTTCAGCATCAGAAGTGGCTGCAAGTGGTTGCAAATCTGAGTTAGAATTACTGTTGGGAAAACAGAAAGGTAGCCCTAATTCCAGGGAAATAGAAAGGCAGCCCCAATCCCTTCCCACTCCACTCTCTGACTCCATTTCCCTTTCCCTCCCCTCAGCATTCTGGCTGCTCCTTAAACAGAACTCAGTCAGCTCCCCTCTGAAGTATTCCACCTTCTTCATGAGATCTTTAGACCTCAACCCCCTTTCTTTAACAGCTGCTCCTCCAACCCCTTAGCCTGAACTGGTTCCTCAGGGTGAATCAGCCTATCTCCTCTATCCCCTCTTCTAAGCATTTAGTTTCACCTCCCTCTGCTTTGGCATCACCTATTACCTAGATATGTCCTAGACTATGGCACGGCACATGCCTACTTGGAACTGTGTCTCCCTTTCTAATTTGTAATAGACATACATGGCGGCTGTTGTTGCCATAACCATATCCCACTGCCCTTACCACTTCAGGGGCACACTGGCCCGATTTCCAGCTGGCTGCACCTGCATTTATTGATCTGAGCTTGACTTCCCACCTGTGCAGCGATCACCCACAGGGATGGCAGGCTTGATAATGGGCCCTTTCAAGGCTGCTTCCTTTCCCTATCCCACCTCCCTATTCCTCTACCGATGTTTTATTCACCTTCCAAATAAACCACCTGTGGCTGAATCCTTAATTTAGGATCTGCTTCTGGGTTAGCCCAAACAAAGATTTAGTTTTAAATTTATAGTTAATTTTAAGCAAAATATATGGATTTCTATTTTTTGTTCCGTCAAGTACAGACACTATATCTTAATTCTTTTTTATTTTATTTTACTTTAAGTCCTGGGATACATGTGCAGAACATGCAGGTTTGTTACATAGGTATACATGTGGCATGGTGGTTTGCTGCACCTATAAACCCATCATCTGGGTTTTAAGCCCTACATGGATTAGGTATTTGTCCTAATGCTCTCCCTTCCCTTGCCCCTCACTCCCCGACAGGCCCCAGTGTGTGTTGTTCCCCTCCCTGTGTCCATGTGTTCTCATTGTTCAACTCCCACTTATGAGTGAGAACATGCGGTATTTGGTTTTTTGTTCTAGTGTTAGTTTGCTGAGGATGACGGCTTCCAGCTTCATCCATGTCACTGCAAAGGACATGATCTCATTCTTTTTATGGCTGCATAGTATTCCATGGTGTATATGTACCACATTTTCTTTATCCAGTCTATCACTGATTGTCATTTGGGTTGTTCCATGTCTTTGCTATTGTAAATAGCGCTGCAATAAACATACGTGTGCATGTGTCTTTAGTAGAATGGTTTATATTTCTTTGGGTATATACCCAGTAATGCGATTGCTGGGTCAGATGGTATTTCTGGTTCTAGATCCTTGAGGAATCGCCACAATGTCTTCCACAATGGTTGAACTATTCAGAACTTGTTATCGGTCTATTCAGGGATTTGACTTCTACCTGGTTTAGTCTTGGGAGGGTGTATGTTTCCAGGAATTTATCCATTTCTTTTAGATGTTCTAGTTTATTTGCGTAGAGGTGTTTATAGTATTCTCTGATGGTAGTTTGTATTTCTGATTCTTTTCAGTCTAAGATCAGATATTTCCCCTCCTTTCTCTTCCACCTTTTCTCTACTTTTCTATATGTATTTTTAGTTCTGTCTTCATTTTTACAGTGTTTACGTTGCTAACATTTACTTTCTGTAATAACATTTGAATAATCTTGAGATTTTTTTCCCTATAAGTTGTTTCTAAAAGTTGAAAACCAATAAACTAAGTATACATTATTATGCCTTTATATCTATCTAGAATTGCAGGGCCAAGTGGTTTTGCCTTTCCTTCTTCATGAGTTCCATGCCAAGAATCCTACATCACTCAAAGGAGGATGTTTCTAGCACCAAGGGCAAATAGAGTCCCCCTTTTACCCACCATTGATTTCTCACAATCATGTCACAGTGTAGTCTGTTTTGCAGTGCGAGCTTGATTCTCTTGTGCAGTTTTATTTCCCTAGTACTCCTCCTCTTATCCCAGGTTTTGCTTTCTGCAGTTTCAGTTACCTGCAGTCAACTGTTTTTAGATTTTGAGAAAGAAAGAGAACACACTTACCTAATTTTTATTACAATATATAGTTATACTTTTTCTATTTTATTATTAGTTTTTGTTGTTAATCTCTTACTGTCCCTAATTTATAAGTTAAGCTTTATTGTAGGTCTGTATAGAAGAAACAGTATACATAAGGTTTAGTACCATCTGTGGATTCAGGTATCCACTGGGGTTCTTGGAACATATTCATTGAGAATTAGGGAAAACTACTATATATTTTTTTCTTGTAGAGATATGTCACCACATCACAGCTATTTTTAAACTTCTTACTGATTCTATCAGTTGGTTTCATCCCAGTCTTTCATGAATATATTCTTTGTGGAGCCTACTTATTTTCTGTTCTGATTTGAAGTTTTGCTTTATAGACCTACTTTACAACTCTCACCCTTGCATTTCTTTTAGTTGCACTTTAGGGCTCATTCTACTGTTTTTTTGTATATGACTCTTTCAGTCTATTAATTTTTATTCTTCTTTTGTTGTGGCACAGCCTTAAGTAATTTCTGTGAAAAAGATATTGGGAAATTTACCTTCTGAGTCCTTGAATTATTAAAAATATGCTTATTTTATCTCAGATTTAATAATAGTTTGGTTGGGTATAAAATTCTCACATACATTAATTTGAGTATAAAATTATTGTAAATTAATTTTCTGATAGAAACTTCAATACTTTTCTGCATTGGCTAATAACACCCAGTATTGTTGATGTTAGTATGATCCTCAATCCTTTGTATATGATCTAAGTTTTCTGTCTTTAAGCATTTTATATTTTCGTTATATCCTTGGGATTCTGATATTTCATAAGTATGTACACAGTTCTGAATCCTTTTTCACTCATTTTGCTGGCATGCTGTGGGCCATTTAAAGATGAAGATTCAGATTAAATTCTCTGGCAGCCTTTCTTCTGTCATTGCATGTCTTTGATAATCCCCTCTCCACTACCCCCGTGCCCCGGCATTTCATCTGAAACTGCTAATGCTCAGATCATTTTCCTGAATTGACTCTCTATGCATTGTATCTTCTCTATTATGATTTTGGCCATTGTGTATTTACTCTGGATTCCAGAAAATTACCTTGACATTATTTCTCAACATTTCCATCTGATTTTCAAAACCAGAAAACATATTTTTAATTTCCAAGAGCTCTTTCTTATTTTTTGTTCATTTTTTTAGAGCATTTCATTCTTGTTTTGTAGATGTGATATAATCTCAAATCCTTCTGAGGTCATTAATTAGAGTTTTTTTTTTCTTAATTTCTTCTTTGGTTGCCTGAATTGTGTTTGTTTCCTCTGGCGTTGTTTAGTTTTGTTTGTTTGGTGCTTCTGCTTTGTGTAGTAGTTAGTATTCTCCATATTCTTGGTGATCTGTTTCGGTGTTCATTTTTAAGAAGGAAGACATGGATCCATTTTTCTAGGTAACTTGGTGTGCACTTTTGCTGCTGTAAGCTGTGTGGCTTGGGTGAGGCGCCTGCATGAGGGCAGGGCTAACTGACTGATAGGCTTCACATTAGAGAGAAGAGGCAGGCAAGGAGGTTTTGGGCCTGGGGACCCCCAAATGCCAGAATGAGGAGGGCATGGCCATGGGTGCTTTTACACACTCTAGGAGTCCTGGATCCTAACTCCTAGAAAGCGTGTTCAATTTAGAAAAGAAAGCTTTGTCGTCGCTGTTGTCTTTCTCTTCCCCAGGAGCCAGAGGTACAAGCTGGGTGGGCAGCCTGCCCTCTTTGTGCTCAGAGTTGGAGGAAAAGTAGGGCAGGGTGTAAGAAATGAATGGTGCAGTGGGTTGGGAGTACGTTTTTAATTCCTCTCCTCTTTTGCAGTCCTTTTTCCTCAATTGCTCAGCCCTGGTCTGCTGGCTGAGGAGCCTGTGTCCTGCTGGCAGGGTGGCCCTTTCCCTGCTGTCCCCTCCTGTGCCTTCTGAGCCACCGTTTCCCTCACACAGCCTTGTTCATCAATACACTCCGGCCACGCAGGCCCTAGCATTGTTTTTTAGAAACCTCTCATCTTTTGCTTGTTGGTTTCCTTACTGTTATCCTTTGATCTTAAGAGATTTTTATTCCTTGATTCCTCCATGTTCAAGGTGTCTTAGGAGAAGAGGAAGACAAATAGTATGCCCTGTCTCTATCTACAATTTGTCCCTTTTTTAAGATTTCTACTTTGGGTTAATTTTCCTGGTATTAGAACAAGTCTTGCTTTTGGCCAAGCCCAGGTATGGGGAATAATTTGGTGTTCCTTTCAACAGATGTTTCAATATTTGTTCATTTGAGGAGAGGTGTCTGGGAGGGGTGCTGGACAGCAGCAGCTGGTGGTGGCTTGACAGGTTCTTGGCCATCCCAGGTGACTGTGCCTAGTCCCTAACTCACAGGCCCCAGCCCACAAAACAAAAGCCAGTTCTTAGCCAGCACCATCCGCTCTAGGTAGAAGTTCACTGACCACCTGTAGTTACCTAAGCTTGACTCCTGGGAACTCTGATTCCCTACCCCTAGAAGCTTATTATAAAAAATCTCCTTTGGCCACACTAGATGAGACATGCTCCGGTGAGTGCAGTTTTCTTCATGTGATTCTATTTCCAGTGGCGTTTGGGCATCTCTCATGGAGAGCTCTCCCATTCACGGGCACCTCTGTGCAGGTGGGTTTCCAGGAGAGCCCAGCTGGGAGCACAATTCGGGAGAGTTTCAGAGCCCTCCTTCTGTGCCCAGCAGAGCCACTCTAAGATCCACTGGCGCTGGGACTGCGCCCACTCTTGGCTGCCTTTCCAGGCCATTCAGCAGCCCATTGTTTGCCACAGCCACACTCGAGTCTCTCGGGCTGTGCCCATTTCCAGCAACTCTGAGCGGGGTCACCAATTAAAGGAGGAAACAAAACGTTTCCTGAGCCGGCGGCCTCCGGCTGGCTCTGCTTCCTGTTGCTGTGTGAGTGCGGGGTTCTCGCGTTGCCCACGGCTCCCACCGTTCTCCGTGTGTGTCCCTCTCCACGTCTTCATTATTCCTCATTAGCTTTGGTTTCCTCTCTCCCCCTCCCCTTTTTACACGTCTGTTATTTCCAACCCTTTAGCCACACAAAATGAGGGGTGCCCTTTTCCTGTCGCCTCGGGAGTCACTCCTCCCTCTGCCGTCACCTGCGGATGCCAGGCCATGGCACTCGGCCACTTCTCGGCCACAATGGGAGCTCTCAGAGCCGGGCGGCGCGGCCTGGGCCGGGTGCCAACATGCCACAGCGAGGCAGCTCGGCCTGCAGAGGGGCGTGAGCCTGGCAATCAGACCCTCGCAGAGCCGCCACCGACTTGCTGTGGGGTCTGGGGCAAGTCACTTGACCTCTGCTTAGCTCCTCGTCCCGGAGAGGAAGTGAAGATGGCTTTCCTGGGACGCTGGAGGAATTACCAATGAAGGCAGGATGCCTCCTGGCCCAGGCCTAGAGACCCACTGCCAGCCTCTTGGATGGGTGATTTTGTGCATGCTCTCAGACAAACACACATACACACACACACACACACAAATACACATGCACATGTGTAGACACACATGCAAGCATACATATATTCATGCATTCATATATGTACTCATAGACAAAAACATAAATACATATGCACAGAGACATACAGACATACATTTACACACAAACACACATGAACAACCAATGCAGACACACACAAACACATGCACACTCAGACACAAAAATATTTCCACACCCACACAAACACATTTATATACAGACTTACACACTTTTTGTACACTTATACACACAGTCACAGACTTATTCTTACCCAAAATATGCACATATACATACACACATTTACACACAGACATACACACTCACATACAAATGCATGTTCACCACATCAAGGATACATATAAGTGTGTGTATATGAGTGGGTTTCCCAATGAAACAAATATAAACCAAATAAAATTTCAACTTCTCTTTATGAAAACAAAACAAACAGCTTGAAATCTCTGGGATTTTGCCTGTTCTTTTCTTGTTATACAGCAGTCAAAAGTCCTTGGCCTGTGTGTGCTAGTCACTGTGCCAGGCACAGTGAGGCATATGACAAACAGCTGATGTGGCCTCAGGCCTTGAGAGACTTATGGGCTATTCGGGGAACACAAGCCAATGACTCAGGGCACTGACATGCTAACACACTCGGGTAGAGAGCTTATGGGAGGGTCCAGCTGTGGCACAAAAGATGGAATGTTGCATCCTGCCAGAGGAGAAGGATCAAGGAGGGCTGCATGGAGGCAGGGGCTCTTGATTTGGATGGCCCCGCCAGATCAGGGCAGACCACTCATTTAGCTGGGCTTGGTGTCAGAGCCACAGGCAATGACTCTGACTCCAGACATGCATGTGGAATGTGTGGGAAAGAGCAAAGGGTCCCATCAATTCATTCTTCTTTGAAGAGGTGGCTTCAAGTGCCTGCCATGACCACAGTGGGTTGGGGGATTCTCAGCTACATCTGGGCCACCGCAGGCATCAAAGCTGGAGAAGCAGAGCTGACTGCCCCTCGAGCACCTTCACACCTAGCCTTGCTCGACACTGTCAGTGAACTCTTTGCACGTTTTTCTTCTGTAGCTGTGTATCTGTGGTGATCGACTGTATTTTTCAAAGGCAGTTGCATCAGTATTTTTGTTCCACATGCTCTTCCAGAACCTTGCCTCATCTGCACCAAGAGGTAGTGTCTGTTTCCCTCCCCTTGCACTTTGTTGCAAGGGTATGGCTTTGTTGACTACCTTGGTGAATAGAATGTGTGACCTTGGGGCTATGTCATGGAAGGTGGTAGGGTTTCCTCATGGTTCTCTCTTTGGGTCAAGTGCCTTGGGAGCCTGGCACACATGGGAAGTCCAACTGCCCTGAAGCTGCTGGGCTGGAGAGACCATGTGGAGAGACCACATAAGGACAGAGAGAGATGCTGGGGTCAGGGAGGACCCCCTGCTTGTCCAGCCCCAGCTGTTAGCATCTCCCCAGGGCCGGCACCAGCCATGAGTGAGGGGCTTTCTGATGACTCCATTCCAGTCTTTGGGCTGCCCAGCTGATGCCTAGTAGAGCAGAGATGCACTCTTCCTACAGAGCCTTGTGCAAATGGCATCTTCAGGAACCAAACAAACTTGCTGTGGGCTTAAGCCACCAAGTTTTGTGGAGGTTTGGTACCCAGCAACAGACAACTGGAGCATCAGTTCAAGCAAATGTTTGGTCATGTTTGCCCTTAAGGGCTGAGACAAACCTTGCAAAATCTTGGTTACTCTTGGAGGTCTTATTCAAAAGGCAAAGTCTTCACATGTGGACTTTTAAAAAATTGCACTCCTCCTGGAACACTGGAGAGGAAAAGCCCAAAAGATCCAAGGTGCCTCTTTACAAGCAGGTGGCTTTATCTAAACACACGATCATACAAACCACCTGCTGTCCTGCCTTTTCATGAACTTGGCTTCTTTTCTACCAGGTGTAGGGAACACAACCATTCAGCATAAACAACACTTACATTGGGCTTAGAAAGTCTAATGAAATGAAAGTGACAATCCTGGCATATTTGGGATTAGTCTTTGAATCCGTATGGTTCATTCTGCAAGGCAGGCTGACCTCCCACACTAGCAAAGGGACAGACCCTTACAGCCAGGGATCTCTAGAATGGAGAGCCGCCTGTTCCATCTGCTTCATGATGCATGAAGTACCTTGAATGTGCCTGCTAGTCAAGTCATGGAAAGTTAAGAGACAGAGAGAGGACATCTTGACTTAAAAATAGATGTTTAAGTGCATTTTCAATCCACCATAGGTGAGCATTTTCATAAAATACAATAACAGGCTGGGTGTGGTGGCTTACTCCTGTAATCCCAGTGCTTTGGAGGCCAAGGAGGGAGGATCACTTGAGCCCAGGAGTTTGAGGCTGCAGTGAGCTGTGATGGCAACCCTGCACTTCAGCATGGGCTACAGAGTGACTCTGTCTCTAAAACAATAAAAATAAAAATACAATGCAATGACAATGAATTACTAAGAAAATGAAATAAAAATATACACTAAAATTCAAGCCTAAAATTATTATTAGATTTAACAGACCTAAAGTTACCCTGCTTAATTGGTATCAAAGTCTCTAAGTGGTTGCCCTCCAAATCTCCACCCATCTCACTGCAGATCAGCACAAATCTTCAGTGCACAAGCTCAGGTGCCCAGGACCACTCACTGACTAGCACAGGTCTAGAGAGCAAACAGAAGCTATTTTCAGGAAGGCAGAGTTGGAATGGGAAAGGTGCGAAGGAAAAAGCCGTAAAATATGTGGGACCCAGGTGTAAGAAGTAAGAGAAGTGGGCTGTCTTCAGCAGGGGAAGCGCCAAGACAGAGAATGTTAGGGTTCCATACAGACTGACTTTGTTCACTCTTTGTTTTTTAGCCTGAGGTTGATCTTAAGATCAGATTAAGAAAATGTGGCACATATACACCATGGAATACTATGCAGCCATAAAAAATGATGAGTTCATGTCCTTTGTAGGGACATGGATGAAGCTGGAAACCATCATTCTCAGCAAACTATCGCAAGGACAAAAAACCGGACACTGCATGTTCTCACTCATAGGTGGGAATTGAACAATGAGAACACATGGACACAGGAAGGGGAATATCACACACTGGGGCCTGTTGTGGGGTAGGGGGATGGGGGAGGGATAGCATTAGGAGATATACCTAATGTTAAATGACGAGTTAATGGGTGCAGCACACCAACATGGCACATGTATACATATGTAACTAACCTGCACATTGTGCACACATACCCTAAAACTTAAAGTATAATAAAAAAAAGAAAAAGAAAAAACACTGAACAGGAAAACACACACACACACACACACACACACACACACACACAAAGAGTCTCCACTGGAGAGAGGGTGGACAGGGCATGAGGATTTGTAACTTCTGGCATTCTGGCAGAGACTGGTATTAGGGCTCCTTTAACTGAAAGCAAATTCTATTTCCAGTCCTTCAGAGACACCAAGTAGGCTCCAAAGAGCCTGGCCAAGCACACAGTCCTCACCCCACAGTATTCTTCTTGGACGTTTGAACCTTGGAGTTGCAGGAATTCTGAGGATGCTTCAGCGTGTGTGTGTGTGTGTGTGTGTGTGTGTGTGTGTGTGTGTGGTGTATGCCAGCTCAGTATCTAGCAATCAACTTCCATGGTGGCATGACACTTGTAGCATGGTTGACAGATATGTCCTTTCCTTCTTGGATAGTGTCTGTTCTAACACGTGCCATTTGGGATCCCTTGGAATCTTCATGTACAGAACTGGTTGCTGCCTCGTTGAGTCGGTGGGGACAGAATAGCTCCTGGTTGACAGCATGGGTTGTGCAGAAGGACGGATCCTGCAGGTAAATCACAGCAGATCTCAGCCATGTTTGCAAGTATGTTACTTAAAAAATTCCAATTCTAATGCATTTAAGAGTTTTCATGATTCACGTCATTTTCACCCCTCTTTCATTCTGCTGTGCTTTCTTGCGTGGAAGGGAAAAGCATAGCCTTACAATTCACAGGCATCACCCACTCCTCTCTCACCATTATTGCATCTCATGGCCCTCAAATCTTACTGATGTTTTGTTACCACTTATAGCAATTTGAGGTTAATAAAGAGTTTCAAATCCCAACATTTTTGGGGGGAGCCTTTATAAAAATCTCATATGATATTTATGTCAGTTTAATAAAATATGATGATACCCAGCAATTTCACTTTCATCATTTAGACCAAAGGAATATTTGTACACATGCATGAGGCAGTATGTGAAAGGAAATACATTATGGCAATTTCTGGAAAAATACGAATTTAGAAATGCCCTAAATGGCCATCAAAACGGGGATGGACAGATAAACTCAGATTCATTCATACAATGGGATGCTCACAAGACATATCTGTAAGTGGGAACATGGAAGTGTCTCAAGATGCACTGTTGACCGAGGAAAGCGATTTCCAAATAATACACGCAGCACGATAGCATTGCTGAAGGAAACAGAACCTCATAAACTACAAAGCGTGACCACAGGTTTTCTAAGGGTACATACCTCATAGAAAATAATTTGTAGTGCAACATCCAAAACGATGACAATATCTCCTGTAGTAGGAGAGGAGGAAACCGAGAGCAGTGGTGCTCAAAGGGGATTTTTAGTCTTACTTGTAATTCTTGGAGTTTTTTTTTTAATGAGGAAACATTACTCATGTCTTATTTATGTAGTAATAAAATCATGTCAGAAATCTGGGTATACTGATGAGCATGACTATCACCCCGGCAACGTCTATCTGAGTAAAGGCCAAATAAAGACGAGAGAAAGAGACAAGAGCACTCACAGAGCAGTGCTCAAGGCCAGGGCCCATGACTCCAACTGCCAGAGCCTCTAGCTCCAGCTCCACCCCACAACCCACCCTGGCTGCGGCAGCCCTCAGAGGTTTCCTGGGCTTGCTGCCAGCTGTGGGGTTAGGAAGTTAAGAGAATGAACCCTGGAGCCAAGCCACCTGGCTTCCCATTTTTCCAATCTTTCCAAGCGATGCGATCCCTGGGGAAGTCAGGCACCCCTCAGTGCTTCAGCTCCCTTGAGTGTCAAGTGGGTACAAAAATATGGGGGTGTTATGGGAGTTAAATTAAATCATATGACCAAAATTTAGAATGGTACCTAGGACAGAGACATCTCCAAGTAAATATTATCTGCTACTATTAATCTTCAAAAGCTTTTTTTTCTTCCCTAGAAGTTTCTTTAGGGACTCAGATGTTTAATTTCCACTAAGACCAAGCCAGCTCCAAAGCCTCCTCCTTTATTTCAGATCCTTGATAAGTAGCAACATGGGAAGGTTTAAAAGAAAGTCAGGTCCAACATTTCCTTGTATGAATGGAGAAACTGAGGCCCAGAGACGCAAGTCTCATTGCTGATCCTCCCAGGAAGTTAGCAGAAGAGCTAGCCCAGACGTCCTCCCTCCTGACCCCTCTGGCCAGCTCTGTGACCATTGGCACTACACACTCCTCTGACAGAGGAAAGAGCGGGAGCTGAGCTGGGCGCCCTGGCTTATGCTTGGAATCCCAGCACTTCGAGAGGTTGAGGCAGGAGGATTGCTTGAGCCCGGGAGTTCAAGACCAGCCTGGGCAACATGGTGAAACTCCATCTCTACCAAAAATATAAAAAATTAGCTGGGTGTGGAGGTGTGCACCTGTAATCCCAAGCTACCTGAGAGGCTGAGGTGGGAAGATCACGTGGGACTATAGTGAGACATGACCACGCAACTGCACTCCAGTCTGGGCGATGGAGTGAGACCTTGTCTAAAAAAAAAAGGAAGCTGGAATTGGCTTGTGGAACAACAGAATTGTAATTTTTCTCAAAAGACTGACTTATTCCACTTTGGAAAATGGGCAAAATACTCCTGCAGCTCCGGCAACATTCTATGGGGTCCTCAGTTATGACCGTGACAATGGTACAGACAGGCTCGACCCTGCTGGTGCCACAGAGCAGGGACTGTGGGAGCCTGAAGATGAGCTTTCATGGCTCCAGGACAGGACAGAGAGGAGGCACCTCTGCAGGAGGCTCGGAGATTGAGATGTGCTCATTGCAGGCAGGCAGCTGTCCTTCCCATGGATGAGAGCAGCCCCTCTCTTCTGCAATATTGACCAGCAAAGAAAACAAAAACCATCTTCATACTTTTTCAGTAGAAAATGAAGCAGTTTATTTAATATTATTTGGATAACAAGCCTCCACATGAACAGGATTCGAATGTCAGTTGTCTTAGGGGAAAAAAGATTTATTGGTTGGTAAATATTGAGAAAGAAAAGCTGATAAAGAACAGTTTCAGCTGCGGCTTCTGCCCGGAGCAGGAGAACAGGCCTGTGTTGTATTTTGGGGCCCTGGGAAGGCAAAAAATTGTGAATGTCTTTCTTTGTTGGTGGGTGTAAAAGTGGAGCCCGCTACAAATAATTTCTTATTTCTTGTCGCATAGATTTTAAATTATGTAGCTTCCCTACCTTGTTAAGTATTAAAGCGGTCTTGTTTAAGGAAGAGACACTTAAATAATGAAGCTTATGTATCTTGTTTTCAGACATCAATATCTGGCTTTGAGTGGCACAAAGAAATAAAGGAATGTGGATTCAGACCTCACTGGGATGCTTGGCAATTCTAATTCTACCCCAGACTGCAAATGGACACACAACTGTTGTGACTTTTGTTGAAGAGGAGAAGGATGGGTGAGCATGTGACGTTGGGAAATTGTATTTTCTTCTTCGAGTTCTTCTGTTTCCGAATATTTAATCCTACTGTTTTCTTCTTTAGTGAAGGTCTCTTTAGTCAATAATCTCTTTGCTGAAATTGCTTCGGGCAGCACAGAAGCTGGATTCAGAAGCACACAGGTCTGGGGATGCAGGCTTCGGCCAGCCTGATGCAAGGAAAGACTGCCATCTCGTGGTCAGCTCAATCCTGGCACCTTGGTGAGGGACCAGGCTGCAGAAAACCAGGCTTGGGGAGGAAACGGTGCTGCAAACTGGATTTCTGCCGGACAGTGTGGATGCCCTTAGAAAACACCCAGAAAAGAGCTGAGTGCCCCCCAAGGTAGGCTTCAGTGAATCCTCTGCAGGTGTGTTGTCATCCCTTGAGCCAAACACATGCTTCACACACACGCTGCAGGCTGCGTGAAAATGAGGTAGAAATGTGGGGAAAACATAATCCCATGGAGAGAACAAAGAGCTGAACACGTAAATGCCTCCGGCGTGCCTGGCAGAGAGAACACTCAGGCTGAGAGAAGGGACAGTGACTTGTACCAAAGGTAGGCAAGTAGCCTCTGGGGTCTCAATCAGCAGGGCATCTGGTCAACCCTTCAGACAAAGTCAGGTCTGAGCAGGCAAGATCCATGGATCTGATTTATTAATATTTTTACAATTAAATAGAATCTGATTGTAAAACTGTTACATGTGTTGTAAGAAAAAAAGAAAAAAAGGAAGGATATAGAAATGTACAAAGAAGGAAATAAAAGACTGGAAGCGTCCTCACCTTAGGGACCCATTATTAACGCTTAGGTGGCCAATCTTCCAGACATCTTGCTACGAATATATTCAAACGGGAATTAAAAATGTACTTTTACACAAGTGCAATCAGACCTTGTACTCCTCTATCCCATAACCTACTTTTTCATTCAACACTATGACAGAAGCGTCTTTCCAGGTCCATAAATAAAGGTAGGCCTCATCGTTTTTTATCAATTACATAAAGCTAATGGTATATAATACTGATTTCATACCTGCTATATGCCAGGCACATACATGGTCTTGCATAATCTCATAATGACTCTACAGAACGGGAGTTTGTATTATGCCCATTAAGCAGATGAACAGGCTGTGGCACAAGAAAATTGATCAGCACTGCCAGGGTATCTGACCTCAGAGCCCAGGATCTTGACTAGTAGGCTAGAAATGAACATAATTTACTTACCAGTTTTCCAGTGATGGACATTAAGCCATTTCCTACTTTTCTGGTATAAAAAATAAGATTGCAGTGAAACTTTAGGGCATATACATCTTTGCACGTTAGTGAGTTCTCTCTAAGTTAACCTGAAAGCGGTGGGCTGTGGAGTTTGTGGGTCAAAGTGTATGCTCGATTTATGCTTTACTATGTGCCCGACTTCCCTCCAGGCAGCATGTGCCAGCTCACACTCCCAACAGCTGCGCAGGAGAATTTCCAGTGCCCCACGACCTTGTCAATACTAGGCTTCCTCATCAGTTTTTTCTCTCCTTTATTTTTCTTTAGGAAAAAAAAAACAGCCTTTGAAAAAAATTGTACGAACAAGTGCAATGTGTGCTTGTAAGTGCTTCACCAAATGTAGATCCACCCGGTGTTAACCTTTTGCCACATCTGCTCTCTATTAGTTTTTATCACACTTTGGAATTATCTATAGACATCATAACACTTGATGCCTAAATGCTTTGGTGTGTGTCTCTTAAGAACAAAGACACACCCTTACCTAAGCATAATATAATTGGTACACTTGGGAATTGCTAAAATACATTGCTAAAATACAGTTTTCTAATACAGAATCTATATCAAGTCATTGAATAAACACACTTCTTGACTTAAAATGAGATTACATCCCATAAACCCATAATAAGTTGAAAAAATGTAAGTAAAAATGCATTTAATACACTAAATCTGCTGAATATTATAACAATTTTGCCTACATTAAATGTGCTCAGAACACTTACATTAGCCTACGGTTGGAAAAAATTATCCAACACAAAGCCTATTTTATAATAAAGTGTTAGATATCACATGTAATGTATGGAATACTGTACTGAAAGTGAAAAACAGAATGGTTTTATGGGTTCTCACAATACGGTTTCCACTGAATGCCTATCACTTTTGCACCATTGTAAAACTGAAGAATTGTAAGTTGAACAATTGTAAGTTGGGGACTGTCTGTACTTAACAGATTTTTGTCTTGATCCAGAATGGAATCAAGGGTCACATATTGAGTTTCGCAGTCATGTCTCTTGAATCCAGAACAGATCTCCAGTCTTTTTGTGGTCTCTCATGACATTGGCATTTTGAAGAGTTTTATAGAGTGTACTTAGACCTGGATTTACCTGATTGAGCCTCAGGATTAGATTTAGCATAAATATTGTTGGCAGGCATATTATATAGATGCTGTTGCTTCCTTCTCAGGGCGTCATATCAGGAGGAACAACAAGATGTCAATTTGTCCACAATTTGTGACATTAACTTTGATCACTCAGTTAAGTGAGTGTCTGCTATATTTCTCCATTGGAAATGTACCCTGATCTTTTGTGATTATTAAGTGACCTACTGGGTGATACTTTGAGACAGAATATCGTGCTTCCCAGCAATCTCTTACCCAGTGATTTTAGTATCTATTGATCATTCTTGCCTGGATCAGTTGCTGTTTTGCCGGCTATAAAGTGCTCTTTCATTTCCCATTCTTTCTACTTTTAAAAAAAGTTATCACTCTTCTATAAAGAAAAACTTCTTATCCTATCCCTCAACTTTTTTAGTATCAGATTGTACTCAAGGCTTCTTTCTCTATCCAGTGTATTTCTGTAACTATCCATTTTGACAGCCAGATCATCCCAAATTTGGCAAGTGGCAGCCCCTTCAAGCTGGACCTGTGTCCTCTGAGCCCCTCTCTGCTCTCTGGCACGAGATGCTCCAGGCTCATCTTGCATTTTCCTTGCCTCAGGCCTGGCATCAGCCATTTCTCCAGGAGCCCTCCCATCTTTGTTTATATATTTATTAATATTTAATCTCTCTTATTATTATTAGTTTTAAAATTTATATAAAATAAAGTTGGCGTTTTTTGTGTAGTTGTAGGAATCTTAATATAGGTATAGGTTTGTGAAGCCACCACTGTAATTGAGATACAGAACAACTCCAAATCATCAAGTTACACACCTTAAATATATACAATTTTTAATTGTCAGCTATACCTCAGTAAAACTGGGGAGAAAATATACAGTTTCATGCCCAGAAGCTACTTTGTGCTTCCTGTTTGTGGTCAAACACATCCTTCATCCCTGACAGCTGCTGACCTTATCTCTGTCTTCATAGTTTTACCTCTTCTAGAATGTTACAAGAATGAGATCGCACAATATGCAGCCTTTTGAGTCTGGCTTCTACTTTCACTTAGCATAATGCCTTTGAGATTCAGCTGTTGCATGCATCAATAATTCGTTCCTTTTTATTGCTGAGTGGTAGATATTCCATCATGTGGATGAACCACGGTTTGCTTATCCATTTACCCATTAAGACAAATGGGTTGTGTCCAGTTTTTGTTGATTAAGAATAGAGCTGCATAAACATTTATGTATAGGGTTTTCTTGCATGAACGTAAGTTTTCATTTCTCTTGGGTAGGTGCCTCGGAGTGGGATTGCTGAGTCACACAGTAAGTGTATGTTTCACTTTTTAAAAGCTGTCAAGCCTCTTCCAGAGCAGCCAAGCCAGTCTGCGTTTCCACCAGCAATTTCTGAGAGTTCCAGTTGCTCTGCGTCCTTGCCAGTGCTTGGTATTGCCAGGTTTTTTATTTTTTAACCCATTCTAAAATATGTTTAGTGCCCCCCATTTTTTTTATCTTTGTAAATGTTATAGGTGAATTTTAAAAGTCAATCTCAATATATATTGGCTGTTAATAATACTATTAATACCTATTACTGTTAATAATGCTAATAAGTAACTATCAAATCTCATAGATGAAAAAGATGATTTATGATCTTTAAAATTTTGCATTTTTATTATTAGGAAAGTCAGAAGGGCTCAATTTTAAACAGAGAGAGAAGCGGATAGAGAAGTGTGTTCTTGCCTGAAGGTGTCTTTCATCTTGGGCTGCCTCTATCTATTTCTGGGATCACTGGCGGCCCTTGTACTCCTATCCTCAGCTCTTTCTGTAGGCTTTTTCATTTCATTGAGGACATGGATGGGAAAGAATGTCCAGCCCATTCTCTCTCCCTCTTTTGATTAAAAGGAGGGGAGGCAGAAGTGGAAAGGGCAAAACCAATTACAGGTTGTAGCGTACACTATCCAAAGCAATGTATACATTCAGTGAAATCCCTATCAAAACACCAATGACATTCTTTAGAGAAGCAGAAAAAAATAATCCTAAAATAATATGTGGAACCACAAAAGACCAAAATAGCCAAAGTTGTCCTGAGCGAAAAAACAATCCTGGAGGAATCACATTACCTGACTTGAAATTGTACTACAGGGCTATAGTAACCAAAACAGCATGGTACTGGTATAAAAACAGACACATAGACTAATGGAACAGAATAGAGAACCCAGAAATAAATCCAGACATGGTCAGTGAACTCATTTTCGACAAAGGTGCCAAGAACATACACTGGGTAAAGAACAGTCTCTTCAATAAATGGTGCTGGGAAAACTGGCTATCCATGTGCAGAAGAATGAGACTAGACCCCTGTCACTTTCTACCCACAAAAATCAAACCAAAATGGATTAAAGACAAATGTAAAACCTCAATCTACGAAACTACTAAAAACAAAAACAAAAACAAAAACAAAAAAACATTGGGGAAGTTCCCCAGGACATTGGTCTGGGCAAAAATTTCCTGAGTAATACTCTAAAAGTACATGCAACTAAAGCAAAAATGGAAAAATGGGGTTATATCAAGTTAAAAAGCTTCTGGCCTAGCGTGGTGGCTCACGCTTGTAATTCCAGCACTTTGGGAGGCCAAGGCAGGTGGATCGCCTGAGGTCAGGAGTTCGAGACCAGCCTGATCAACATGGCGAAACTCCATCTCTACTAAAAATACAAAAATAAGCTGGGTGTGGTGGTGCATGCCTATAATCCCAGCTACTCAGGAGGCTGAGGCAGGAGAATCATTTGAACCTGGGGAGACAGAGGTTTCAGTGAGACAAGATTGCTCCACTGCACACCAGCCTGGGCAGCAGAGTGAGATTCTGTCTAAAAAAAAAAAAGTTTCTGCACAGCAAAGGAAACAGTCAACAAAGTGAAGAGACAAGCCACAGAATGGGAGAAAATATTTGCAAAATATCCATCTGACAAAGGATTAATAACCAGAATATATAAGGAGTTCAAACAACTCAAAAGGAAAAAATTCTAGTGATTCAATTAAAAATGGGCAAAAGATCGGAATAGATGTTTCTCAGAAGAAAATATACAAATGGCAAACAGGTATATGAAAAGGTGCTCAGCATCATTGATCATCAGAGAAATGCAAATCAAAACTACAATGAGATATCCTCTCACCCCAGTTAAAATGGCTTATATCCAAATGACAGGCAGTAACAAATGCTGGCAAAGATGTGGAGAAAAGGGAACCCTTGTACACTGTTGTTGGGAATGTAAATTAGTACAGCCACTAGAGAGAACAGTTTGGAGGTTCCTCAAAAAACTGAAAATAGAACTACCATATGATCCAGCAATCCCACTGCTAGGTATATACCTGAAAGAAAGGAAATCAGTGTATTGAAGAGATATCTGCATTCCCATGTTTATTGCAGCACTATTCACAATAGCCAAGATTTGGAAACAACCCAAGTGTCCATAAACAGATGAATGGATAAAGAAAATGTGGTACATATACACAATAGAATACTATGCAGCCATAGAAATATGAGATTCTATCATTTGCAACAACATGGATTGAACTGGAGGTGGTTGCACTAAGTGAAACAAGCCAGGCACAGAAAGACAAACTTCACATGTTCTCACTTATTTGTAGGAGCTAAAAATTAAATCAATTGAACTCATGGAGATAGAGAGTAGAAGGATGGTTGCCAGAGGCTGGGAAGAGTAGTGATGGTGGGGGTAGGGTAGTGGGGAAGGAAGTGGGGATGGTTAATGGGTACCAAAATATAATTGAACGAAGGATGTTCTGTCAATTGAATAATTGATAGAATGAATAAGATCTCATATTTGGTAGCACAACAGGGTAACTAGTCAATAATAATTTGATTATACATTTAAAAATAACTAAAAGATTATAACTGGAATGTTTATAACATGAAGAAAAGATAAATACTTGAGGTGATGGGTACCCCATGTACCCTGATGTGATTATTACACATTGTATACCTATGTAAAAATATCTCATGTACCCCATAAATACATACACCTACTATGTATGTACCCACAAAAATTTATAGAGTGTGGTTATCAGAGCATGGAGTCATGTTCCTACATAGTGCTTAAAACTTCCACTAGGAATTATCATGCTCAATTCAGCTTGTTCCAGCTCTAGAAAAACAAGAGTATCAGCTAGGCTGTAGGTACCAGGCTGCACTTCTGACAAATAAACAAGACCCTAGCCTTGTTTTCAAGAAGCTCATTCTAGTGGAGACAGGGTGGGAAGGAGACACAGACAAAACCAGCCATGGGGGTTAATGTGTCTTAACAAAATGACACATAAGTCTGACCCAGGAAGAAAAGGAGATAGCTTTCAGAGGCCAGAGCTGAGCTCTGAGTAACTGTGGCTGCCGGAAACTGCCTCTTCCTTTCCAGCACTGGCTTTCCCAACCTGAAAAACTGGTTCAGTCTCACATGTGGATCCTGAGGACATTTAAAGAAGACATTTTACAGCCGTCCAGGGAACTCTGATGAGATCTGAAATGTTCTGTTGGTTCTGCAGCTATAAAATAACCTGCCTAGCACAGAAACATATAGCAACCATGCCTGAAAGAATGAATCTGGCTTTTGAAAGTGCTCAAATAGAAATCTGTTTACTGAGCAAAGCCATCATCCTGGCTGACTTACAGAAAATTGATAGCACCATTGTCCAAGATTCATGCTGTCTCCTGGCACATCAGAGACAGCCCTGGGGCACTTGATATCTGAGGTCATTTTCTTGGAGTTAAGGGACACTGTCCATGGGAACCACAAACTGCACTGGTCCAAACATTTGGTCAATGCAGCATACATACAAAGCCTGATTCATCTAGGAAAGCCACCTTCTCATCCTTTGGCAATGTGTCAGCATTTATGTAGCGGGGACTCTTTCTTCCCAGATTTTTACCTAATATAGAGCTTTAGTGGTGGTTCATAGTGAGTGCTTTCATCAGTCAGGAGATAAAACCATACCTTTTAACAGGCATAATTTTATATAAAAATTGTTAACTGGGTTCTTTCGCAGAAAGGCAAAAAGAGAACTCTAAGAAATCATGGTGGTGGCAACTGCAGGAAATAGCTACTTCCCCTAGGGGTGATGAAATAGAAGGAAGAACAGAAAACTATTAAAATGTAGAAGCTCAGAGGAGGGGCCCCATGGAGCTGGGACTAAGATATCTGAGTGAGGCCGCATTGAAACTGGGTCTGTGTATACTGTAAAAACTGCAAACTGGATGGAGTCACTGCTACAGGAAAGAACTTCCAGTGCCTGGGTTATCATTGAGGAAGTGATGCAGACAATAAGAGGAAGTATTCAGGAATAGGAGCTAATCAGAAACATGAAGTGCTCAGGAACAGGAAGTATTCAGGAGCAGGAAGTACTCAGGAACAGGAAGAAGAGGGCCACTTTCCCTTCCCCAGCCTCACGGTCTCCTTTTACTACTCACTCTTGGTGGATCCCAAGGAGCAGCTGGCTGGGCAGAATGGTGGATGCAGAGTTCTAGCCCTGGCATTACAAAGCTGGGTAGAAAAGGATAAGTTTGGAGCTTAGAGATAATAGCTCAATAACTGGCAAATTGTTCAATAGATATTTTTGAGTGACTGGATAATTTTACATGCAATAAAAGTCCAAGCTTTGACTTTCATTCAAAAATTTATTAACATTCCTGGGATTGCTTTCTCATGGGGAATTCTCATTTGTGCCAGACTCTCTCTCTCTCTTTCCTTCCTTCCTTCCTTCTTTGCTTACTTCCTTCTTTTCTTTTCTTCCTTCCTTTTCCCCCTTCTTCCCTTTTCCCTCCCTCCCTCCCTCCCTCTTTCTCTCCCTTCCTTCCCTCCCTTCCCTTCCTTCCCTCCCTTCCCTTCCTTTCCCTTCCCTTCCCTTCTCCTTCCTTTTTTCCTTCCTTTCTTCCTTCCTTCCTTCTTTCCTTTCTCTTTCTTATTTTTTCCTTTCTTCCTTCCTCCCTCCCTCCCTATCTCTGTGTCTTGTTTCTTTTCTTTCTTTGTTTCTTTCTGAAATTTGGCCTCAATGAAACTTCTGAGACAATTTAGCATCCTCAATTGTTTTCACTGCCTCCGTCTCTATGTTCTGACCTTCCCCATGTCTGTTCTGGGGTATTGCAGGTTTCTGTGACAGTGACAGAATGTGACTGATAGCACCTCTTGGCCCATGGAATCCCAGACCAGGACTCAGAGCCCCACATTTCTTATCCTTGGATAAAGCATATGACTTCTTTGAGGCTCACTTTTCATGAAATGGGAATGAGAATATGGTCTTCACCCATCTTACATAGATGTTATTAAGATAGAAATGAGACATAAGGCTGGGGGTGGTGGGTGACACCTGTAATCCCAGCACTTTGAGAGGCCAAGGTGGGGTGATAGCTGGAGGCCATGAGTTCAAAACCAGCCTGAGCAAGAAAGCAAGACCCCATCTCTACAAAAAATTAAAAACTTAGCTGGGTGTGGTGGCGTGCACCTGTAGTCTCAGCTACTTAGGAAACTGAGGTGGGAGGATCTCTTGAGCTTGGGAATTTGAGGTTGCAATGGGCTGTGATCACACCACTGTATTTGCCCAGGTGACAGGTGAGACTCTGTCTCTAAATTAAAAAAAACAAAAACCAAAAAACAAATGAGATATAAGATGGATAAATGAATTAAAAACTTTCCTAGGTGAAGTTTGCTGATTGAACATATGTCTCTGCATTTTTCTCCTCCTAAAGTCCCACTGGAATAATAACAAGCAATGGATTGTTTTGAAAAAGGCAAAACCGACTACAATGGAAAAAATGGGAGAAGAAATGACAACAACATGGTTTGGGAGTTGGAATACAGACAGATGAGTGGTAACTGATGAAAGAAAACAAAGCTCAGAAGGCCGTAGTGGGGAAAATTATAAAACAGCAGATGTGTGCTGCAAATTCCACAAAACTTGGGAACTAGGGGCAGCAGGTACCTCTGAAATTGGGGGTAAGGCAGAAAGACTCAAATAAGAAGGATGTGTTTAGCAAGCACTCAGATCTCTATGTCTTCACCCCACTGTGGGCAGCCAGGCCACTGCCCACCTCTCTTAGCAAAGACTGGCTGGAGAGGGTAAGGCATGGTCTCTGGACACCTGGGCTGTGCACTGCAGCAGTGCGATGAGGGACAGCTGGATGCTGACGAGCCTCGGCCCGCTTTCCTGACCTGGCTCCCAGGATGCTGCAGTCAGTCTTCACCTTCCAGTCAGGAGACCTGGAGAGTGTTCTCTCGGGAGTCTGTCCAGCCAAAGAAGAAAGAGTTAAAGGTACTGAAATCAGCAGTTTCCCAGAAACATGGCCCATCTGGAGTCTCCTACAGTGGAGCTGCAGATGCTGAGTGTGGTTCTTGCACTCTGATCTTCCAATTAGCATTTAGTTCCTTACTCTGAAATGCTAGCAGAAAACTAAGAGTTACTAATGGGATTCATTTCCTATGACTACTATAACGAATTACCATCAACTTGGGGCTTGAAACAATACACATTTATTTTCTTGCAGGTCTGGAGGCTAGAAGTCTGAAATCAATTTCACTGTGTCAAGGCAAGGTATTGGCCAGGCTGGTTCCTGCTAGAGAGTCCAAGGAATATGTTCCTTTGCCTTTTCCAGCTTCTGGAGGTGCTTAGATTTCTTGGCTTACGGCCCCTTCACTCCAATTTTTGCTTCTGTTGTCACATGGCCTTCTGTCTCTGTTGATCTTGCCTCCTTCTTTTAAGGACCCTGGTAATTAAGTTTAGGTCTTGCTGAGATAATGCAGGATGATCTCCTCATCTGAAGATTCTTAACTTGATCTGAAAAGTTCCTTTTGTTATATACAAGTCCTGGAGATTAGGGCATGGGAAGCCCATTATTCAGCATATCACAACTGTCTCATGAATAATCAGGATTTCCTTGAAAGTAAGCCTAAGGCCTCCAGATGGACATAGAATCATCCTATTATGTACCACTTTGAGGGGGCGGAATTAAGAAAATAGTCACAAATAATTTTCTATGATCTGTGGTTCAAAAGAAGAACCTAGTTGAGAAAGACAGACTTAGAATAAAATAAAGGTGAAAGTAATCAGACAGAAGAGGCACAGAATAGTTAGGAAGAAGACACTCTAGAAACAGACTATTAATACTTTACGGCAGTGGCCCGCAACCTTTCTGACACCAGGCACTGGTTTCATGGAAGACAATGTTTCCACTAGGGGGATTGAGGGGGTTGGGGGTCGGGATGGTTTTGGGATGAAACTGTTCCACCTCAGATCATCAGGCATTAGATTCTCATAAGGAGCACACAACCTAGATCCCTTGCATGTGCAGCTCACAATAGGGTTCACACTCCTATGAAAATCTAATGCTGCCAGCGATCTGACGGGAGGCGGAGCTCAGGCAGTAATGCTCATTCACCAGCCACTCACCTTCTGCTGCGTAGCCTGGTTCCTAACACACCATGGACCTGGCTTATGGCCCCTGGTTTGCATCCCAGGGATTGGGGACCCCTGCTTTGGGGAGATAAGAAAATAAACTGCAATAATCAAAAGAGAACGAGATGTTATAAAAAACGTTCAGAGAATACAAATAAACTCTTGGAAATGAAAATAACATAGCAGCAAAGAAAACCTCAAAATAAGTTTCCAGATAAAGTTGAGGTATTCTTACAAAAAACAGAGCAAAAAGAAATAGATGGAAACTAGAAGAGAAAAGAAAATTAGAGAACGAGTCCAACAGACCCAACATCTGATTAATAGAAGTTGCAGAAATAGGATTAAAGAATACTTATGGAATAAAATAATAAATGGAAAAAATTCAAAAAACTTTCCAAGTTTTTTAGAACATAAGTTTTCAGATTGGAGGGGTCCCCCAAGTTTCTATCATAATGGGTGAAAATAGGCCTATGACAAGGCACATCATCACTGTGGTCAAAAAGAAGAGGTATATCTATCTATATCTATAGATATATGTATATCTATCTATATCTGTAGATATACGTATATCTATCTGTATCTATAGTTATACGTATATCTATATCTGTAGATATACGTATATCTATCTATATCTGTAGGTATACGTATATCTATATCTGTAGATATACGTATATCTATCTATATCTGTAGGTATACGTATATCTATCTATATCTGTAGGTATACGTATATCTATCTATATCTATATCTATACCTACATCTATAGAGAGGCTTATAAAGAACCTAGGATTAGGAAGGCTTTGAAGTTCTCAATGCCAACTAGAAGGCAATGAAGCATGCTTTCAAACTAGTGAAGAAAAATGATCTCCAACTAGAATTCTACTCCCAGCTGAACCACCACCAAAAGCTATTCAAGGTGTGTGTTCCATCAAAATTACAGAGTAAATCCAAAAAAGGAAGACAAGAGGTATAGGAATGAGAAGTTCCAACACAGGAGGTTACCGAGTGGCAGCAGACTCTGGAAAAGACCTGTTGCATTTGGCTGTGCAGGATGTACACTGCTCAACTTCTGATCATGCCATTCTTTTCATTTTCTCTGTGGATGACATAGAAATAGAGAGAAATCAGGACAATTTAGAGCCCCTCTGAAGGCTCCTGGGGAGACCTCCTTAGGAAATTAAAATCAATAGAAAACCTCATGCAGTAAGAAGAAATTTAGACAATTGATAGCATTTGTGATTGAGTGAACGATAAATACACAGAAATCTAAGCAAATCAAAAGAAAACAATGATTAACTTTGGAGTATTAATAACTACAAAAATTAAATCATAATAAGATCTGAGGAGTATTTACATATTCATAATAATTCAAGCACTGATGATTTATCTCTAACTACAAATTTTGAAATAATTATGTTGGGAGAGCCAGGGTTATGGGAAAGTGGCGTGTGTGCAGAGGGGTGATATAAAAGTCAAGATGTAGCAATAAAAACATATTCTTCAAGAAAGGTTAGCATATGCCAAAACAGTCAGCTAAGATCCATGAAGGGGGCTGATGAGTAGGGGCAATGATATTTTATAACAAAACTTGAATTGTTACGCTCTTTAAACTGTATGTATTTGTAACTTTGCTAAAAATAGAAACTAGTAAAAGTTTTAAAAGTTCTTTCAACTCTGGGAAAGTCATTTAATCTCTCTTAGCCTCGATTTTATCTGGGTGAGTGTGCACAGGGGCATATGTGTATCACTCCTGGCACAGCTGAAGTGCAGAGTGAAGGCTAGTGTTACACATGTCATCAGCATCATTGTGAGCTGATGTTACTGCCATAGAGCTTGCTATGCACAGAGTTGGTGTTTGAGTCAGAGCAGCAAAACTGAGTCCCCGGTACACATCATTTAATTACCTGCACCTGTGCTCCCCTCTTACTTCTGGCTTGCCAGGAATTGCTTACATTGACACTGGCCCAATTGTCCCATGTAACTAATGTTTATGGTTTCTTTTAAATAAACATAGAAATTGACTCTCCCAATCTTAAAACTTGAGAAAGTTACATTTGTCTTACCTGAGTTTCTTCCTCAGGAAACCAATAATCAGGCCTCCCAGATTATATCAAGGACCTGAAACTCATCAGATCACTAGATCTGGACAATGAGATGCCAGACCACCCCCCCACACCTGTCATGACTGCCTGACCGGCCACCTGCTTCCTGTGGACCAGTTCCTCTCCCCTACCCTCCCTAATACCTATTTTCCCACACATGGTTACATTTCTTCCTTGCTATATAAACCCCTAATTTAAGTCAGTTGAGGAGATGGATTTGAGATTGATTTCCCATTTCCTCAGCTGCAGCACTGAATTAAAGCCTTCTTTCCTGGCAATACTCATCTCAGTGATTGGCTTTCTGTGCTGCAAGCAATGGGACCTAGACCGAAACTCTGGTGTTTTGGTAACATCAGAAGGAGAGGTTATGCCCAGGCGTGCATGATGGTTGAGGCCAGAGTTGGGGATCCTGTCCATTCCCATGGCTGGGAAAAGAAGCTTTCTGGTCTTGGAGAGGAGGCAAATCTTTAGCTCTTGGAGAAACATTAGAGATAACCCACGTGGAAGCAATGGTGCCAGTAGACCAAGGCAACACAGCTTTGTTCAGTGAACAATGACAATGAGGAAGTCAGTCATTTCTAACCTGGGAACAGCTGGCAGCAACCTGGTACCTGTCTGAGCTCATCCCTGGTGCTGAGGTCTGGAGATGCAGAGATTGTTCTGGATACTCTTTTAGAAATGTGGGCTCCTAAGGACGTGTCAGGGATCATCTCCCCCGGTCCAGACCAGGAAGGGCTCTAGACCAAAGGGCTCTGGGACAAAAGTCCATTCTCCTAATCAGACTCCAAGGGCCACAACAGCTGAGAAAGGGCGGTCTGGCTGTAAGTAGAGCAAGCTCTACAAACACGTGCGAAGGAAGGCCGCACTTCCCTGTCTCTCTCTCCCACCATCTGGAAAGCTGGTGAATATTTCCCATCATCATCATCTCTCATTTCTATCTTTGTGTGTCCTTAAGTAACCACATTGTATTGTGAGGGAGTGTAAGGAACATGGGTTCAAAATTTTGAAACAGGAAGACTGGATTCAAGAATAGCCCATGTTATCCCTGACTGTGTGATTCTGTGTAATTTTATCTCTCTGAGTTTTCATTTCCTTGTCTATGGAATAGGGGTAACAATCGCTTCCCCAGCTACTGCAAAAGGTTTAACACAGCTTAACTAAAAGGTTTGACAAAGGGCAAATGGTACAGCATAGGTCAAAACTGCTTTGTAAGGACCTGAGAGGCAGGAAGGAAACCAGCATTTATAGAGCGCCCAGCCAGTAGCAGGTGCACGGTAGCTACGGTGATACCTGCCCTTGATATATATTCTCTTCTTCACATTGATATGGGTGCTGTAAGTGTTAGGACTTTTTCTATGGAGCAAGAAACTGAAGGTGGCAGGGAGAATAACTGCCTAAGTCACATGTGAGTGGATGTGTGAATGAGGTCCTCAGGATGTCACTGGCTGGGTGCTGGGGCTTCAGTAATGAACAAGCCATTATATCCCACTGGTGGGAAATGAAAAATAAAGAAGTTAATAAATAAACCAGACAAGTATAGAAAAAATACTATGCAAAAAATAAATGAGTACATGTAAGATGGGGCTGTCTCACACTAAGGGGTCAGGAAGGGGCTTTCTGAGGAGGTGATATTGGCACTGAGACCTGAACAACCAGAAGAATCAGCCATGTAAGGATTGTGGGGAAAGGCATCCCAGGAGACGAGAAGAGCAAATGCAAAATCCCCAAGGGGTATTGAGGTGTGTGCATATGAGGGGCAGAGAAAACCAACACAGCCGCCACACTGTGAGCAAAAGGTAGGGAGAGGATGTTGTAGAAGATGAGGATACAGAGGCTTATAGGAGCCCTTCTGGGCCTTAAAGGTCACAGCAAGGAGACTGATGTTCATTTGAGGTGTGTTGGGAAGACACTGGACAGGTCTAGGCAGGGGCTGCTCTGTCTGGTTTGTACTCTTGGTGTGGTCATTGTTACATGGTTTTGTGTTTGGCGGCTCCCCAGGCTTTGTTTCCATTAACATCAAGTTGCTGGGAGAAATCGCACAGCTGGGGGATCCTCCTCTCCACCCATGGTTTCAGCACTTGCCTGCCACCCCTAACCAACTTTAGGCATTGGGGGTGGTGTTGGGGTGGGGGTGGCTGTAGGGAAAGAAAGAGTCAGGGCAAAACCCCTAAGGCAAAAAGAAGTGCTCTTCTTCCCTGCCAGTAGTGAACCAACCATCAAAGCAGGGAGCTGGTGATCACTAGAGAAGGCAGTCCTGAAATCTTTGGCAACAAGCACCAACAAGCACCAACAAGCCATCAACAGCCTAGCAGTTCTGTTGTTGTAAATAAAGACCTTCTATCCTTCTACCAACTGGGGTGGGCTTTTTTGGCCAATAACAGACACATGGAATTTCAGGACCTCCTCAAAAAATACTTTCATTGATCTACCTCTGAGGACAAATAAATAAAAAATATAAAGAAATATTGACTGAGTGTGGTGGCTCATGCCTGTAATCTCAACATTTTGGGAGGCCAAGGTGGGAGGATGGCTTGAGCCCAGGAGTTTGAGAGCAGCTTGGACAATGTAGTGAGACCCCAATCTCTACAGAAAAATTAAAAATTAGCTGAGTATGATGGCATGCACCTATGGTCCCAGCTACTTGGGAGGCAGAGGTGGGAGGATTCCTTGATCCCGGAGGTCAAGGCTGCAGTGAGCTGTGATTATGCCACTGCATGATCATGGCTCACTGCCCTCCAGTCTGGGCGACAGTGTGAGACCCTGTTTCCAAAAAAAAAAAAAAAAAGAAAAGAAAAGAAAGAAAAAAGAAAAATATTAATAAAAACATTTTTGCAAGGTAATTATTTGGTAAAATATGTATTTCTACATAATAATTGATACATATGAAAGACTCTAATATATTTCATTTTGAATTGATGAAGCATTGTATTAAAATAAACATTGAACCCACCATCCACCTTGAGAAAGTGTACATTACTAAAACTGTTGAAATTAACTGTATGTATCTCCCTGATTCCACTCACTTACCTTCCCTGGAAGGTAACGTCTACATTACATTATTTGGAAGTACAAAATTTATTTTTCCTTCTTCCTTTTCTAAAGAGTTTCCTTCCACATTTTTGTTTTGAAAATTTTTAAACCTACAGAAAGTTGCAAAATAGTAAAACAGATACAAATTTACTCCTCATCTAGATTCACCAATTATTAACGTTTTGCTCAATTTGTGCTTAGTTATCTATCATCTATCTATCTATCTATCTATCTATCTATCTATCTATCTATATCTTTCTTTCTTTCTCTCTCTCTCTCTTTCTCTAATCTTTTCTGAACCCATTTGAGATGCAGTTATGCACACATAACCTTTGATCTGCAGATGCTCTAAGACCAAGGATCTTTGCCTACACCAAAATCAGGAAATTTTGCATTGGAACAACACTGTTATCTAATATGGTATATATTCAAATTTCCCCAGTTGTCCCAGTATGTGTCCTTAATAACCGTTTTCCTGTGTGTTTGCTCCAGGATCCAGCCCAGGTTCACACATTGCATTTGCTGACTTATCTCTTTAGCCTCCTCTATTCTAGAACAGTTCCTCAGCCCTTTCTTCCCCCATGGCATTGACAATTTTGAAAACCCCAGGCTGTTATTTTTGGAATGTTCCTCATTTTGGATTTGTCTGATTGTTTCCTCATGAGGAGGTTCAGATTAATAAAAATTCAAAGCCCCTTTAAAGGCTTCAAACTGAATGAAATCTGCTCTCAATTTGCTTCGACACCGGGGACGCTATTGCACAGGGGAATTGAGCCTGGATGGCATAGTCCACCTCTGGAACAGATTTCAGCTAAGCTGGGTAAGGCTGGTAGCTGAGTTGTCAGCCTAACACTCCAACAGAGCTGACAGGAACTGTAGATACCCCTGTTACACCCTGAGTTAAGTCTTTATTTCCAGTTCATCTCTGCAGTGGGCCTTCCCAACCCAGAGGTCTGCTCTGTTCCATGCAGACTGAGATTATCTTCCATGAGGAATCGCTGAGATATGAGAGGAGGCCCTGGGTGCCAGTGAGGTGGACTCGATGGCTGGCAGATGTTCACTGCACTGGCTGCTGGCACAGAGGCCAGCAAAGTGAAAATGCATGTGGAGTCCCAGTAGGCAAAAAGCAATTTCCTGAGCTGGGCCTTGGCCAGGAGGCTGCAGTTTTACGCTTCCCTGCATTCAATGGCTATGGGGAGGCTGACGGCAGGACTTGAGCCTGATGCTTCATTTCCCAAGGCCCAGCCTTCAGGAGCCCTCATGTCCTGCACAGGCAAGAGGCAGTTCTTCACCTCCTAAATGTGCAGGGCCTCAGCAGTGCTCCTTGGACGCTGCTCATGCTGATATTAACCAGCCCCAAATGCATGAACTCCCAGGAGGCTTGGGTTTCCTCATGAGGTGGCACAATTTAACTGTAGGCCTAGTCAAGTGGAATTTTTCACACATTTATTTCCCCTCTGAAGGGCTTGCATGTATAGCCACATTTCTCTCCATCTCTGAGAACGGCTCATGGGGAAGTGGGAAGCAGAAATGGCTGCAGGGTTGCTTGTTTTGTTCCTGGCATTGGGGGTGTGGACTTTCCACTTCATCTCCCCTCTTCCTAGAGACAAGGCATGAGACACTGGCTTCACCACGATGAGGCTGCTGAGACAGAAGCAGGAAAACAGGAAGGCCATGGGCTCCAGAGCCGGGTCCATTCACTGCTGTGCCTTCCCATGGTTTAACCTTTTCCAGCCTTAGTTTCCTGAACTGAAGAATGGGGATGACAACACTCACAGGGCTGCCAAGAGGATGGCTGTAGACACCCATACATGGATGCTGTAATGTCAGACACTCTAGAATGTCACTTGGTTCTTAGCCTGGGATCTGCTGAGAGTCCCTCAAAATTCTGGGAGTAGAATTCAAGAGAATAATATAATTGCACCTTTATTAACACGGAAAGTGATGCACAGCTTAGCATTTCCTTCAATTCTGTGGACAACAACTCGTGGCAGTGTTAGTAGTACCTGTGACTGTCATCAATAGAAACCATAGATATTTTCATATTACATTACAGTTTTATAGGCATTTCAAAACTTTATTTACACTCATCGTGACTTCAAAATCATGTTAACGTTTAGACATACAGCTAGATCCTGCTATTTAGTGTGCCAATTAATAATCACAGATATTAGCATATCATAAATTTGTTGTAAGATATTTTGATAACTGTAGTTCAGTATAAGTGGTTTCCTTTGTACTCCTGTGTATTTTACTTAATGTGCTTACAAGCATTTTGAGAAGGGATTCAAGGGCTTTACCAGAAGTGTCCTGTGTTCAAAAAATGGTTCAGAACTGCTGCTCTAGCTACTCGGGCTTTGGGTAGTAACTTTCCTTTCTCAGGGGCTCTTGCTGGGTCCTGGCTGAAGACGTGAGGTGGCTTTCTTACTCATAATTTCTTCCTTTGCTGCCCTTCTGAAAATGGAGATAGTCAGTGGGAAGGCAAGGGCCTTGAGGGGATCTGAACTGTTCCCCAGTGTCTTCAGATTGGTGGATGACAGACAGGCCTGCCAAGGGCAATCATATGTGCAACAGGACATGCATGAAGTATCAGAGTTGTTGCCCAGATTATACCAGAAAAGTAAAAAACAAATTGAGCTGCAGGTCAAATTGAGGAAGCAATGACTCTCTTCTCTTCTGCAATGAGGCTGAGAATTAGAAATCCCTGCTGGGTGCAGTGGCTTACGCCTATAGTTTCAGCGCTTTGGGAGGCCGAGGTGGGCAGATCACCTGAGGTCAGGAGTTTGAGACCAGCCTGGCCAACATGGTGAAACCCTGTCTCTGCTAAAAATACAAAAGTTGGCTGGGTGTGGTGGCGCATCCTCTAATCCCAGCGACTTGGGAGGCTGAGGCAGGAGAATCACTGGAACCAAGGAGGCGGAGGTTGCAGTGAGCTGAGATTGCGCCACTGCACTCCAGCCTGGGTGACAGAGCGAGACTCTGTCCCCCCCCCACCAAAAAAAAAAAAAGAATTGGAAGTCCTCACAGTCATGAGCTAGGAGATCCAGGAATCTGCCTCTTGAATTCTGGGAAATAGGGATGTGAAGCTGGAGGCTCTAGTGAAGCCTCTCAGGCTACTTTCTCTTGGATGACAGCTTTGACCAACAGACAGAGAAGTGCATGATCGCCAAACTACAAAGCTAGACTTGTGGGCCAACTTGTCATACGCAAATCCAACAGAATGTAGAGACAGGAGCTCCAGGAAGAAAAGCAAATAACTTCTAATCTGGACACGGGTCGAATCATGCCTTCTAATGGTGCAGCACTGGGCAAGTGGCTTCACCTCCTTGACCTTAGTATTCTCCTCTATAAAATGGGGGCATTGGGGATCATGTCTACCTCTGAGGATTTAATGACAGCATATAAATAGAGCCTGGCAAGTGGCAGAACCATGATATATGTTCAGCATTGTTAGTTCTTGAGGTGGGTAACTGTTGTTTTTTCCCAACCAAACTCCATCTTCCTCTTGTTCTGGTGACAGTACCTGGACTTTCCTTTAGAAAATCACCTTCCTCAGTTCTGGCCAGGGCAATCAGCAAGAGAAAGAAATAAAGGGTATTCAATTAGGAAAAGAGGAAGTCAAATTGTCCCTGTTTGCAGATGACATGACTGTATATTTAGAAAATCCCATCGTCTCAGCCCAAAATCTCCTTAAGCTGATAAGCAACTTCAGCAAAGTCCCAGGATACAAAATCAATGTGCAAATATCACAAGCATTTCTATACACAAATAACACACAAACAGAGAGCCAAATCATGAGTGAACTCCCATTCACAATTACTACAAAGAGAACAAAATACTTAGGAATCCAACTTACAAGTGTTGTGAAGGACATCTTCAAGGAGAACTACAAACCACTGCTCAATGAAATAAAAGAAGGCACAAACAAATGGAAGAACATTCCATGCTCATGGATAGGAAGAATCAATATCGTGAAAATGGCCATATTGCCCAAAGTAATTTATAGATTCAATGGTATCCCTATCAAGCTACCACTGACTTTCTTCACAGAATTGGAAAAAACTACTTTAAATTTCATATGGAACCAAAAAAGAGCCTGCATAATCGAGACAATCCTAAGCTGCCTCAGAACAAAGCTGGAGGCATCACGATACCTGACTTCAAACAATATTACAAGGCTACCATACATTACATTAATATTGTAATATTACAATATTACAAGGCTACCATAACCAAAACAACATGGTACTGGTACCAAAACAGATATATAGACCAATGGAACAGAAGAGAGGCCTCAGAAATAACACCACACATCTACAACCATCTGATCTTTGACAAACCTGACAAAAACAAGCAATGGGGAAAGGATTCCCTATTTAATAAATGGTGTTGGGAAAATTGGCTAGCCATATGTAGAAAGCTGAAACTGGATCCCTTCCTTACACCTTATACAAAAATTAACTAAAGATAGACTAAAGACTTAAATGTAAGACCTAAAACCATAAAAACTCTAGAAGAAAACCTAGGCAATACCATTCAGGACATAGGCATAGGCAAAGACTTCATGACTAAAACACCAAAAACAATGGAAACAAAAGCCAAAATAGACAAATGGGATCTAATTAAACTAAAGAGTTTCTGCACAGCAAAAGAAACTATTATCAGAGTGAATAGGCAGCCTACAGAATGGGAGAAAATTTTTGCAATCTATCTATCTGACAAAGGGCTAACATCCAGAATCTACAAGAACTTAAACAAATTTATAAGAAAGAAACAACCCCATCAACATGTGGACAAAGGATATGAACAGACACTTCTCAAAAGAAGACATTTATGCAGCCAACAGGCATATGAAAAGATGCTCATCATCACTGGTCATCAGAGAAATGCAAATCAAAACCACAATGAAGTACCATCTCACGCCAGTTAGAATGGCGATCATTAAAAAGTTAGGAAACAACAAATGCTAGAAGGGATGTAGAGAAATAGGAACACTTTTACAGTGTTAGTGGGAGAGTAAATTAGTTCAACCATTGTGGAAGACAGTGTGGATTCCTCAAGGATCTAGAACTAGAAATACCATTTGACCGAGTAATCCCATTACTAAGTATATACCCAAAGGAATATAAATCATGCTACTATAAAGACACATGCACAGGTATGTTTATTGTGGCACTATTCATAATAGCAAAGACTTGGAACTAACCCAAATGTCCATCAATAATAGACTGGATAAATAAAAGGTGGCACATATACACCATGGAATACTATGCCACCATAAAAAAGGAAGAGTTCATGTCCTTTGCAGGGACATGGATGAAGGTGGAAACCATCATTCTCAGCAAAATATCACAAGGACAGAAAACCAAACACCGCATGTTCTCACTCATAAGCGGGAGTTGAACAATGAGAACACATGGACACAGGGAGTGGAACATCACACACAGGTGTGGGGGGAGGGGGGAGGGATAGCATTATGAGATATATCTAATGTAAATAATGAGTTGATGGGTGCAGCAAACCAACATGGCACATGTATACTTGTGTAGCAAACCTTCACGTTGTGTACATGTACGCTAGAACTTAAAGTATAATAATAATAATAAAAAGAAAATCACTTTCCTCTATGTGTTTTATGTGGAACCAATGCTGCCTAAATCCTGCAGTGCATACGCAAGTTGGTGTTGGCCAACCAGAGCATCCTTACTGCTCTACACCATGATAGATTTAGGGTTGGCCCATCATCAGGCCAGATTCGTGAGAACTCCATCCTAGACTTATACTAGAACCGTCAAGGAAAAATAGTCCTCCTTGCACTGAGGCCACTAATCCTGGCACTGCAGACATCATTCTCAGCCCTCTAAGGATACAACCCCCCTAAGAAAGCAGAACTGAGAGATGGAGATGGCATCATTTGAGCTCCTGGTGCCTGAAGCTAGAAGACTGCTGGAATTTTTAGTTAAGTGAGCAATATATCTCCTATTTCTTTGAGCTAATATAAGTTTGGCTTCTGCCCTTTACAGTTACAAGAGCATTGCATAATTCCATTCATTTTTGTCTCCCTCTCTATGGAAAGAGTGGCTAGGATGGGTTAAAACCGGTAGTCAAGAGGACAAGTAGCAGAGGTGAGGACCAAGGGGATGAACTAGGGGATTCTTCCTCCACCCCCAGAGATAAGAAGGCGGGCTCGGAAAGCTGCGGTATTCACCGCCACTCCTGCCTGTCTGTGGCTGAGTGTGTCACTAGGGGTAACTCCCCAGCACTTCCAGGGAGAATGCCCTGATGCAGTGATTCCGGAAGCCAAGAATAAGCACAGGGACAGTTCCCGGTGGGAGATGTGGCAGGCCTGGCAGAGACTGGCTCAGAGGTCACAGCACTGTCCAACTCTGCTTCATCTCTCTCTTAAAAAACCCAAACAAACAACACTTTATTGAGGGATGATTAACATACAATAATCTATATATATGTTATTAAAAGTTTTTATTTTTGATTTTCATGGGTACAAGGTTGTACATATTTAATGCATGCAACTTGGTATGTGTGGAGATAAGTATGCAAGGTGAAACCATCACCACAATCAAGGCCATAACCATATCTATCACCTCCCAAATTGTCCTTGTCCCCTTTTTATTTATTTGTTTTTGTGATAAGAACACATAACACAAGATCTATCCTCTTAACGAATTTTTAAGTACACAATACAGTATTGCTGGCTATGGACACTCTGATGTACAGTAACTCTTTAGGACTTACTCATCTTTATAACCAAAACCTTGTGCCCTTTGACTAATACCTTTCTCTTTTCCCCTCCCCTCAGATCCTGGCAACCATCACTCTACTCTTTGCTTCTGAGTTTAATTATTTTAGATTCCTCATGAAAGTGGTATCTTGCAGTAATTTTCCTTCTGTATCTGGCTTATTTCACTTAGCGTGGTGTCCTCCAGGTTCCTTCATGTTGCTGCGAAGGCAGGATTTCCTCCTTTGTTAAGGCTCTTTTGTATGCATCCGTTACATACTCATACTCTGCTTCGTCTCTTGAATGCTGCCTCCCAAGATGCTCATTTTATGCATGCCCTCTTCCCTCAATCATGCATCTTCTCTTTGCCCACTTCTCTTAAAGTATAAATCTCTCTCGTCCCCATCAAAACTTGGCTATCTGGTGTTCCAGTCTGCTAACATTCAGCTAGCCAAGGTAGCACTTTGTAATAAACCAGGGGTTCCAACCACACACCAGATTTTATATTGAATGACCCTAATGCTTAAAATGGATAAAAGTGGAGCTGCCTGTCGGAGGGCCAGCAGGCTCCACGTCCTGTGTGCATGGCCTCACTGGCCTGCTGTGTGCTGGTCTGGAGGTGCCCTTCGGTATGGTAGCATCCTTATTGCAAGTGAGAAACTAGTCTCCTCTGAATCTTTGATTTCAAAAGAAATAAATTTGGAGCCTTTTTAGATGGGTCGGAGAAGAAAACGAAGGTGAGAAAAGTCAACCAAAGCATGAACATTCCCTGGCAAACTCACAGCAGGGTGTGGTTTGGAGCCAGCCTTGAACCCTGCATGCTTCCAAAATGGCACCTCCTCTCAGGTTTTGTCTTCACAGGCTCCTGGTGGAGCCCAACGTTTCATGGGAATTGGCTACACTTGGAGAGCCACAAGCATGTGCCATGTGCCCAGCATTAACTGTCATTATCTCCTTGAATCTGAACAATGCTCCAAGTAGCATTGTTAATGCCATTGTGCAGATAAAGACTTTGATCCTCCATATGGACAGTGGAATAATGAGGCCTATCTTGTTCTCTCTTCTGTTAAGGTCTGTGTTAGCTTGTCTTAGAGATGGTGCCTACAGTCCTCCTCTCCACATAGGCTTTTATCATTCTTCCTGTTGATAGGTGGAATCTGTTTCCTGCTCCCTGAATCTGGGCGAGCCTGTGACTTGCTTTGATCAGTAGAATGAAGCAGAAGTGACACTGTGTCAATTCCAGGCCTAGTGGTTGAGAGATCTGGGAGTTTCTGTGTTGGCCCTCCTGGAAGTGGGCTGCTGTGCTATAAGAACATCCATGCTATCCTGGTAGAGTGATGCCATGGGAAGAGGCCCTGGGGGATGAGTCAATATGTGGAGGAAGAGGGCACCCAGCAGCACATGCAGGTGCAGATACCTGACAGAAGCTGTCTGGGAGGCTCTAGTCCCACCCAGATGAACACAGGTGTGGCCACAGCTGACATGGTGTAGCTTTAATAGCTTGTTTTAGTTTAATAATAAATTGTTTCAAGCTGCTACATTTTGAGGTGGTTTTTTATGCAGCAATAAATAACTGTAAGAGTTTGCCTCTCCGGAGCTTGCAGTGAGCCAAGATCCCACCACTGCACTCCAGCCTGGGCGACAGAGCGAGACTCCGTATCAAAAAAAAAAAAAAAAAAAAAAAAAAAAAAAGAGTTTGCCTCTCTTTTCACTGAAAATTAACTTCTTGTGGCAAATGGTCAGCTCTGATGTTTTTCAAAATTAGGAACAATTGAGCTATATTCTTCCTGGAGCAATGGCAGACAACGAATTGGAACCAGGAAAAGCCCAACTTTAAACCCTGGCTTCCTGAGAAAATCAGCATCAACTTCACTCCCTGCAGTCCATTCTAGCCAGATTTTGTTTGGTAGTGGCGGTGGTCTGAGCTCATAGCCAGGAAATTTGAATGCAAAAATTTCCACTTTTGGTGGGTTGTGACACAGTCTACATTCTACTTTGGGAAATACTTGTGTTTTCCAAGGATAGCTTAGTTTATCATGTGAGATTCTGCTTCAGTGGCCATCCTTATGCTGATACTATGTGAAGAGACAGGATTGTCTTTCATCTTAGAAAGATCTAGATGACGTTTTTGCTTTGCTAAGGGGTGGGATTTTAGGCCCTGGCAAAGGCAGGTAACCTAACAGATGCCTCATGGATAAAAATTCTGCAGAAGCAAGGTGCTTGGGAAGGTGGGCCTGGAATAGTAGTTTTTCTCTGAATGTGGGGTAGTTCATCTCTCTATGTCAATTTTTATTGGGTAGGGCTTGCCTGCCTTTATGTTTTTAAAACAAATGTTGGTTCTATATTTGAACTCCCTGAGCCAACTTTGATGAGGGGCAGGAAGACAGAGCCAAGATGGCAAAAGCATTCTGCAGGCATCGATTCCCTACATGGTGGCTTCTCATGTGATCATTTTCCAGCCCCTGGAAGCCTTTTGGGAACTCGGAAGCACTTATCCTCAGACATGTGGCTCATTCTTGTTTCCTCCAGGAGCCAATAGGTGGTAGCAACGGGCCAGCAAAGAAGCACCTGCTAAGGTGGGTGGTTCAGCCTAGCTGTCAAGGCGATAGAAGCAGCTATGTGGTTTAAGTCAAAGAATACCTCTAGAGAAGAACTTTAAGTCTGAATGTATGTGATGCAGACACTAGCTTCTCAAAACAGCCTGGCTTAGCACAGACTCCATCTTCCAAGGATTTTTCATCTCTCTGAATATCTCTCTAGAATATCTATCTACCTTCTTGGCAGATGGGAGTAGCCAGGCACATTGGGAGTAGCCAGGCTGCATCTGAGCACCTGCCAAATGGTGTGCAGCCTTTGGGGGCTGTGAACACATGCCAGTTGTGCTCCTTTCCCTGGTAGGGCCTGACCATACCCTGGGCATGTGGTCCAAGCCCAGAAAGGTGCGGGGAGGCACAAAGATGCAAACAGCTGGATGGGCAAACACAGGCACAAACATCCCATGAGCACTGACTGTGGGGATATGTGGAGGCTGTGAGGATGAGAAAGACATGATGGAAGGATGATGAGGCAGGGATTGGCATGAGGCTGGGCTGCTCAAGGAAGGTTTGGTGAAGATGTGGAGTTTGGGAAGAATTTGGAAGAAGGAACCCAACTTGGTGGGGAAAAAATACTGTGGAGGTGGAGGAAGCATCGGAGGAGCTGCTGTGATGGACTTTGATTGGTTCAGCCGATGAGAAGTCTCGGGCCAAAGCAGCTGTTGACTAGGGGGGTACCTGGGAGCTGATGGTGAGAAACATTAGTGTGCGGATTCCTGTGCACCAGGTTATGGCCCATCGGCGGGGGCAGCCGCGTCAGTGTGGATAATATGAATGTCATCAGCAAACCAGATTCAGAGGCACTCACAAAGCTTGACTTGCCTGACACCTTTTATCCCACATTCCTGTTGTCGAATAAATATCTTTCAGGCCTTCAGAACTTTCTAGACTCAAGTCTTTATTAGAAAAGGTGGCATCATAAAGAGTCTATCACAGTCTCTAGGGGGCCTCCTGTAGCTCCGCTGACCCCTATTACTGCAGGTGTTCCGTACATCTTCTATTTGGTGTGATTTACACAGACTCACAAGGTGAAGAACCCCACTGGGATAAAAAGACCAGAGATGTCCCAACTTGGGGGCAATGATTTGCTTTTTAAGAACAATGTCTTTCAAATGTTATTGACCACAAGTTATACAAAAAAATACATTTTTACCATATAACCCGGTATACACATTTTAATGTGCAATTCGTAATTGAAATTAAAAGTTCATTAAACAATTTTCACTTTGTATTATATCTTTTTTATTTTTTAAAAAGCTGACAGTGACACACTAAATGGATCTGATAACCCCAGCAGTTTTCTTTTTACAGTTTGTATCTTTCTTTCCAACCAAGATACCTCTGGGTTGACTTCTAAAAACAGATGCTCTCACTTCTTCAGAGACCGCCATTAACCTGCTTCTTGTGATCACTTGACTGGGTACTGGGCAGAAGTTTGTCTTCTCGATAAGAAAGAGCAGTGCTCAGCAGATTGAGAGAACAAATTGTAGAACTTAAGACAAAAACAGTGACAGAAAGCCTAGAAGCAAGGATTTGATTTATTCACATAGAGTTGATGTGATTATGTGTTTAGCATGTAATTGCCTTGGTTGCTTTCTTTGGGAGCGTTTCTCCCCCATCCCCCACCTGTATTTTAAAAACCTTAGGGTCAAGGAGCAGGCAGTATAGCCTAAAATAGGCTTGTGGTACCAATGTCATGAACCCTTCCTAAGGGACGTGAGTTTGCAGCTCCTAGTGTCTTTCTGGGCATTGTGCAGCAAAATAGTTAAAAAGCCAGAACTCCAGCTTTCCAACACTGAGCATGGATCCCAGCTCCTCCATGTCTTTTCTGTGTGAACTTGTATAACTTCAACTGTCTGTGCCTCAGTTTCTTTACCTGCATGGGGCAATAATCACAGTACCTACACCACAGGGTTACTGAAAAGACCAGAGGAGAGAATGCTGTAACATGAGCTCAGTGCTGGGGACATGTGAGTGTCACCTGTTGGTATCTGATAGGGCTCCCTGAGGCTTCCTGTTAGACAATATCTTTTTACCAGCCTACTTCCAGCAATAGGCTGGAAGTGATAATAAAAGCATATTCCTTTCTTTAAAAAACCCTATAAACCTAAACTTTTAATAAATTCTGATAGGCCTTTCCATCAATAGACTGGCTTTTCGAGTCTCATAAGATAAGCTAATTTTTGGAAAAGTTTTGCTTGTTAATATCTCACAGCCAACCCAGAGTCAGTAAAATCAACAGAGAAATGAAATACAGGCAGGTTAACAAGTTTCAGCAATGTGTCACAGTGGAACCCTTTAAAAAATACTGACCAGGCTACAGTGTCAGTAAGATTCCAAATTATTGTCTAATAGTCATCACTTTCTTGAACTACATAGGAATGGACTAGATAAAAAAAATACACTTAGAAAATCAACATAGTTTTACTCATAAGAGATTGCATGAAAGAACTTACCTTGAGATGTTCATGGCAAGCAACATGATTCCATATACTGACAAATTTTATTTTTCCATTTGTGGCATTTTCTCCCCTAATAACTGCTCTGTTGTGACCATGGGAATGTCAGGTATATAAAAATACCCAAATAATGAGCCCTCTCCTAAAATGATAAAGAAAACCAATTTTTTTATTTCTCCTTGTCCTCTCCAGCCCAGCTTCATACTGACCTTAAAACTTTGGGCAATAAACCTGTCATATAGTGTTGCGTGCTTGGTTCCATCAGCATTTTTTGGTGTGTGTGTGTGTGTGTGTGTGTGTTAGCCAAAACAAACAGCGTATTGTCTACTACGAACATGCAAGGACAAGTTTTTTGGAGGAGCTTGGGTAAGCGTTGTGCAGGGACTTAAATTTCGGCTTCATGTGCATGACGGTTGAAGGCTCCCTTGTCAGTCAGCCTGGGGCAGCACAGGAAGGGGGAAGAAGGTGAGAGAAGGAAAGCAGTTGTCTCCTAGGAATACAATGAAAGGTGGGGCTGAGGGGAAAGAAAGGAGAAGGAAAGACATACAGGAGGCCTCTCTGACCTAACAGGACACCAGTAATCCGTGTTGCTTTCCAAGATCCCTGGGATTAGCACAAACACAATTGATGCGTATTCCGCAGGTGCCTAGTATGGAGGCTTCCTCAGGCTACCTGAGAGGAATAATTTTCCTCTTGTGAGATGCTCTGTCTAAATCCACTTTGATTATTTTTCTGGGGTTCGCTGTGGTTGCATTAAGATTTCTAAGGTAGGAGGCATTATTGTTTCTTCTCTCTGTCTTGCACCTGCTAAAGGTGATCAGTCACTTCCTATCTGGAAAACCTAACCTTCCACCCCATCGTCACCCTAGCCCAGGCCCATATCCTTCCTTAGCTAGATAATGGCAGTGGTCTTGTCTCCTATACCTGTTTCCTGTGTCACCTTTTCAACTTGTTCTCCCTCTTGGAATCATAATCATCCTTCTAAAATGAAACGCTGACCATGTTATTGTTGTAAGCTCATGGACATCCACTGCCTTCACAGTGATATTCTAACTCCTTAGCATGGCGTGCGAGACCTTTCACCATCTGACTAGCCCTGCTCACTTATCTCAGGAGCACTTACCTTGCTACAACATAGACACCTATTCTCTATGAGTCCATACTTCAATTCCTTTGTAGGTGTTATCTTCTCTTCTGAGAAGGTAACCTGCTCCCCATCCCTGACTCATTCCATGTTGTTCTGTGACAAACTCCTACTTATAAACATTAATCACAAATATTACTTAGTTAACCCTACAATGATAATTGGAGACTCCAAAACCCAAGCTCAACAATTGACATAAAAGCCAGAAAGAAGATAAGTAAAGAAGCAGAGGACTTGACCAACACAGTAAAGCAACTAGATCTAACAGATATATACAGAACACTCCACTCAGCAACAACAGAACAACTTCCTCTCAAGTGAACATGGGACATTTTCCAGGACAGACCTTATGTCAGGCCACAAATCAAATTTCAGTGGATTTCAAGAAACAGATATATTCAAACTATCATCTGTGACCATGATGGGGTCAATTTACACATCAATAACAGAAGAAAAACTGTAAATTTCACAAATTTGTGGAAATTAAATAAGCCACTCTTACACAATTAAAGGATCAAAGAATAAATCACAAAAGAAATTAGAAAATACTTAAAGATGAATGAAAATAAAAACACAACATACCAAAACCTATCGGATTCAGTAAAAGTAGTGATTTAAAGCTGTGAACACATTAGGCCAGAGGTGGTGGCTCACACCTATAATCTTAGTACTTTCAGAGGCCAAGGCAGGTGGATTACCTGAAGTGAGGAGTTTGAGACCAGCCTGGACAACGTGGTGAAACCCTGTCTCTACTAAAAAAAAAATACAAAAAATTAGCTGGGCATGGTGGCTCATGCCTGTAGTCCCAGCCACTTGGGAGACTGAGGCAGGAGAATTGCTTGAACCTGAGAGGCAGAGGTTGCAGTGAGCTGAGATCATGCTACTGTACTCCAGCCTGGGTGACAGAACGAGACTCCATCTCAAAAATAAATAAATAAATAAATAAATAAAGCTTTGAACGAATTAAAAAAGAAGAAAGATCTCAAGTGAACAAATGAACTTTACAACTAAGGAACTAAAAAACCCAAATTAAACCCAAAGTTAGCAGATGAAACAAATCGTAAAGATTAAAGCAGAGATGATAAAATAGAGAAGAGAAAAATAATAGAGATCAACAAAACCAAAAGTTCACTCTTCAAAAAGGTTAACAAAATTGATAAACATTTAGCTAGATTGGCTAAGAAAAAAGATAGAAGACTCAAATAACTAAAATCAGGAATGGAAGTGGGGACATTACTAACTGGTTCGCAGAAATAAAGTAGATTATAAGAGAGCACTATGAACAACTGTTTGCCCACAAATTAAATAACCTAGATGAAGTGATAAATCAGAGACACAAAGCCTATCAAATCTGAATCATGAAGAAATAGAAAATCTGAATAGATCTGTAGTTAGTAAACAGACTGAATTAGTAATCAAAAACCTCCTGAGAAAGAAAAGCCCTGGACCTGATGCCTTCTCTGGTGAATTCTCTTAAGCATTTAAAGAACTACCATTAATCCTTCTCAAACTCTGCCAAAAAATTGAAGAGGTGGGAACACTTCCTACCTAATTCTGTGAGGCTGGGTGTTGACTGATACCAGGCCAGCCAAAACATTACAATAAAAGAAAACTACAGATCAATATATATGATAAACTTTAATGTAAAAATCCTCAACAAAATACTGGCAAACTAAATTCAGCGGCATACTAAAAGGTTTATACACCATGACAAAATGTGGTTTATTCCTGGAATGCAGGGACGGTTCAATATGCAAAAATGGGTCAATGTGGATCTGTCTTTATTTTGCTTTGTTTCGCCAATGAGCTTAAGACATTTTTAAAAAGCAAGAAAATATATGTGAATATAAAGGTATTCTCAAGTTAGAGTGACAAAGAATGCAAATGATTTCAACACTTTTTATATTGATTGCATGTTAAAATGATAATATTTGGATATGATTGGGCTAAATACAATATATTATTAGAATAAAAAAGTTGGCCGAGGCGGGCGGATCACGAGGTCAGGAGATCGAGACCATCCCGGCTAAAACGGTGAAACCCCGTCTCTACTAAAAATACAAAAAATTAGCCGGGCCTAGTGGCGGGCGCCTGTAGTCCCAGCTACTTGGGAGGCTGAGGCAGGAGAATGGCGTGAACCCGGGAGGCGGAGCTTGCAGTGAGCCGAGATTGCGCCACTGCACTCCAGCCTGGGCGACAGAGCGAGACTCCGTCTCAAAAAAAAAAAAAAAAGTTGGTCAGTGTAATATACCACATTAACAGAATGAAAAAAAAAATCCACAGGATCATTTCAATGATTTAGAAAAAGTATTTGACAAAAGTCAACATCCTTTCATGATTAAAAAAAAAAACACACTCAAGGTAACTACCTCAACAATATAAAGGTATATATAAAAAATCCACAGCTAGAATCATACTCAATAGTAGGAGGCTGATAAATTCCTTTAAGATCCTGAACAAGGAAAGGATGCCCACTTTCACCCCTTCTGTTCAGCGTAGTATTGCCAGCTCTATCCAGAGCAATTAGGCAAGGAAAACAAATAAAGGCTCCAAATAGGAAAGGAAGAAATAAAAATATCTCTGTTTGTAGATGACATGATCTTGTATGTAGAAAACACTGAAGGTTCCACAAAAAAGTCTTAAAACTAATAAACAAATTCAACAAAGTCGCAGAATACAAAATCAATATGCAAGAATTAATTGCATTTTCATACACTAACAATGAACAATTCAAAAATAAAATTAAATGAACCAATTCCATTTACAATAGCATCAAATATAATAAAATACTTAGGAATTAGTTTAACCAAAGAGTGAAAGACTTCTACACCGAAAATGATAAAAAGTTGGCTGGGCACAGTGGCTCACACCTGTAATCCCAGCACTTTGGGAGGCTGAGGTGGGTGGATCACCTGAGGTCAGGAGTTCGAGACCAGCCTGGCAAACATGGTGAAACCCCATCTCTACTAAAAATACAAAAATTAGCCAGGTGTGGTGGCATGTGCCTGTAATCACAGCTACTCAGGAGGCTGAGGCAGGAGAGTTGCTTGAACCCAGGAGGTCAAGGTTTCAGTGAGCCATGATGGCACCACTGCACTCCAGCCTGGGTGACAGAATGAGATCAATCTCAAAAAACAAACAAACAAATGAAAGAAAATGATAAAAAGTTGCTGAAAGAAATTAAAGAAGACACAAATAAAAAGAAAGATATTTATGTTCATGAACTGGAAGACTTAATATTGTTAAAATGACAACACTACACAAAACAATCTGCAGCCTTAATGCAATCCTTATCAAAATCACAATGGCATCTTTTGCAGAAATAGAAAAATTTGTCCTAAAATTCTTGTGGAATCTCTAGGGGTTCCAAATAGCCAAAAACAATTTTGAAAAAGACCCAAGTTGAAAGTCTCACACTTCTTGATTTCAAAATATATTACAAAGCTACAGGAATCAAAACAGTGTGGTGCTGGCATAAACACAGACATATAGCTCAATGGAACAGAAAAGAGAGCCCAGGAATACATAACCCCACACATAAGGTTAAATGATTTTTGACAAGATTGCCAAAACTTTCAACGCAGAAGTATTATCATTTGTTGAAGGCACTTAACAAACGATACTAGAAAAACTGGATATCCATGTGCAAAAGAACGAAGTTGGACCTTTGACTAATGTTATATATAAAAACTAGAGATCATGGCGGATGGGAAGCAGGACTAGATTGCAGCTCCAACTTGGACGGACAGAGAAGCAGGGGGAAGCTAACATCGTGAATTTTTGCTCCAGAGTGATTAGAGGAATAAATCAGAAAACCTGAGAGGACCCACAGACCCCCCTGAAGGAAGTGGATTGCTCCTGCAGGACCCAAGAGACACCCCAAATACTGTGCTGTTATCCATGGCTGAGAGACCCAAAGATGGTTCACATCACAGGACTCTGCAGACAACCCCTAGTACCAGCCTGGAGCCTGGGTAGACTTTCTGGTTGGCTAGATCCAGAAGAGAGATGACAATCACTACAGCTGGGCTCTCAGGAAGCCACAAAGAGTACTACAACAAGGGAACCTCTGTGGGAAAAAAGAAACTGAACAGCAGCCTTCAGCCCTAGACTTTCCCTCTGACAGAGCCTACCCAAACAAGAAGGAACCAGGAAACCAGCTCTGGTAATATGACAAAACAAGGTTCTTTAACACCTCCAAAAAATCACACTAGCTCACCAGCAATGGACCCAAACCAAGAAGAAATCCCTGATTTACCTGAAAAATAATTCAGGAGGTTGGTTATTAAGCTAATCAGGGAGGCACCAGAGAATGGTGAAGCCCAATGTAAGGACATCCAAAAAATGATACAAGAAGTGAAGGGAGAAATATTCAAGAAAATAGGTGGCATAAATAAAAAACAATCAAAACTTCAGGAAACAATAAACACACTTATAGAAATGCAAAATGCTCTGGAAAGTCTCAGCAATAGAATTGAACAAATAGAAGAAAGAAATTCAGAGCTCAAAGACAAGGTCATTGAATTATCCCAATCCAACAAAGACAGAGAAAAAGAATAAGAAAATACAAACAAAGACTCCAAGAAGTCCGGGATTATATTAAACAATTAAACCTAAGAATAATTGGTTTTCCTGAGGAAGAAGAGGAATCTAAAAGTTTGGAAAACATTTTGGGGGAATAATTGAAGAAAACTTCCCCAGCCTTGCTAGAGACCTGGACATTCAAATACAAGAAGCACAAAGAACACCTGGGAAATTCATCGCAAAAAGATCATCACCTAGGCACATTGTCATCAGGTTATCTAAAGTTAAGACAAAGGAAAGAATCTTAAGAGCTGTGAGACAAAAGCACCAGGTAAACTATAAAGGAAAACCTATCAGATTAACAGCAGATGTCTTAGCAGATACCCTACAAGCTAGAAGGGATTGGGGTCTTATCTTCAGTCACCTCAAACAAAACAATTAACAGCCAAGAATTTTGCATCAAGTGAAACTAAGCTTCATATATGAAGGATAGATACAGTCTTTTTCAGACAAATGCTGAGAGAATTTGCCACTACCAAGCCACCACTACAAGAAATGCTAAAAGGAGCTCTAAATCTTGAAACAAATCCTGGAAACACATCAAAACAGAAACTCTTTGAAGCATAAATCTCACAGGACCTATAAAACAAAAATACAATTTTAAAAATAAAAACAAAAAACAAAAAAACCAATGTATACAGGCAACAAATAGCACAATGAATGGAATGGTACCTTACATGTCAATACTAACATCGAATGTAAATGGCCTAAATGCTCCCCTTAAAAGATACAGAATTGTGGAATGGATAAGAATTCACCAACCATCTGCTGCCTTCAAGAGACTCACCCAACACATAAGGACTTGCACAAACTTAAGGTAAAGGGGTGGAAAAAGACATTTCAGGCAAATGGACACCAAAACTGAGCAGGAGTAGCTATTCTTATATCAGTCAAATCAGACTTTAAAGCAAGAGCAGCTAAAAAAGACAAAGAGGGACATTACATATTGATAAAAGGCCTTGTCCAACAGGAAAACATCACAATCCTAAGCATAAATGCACCTAACACTGGAGTTCCCAAATTTATATAACAATTACTAATAGACCTGAGAAATGAGATAGACAGCAACACAATAATAGTGGGGGACTTCAATATTCCACTGACAGCACTAGACAGATCATCAGGACAGAAAGTCAATAGAGAAATAATGGATTTAAACTATACTCTGGAACAAATGGACTTAATAGATATATACAGAACACTCCATCCACCAACCACTGATTATACATTCCATTCAACATTGCATGGAACTTTCTCCAAGACAGACCATATGATAGGCCACAAAATGAGCCTCAATAAACTTAAGAAAATTGAAATTATATCAAGCACTCTTTCAGACCACAGTGGAATAAAACTGGAAATCAACTCCAAAAGGAACCTTTAAAACCATGCAATTAATATATGGAATATTAAATATTTTATACAATATTTAATACATGGAAATTAAATAACCTGATCCTGAATGATCATTCAGTCAAAAATGAAATAAAAATGGAATTAAACAACTCTTCAAACTTAATGACAATAGTGACACAACCTATCAAAAACCTCTGGGACACAGCAAAGGCAGTGCTAAGAGGAAAGTTCATAGCCCTAAATGGCTGCATCAAAAATTCTGAAAGAACACAAACAGACAATCTAAGGTCACACCTCAAGGAACTAGAGAAACAAGAAAAAGGCAAACCCAAACCCAGCAGAAGAAAGGAAATAACCAAGATCAGAACAGAGCTAAATGAAATTGAAACAAAAAAAAAATACAAAAGATAAATGAAACAAAAAGTTGGTTCTTTGAAAAGATGAATAAAATTGATAGACCATTAGCAAGATTAACCAAGAAAATAAGAGATAAAATCCAAATAAGCTCAATAAGAAATGAAACAGGAGATATTACAAGTGACACCACAGAAATGCAAAAGATCATTCAAGGCTACTGTGAACACCTTTATACACACAAACTAGAAAATCTAGAAGAGATGGATAAATTCCTGGAAAGATACAACCCTCTTAGCTTAAATCAGGAATAATTAGATATCCTGAACAACCAGTAACAAGCAGAGAGATTGAAATGGTAATTAAAAAATTACCACCAACAAAAAAAGTTCAGGACCAGACAAATTCACAGCAGAATTCTACCAGACATTCAAAGAATTGGTATCAATCTTATTGACACTATTCCACAAGATAGAGAAAGAGGGAACCCTCCCTAAATCATTCTATGAAGCCAGTATCACCCTAATACTGTCAGAGGCATCTGAACCAAAGCGACTCCATCTTGAGTGAGGGCTAGGAAAATGAGGCTGGGCCTTGCTGGGCTGCATTCTCAGAAAGTCAGGCATTCCTAGCCTCTAGATGTTTATGGTTAAGGGAACAAATTAATAATGTTTACTAAATAGACCCAGACTTGGGGGTGTCCAGCTATCCTAATATCTGGAGAATGAAGGCATTCCTAATTTTGCTTTGAAGATAATATTGATTCTTGCAAAATATAGTAATTAAGAAAATTAATCCTTTATCACAAACCCTTGTAGCAGAACACATCTCCCCATATATACGAGCATTGTACCTAAGATGCATGCGTTCCTCCTCTTAATTTCAGGAATGTCCTACACTGTCTATGGAGTAGCTGTACTTTCACCACTTTATTTTCTTAATAAACTTGTTTTTACTTTGCATTGCAGACTTGCCCTGAATTCTTTCATGTGCAATATCCGAAAACCCTCTCTTGGGGCCTGGATCAGGACCCCTTTCCTATAACATCTTTCTGGCGACAACAAAGGGACAATGGTGTGGAATCCCCCTTCCCAAATGCTACTTTTAGGTAAGTATTGGGGTCCTGTAACATATTTCTGGCAAACCATGGAATGGACAATACTGAAGAAACTCGCCAACCCAAAGGATATAGACTGTAGCAATGATTGGACGACTCTGAGCAAGTGGTGGGGTACCTGGGTAAAGAATCGGATGGGATTAGAGGCCCAACTGGGGGAGTTAGAGTCTCTCCCAAGCCAGAGTGGGTTAGAGGCCCCTCTTAGTGAAAGGCAAGGACGCTTGACCCACCTTGGGTTATAGGCCCGCCTTAGGAGGGTTAAAGTCCCTTCCAAGATTTAGGGGGCTGGAGGCCCCTCTCAGTAAAGTCCCTCTCAGCTAAGAATGAGTTTGGCACTGCAGGCTATGCTCTTTGTATTAATCTTCCTTGTTCTTCCTGCTGCATCAATCAATTTCTCGGTTGCTGTCTGTTTCGCTGTCATTTTCAGAAGACTTTATTTAACGGGTCTTAGGGATTTTAACTTACTCTTTTCCTATGTGCCTCCTGATTTTTGTCTGTTTACTTGTGAAACATTGAGAGCAAAAACCATTGAAGGCTCTGTCTCTAAAATTGTTCATTGAGATTTGGTATTTAACAGTTATAAGCAATAAAATTAAACAGATGTGGTTATGTTTGGTTGCTGCTATGCTGACTAGGTGTGATCGAGAAGCACTAGGATGGAAATCAGGGGACTTTTCTCCTTGCTGTTTTGTTTTATTTTACACACTAAAAAAACTTCTTTCCTTTCTTGGATTCAGGCAAACTGGCTTTGCTTGTTCAATCCACACTGCCGCTATTTCCCAGAACCTGCTTGCTCTGGTCATTCCCATCTAAATCCTCTTCATTTCCTTTGCCTTATTTGACATTTTTGTCAAAGTCCATGTTGTGGTTTATCTGAGATTCATGGCTTGGCTCACTTATGTTATTTGGATAATGTGAATCATGTTTGATGAGAGGAAAGGAAGGAAAATAAGAAAAAGAGCTAGATACACCAGATGATTCTTTAATACACCCCTCCCCTCCCCGCCATTCAGTGGGCAGTTTTGGGTGGAGCAGACCCTCCTTCTCTCAGTTCTGATGGTTCAGAGCTGGTTCTTTCTCCCTCCAGTCCACTTGAAAGTTCAGTTGAGAACCTTTTGTCCCCTCTTCCTTACCTGTCTAGTCTACTCTATACCCACGACTCCCTGAGGAACTTAGCCCAGTGAGTACTACTCATAGTGAAGCCTCCTATCAGCTTCCAAAGGGAAATCTTTGTCTATTTAGGGAGGTGGCAGATGGGGAAGAAGGCACTGTGAGAGTACATCTTCCCTTTTCTATGTCTGATTTGGCTCTATGTAAAGAGAAGTTTGGTCATTTCTCTGAAGATCCAGGAAAATTCATAGACGAGTTTGAGAAATTAACTCTGACCTATGGTTTAACTTGGCAAGATCCGCATGTTTTGTGTTCTCTGTGTTGTACAGTGGAAGAGAAACAACGCATTTTGGGGACAGCTAGGACTCATGCAGATGAAGTATTGGCTCATAATCTGAACCATAATATGTATCAGGCAGGAGGTATAGCAGTTCCAGATCAAGATCCAGAGTGGAACTATCAAAGGGGCAGTGAGGACTTGGGGAGGAGAATTGTAAGGTCACTTGTTTGTAAGAAGGGATGAAGAAATGTATGAAAAATCCCATTAACTATGAAAATGTTAAGGATGTTTCTCAGGGCAAAGATGAGAATACAGCTTTATTTCAAGGGCATTTAGTTGAGGCAATGAGGAAATATACTAACACTGATCTTGCTTCAAAGGAAGGACAAACCCTCTGGGAGTGCATTTTATAACCCAGTCTGCCCCTGATATCCATAGGAAACTACAAAAACCAGCTATGGGTCCCCAAACTCCTATGGACAGCTTTTGGAGATGACATTTTTAGTTTTTAACAACAGGGACAAAGCAGAGGAAGCAGAAAGAGCAAGAAGGACCTCCCACAAGGTGCAGCTCTTGGCTGCAGCCTCCAACTTACCTCCCACGTGGGGCTGCCCTCCTGGCTGTTGGCCTGGACAAGGGAAGCTGAAAGGTGGGAAGCCCAAAGCTGGGAGTCTGAGTCACCATGCCTTGGGAATAATCAGTGTGCACACTGTAAGAAAACTGGCCGTAGGAAGAAGGATTCCCCAGGGTTCGGAAGGGAGTCACTGGGACCTGAACCAATGATGGCCGAAATAGCTGGGCAAGCCCAAGAGTGATAGGGCCCGAGACCTTCCACTGAAGCTCCCATTGGACAACTAGCCATATCTCCAGAGAAGCCTTGGGTAACCCTTAATGTGGCAGGTAAGAATATTAACTCCCTTATGGACTGCTTACTCTGTTTTGACCCATTATAATGGGACTTTGTCACCCCAAAATGGTATAGTCATGGGGATAGATGGACAATCCCATAGACACCATTTTAAGAATCCTTTAAGCTGCTCATCAGGGACTTTGGTTTTTCTCCTGAATGCCCCATACCTTGTTGGGAAGGGATTTGTTAATTCAGCTGCAAACAGTAGTATCTTTCATAAATCACAAGGCAGACAGAAATTGCTCCTTCTCCTTTCCTATGAATAAATGTCAGGCTTTGTTGCTAAACATCCTTATATAATTCTTAAAGTATGCCAGACTGAACCCAGCTACCTATTTACCTGAACTGGCACCCTAGATCATTCTTGTATACAAATTATGGAGCTAGTTTACTCCAGCCATCTGGATTTAAAGGATGAGCCTCTAGATAATCCTGAGGTAGAATGGTTTACAGATGGAAGTAGCTTCGTGCACCAGGAAAACTGGCAAGCTGGGGCTGTTGTCAGTCAACATGAGGTAATTGGATCTCAAGCCTTACAAGCCTCTACCTTAGCTCAAAAGGCAGAATTAATAGCTCTTATTAGAGCCCTGCAACTGGGAAAGGACCTAAGAATTAACATTTACACTGATTCTAAGTATGCCTTTCTGGTACTTCTGCTCATGCTGCTATCTGGAAGGAATGGGGACTCCTAACTGTTAAGGGTTCCCCTGCAAAACATTACTTAGAAATTCGGAGAATATTGGGTGCTGTTTTGCTGCCCAAGGAAGTAGCTATAAACCATTGTAGAGGTTATCAAAGAGGAGACTCTGGTGCGGCTAAGGGAAACTCCTTTGCAGATGCAACTGCTAACGCAGCAGCACTAAAGGAGCCAATAGGACTTATTGGCATGTTGGTGCCCTCAGCCACTGCATTGACAGACCCTAGATATACTAAAGAGGAACAAGAATGGGCTAAAGGTCAGGGTTTAATTAAAGATCCTCTGGCTGGCTTATCAATGACAACAAACTGTTATTACCAGGTGCTAATCAGTGGAAAATAAGCATTTGTGTGACTCTAGTCATTTGGGAAGATATTTCCTGTTTCAATTAACTTTTTATAGGAAAAGACTTAAAACAGTAAAGCAGCTAACTCAGGCCTGTGAACTATGCGCCTGGAATAACCCAAATAACCAATCTTCACCTCCTCCTCTAGTAAGGCCTGTTCAGCACAGGGGAACGTACCCTGTTGAAGACTGGCAAATAAATTATACTCAAATGCCCCTATGTAAAGGGTTTAGGTATTTATTAGTATTTGTTGACACCTTTTCTGGTTGGATCGAAGCTTTTCCTACCTGGTCTGAAAAGGCAATTGAGGTTTCTAAACTCCTACTAAAGGAAATAATTCCTAGATTTGGTCTGCCTTAAGAGCTTGCAGAGTGATAACGGCCCATCTTTCACAGCGACAATTACCCAAAACATATCTTTAGCCCTAGGAATTCAGTACCACCTTCACTAAGCATGGAGACCACAGTCTTCAGGGAAAGTAGAAAGAGCTAATCAAACTCTAAAAATGACTCTTGCAAAACTATGCCAAGAAACATCAGAAACCTAGTTGTCTTTATTACCTGTAGTCTTATTACTGGTTTAAATAGCCTCTAAAGGAAATCTGCAGCTCAGTCCTTTTGAAATAATGTACGGCAGACCTTTCTTAACTACAGACTGTCTAATAGACATAGATACTTTCAAGTTACAGAATTATGTGATCAGCGTAGGACAAGTGCAAAACGCACTCCTTGAATATGGAAATCAAAGACTCCCTTCCCCCACTAAGGAAGAGAATCTTGTTACAACCCAGCCGGGAGACTGGGTCCTATTAAAAACTTGGAAGAAATGATCCCCAGCAGATCAACTGTCCCCCCAAATGGAAGGGATCCTATCAAGTTCTCCTTAGTACCCCAACTGAAGTTAAACTTCTGTGAATAAACAGCTGGGTCCACTTATCTTAAATTAAATCTGTCTCTTATGAAGTCCCACAGGCCAGTGGAACACAAGAGACTAATCCTGTTTATTCCTGTGAGCCAATAAGTGACCTCTGACTCCTGTTCAGAAGAAATGAGAGGGATGAGTAACATAAAGATACGAATTGGCATTCTACTTTTGGGTATAAGTTGGAATCATGCAGAGAGTAACTTATTTACTGAGTGGGCATAGACTTTAGCCTCTTTACATAATCAGACAAACTGCTGGATATGTGGACATTTTAACGTACCAGCGGCCCAAGGGGGAACTTGTGTATGATCAAAACTGAATGTTTTGTGTATGTTCCAGACTATTCACATTGACATTACTCAGGCTATGAAAGCTTTAGACACTCAGATCTCTGCCACCGACGTGCTATCAGTCAACCCTATATTGGCTTGGTTCCAACAACTGTCCAGTTCTTGGAAAGCTTTCCTGTTTAGTTTACTTGGAACGACTTTACTTATTTTGCTTTGCTGTTGTGGAATATATTGTGGCTGTACTCTTTGTGTAGAAATGCAAGACAAACTCACTCAATGCTTTTTTAAATTGAATACTTATTAATCTTCCAGATATCACCTTTTGTCGGAACTTGGAGTTGGTAATGACCTTCACCATACCACCACTCTGGGACTGAGCTTCTCTCTACCCTGATGCAAGAGACCCTAATAGGCAGGAATATGACCACCCCTATTCAGCCTGAAGAAGTTACAGAAGTTCTGAAACCCTTAGAAATGAGGGTCTTCTTGTAAAGGGAGTGGGGAGATATATCAGAGGCATTTGAACCAGAGCAACTCCATCTTGAGTGAGGGCTAGGAAAATGAGGCTAGGACTTGCTGGGCTGCATTCTCAGAAAGTCAGTCATTCCTAGCCTCTAGATGTTTACGGTTAAGGGAACAAATTTATAACATTTACTAAACACACCCAGACTTGGGAGTGTCCAGATATCCCAATATCTGGAGAACAAAGGCATTCCTAATTTTGCTTTAAAGACAATAATATTGATTCTTGCAAAATATAGTAATTAAGAAAATTAATCCTTTATCACAAACCCTTGTAGTAAAACACATCTCCCCATATATACAAGCATTGTACCTAAGGTGGATGCGTTCCATCTCTTACTTTCAGGAATGTCCTACACTATCTAAGGAGTAGCTGTACTTTCACCACTTTACTTTCTTAATAAACTTGTTTTTACTTTGCACCAAGGACTTGCACTGAATTCTTTCTTGCGTGAGATCCAAAAACCCTCTGTTCGGGTCTGGATTGGGACCCCTTTCCTATAACATCCTTCTGGCAACCACAGAAGGGACTATAGTGTGGAAACTCCCTTCCTAAATGCTGCTTTTGGGTAAGTGTTGGAGTCCTGTAACATATTTCTGGCTGTCACAGAACAGATTATAGTGCAGAAACCCTGACCCAAAGGCTACCTTTGAGTAAGTGCTGGGGTCCTGTAATAATATCAAAACCAGGAAAGGACATAACCAAAAAAGAAAACTACATTCCAATATTCCTGATGAACATAGATGCAAAAATCCTTAACAAAATGCTAGCTAACCGAATCCAACAACATATCAAAAAGATAATCCATCATGATCAAGTGGGTTTCATACCAGGGATGCAGGGATGGTTTAACATACATAAATCAATAAATGTGATACACCACATAAACAGAATTAAAAACAAAAATCACACGATCATCTCAATAGATGCAGAAAAGGCATTCAACAAAACCCAGTAACATTTATGATTAAAACTCTCAGCAAAATCAGCATACAAGGGACATATATCAGTATAATAAAAGCCATCTATGACAAACCCACACCCAACATAATACTGAATAGGGAAAAGTTGAAAGCATTCCCTCTGAGAACTGGAACAAAATAAGAATGCCCACTCTCACCCCTCTTCTTCAACATATTACTGGAAGTCCTAGCCAGAGCAATCAGGCAAGAGGAAGAAATAAGGGGCATCCAAATCAGTAAAAAGGAAGTCAAACTGTCACTGTTTGCCGATGATATGATTGCTTACCTAGAAAACCCTAAAGACTCCTCTAGAAAGCTCCTAGAACTGATGAAAGAATTCAGCAAATTTCTGGATACAAAATTAATGCACACAAACCAGTAGCTCTTCTATATACCAATAGCGACCAAGCTGAAAATCAAATCAAGAACTCAACCCCTTTTACAATAGCTGCAAAACAAAAGTAGGAATATACCTAACCAAGGAGGTGAAGACCTCTACAAGGAAAACTACAAAACACTGCTGAAAGAACTTATAGATGACACAAACAAATGGAAACACATCCCACGCTCATGGATGGGGAGAATCAATTTTGTGAAAATGACCATATTGCCAAAGCAGTCTACAAATTCAACACAATTCCCATCAAAATACCACCATCATTCTTCACAGAATTAGAAAAAACAATTCTAAAATTCATGTGGAACCAAAAAAGAGCCCATATAGCAAAAGCAAGACTAAGAAAAAAAATCTGGAGGCATCACACTACCTGATTTCAAACTATACTACATAAGACCATAGTCACCAAAACAGCATGGTGCCTATACAAATAGGCACATAGACCAATGGAACAGAACAGAGAATCCAGAAATAAACCCAAATGCTTACAGCCAACTGATCTTCGACAAAGCAAACAAAAACATAAAGCGGGGAAAGGACACTGTTTTCAACAAACAGTGCTGGGGTAATTGGCTAGCCACATGTAGGAGAATAAAACTGGATCCTCATTTCTCATCTTATACAAAAATCAACTCAAGATGGATTAAGGACTTCAATCTAAGACCTGAAACTATAAAAATTCTAGAAGATAACATTGGAAAAACTCTTCTAAACATTGGTTTAGGTAAGGATTTCATTCATGACTAAGAACCCAAAAGCAAATGCAATAAAAACAAAGAAAAATTGCAGGGACTAAAACTAAAGAGCTTTTGCATGGCAAAAGGAATAGTCAGTTGAGTAATTACAGATAACCTACAGAGTGGGAAAGAATCTTCACAATCTATCCATCTGACAATGGACTAATATCTAGAATCTACAATGAACTCAAACAAATCAACAAGGAAAAAAACAAAAAATCCCATCAAAACGTGGGCTAAGGGCAAGAATAGACAGTTCTCAAAAGAATACATACCAATAGCCAACAAACATATAAGAAAACACTCAACATCATTAATGATCAGGGGAATGCAAATCAAAACCACAATGAGATACCACTTCACACTCATTAGGATGGCTATTATCAAAAAACAAAACAAAACAAAACAAAACAAAACAAGTGTTGGCCTGGATGTGGATAAATTGGAGCACTGTGCATTGCTGATGGAAATGTAAAATGGGGCAGCCACTGTGGAAAACAGCATGCAGTTACTAAAAAAAAAAATTAAACATAGAATTACTACTTAATCCAGCAAGTCTACTTCTGGATATATCTACATATCAATTGAAAGCAGGGAGTAAGACAGATATTTGTACACCCGTGTTCACAGTAGCATTATTTACAATAGCCAAAAGGTGGAAACAACCCAAGTGTTCATCAATGGATAAACGGATAAACAAATATGGTATACACATAATTAATGGCACTGAAATACCTTCAGCCATAAAAGAAAGGAAATTCTGACATGCTCTATATAATATGGAGAAGCCTTGAAAATGTTATGCAAAGTAAAATAAGCTAGACACAGAAGGAAAAATATTGCATGACTCCACTTATATGAAGTATATAGAATAGGCACCTCATAGAGACGAACATAGGTTAGAGGTCACAGGGGCTGGGGGCTGGGGAGTTATTTTTTACTGGGTACAGAGTTTCTGTTTGGGTGATTTAAAAAGTTTTGGAAATAGTGGTAACGGTTGTACAACATTGTAATGTAATTAATAGCACGGAATTATACACTTAAATATGGTAAAATGGCAATAATCATTGATCATACTTATATCATATTGATCATATATATTTCACAACAATTAAAAAATAGTAAAAGGAAACCCTACCCACAAAAAACATAAATGATTAAAGCATTTTAAAATATGATAGTGAGTATTTATCTGATCTTTAAATGGGAAAGGTAATTCAAAGGATAAATCCAATAAGAAACTCATAAATGAAAATATTAATAGAAATTTTCCAAACAGGAATTAAAATCCCTTTAATTTCCAAAAGGGTGTATAAACAAAATAAAGATGCATCCAGAAATACATTTAATAATTATAACATTTGACAAAAGGTTAACCCTTAAAATATAGTATCATATAATTTAATAAAAATCACACCACGCCCCACAAAAATTCATGGGCAAAAGCAAAATATGATAATTCACCAAAAAGAAATACTTTTATTTAATAAATATTTTATGCTTTTCAGCCTCATTGGTAAAAAAAATAATAATTTTTAAAATGAAATATTTCTTCCCAATTATCATGAGAATATACAGGACTGGTGAAAGATTATAAATTTCTCCAACAATTTTTGAATGACTTTTTAATAGTATGTACCAAAGAATGTTTGTATTTTTAAAAATAATAATTTCACTTCTAGGAACTTAGCCTAAGAAATGTTTCCCTGACTGCAGTATATAATTAAGAATTATATTCATTTTGCATTATTTAAAATTGTGAACAATTGGTAACAGAATGAACAATAGGGGAATATTTTGGAAAACCACATTTCATCATGTTAAGGAGAAAAGCCAGAAGATAAAGTTGGATATAATGTAGGATCACAATTAACTAAGTGTGCATGAAAATACGCCAACAATTTTACAGCTATTGGTGATACTTTGGCCCCTTTTTTCTTTTTTGTACTTCTCAATTTTTCTATAATTAACTGTCACTTTTGTAATGAAGAAGAGAACTTAACCAATGGTATTGTATAAGATAATGACTTAGAAAATCTGGAAGAGTACTATTTATTTTGATTCTTTGGAGGCAAATAAAGTAAAAAAAATCTTCTTTCTAATTAAGTCAAAATGATTTGGGAACAAAATGAAATCCTGATAGAATAAGAGGGCATGAAAATGTCTATTTCAAGAGACCTGGCTTCTGGCTTTTCTAGAATCATGTGTAGGCAACAATTATTACTGTTATTCCTGCAGACTCAGTAGTTTAGTCTCAAAATATGTGATCTGATCTTATTTGTTTGGGTTCCATATTTATGCAACAAATATTAACTGAGCCCCTACTCTGTATCTTAGACTGTTACAGAGGGAAAAAAAAGAAAGTTTGTTAATAACAGCTGCTGCTTATTGAGTACCTACATGAATGTTGGAGGTGTTATAACTCTACAAGGTGGAACTATGATTCCCTCTTTACCAAGGAGGTAACTAAAGACCAGAGAGGAACTTGCTCCAGTTCCTTTATTGTTCCCATAGCAATAAAGTAATGGATGTGGTTTTTAACCCATCCCACAATCTTTCAGTTGCTCCATGCCATCATGCTTCCAAAATAGCGAGTGATGGCATTCCATTACAGAACATAAATACATCTTGCCATGAGCAGTCTTACGGCCCCAGGCTTGGCTGTGCTCTCTCCCCTGGCATACTCTCCTGGGCTACGTGCCCCTCCCACCTCTGAAGTGCAAATGTGCCAGCTGGACAAAACACCTAGATCCCCAAGAAGGGTGCGGAGCAGGCAGCTCTCCCAATGCATGCTGGTCTGACAGGTTTGCTTTAGTGCCCAGATCCTATCGAGGTCTTGAACCTGTCCTGAGGGAGAGTTGTTGACAGAAAGGTGTAGAGGGATAACATATTTGTCAGCAAAATCGCTAAGGGGTAAGCAGAGCTCTGCTGGCAGCCGAGTTTCTGTGGGATAAAGAGACACATGCCCTTAGTTGGTTATGCACACAAAGCAACCAATAGGTCCAGGCTTTCTGGCTCTCCGTCAGCTTAATCAGACAGAAAATCACTGAGGTATTAAAACATTTTGGAGAAACTCAAACAACTCAGCCCTCAGATGCCTCATCTTGTAAAGTTTGCACGCTGAGCCAGAACTAAATAATTTCCAAGGTTTCCTACAGTTCAAGGAGCTTGTGATTTGGTTTGCACAAGACTTGGAAAAACATTTATCATTTGATATTAAATTAAAATCTAAGATAATACTATATTCCTAGAATGGTCCCAAATAGATTTAAAATAATTACATTTTCATAGGAAAAAGGCTCGGAGAGATTTCTAAAAATATTTATAACGTGTGATCATAGATGATGTAAATTTTTTGCTTATTTCTCTTATGGGTCTTGTTAAATATTAAATGTCTATATTATTTAATTATTAAATGTGTATATTGTTTAATTATTAAATGTTTATATTGTTTAAGCAGTTACTTGCAGCTGAATGTAACCTAACTAATAGAAGAGATTATTTTAGAGTGTTTGGGGAAGGGTCTCTGAGCAGGTGACATTTAACTGATGTGAAGAAGTGAGCCATGTGAAAGAATAGGGAAGGACATTCTTGGCGAATGGAACAAGAACAAATTGGTTTGTTCCAGGACAGCAAGAAGGAAGACTAATGTGTCTGGGGCACAGGGAGGTGGGGGATGAGGTCACCAAAGGGGGCAAGGCAGATAGCGAGAGTGAGTATGGGTTAAGAACCAGGGCTGGAGAGGGAGGCATGGACTAGACCACAAAAGCCTTGGAGTTGTACCATGTTCTGTGATTCCAGGTACAATGGTAAGTAAGCCATGGTTGGGCTTCGAGTATAGTGACATGTTCTGATTTTTGGTTTAGAAAGCAAACTGCTGAAGGCAGAGAGATCAGTTAGGAGCTATGGCTGTAGTCCCTGTGTAAGATGATGGTGGCTTGGACAGGGTGTCAGCCATGGGGGTGACAAGAAGCAGTCAGGCTTTGTTGATGGATTGGATATGGGGTGTGAGAAGTACAGAGGAGTGAAAAATGACTCCCAGGCTTTTTGTCTGAGCCACTGGGTGGATGGTTGTGCCATATTCCAAGAAGGTAAGACTGCAGGAAGAAGGAGCTTGGGATGGGTTAAAAAGAAAGTTTTGCTTGGACATATTGAGTTTTAAATGCTTATTTGGCAACCACATTGAGATGCTAAGGAGATAATTGATGGCTGCATCTGGAACTTAGGGAAGACGTATGAGGCAGAAATATACATATGGGTGTCATCAGCATAGAAATGGTGTTTGGAATCAAGGGACAGAGATCGCCAAGAGAAGGGGGTAGAGAGGGAAGAGAAGAGCCCAAGGCTGAGCCTCAGGTACCTTAACACTTAGAAGTGCAGAAGGAGGAGCCTGGAGAAGGGGCTGTGAAGAAGTGGTCAGTAGGGTAGGGAGAACGAGGAGGGTGTGGGGTCTTAGAAACATGTGAAGAAAGTGTTTTCAGGAGGTGGAAGTAACCAACTATTCCAAATGTTGCTCAAAGTTTCAGTAAGACAAAGATATGGCATTGTCCATTGGATTTGGCAAAATGGAGATCCATTATGACCTCAAAGAGTGTGCTCAGTGGCATTGATTAAAGAGAAGAAGAGAAGTGAATCAATGGAGATGTCAAAACATGTGCCTTTGTTATGAGTGCACATGGGGGAATGGTACAGTACGTAGAGAACGTAGAGTCCTGGGAGGAGCTTTTGAAGACAGAGAAACTGGAACATGCTTGCATGCTGCTGAGGATAGTCCAAGAAGAAATCCATGATGTAGGAGAGAGAATTACAGGGAAGAATCCCTGGGAAGAGGTAGAGGAGATGGTGTCTGGGCAAGAGTGGTGAGCTAAATTTGGATAGAAGATGGGTCAATTTATGTATGGAGCTGGAGGGAAGGAGGCTGCATGGAGACAGATGCAGCTGGGCTGGGAAGTTAGTGGTGGGAATATGAGGCTGTTGTCCTCCCTCCTTTTTTCGAGACAGGGTCTCACTCTGTCTCCTAGGTTGGAGTGCAGTGGTATGGTCATAACTCACTGTAGCCTTGAACTCCTGGGCTCAAGCAATCCTCTGACCTCAGCCTCCTGAATAGGTGGGACTACAGGTGTACACCACCATGCCCAACTAATTTATTTTTATTTTTTAGTAGAGATAAGGTCTCTCTATGTTGTCCAGGCTGGTCTTGAACTCCTGGGCTCTCACCTTGGCCTCTCAAAGTGCTGGGATTACAAACGTGAGCCACCTTGCACAGCCAGTTCTCCATTCTTCTGATTGATTTTGCTCTCTCTGTGAAATAAGAAACAAAGCCGTTGTATTGGAGTGGGAAAGTGAATGAACTAGGTTGGGCAGTTTTCAAACTTTTTGGTCTCAGGACCCCATTACTCTCTTAAAAATTGAAGACCTCAAGGAGTTTTTATTTGTAGGGGTTATCTCTATCCAAATATACTGTTTTTTTAAATGAAAAAAATTAAATTTAATTATACATTTTTAAAGTAAGAGTACTAAACCCATTATATATTAGCATGACTCATTGTATTAAAAAATAACTATTATCCAAAACAAAAAAAAATAGTGAGTGTGGTAAGAACCAGGGCTGGGAAGTGAGTGAAGTGGCAATTTTACCTTTCTTTCCCAAATTATTTTAATGTCTGGCTTAATAGAAGATAGCTGGATTCTCATAACTGCTTCTGCATTTGATCTGCTAAGATGACGTACTTCCTGTAGCCTCTGGGAAACTCCACTGTACAGTTGTGAGAAAAGAAGAATGGAAAAAATAACTTCTTGATATTACTATGAATATTTTTAGACCACACAGGCCCCTGAAAGGGTCTCAGGCACCCCATTCACACTTGGAGAAATGCTGGGCAAAGGAAGGATGGTAAGATTGCTTGGCAGAGCCTGGGCTCAAATTCAGGTTTGTCTGATTCCAAGTTCATGGAAGATTATCAGAGCAGTGAGCCTGGGTTGACCAGCAGCCTCAAATAAGGAAACACGGTTCTCAACTCAGCCGGTAAGTTAATGCTGAAATGCTGTGGTTCAAACACCTCTTGTGGTACAAAAACCAAGAGGTATCAGTTTAACCAGGAATATTTCAAAGGCTAAAATTTTCCTGAAGTTTCTATAATCTCAGGAAAGAAGAACCCTGAAGGGTGGGCATAGCACTGGCTCAGCTAGCACTGTCTGGGGCTTAGAGCTGTACTTTGTGTTTCCAGCTGCAGTTTCTGATTTCTTTTGGTTCTATTCTATTTAACCATTCTCGGAAGGTCCACTGGATAGCAAGCCCTGTGGGAGAAGCTTGTATGTGGCTGCTCACTCCCTACACGCTGTAGGCAATGGGGAAACATTTTTTGAGCAGATTGACCCTAAGGAGACAAACACACATGGGTAGCCCCATTCCATCTCTTCAAAGGGCTCCCTTGCACTCAGCAGACCCCTGCTGCAACCAGGGGTGTAGAGGAGTGTCTGAGGACGTGAGAGCAATGCTTCTGCTGACCTTCTCTTGGAAGCTCCTACCTACCCAATACGATGTCCCGGGGTATCTAAGCCACCTTGAGTTTCCTTTAAGTGTTATCAACAGTCTCCTTCATGTTCACGTCTGGGGTCAGGATTGCAGCTGCAGGCGCAGCTGAACTTGGGAGCTCACTTTGCATTACAGCAGGAAAGATGTTGATAAACCCTCGATCTTCATTTCCCACACACACTTCACTACCTTTGGTGTATTGCTTCTATCAATTCTACTGGAAGGTAGGGAGCAGAATATCCACCCCAAAGGGAGAAAATACTACAAATGCGGATTTGGGATGATGAAAAAAAGCTCCAGCGAGCGTAGAATTAGGGTCTAGCTCCACCCTTTGTGCAACAGTGTCATGTGACCTCCACAAATACTGGGACTCATTTTAAAATGATGTGCTCACCCCCGACCCTTTCTGCTGTGTATTTACTGACTTCCTTTGTCGTCAGTGATTCAGATCTGGGTGTTTACTTCATGAGCTCAGCCAGTAACCTTGAAGAACTTGAGTTTCCTCTACTATCCTTTTAACCAAAATTCCTTTTTCCTTCTCCAGGCTGTTTCCCATATAAGGTTCATGACCCCCAGTGAGGATGAAACTGCCTGCAAGGTTTGTCTTCTCTCCTGTTCACTGGTTACTCAGCCAGGCTGATTCATGGGCTTCTCAAAGGAGCTTGTTTATCAGAAGCTTGTCTAAGACACCACGTCTTCCAGAAAATCTCACCTGAGTCACCAACAGATTCCTCTAAGAGTCTGTAAGCCACTCCTGACCAGCAGGAAACCCCAACAGAGGCAAAGAATAGGAAATTAAATATTTCGTCAAGAAAAAATGAGAGGCTGGGTGCGGTGGCTCATGCCTATATCCCAGCACTTTAGGAGGCCTAAGCGGGCGGATCATTTGAGGTCAGGAGTTTGAGACCAGCCCGGCCAACATGGTGAAACCCTGTCTCTACTAAAAATACAAAAACAATTAGCTGGGCATGGTGGTGGGTGCTTGTAATCCCAGCTACTGGGGGAGGCTGAGGCGGGAGAATCGCTGAAACCCAGGAGACAGAAGTTGCTGTGAGCCGAGACCACACCACTGCACTCCAGCCTGGGTGAGAGTGAGACTGTCTCAAAAAAAAAAAAAAAAAAAAAAAAAAAGCAAGAAAGCTCCCATTTAGATCACTCGGACAAAAGATTTCTTTTTGTGCCAAAATGTTCCACTAGGCTTCCAGTTTTTACCACATAACTTGACAGTCATGCAAGACTTAAGTGTATTTTCAGCTATCCTTTCTCTTTCATTTATTTCTGTTTAATAAGCTCTGTCCATTGATTCTAGTTAGTACATTATATATCTTTTTAATCACTTACCTGCAGTGAGCATCTTTCCATGTTGGTAAATACCGGTGCTACTACTGTTACTACTGAGTACTTATTCCATGTCAAATCCTCTGCCAAGCATTTTCAAGCATTGTCTCATTGCCTTCTTGCCACAACCCTATGAAGAGGCCGTGACTGTCCTCATCCAATGGAGGAGGAAGCTAAGGCTGAGAGCAATTAACACAGCTGTGAGTGAACAGGTAGGATTTAAAGCCAGGCAGTATGATTCCGGAGCCTACGCTTTTAATCACTGTTATTTTACTCTCCTCCACTCCCCAAATATACTGCATTTTTTTTGTGTGATTGTATTGTATTATTCTGTTCTAGATGTACTATGATTGATTTCGTCCATGCTGTAATTACACTTCGGTTGGTTTTAGTTTTCACTACTACAAATGGTGTTGCAACGAACGTCTTTGTGGGCAAATCTTTACAGGTCATGAATGACCCTTTCCTTAGGACACATATTGCCAAGCTGATCTCCACAAAGGTAGTACACGCCCATCATATTGTACAAAAGTATTCTTTGCCCTCCACCCTTGACACTGGGTTGCATCTATTTTTTAATTATTGCTGTTAGGATAGAAGAACAAGGCTGACACATTGTTGTTTCAGTTTGTAAGCTAGAACACTTCATTGCACATTAGCTGTATTCCTTAGGTGTATTTCTTGTTCATGTCCTTTGCCCTCTGAGGTTTGTCTCTTTATCACAGATTTGAGAACTTTTTGTATATGTCTTATATTTTTAGAATTAATAAATTTAGGGCATAAACCCAATAGAAAGAAAAACAGACTCATTCTGTGTTTTGCATAGCATCTTACCTCCTATCCTTCCTCCACATTGATAGTAAAGCATAAGAAATGATTCCTGTGCCCAGAGGTTGAAAGCAGGTCCATTTTAACAAAGTCACTTGGAAGCATCCCCTTTCTCCAAAAGAAGCTCCCAGCTTCTCCTCCTGCTCTTCGGTCTCAGAGGAAGGGAAGATGTTGGAGAGGAGCATAAAAACTTACTTTGGGCCAGGCGCGGTGGCTCACGCCTGTAATCCCAGCACTTTGGGAGGCCGAGAAGGGCAGATCATGAGGTCAGGAGATCGAGACTATCCTGGCTAACACAGTGAAACCTTGTCTCTACTAAAAATACAAAAAATTAGCCAGGTGTGGTGGCGGGTGCCTGTAGTCCCAGCTACTTGGGAGGCTGAGGCAGGAGAATGGCATGAACTCGGGAGGCGGAACTTACAGTGAGCCGAGATGGCACCACTGCACTCCAGCCTGGGTGACAGAGTGAGACTTTGTCTCAAAAACAAAAACAAAAACAAAAACAACAAAATAAAACAAAACAAAAACTTACTCTGTAGGGGCCACATAATCAGACAACTGGCTTGAGCAGGCCCTATGCCATCTTTTATTGATAATGATGAATCGGAGCGGCCAGGCCTGGTATGTGAGTTTTGGACGTGATCCTAAGTGGAGTTGTCTTGTTTATACTTGTTTTCCCTTTGTTATTATTTTGGCATTATCATGGATAATTCCATACTTCTAGGGTGTAATTCCAGTGTAATTAAACTTGAACAGCCCAATATCACACAATTGATTACATACAGCATTTATTTCTAAGTATTTCAGGGCTACGAGTGTGACCAATGCCTGGGGGTGTTGAGAGCTAATTCAGGTGCCACCCTGCTGGTCTGATGGCTCAAGAGGGCTGGTCACACACAAACCATGGGGTTCATGGGATGTAGATCTTCAGAGCTGGTGGGTTGGGTGGGACCAATGGTTTGGTGCCTGAATCTCAGGCCTCTCTTAGAAGGCTGGCCTCTCCACCCATGCCCCAGAGATCCCATAGGTCCCTATTGTTCTGTCCACAGTCTCACAGACCCTTGATCCCACCCACCACAAGAAGGGTTCTCAGGAATCAGGCTCTGACATGGAGTGTAGTGTGCAGGCCGTATATGAAGCAGCACCCTTGTAGAAGGGGAGGGAAGGAGGCAGGAGAGGGCAGAGGGAGAAGTGGAGCTGTGATTCCCATCCAAGGACACCCTTGGCCAGCTCCATAGGGAGATCTGCAGCAGGACGGCCTTTTCGAGTTGGCCTGAGTTGGTCAAGATAGCCAGCTCTCCACTCCCATAACAATCAGCTGTGGGACCTGGGACCACCTGGGAAGGGGTTTCATTGTGGGTGGGGCACTCTCTGACCCAGACCCTGAGGCTCTGATGGTTGGAGGCCCCTGGAGGCAGTGCTTTCCCCAGCAGGGCTGCAAGCTTGGAAGGAGATGGGGTCAGCATGCCTTGCTGTCCACCACACCCCTCCTTTCTCTGCTTCTCCTGTGCTACTAGGTCTTCTTCCTCCAGGCTGTCTGCATCTCAGAGTCTTTTCTTGACACTTGCTCTCATTCCTTCCTTCTGCTTCTAGGTATGCCTCTGTTTTGATATCATCACAGCCCCTTCCAATGTGATGTGTCCTTCCACCTTACTGAAAATATTCCCCTAAGTCGCCAAAAGTCCAGGTACTCAGCTTGTCTCCCCTGACCCACCTCTGACTTCAGCTGCAGCTGGGAGACCATCCCTGGCATCTTAAGGCATCTGGATTGGTGATGGGCAAAATGCCTTCTGCCAAGTCCCTGGCTGAATGTGTAGGTGCTGCCAGCCTTACAGGGGGTTGAGGATGGCTTTGTCCTGCCCTGATATTCCACAGGTGAACACTTGATCCTAACCTCTCCTGGCCTCACTCAGGTGTTCACTAGGGACAGAGAGCAATGCCAGGACACAGTTTTGTCCTACTGATGTAACCAGGTCACTGCCCCAAGCAGAGGGTGGCCATGGTCATGAGGAAAGAGCAAAGGGAAGCCTGGGGGGGCCGGGGAGTTGGGGTCAGGGAGCGGGTGGCCTAGAACTCATCCAAGGTTTTGGACTGCAAGACCATGTGCGAGACGCGGCTCCAACTACCTGGCCTGTGCCCCACTGTCCCGTGGGATTCAGCTGCAAAACACAAATCCAAAAATAATACAAGAATTTCAAGATGGCAAATGCAGAACGATAAGCCCCAAGCACGAGTTCCTCTTGCAGCTTCCAGCTCTGCCAACTCGTTTCAGTCCCAGTCTCAGGTTTCTGGGTGCCAGGAGGGCAGTTCTGCCTGCATCTCCGTCATCTCTCAGATTCGACAGGCCCAAAGTCAAATTTCATATGCATCTCCGAACTAGTGTTACCCCCCAAAACCTGGGGTTTGTTTGCCTGGTGAGTAACAAACAAATCTCCATGAGAATTCAGGTTTTGATCAGGACTTTTATTCCTAACGTAAGGAGAGCACAGGAATACTTTCCAAAGGCGTGCTTCCCCAAGGGAAAGCGACAGGAGGGCTTTATGGGGCGATGGTGAGGGGAGAGGATGCGTCATGGCATGTGGAGGAGGGGTCCCAGTGGCACAGAGGCAGCGAGTCATCAATCACGCCAGCATGTAGGTCGCATGTTATGGTAATGAAGCTGTGGCTCCTCCCAGGGTGGAGACGCTAGCATGGTCATGTGGAAAGTTCACTTGGGCCTGTCTGTAAGTTGCTGAGGTCTGTCAGGAGCTGGTTCCAATGACTAGGTGACCTCATTCCACTCAAGGTTTGGGAGAAAACCAGCTGCAGGCCGGGCGCGGTGGCTCACGCCTATAATCCCAGCACTTTGCGAGGCCGAGGAGGGCGGATCACGAGGTCAGGAGATCAAGACCATCTTGACTAACACGGTGAAAACCTGTTTCTACTAAAAATACAAAAAATTAGCCGGGCGCGGTGGTGGGCGCCTGTAATCCCAGCTACTCAGGAGGCTGAGGCAGGAGAATGGCGTGAACCCAGGAGGCGGAGCTTGCAGTGAGGCGAGAGAGCGCCACTGCAGTCCGGCCTGGGAGAAAGAGCGAGACTCCGTCTCAAAAAAAAAAAAAAAAAAAAAAAAAAAAGAAAAAAAAGAAAAGAAAACCAGCTGCAAGGCAGGAGGCTGTAAAACAGGCCGATTGCTTAAGTCAATTAAATTTCTATGGTCCCTGGAGACCCTCCCCATCTGCTTACATTAGCACCCTACTGTCAAAGGTACCCCCATTCACCCAGGACAGGTTTTAAACTGGGGAATCATCTGTGTTTTATTTTTCAGAAGAGAGTTATTGATAAGCACAAGGTCAGTCTATCGGGTTTCCAACCTCCTTCCTACACTCACACACACACACACTACAGCCCCCCCCACATATACATACACAAATTCACACCAACACACACATTTACACACTCCCACATGCATACACACTCCCACACATACATGCACTCACACACATTTACACACACTCACACACATGCACACACATCTACCCACACACATGCACATATACAGCCCCCCCACACTTGCACATTCACACATTCTCTCACACACACACTCACACTCACACCTCCCTTTGATTCTGTGGGTCCTGGCATAAGCCAGAACTTGACTCCTATCTTTGTGAATGTGGCCTGAAGCAGGATGGACTCAGAACACACTTTTTTTTTTTAAAGACAGAGTCTCTCTCTTTCTCTGTTGTACAATGGCACAATCATGGCTCACTGCGGCCTTTACTTTTTGGGCTCAAGTGATCCTCCCACCTCAGCCTCCTGAGTTGCTGTGACTACAGGCATGTGCTGCCATACTTGCCTATTATTTTTTTTTTTTTTGTAGGGCTGAGATCTCACTATGTTTCCCAGCCTGGTCTCAAATTCCTGGGCTCAAATGATCCTCCAGCCTCAGCCTCCCACAGTGCTGGGGATTACGGGCATGAGCCACCGTGCGCATCATGAGGACAATTTTGATGATGAGTGGCTTTTGCTCATGGTCACAAGGATAAATTCCACGTGCCTGGGAGTTATTTTTTATTTAACCTTTTTTAGGCTTTTAAAATATATTATCACTTGAACAGCATTAGGAATTATTGTAAAGTTATATTTGTATTGATGTAAATTACATTGTAAAGACTTTTTGAAGTGTGAGTTTTTGTTGGTGTGCACCCTTTTCTTTCTTTACTTTCTTCTCTTTTTTTCTTATAATAATTTTGTATCAGATTTGACTTCAATCATTTTTTTGGTTCTTATTTTTCCATGAAATTAGACTTTTGGAGCTTTTAAAAGGGAAGTGTACTTTGAGAAGTTTTCTAATGTCATGGCTCCCGAGGGCTCTTCCCTTGTCGGTGTGAGTGTGAACAAGCCTGGCAGCTGGCATTGAGATCTTCTGGGTCTGTGCCTCTTCCACATTTCTCTGGACTTTTCCTTTCTGTTGTCTCTTCTGCACCTGCACTGTTCAGGTTGGATTCTGATCTCTGCAGTTTATTCTGAGAGAGCTTGAGGGGTCAGTTTTGAGAGCATATTGTTTGCTCCGGCCACTCAGACCTTAACTAAGCACTGTGGCAAATGCCTCCTGGCTCTGAGGAGAAAACTGGGTTCAGGGCTTTCAGACACCCCCTCAACCTCCCTCTCCTTCCCCTTGCACAGCCCATGCTGACCCTGTAGCTACTGGGTGGTTCATCTCTATATGCTGGTATTTTTCGGCTTCTGGGGTTTTGGTTTCTCCGTTTTAATATTTCTGTGTGTTGTGAAGGGGGCGATGGGAAGTCTTCAAAAATCATGCCACCCTTGCCACTGTCTTCCAGTATCCCCTCTTTATACTCTGGGATCCTCTGCTGCCCTGAAGAAGAAAGGCCAGTCAATACCATAACATTTCAGAGACACCTTTATCATCTATTTTTATTTATTTATTTTGAGACAGGGTCTCACTCTGTCAGCCAGGCTGGAGGGCAGTGGCCCAATCATGACTGACTGTAGCTTCAACCTCCAGGACTCAGGTGATCCTCCCACCTCAGCCTCTCAAATAGTTAGGACTACAGGCAAGCACCACCATGGACGGCTAATTTTTTTGTAGAGACAGGTTTTCGTCATGTTGTCCAGATGGGTCTCAAACTCCTGGGCTCAAGTAATCCATGTGCTCCTTTGCTCACATTATTTGCTGCCTGTCCCAAGGAGAGCCTTTGAACCTCTCTGAGCCTTGGTTTCTTCATCAGTAGTGAGGCTCGCCCCTGCTACATCACAGGATGGCTGTGAAAATGCGGTAAGTTATTGTCGAAGAAATCACATTCCAAATTGTACAACTCACAATGTAAGATCTTGCTATTATTGTCATTAGAGCTCATGATCAGTCTGAGTATCCATCTATGTTTAAGGCATAACTGAAGTACTAGGGACAATGTTTATGAATATATCACTGTCTTTGCTCTTTGTGGCTTCCCCCCAGTTGCCTCCAGGAAGAACAGGATCATTACAAAAAGAATGCTGAGACAAGAATCTATGTCCAGCTTTTGAGATAGAAAGGAAGTCTTCTTTTTCTTTTTTGGTTCTCAACTTTAATATTGGAAGCTAGGCTTCGGGGAGAGACCAAATTGTTTTCTAATATCAAAAGCCCAACACTGTGGGCAATGTCAAGACATTTACTATGAGTCAGGAATAGAGGGAATCTCAAGACATGATGTAAGAGAAGCCCTTGACACATAGAAAAAAGATAAATGGATGAAGTACCTGCTGGACTTGGTACAATAGGAAAGGCAGGTGGTCAGATGTGCACATGCTCTGGTTTTCTGGTTCTGAACCAAAATCCTGCAAAGGATTTTGAAGGGTTAAACGTAAAATCAGGGGGACTTATTGCCTTTGCTTGCTCTGAGACTTGGAAGGAGGAGCTCACTCACAGGGTGATGTGTGGACTCCATGAATGCAGGAAGGAATGGTGCCATGATAGAAGAAAGAGGTGGCCAGACAGATGAACCAGAGTTAGTATTCTCATCTCATGGTTCACATGTGGCACAGAAGGAGCCACATGACCAAGTGGGATGACAATGGCTTCAGTTATCTTTATTTAGCTGCCCTACAAACCATCTCAAAACTTAGTAGTATAAAAACAAAAACCATATTTTTATGCTCAAGGATTCTGTGGGTCAGGAATCCAGAAAGGCCACTGTGGGCATGCCTTGTCTTTGCTCCATAATGAGGTCTCGGTTAGGAAGATTCAAATTTCTGGGGGCTGGAATCATCTCAAATCACCTTTCCGTCATGGCTGGTGCTTGGACTGGAATGCCTGAAGAACGGGTCAGCTGAGCCTGTTGACTGGAGCACCTACATATGACCTTTCCATGTGGCTTGGGCTTCCTCTCAACAAGGCCGCTACAGGGCAGCTGACTTCTAACATGGCAGCTCACAGTTTTAACAGAGAGCATTCCAGTGAAACAAGGCAGAAACTTTCATGGTCTTTTATACCTTAGCTTCAGAGGTCATAAACCTTTACTTCAGCCATAATCTATTGGTCAAAGTATCCACAAGTCTTCCAGATTCAAAGAGAAAGTACAGAAACACCACTTCTCAATGGAAACCATGTTAAAAAATGTGCAGCTATGTTATAACAATGTATCTAAGAGTGTGGTTTGAGAACCACATGGACAGGGGAAAATGCTAGCGCCTGAAAGCTCCAGGGAAGGTAACCAGGCTGAAGACCAATTAGGAGCCAGGAGGGCTCTGCAGTCATGGTGTCATGTAAGAGCCTTGGTGTTGTGACTCAATAAGAGAAACCATCTGACCCTTAGAGAGCTGAGAGAAGACCATGAGTTCTCCAGGTGCAGAGACTAGAAGAAATCACCAGCAAGGTTCCCTGGGATAGACTCACATGAGCCACACCTCAGCTAAATCAGCCTGCACACACTCAAAGACCAGACCCACTGCCCCTCAGCCACATCTCCACAAGGATAGACAGGAGTCCAGGGAGACCTGCCGCAACCTCCAGGGGGACTCTCAGCTGCCCCAGGCGACATCTTGGGAAGGAGGCAGGGTGCTGCAGTTTGAACATATTGAATATTTCATGGATGGAGCCTCTTTTAAGTAGAAGGTAATTAATTAAACCAAAGAAGGCAAAAATACTGTGAATTAGCAACCTATGTCTCCCCACTGGGGATGGTGGGGCCCCAGAGAATGATGGAAGCAGTGATGGAAAGTAAGGAAGCTGTATTTTTCGGCTGGGCACGGTGGCTCACACCTGTAATCTCAGCACTTTGGGAGGCCGAGGCAGGCAGATCATGAGGTCAGGAGTTCGAGACCAGCCTGGCCAACATAATGCAACCCCATCTCTACTAAAAATACGAAAAATTAGCTGGGCGTGGTGGCAGGCACCTGTAATCCCAACTACTAAGGAGGTTGAGGCAGGAGAATTGCTTGAACCCGGCAGGAAGAGGTTGCAGTGAGCTGAGATAACACTATTGCACTCCAGCCCCGGGGTCCGTGTGAGATTCTGTCTCAAAAAAAAAAAAAGAAGAAGTTGCATTTTCTTGTACATCTGAGTGGAGTGAATATGAAACACACCAGCAAAGGACACTTGCACATATACTTTTTTTTGGAAGTGATGTCACAGAACTTCTGCAGCAAATTCATGACAGACCATGCAGCTTCCAACGTGGACACTGGAACATCTCAGTCTTAAGCCACATGTAGGAAGTCCAGTATTCTGAGGCCACCATGTTGTGAGGAAGCCCAAGTCATGTGCAGGGCCTTGTGTTGGTGCTCCAGTCAGCAGGCTCGTTCTTCTGGTCACCCCAGCCTGGGAACCACACATGTGAGTGAAGATGTCTCCAGATGATTCCAGCAGCTGCAGTCACTCCCAGTCAGGTATCCCCAGCTGAGGCCTCAGACATGGAGGGGCAGAGACAACCACCCTCCCTTTTTCCCACTTTGACATACAGAATACTTGGGTGAAATCAAATGGGTATTCTTTGGCACCGTTAAATTTTGGGGTGGTTTGTTATGCAGCGGGGATCACAGAAGAGCAGGGATGGCATTGTTCTTGCCAGTGTGTTCTCAACCTTATGACATACCTGGTGCCTTCAACCTCCTTCAACCCTCAATGCTCAATGTGTAGTTGCAAATTTAGGCCAATCTACTTTTAGCAGAACACTTAAAAAAACTTGGCTGCTCTATCTCACTGGGGGCCATTCTTGCTTAGACTGTTGTGATCAATTTGAGTATATATATATTCAAATTTAAGTAAAAATGTCACAGTTTCACATTGTGGACAGTTCCTGATTACCTTATGGAGAGGTCAATTTTCTTCCTTATTTTTTTAGAAAAAGAATTTGGCAAACAGAAATCCAAAGCAAGCAAGCAAGCACACACACACACACACACACACACACACACAAACACACGCATCAAGGTCATAAATTCCATGCCTAGTGCTCTGGAGAATTGATTGTGTCTGACATGACTAGAGTTAGGTGAGACAATGGCCAACATTCCTCAGTAGAAGTTCTTCGAATACCTGAATTTAGGAGAAAGAAACAAAGTATTGGACCCATATGAAGCAGCCCCTCTGCCTTGCCTCGTCCAGAATCCGTCCCCCGCTCCCCATTGGTAGCCTCTAGTTCCTGGCCCTCAGCTGGACTCTTCACTGTGCTTTTCCCTAAGTTGTTCTTCAGTTTTCAGAGGGATTCAATGGGCAGAGTGTCTGGAGAGACTTGGGTTGTCAGTTCAACCATGTAATTGGATTGTAGAATGGAACAGACATCTAGGATGTCAGGGTGGGAGAGGAGGGGAGCTTTTTCAGAAAGAAAACCCAGTTCAGAAGGCAGGGCTGGAGTCTTGGGCCACAAGTTGAGTGGAGTGATGGTGACGGGAGAGTGGGACTGGAGCAGCCATCGAGGTTAGGGAGCGGTGGGAAGCAAGGCTGGTGAGCAGGAGGGATGGTACCAGGCTTCAGAGCATGACAGAAGGAGATGGGAACCAGGACAGGCTCAAGCCAGCCCAACCAATGACTCCACAAACACAGGTGGTGAGATCCTTCTTCTCCCCAAGAGCCATTTCCTGGAACTGTTTTTGAATCCCCAGTGAGATTTGAGATTTCAACGTCTACAGAAATATGATAAGCATGGACTACAACATCCCCCTCATCTCCTCAGCATGGGCGTGCTGGTGAGCAGGACTGCAGGCCCGAGCAGGGGTGTAATGTGTCTGTTGATGGCGGGCCTGCCTGACAAACCGCAGACAGCTCTTGGTCAAAGCCAGTGTTTTTAGGCAACACAGAGTGGCCCTGCCTAAGAGGCATCCTCCACAGTCTTCCCATTCCAGTCTGATGCAGTGGGGAAAGGCATCCCAATGTGTGACGTTCTTGAGCCCATGTCCTGCACACTGTGGTCAGGTGTAGTAGGCAAGTGTGGCTTGTCAATTACTTTAAAGAGAATGTCTTCCCAATTGGCTTCCCATCTTCCCTGGAACAAAAGCTTTTGGGATTTTCTTCACCAGCCTTCTCTCTTGGTAGAATTTTCCATTAAAAAGCTGCCTGAAGTCTGAGGCACATTCCCCTCTCCTAACCTTTTCAGTTTTGTATTCCATGTGACTGGGCCCAGCATATACATTTGAAATAGAATTATATGCATAGAAATAGGATTTCCTGATTGTGTGATAAAAGTTTATCAATTGCCTACCATGTACCTAAATCCTCATTTAATCTTTACAGTGCCCTTATGCGATTAATGTTATTATGACCCATTTTACAGATGAGAAAACTGAGGCACAGAGCAAGGAAGCATTTTGTCCAAGGTCACACAGCTAGCAAGTGGCAGAGCAAGGTCTGAGCCCAGGGAGTTTGGCATCAGCATCCATGCCCTAATTAAATATCACCGTTGGCTCCTGCACCATCCAGCTATGCTCCACATTTTGATTTTGAACTTATATTGCAAAAAATATCACCTTATTTACTCATACAGAGTTCCCCCCACTCCACACCTTACTCAACTTTTCCTACAATCTGATTTATTTCAAGAAGAGGATAATGTTCAAAAGTCAAAACTTCAAATACTATTTTTCAGCAAAGAGGTTCCACAATCTTTATGTAGCCTCTATTTCTCCAGGCATAAAATAAACTGAGCCAGCTGTGGTGGTTCACACCTGTAATCCCAGCTACTTTGGAGGGTGTGGCAGGAGGATTGCTTGAGCCCTGGAGTTTGAGACCAGCCTGGACTACGTAGTGAGACTCAATCTCTAAAACAATAAAGAACTGAAACAACATTCCAAAGCATTGCCACAGCCAGAGGTTCAAATATTTATATGCATGCTTCTTGGGAGAAAAGATTACGTCTTGATTAGGGTTGTGGTTACATGACTATGCATTTGTCAAAACTCATAGAACTGTATACCAAGAAAATGGAATTTCACTGTATGTAAATTGGAAAATTTTAAAAGTTAGAATGAAAGGGCGTAAGTATTTGTGTCAATAATTCAACAGAAGAAAATAAATCTTTCATGTCTACTTAAAAGTGTCAGGGCAGAAAATAATACAAATGTTCTCTTCAGTAGTTCATCAAAAATGACGTGTTTGTAAATTATTCTATGAGATCTACTTCTCACCACATAGTGAGGGTACAAGACTCACTTAGCACATTTGCCACAATAGCTCTAGGATTCACTCCCCCCTTCACATTGAATATGCCTTATCATTCCCATAGGAAACACTGGCGAAAAAACAGAACTGGGATTTAATTTACAACTTCATGGAGATGTTTGGAAACCAAGTGTATTATCACATCACCTCTGATGATTATCTTCAAGCCATCTGTAGTTTGGTCTCAAAGAAAAGAAAGTTTGGCCTCAATTTATAATTGAGCAACACACCTCTGAGGCTTTAGAAACTGCATGACAAACACACATTTATTTGTGGTCGTGATCACAAAATCTATTGGACTTCACATAGGAGAGGTCCTCAGTGGCCCTTATAGGGTGGGCTGGAGGTGCAGAACCTGTCTACTCTACCTGGCAACACTGGCCTCAATTTCCACTTCGAGCAGTGAGAGAAGCAAGGTTATAAAAAGCAACTTCTAATTCAAACTGACACATTTTCTCAGAATGTGAACATAAGCAAGCCATTTCTAATTCCAATACTTAGAAATAACCCCTTTTGACATTTTCACAAAAAATGGAATGAAATATATTTAAATATCAGGAGAAATGTCATTAAATATTCTCTGTCATCCCGTTCCTTATATTTTTAATAACAATTTCAAATACAGAAAGGTGACAGAAATTATAGGCAGAGAACACCTGCATATCCACCACCTATTTCTGTTACTGATCTTTTGCTATATTTGTTTTATTAAATATCTATTCATTTCTCCATCACTGTATCCATTGATCATTCCATCTTCTGTTTAACAGATTTCAAAGGTTTTAGTCTGTTTGGGCTGCTGTAACAAAATACCACAGACTGGGTCACTTACAAACCAGAGAAATTTATTTCTTACAGTTCTAGAGGCTGAGAAGTCCAAGATCAAAATGCCAACAGATTCAGGGTCTGGTAAGGACCCACTTTCTGGTCCATAAATGATACCTTCTTGCTGTGTCCTCACATGGTAGAAGGGTTAGCTGTCTTTCTGGGGTCTCCTATACAAGCGCACCAATCTTGTTCATAAGAGCAGAGAGCAGAGACCCCATGATGACCTAATTACCTCCCAAAGGCCCCACTCTCCAACATCATAATATTGGGGATCACGTTGCAGTGCATGAATGTTCGGGGCACACATACATTCAGACTAGCCTCAAGTAAGTTGCAAAAACTAGTACACTTCAGCATGCACACAAGTAACTAGAGCTCAATATTTCTTTATGGCTCTTTGCTTAAGGGAGATTTACATACACTGAAATGCACAAATCTTGAGTGAACAATTCAAAGGATTTTGACACATGAATACACCTGGGTAATACACACCCCTGTCAAGGTATAAAGCATTATAGTCAACCTACAAGTTCTCCCGTGTCTCTTCCTGGTCAAACCCCCACTCCACTCTCAAGAAAGTACTGCTCTGATTTTTTTCACCACATGTTAGTTTTTTGATATCATGTTAATTTTGGTTGCATATTACTCTATTGTACCATAGTTTAAACATTTTCGATACAGTCATGTGCTATGTAACAATGTTTCCGCCAATGTCAGACCGCATGTATGACGTGGTCTCTGGCTGCATAGAGAGCACGTAAGTTAAGTGTTTCGCTGAGACTTAGGATGCCTCGAGGATGGAGTGGTTAATTCATTCCTATGGATTAAAAATGTTTCCGGAATGCACCACTTAACAGGGCAGAGACAAGTGATGTGGTATGCTCTCTAGGACCTGTATAGAATAATGTCTCCTCGGCGGAGCTTGCAGTGAGCTGAGATCGTGCCACTGCACTCCAGCCTGGTTGACTGAGCGAGACTCCGTCTCAAAAAAAAAATAAAAAATAAAAAATAAATAAAAGTATAATGTCTCCTCAACCTTTTTATGGCATAATAGAAGAATAGGCTGGTTTATGGTGTAGGCTTATGGGAAGAGAGAGGAAATAGATAAATAGATTTATTTATTGAAAATAAAAGAAAGGGCTGGGAGCAGTGGCTCATGCCTGTAATTCCAGCACTTTGGGAGGCTGAGGCAGGTGGATCACCTGAGGTCAGGAGTTTGAGACAAGCCTGGTCAACATAGTGAAACCCCATCTCTACTAAACATCCAAAATATTAGCTGGGAATGGTGGTGTGTGCCTGTAATCCCAGCTACTCAGGAGGCTGAGGCAGGAGAATCATTTGAACCCAGGAGGCAGAGGTTGCAGTGAGCCCAGATCGTGCCACTACGTTCCAGCCTGGGCAGCAGAGTGAGACTCCATCTCAAAAACAAAACAAAACAAAACAAAACAAAAAACAGAAACAAAAACAAAAAACCAAAAAAAAAAAAAAAGAAAAGAAAAGAAATGAAAGATGGAATTCTTAAGAGCTTTGGGTCACCAAAATGAAATAAATATATGTCCATGTCACCATCATGCAAAGGCACTCAAGCCTTTGAAATATACTCCATTTATTTACTTTTCAAGAGTTTGAGCTGAATTCACTTAGAAAACCCCATGTTCTGTCAATAGACTAGGTTTATGATGATGATTTTTAAACCCAGTAACCTATACATTCCTCACTGCCACTGCCTTATGCATGGGTGGTCACTGTATTACTCCCATTTTGCAGATGAGGGAGTGGAGGTGCCAGGTTGTTAATGAGCTGGTCAGGGACTGCTGGAAGTAAGTGTCAGGAGTGAGACTGGAACACTGTATACCCCCACCTGGCTGCCTCTCTCCCGCAGAACGTGTAGATTGAAATAAAATGAGCCTGACAGGGGTTTCACCCAGTTCCGGACCATTGCTTCTCCCTGCAGAGCTAGCTTTGATGAGGGCCACCTCCATAGGAAAGAAATCAGCAGAGGAATCAGCTCTGGATTCTCAAGAAGCCAAGGTGTATTATAATAATTCTGCTTTCAAAACCCCTGGGACAGGCTAAGTAGCCCACCCACCAAATGCACACAGAATGACCGTCATCTGTCCAGCAGATGAGACGCCTGGGAGGTCAAGAGAGGAAACTGAAGCCCATGTGGAGGCTTGTGGCTCACAGTAGCCTCAGCCACCAGGCCTCCCTCCCTTCCTTGAAAGCTGCAGAGATGTGCATGCCTGCAGCCTGTTGAGAAATCTGGTCTCGGGCCAGCCAATCTGAACTCCACTCACACACACTTTTCTAAGGTGTGAGCTGAGAAGGGGCCCCCAGATGTAGATGTCTAGGAACAAATCCCAGGCAGCTGGTGGGATTTGCTCTCTGGTTACTGCTCATGCCTCTTCCGTCTTCCCCACTCTTGCATCTACTCTGTTTCAGACACTTGGTTTTGTGCAGCTTCTCCCATGCCAGACAGGAGGCAACACCCATTGGAAGCTGTTGGTGCCGCAGCGTGCTGGCCTGGGCTGAGATGGTGTGAAAACCCTGCCCGTCCCGCTGTTTCCTAACTCTCCCAGGCAGTGACAGCCTCTTGGCCTGCTCCACTGGCAACGCCTGCCGTGGGGTTCCACCAATTCATCATATCTCCAATGTGCAGTTGCTGCAGGCAGTGCGATCTCTTGGCGCTTCGCTGGGCTGCCACATTTGGAATTGATTTGGGACTCAAAAAGGCTGTGGATCGAGGAAACTCTAAAGCGTTGTTCCCTTCTATTTCTGGCCACCTATTTCTGAGCTGAGGTAGTGGGATCTGGCCAAGTTGAGCCAAAGTGAAACTGCTGAAATCAAGAAAGATAGTAGCCAACGTGACGGCAGTGGGTGGTGAGAATCCCCTCCTCCCTCTCAGTTTCGTGGACTGTCAGTCCGGACGCCTGAGTGGGGCCTCGCTAACCCTGCCTGCTGCTCTTGCTGCCAGGCCTGGCATCCGTTTTCCATCTCTATATGATTGTTTGCCCTGAGCCCAGTGAGTGCTGTCTGCATCTCTGGCTGCCGCAGACAGCAGCCTGATTTCTCAAGCTGGACATTGCTTTGATTTCCCCTTGGCCTACAGACCACACCACAATTCTCCCTCTTCTCATAAGCGCAAGCATCCCTTTGCAGTATCTAAAGGTTCCTGACGCAGTGGAGGTCCTCAAGATTTTCCTCCCCTTAAGCTGGTGCACCGTCCCCTCCCCATTCCGCTCTTACGCCTCAAATCCAATTGCATGGACATCACCAACTGCATGTCAAATGGTGATGTTAGAAACGACTTTCCGTAATGATCCAGAAAAAGTCCCATTTTTCACAAAGGTTTTTTTTTCTTTCTCCATGACTTAGTTTTACATATGACTATTGTTTGCAATAAAGATCAAGTTTTGCAATCCATCATGCTCCCTTCCGACTCCCCTGTCCCCATGGTACTGTCTCCCGCTCCATGTCCGAGTACCCTCCCTCCTCCCTCAGCCCCCACCCTTTGGTGGGCTGTGCCAACAGTGTAGCAAGAGGAATTTCTGGAAGGAGGCCAAATTTGGCTTCGGATCATTTCTCTTCAACACACACTGGCCTCTGAAAACCAGATTCTGTTTGTCATTTGGTTTGCTCTCCCAGCGTTGTGTCATTCCGATGGTAATGCTGATGGATTTCAAGCTTGCCTCGTAGAGTAACGCACAAGGTTTTCATAAGCACATTAATCTTAAAAGAAAAACTGTCAGATGCAAACAATACCCATATGACTGATGTTGTAAAGACACAAACTAACTCTTAACATCCATTCCCAAGGAATATTATCTTACAGGGGCCTGATGTTGCCTTTAACTCTCTTCCAACATAGGTACTTGTGTTGCAGGATTTTGTGGCACGTAAAAAGCTTGCTTTCTACACCAAAAGGCTGAGGATTAATGGCCTATCTGCTCATTTGCCAAGTCCAAATAATAGGCTTGGTCACATGGTGGTGTAAATAAGACCATGATTACAAGAAATATGTAATTTAATTAGTTTTCAGAAAATATAATATAAGCAGTCCTTATGAAAACCAAATTGGAAAATCATTATTCCTCAAGTAAAGGGACTCTGATCTCCGCAAAACCCTAAAATCTCATTAGCAGATGAGACATGCTGCCCCAAACTCTTTCCCTGGTGGAAGAGTTCTTAGATCACAAGCTGATTTGAAGGCATTTTCCCATTTTGTTCCGAGGTTTGCAATATGTGTGGTATGAATTAAATATATGATATTACTATAAATGTGTGCCAGGCCATGATCAAGAACAAGCTAGTAGCTTGCATTAATTTAATGGTGTTGAAGTGTTCCACTGTAATTAAGCATCTGAAATTCAAATAGAGACAGTCATTAGGCTCAGCGATACAAAGCCACCAGACCAAAGACTATAAATTATTTCAAATAGAGGCCTCAAAAAAGTGTTACAGGGTCTGAGATGAGGTTCTTCAACAGGGGTGAGTAGTCACTGGCACTTAGGGCCATCAGTATTAATGAATACGGTTATTAATGAATACATTGAGACTGTCGACGGAGGAGCCTGCAATTTGTTAGCAATTGCCATATCTGGCTAAAAATTTCTGGACAAGGTTAGGCCCAGGTACTGTGATTCCACCTTCCTCCTACAAGGTCAGTGTGGTTCATCACCTGAAACAGAGGTGGGGCCAAGCAAGACAACTTCATAAAAAGATAAAGGAGACTCAAGCCTTTAATGTTCACTGCCAGGCCCTGAATTCTCAGCGAGGGTCTCCTCTGGCCGTAGACAGACCTCATGGCACTTGGGCCGCTCAAGAGTCCAGAGTCCTTGCAGCCTGAGAAGGCAGCAATATTTCCCAACGCTCAACATAAGGACAAGTACCTGCTTTTCCTTTCATTTTAATGCCCACCTTTCATGGAAGTGAAAGATTGTTGTAAATTTGACCAGGCAAGAGGATTGCTTGTCCTTCAGATCATTCCCTGAAGGACAAATATTGTCCTTAGGAAATATTATACAAAGCTTAGGAAAATATTGTATCTAAACTCCATGGACATTTTCAAGGGCTATAATGTTCTTTCACAAGACAATGTAATATTTTTTAAACCCATAACTGAACCATTGGATTTAGCAGGCAGGGCAAAATCTTGCTATCCTCCTTCTACGAAACAAGCCGGCTGAGAAATACAGGCCTTTCCTTGGGACACACAGCTGGTGAGTGGCCGAGCCGGCATAAGAACCGAGGTCTTCTGATTTCAAGATCAATGTCTTTTCTAAAAAGCAAAATTGACTCCTGGTAGGAAACAGAATAAAACTTGTGCTACCTTAAATGACTGCATTTGCCACTGTGTTGCCTATTTCACAATACACTTTTACTTATTCATAAGTTTGAATAACAAAGATAGCAATGATTTTAGAAATTTTTTAGTAAGACTTTTGACAATATAATGAAAACAAACGATTATTTAAGGTACACAAATTTGCAATCCGTGTTAGTGGATTTGTGGATCAAGAAGCCATCCATGGCACCTGGGATCTCCATTAAAATGTAATGGATAGATAATTAAAATCTGTAAATTCTATTAGGTCTTCACCTTACAAATCATCTACTAAATATTTTTGAAAACAGGCTTAGTCAAATTCCCCAATTGCCTTCTTTGCCTCTCCTCCCATCAGCCGCCTCCTAGTGGAGGTAGTGGTGAGCACTCAGAGCATCCCAGTGGGGCTCTAGAGGGGGCTACAGGAGTCGTTCAGGGACTGGGTAGCCTGCTGGTCAGAAATCCCTCTGGGAAATTCTGAGTGGGCTGCATATTAAACCTTAGAGGAGGGTTTGATGTTCCTGAATTGAGAACAAAGTGTTTGTGCCCCAACGTTCTCATCCCTTGAATAGCACAGGGAAGTAATGTGCACTCTGGAGTCAAATGCCAGGTTCAAATCTTGGTTCAGGCACTTCCTGGTTTGCATGGCTGGAGGTGAGTTGTCATTTATAGCCCTCAATTTCCTCGTCTGTACAATGGAGATAACTTGGTTAGTTTAGCCTCCCAGGGCTGTTGTGAAGCTCAAGCAAGATAGTAAGTGGAAATGCCTGGAACGATGCCTGGCACAGAAAAGTTGCTCAGCAAGCCTCAGCTCTTCCTAGCAAGGCCAAGAAGGAGCACATCAGTTTACAACCATATGGACCCAGTGGAGTGGGATAGTTGACAGTGAGGCAGCTGCTGTAATTTCTTCGGTAACCAGGCAAGACCCGACCTTGAGGTTTGCTCATCAGCTGCATTTATAGTCCTTGTGGGGCTAAACATCCAAGTTGGCATTTTTCTTCACTTAAATTGGTAAGGTAAAGAATGTTTTATCCAAAAGGGGCCTGTTTCCTTTGGAAGTGACTGCGTTGTCTCCTTTGTCCCCTTTAATTGTTCATTTGCTCTATGTGTGTGGCTGCTGTGATTTTCCAGTATTTCAGATGCAGGTCCTCTCATGCAGGGGCTTAGCACTAGGTCATAAAACTATCCTCACCTCACGAGTTTCACCTTGGAAACAGCTTCTATTCTTAGGTGTAAAAGGAATGTTCCCTGGAAATAGTCTTTTTTTTTTTTTTAAACTTATAAACACCTTATCTTCTTTTTTTTAAAATTTATTATCTTTTTAACACAGGAAGCCTCTTCACCTCTTTTGAAATTCAGAGTTCCAATTCTGCTTTCATGACCTGAATGGTGAGTATAATGCAATTCAGGTGATTCCCAGCTGGAAATACTAAACAACACTTTTTTTTTCTGTGCTCCAGTGACTGCTGCAGAAAGGGACACTTAGAGGGGCCTTCATTATTAATGAGTTACAGTTGACACCCTGGCTTGGGCAGCCATTTCTCAGTGTGTGCTCCCATCTGGGGCAGCTCTGGCTTGGGAGTAGAAATGACTCAAGTCAATCCACCAGTGGTGGGAGAACTCAGACTTCCTTGCACTGCCAAGAGTCAGATGCAGATGCCTCTGTGCCGGAATGTGCAGTTGAAGCAAAGGATCAAGAAGTCCTAGGAATGATGACACACTGAAGGTCATGGTCAGAGCATTGCTGCATCTGAGCTCCAAGCCACTCTGTGGTTTCTGAACAGAATCTGCTTGTGGTTATCAGGAATAATGTGATAATCTCTTTGCTGTCCAAAGTTACCCACACAAAATTTCTGAGACTAGAGATGAGAAAAACAAATGGAACGGGATGGCCAATGTCCCATTCCAGAGAAAACAAAATGTATCCATTGGTAGAGTGTTTTATGCAAGATCATTATGAATGGTGAGAGGACTTCCCCTCAGATTACCAGGCCATCACCCATCTTTGCCTCCCATTACATCAAAACCTGACATTTTTCAAAATCATATCCAATAGCATCTGACAGCTTCTACACATGTTAGGCTTCCATAAAAGTTCTAAATATCTGCTTTATTTTATATTGGTGTGTCAGTAGGGTCGTATGCCAATAAAGCTAATAAAATAAAAAATTAAATAGCAAGGCCAAAAATGGATGATGAATATTCCAGCAGTGATAGCCAATATAGTAGTTGAAGTTGAACATTAAAATGTTGGGGAAACATGATGGAGTATAGAACAGCGCATCTGAAGAGGAAGCAGGCCAGCTCTTTAAGAAAGACAATTTGGGTCTAAAAAATGTTCTCCTTGATGGACATGTTTTACTGGTGTTCTTCATGCTGATTTGCTGATAAAGTTAAAGCTGGAAAACTGTGCTTCATATGACGTGAATAAACTCAGCTTCAAACTTGACATTTTTTTTTTTTTGAGATGGAGTCTCACTCTTTTGCCCAGGCTGGAGTGCAATGGCATGATCTTGGCTCACGTGATTCTCCTGCCTCAGCCTCCTGAGCAGCTGGGATTACAGACACATGCCACCATGCTCGGCTAATTTTTGTATTTTTAGTAGAAATGGGGTTTCACTATGTTGGCCAGGCTGGTCTCAAACTCCTGACCTCAAATGATCCACCCGGCTCGGCCTCTTAAAGTGCTGGGATTACAGGTGTGAGCCACCACGCCTGGCCTCATCTGTGTATTTTAAGTAAGCAGGAATTGTAGCTCTCTAAATTGTAGGTGAACAGGAGGATAGCATTTAGGAAAAGAAACAGAGCAATGGACTCTGGCCTGTCTTTAGAGAGCTCTTTGAGTTCAACTATGTTTGGGAACAAAACACTAAAAGCCTTAAAGACCATTTTAAGTGGACTACATAGTGTTTTATTTTCCTGTGCTCCACACAAGGGGGGTTGGATGTTACAATAATGAAGCTCTTGTTACTGCCATTTCCCAGGCTTCTGTTGGTGGAAGGAGACTACGTGCTGAGCATAAGTTTGGCAATGTTTTCCATGAAAAACTAAGAAGGCCAACTCTCACCAGACTCCTATCATCTTGTCATATTCATGTGATGACCCAACTTACCCAACCCTCAAAATGAGGGACACTTGGCAACCAAGCTCTGCTCCTCTGCTGATGTGAATGTGTTCCGAAAATTCAACATATGCCTCCTGGAAAATCTACACTCAAGGCCCAGTGGAAGAATGTACGATCTGCTTCCTGACCTTGAGTGGCTTCTGATATAATAAGCATGGGCAAGAAATGCATTGGAATATAGCTTGTACATTTGCTGGATTGTGCTGAAGCCAATCTCAGATGCCATTTCATCAGAAAATGTTTCAGTATGTCTCGCTAAGAGATTAGGATTTAAAAAAAAACAAACACACAACACTACTATGCACCTAAACAATTAACAATAATTTAAAAATATTTTCTAACATTTTGTCAGTGTTCACATTTCTGTGGTGGATCAATAAATGAATTTTCGCAGTTGATTTGTTTGAATCAGAATTCAAACAAGGTCAACCCTCTCCACTGGTTGATCTATCTCTTAGGTCTCTTTTATTTCTTCTAATTTTACTTTTATGTGTTACATACCCTTCTGTTTTCCACTGCCATTTATTTACAGAACGTGTTAGGCCGTTGTTCTGTAAAATTTCCCACATTTCAGATTTGGCTAATTGCATCCTCATGAGGTCATTTAATAAGAACCTTTATCTTATAATTCCTGTAAGCTGGTGATTAGATTCAAAGTTTTTATCAGATTCAGTTTTACTCCATGGGCCTGGGGCTTCCTACTGCACCATACAGAGACACATAAGGTCCGGTTGTTTCTCTCTTTGTGATATTAAGATTAATAATTGGAGACCAGGAATGGTGTCTCACACCTGTAATATCAGTGCTTCAGGAGGTTGAGGCAGGAGGATCACTTAAGTCCAGGAGTTCAAAGGTGCAGTGAGCTACGGTCGTGCCACTGAACACTGCACTCCTCTAGCCTGGGTAACAGAGAGACACCCTGTCTCCAAAAAGAAAAAAAAAGAAAAAGAAAAAGAAAAAGATTGATCATTTGGTTCAGATGTTGACAGCCTTATTGATGAATAGGATATCATTAGGGCCGTGAAAGACCTGAAGACAATTTTTTAACTCTAAAGTGTTCCGGGTATAGCTAATAAACTAATATCAAAAATAGAAACCTCATAGAGGGAAGCAAAGCAAGATGAAGCTAGAAATATGGATAATAATACTTTAAAAACACATATAACAGGCCATGTGCTAAGTGCTTTGCATATATATACTTAGAACAGAGTCTGGTGCATTGCAAGACTAAATAATGATATTATTGCCATTGTTAGCTTGAACCACTTTACTCTACTACCTCCCTAAGTCAGCCTGGTAATACAGAGGAGGTGAAGATTCCTCCCTAGGCAGAATGACCTGGTTGCTCAAAAGTGAGAAATGGGAACTCCTCTCCTTTCTGTTTTTGGTAACATTGAGCCTGGACAATTTGTGGAATGTTTGGCCATAGGTGCTGCAGAGTAGGGAGGAGGAGTATTGAAAGTTGTAGGTTGGAGAATAGCATTGTCAAAGGCATTTTAGAATGAAGAACTGGTCAATTACTGTACACAGAAGGAACGGCATAGAATGGCAGGATAAGAGGCCAAGAGAGTGGGTTCAGAGCTTTGGTAATGGTCAAGCTCAGACCTCCAATTCTATGGGTTGTTCCTCTACTAGGTGACTTGAAGAAAGACAGATTCATAGCTCACACCACACATTTAGGTTAACCCTAGCGGGTTAAATATGGAAAATGATGCCATGAAAGTACTAGACAGAAGCATGGAATAATTTTTTATATCATGGAGGAAGGAAAGCTTTTCTAGTTGTAACACAAAAATCCAGAATCCATTAAAAAGAAAAGACTACTCTGACTCCTAAGAGTCAAGAACTTGTACATCAAAAAAAAAAATCACCATAAGCAAAATCAAAAGACAACTGAGAATCTAGGAAAAAATATTTGCATCTTATATGACAGAGAAGTACAAATCTTTCCAGTATGTGAAGATTTCCGAGAATCTGAGAAAAGGGCCAACAACCCAACATAAAAATAAACAAAAACATTTCACAAAACCACTACAAAAGGGCTTAAACATGTGAAAAGATGTTTAATCTTATTCTGAAGAAGAGAAATGCAGATGTAATTGTAATAACTGTCATGATATGTAATAATAACTTACCATCCAGCCCTATTAGATTGGCTGAAAAAAAGTGACCGTTGGGGGCAGAAGATGGTACAACCCTTGGAAAGGACCATTTAGGAATATTTATCAAAATTACAAATGCATATATTATTTGCACAGAAATCCTACTTCTGGAACTTATCCCACAGATGCATACCTGTGTGCCCACAAAATGTCAAAGAACTAGACACAATTCAAAGGCTAAAAACACTTTGGTACCTCAGTAAGTGGAACACCACGCAGCTATTAACAGAGGCTGTGAGGTTTTCCATGTGCTGTTATGGAAAAATCACTGGAGTCAGTGAATACAGGCAAGTGCAGAAAGAGTACCTGGCATGCCGCCTTTTGGGTAAGAAAGGGAAAGAAAAGACCATGTACTCTTATTTGCATGTATTTGCATAAAAGGAAACAAAAGAAGCAGATTAAAAACTGACCTCAGGGAGGACAGGGCAGGGTGTGAGTAAGAAGGCTTCTCAAGGTGGACCTTTATGTATCGTGTGGACCCTCAAGTCATGCGAATATCTTACATATTTACAAAAAATAAAATTTAAAAACGGCTGAGCGCAGTGGCTGTAATCCCAGCACTTTGGGAAGCTGAGGTGGGTGGATCACCTGAGGTCTGGAGTTCAAGACAAGCCTGGCCAAAATGGCGAAACCCCGTTTCTACTAAAAATACAACAATTAGACGAGAGTGGAGGTGGGTACCTGTAATCCCAGCTACTCAGGAGGCTGAGGCAGGAGAATCGCTTGAACCTGGGAGGCAGAGTTTGCAGTGAACTGAGATCATGCCACTACACTCCAGCCTGGGCAACAGAGCAAGACTACGTCTCAAAAGAAAAAAAAAACATTTTAAACATGAATGGTACTGGGTCTGAAAGGTATACAGCTTCTCAGGAAGGAGAAGTCTTGTGTACCAGTATGTGTAACAGGAAGCCCCAGCAACAAGGTGCACCCTGCAAAAAGCACTCACTGGGGAACAGTGGCCCATGATTTTGAGGGGGCAATTTTAAAAATGTGTCATGGAAGGGGAAGCACTTGAGCTGGATCTTGGTTTCAACAGGTGCTGATTGAGGAGAAGCTGACAGGCAGTGGATAGCAGGAGGAAAAGCTCAGAGGAGCAATGTCTGGGTGAGTGTGGGTAGCAGCTGAGAGCACCATGGGCCTGCTGGGAGCAGAGGGCACTGGAGGACAAAAATGGCCCTTGGGGTCAGCACTGGGGGGCCCCACCTGTCCAGATGGGAGCCTGAACTTTATTCTGCAGGTGGTGGGGTGCCATTAAAGGGTTTTGAGTCTCTTTGAATCCATTGGAGCTGCAGTTCTATTTATCTGTTCATGCATTTCCTGTGTGCCTAAGACAGTGGGCACTGCTCCAGGTGCTGGGGCACTGAGATGAACACCACTCAGCACCCAGCCAGTAGCTGGTGATCTCCTGGGGAGACAGGTTTATCAAAAATGACTAGGGGCCATGTGCTGAGGGAGGCACTAGAAGTCTGAACCAAGTAACAGGAAACAGGTTCAATTCATTCATTTTAGGGGAAGATGGAGGCCTAGGGGAGCCTCCAGAGAAGCTGGGATGCTTAAATAAAAAGTGGAAAGGCTCATCTGGTGGATGGTTACTGTTGTAGAGATTCGGGAGGAGAGAATGGTTAGTGTTGTGGAGATTTGGGAGGAGAGAAGATGCTGGAGTCAGGAATCCAATCAGCAAAGCAGGTGAATCAAGGCATCTAGGAGAAGTTGCCTGGAGATGGAATGAAGGGGGTTCCAACTGTACGAAAAGTACCAGTGAAGCAGGACAAACAGGATTAGGGGTGATGGTGGTTGAGATGAGGTCATGGGGAGGTGGTGAAGTGGAAAAGAGGGTGCCGGAGTCACAGCCAGGAGAGGGGCAGAGCTGGGAGAAAGAGCCTGTCAGCCTCCTAGGGTCCCGAAGGCCTGTGTCATGGGGCAGGAGTGCAGCTGGTGGCTGGAAATGAGAATCAGGGCTCTGGGAAGAGGTGGCAGCTGGGGAGGGGGCTGTGATGTTGGAATTCCTGTGAGCATGGCTTGAAGCAGTGGATACAGCAGAGGTCCTCCAGAGAGGAAAAAGTAAGACTAAAGAGATTGAGAATTGTTACATTTTAGGGTGCAGGGGCTGAAAGGAGGAATGAGTGAAGGAAGAGAAAAAAATCACAAGATTTGGGCGATCTTGGGGAGATTAGAGCCTTGAGAGCAGAAAGGCAGAAGGGACGGAGGGCAAGGCATGGCGCAAAGACCACTCCGGAGAAGCCTGGAGCACGTTCTGACAAAGGCAGCAGCAACGGACAACCACAGCAAGAGAGGCTGGCTGAGCCAGAGGTGAGGAGAGTGAGGAGGGAAACAGCACTGTCCTTTCCATGGAGCTCGAAAGTGAGAGAAGACAGGAGGGTAGGCCAGGGGTCCATGCGAAGCAGCGGCACGGTCCCACAGCAGGCTGAAGATGGGGCTCCCTGAACTGCAGGGCTGACCCCACCATCACATAAGAAGCCTGAAGGCTGGACCCAGCCCTTGGCTTTGGGGAACCCCCAGTTACTAGCAGCTGGGCAGAGACCCAGAAGACAGACAATGGCGGAGAAGTTGGTGTCTGAAAGTCAAAGTTAAAGGAAGCAAACAGGTGATTCTGCCCACAGTCCTCCCCCACTGAAGCCCACGGGGGCCCTTGACTGGGCTCCTTGACTCCTGCCTTTGCTTCCCTCTGCGGTCCGACCCCTCAAGGCCATCCTCCAAGGGCTGCTTTGATTTCCAGGGGTTGCTCCCAAGACTGAGTGTTTTAGGGTGGGAGCACAGAGAGGAATAACATTGTGAAAGTGCAACTCAACTCAGAAGAGATTTTAAAAATGAGGCTTTGTTGCTTTCCAGGGAGGAATATCTAGGATGCCAGCAGGCTAAGGCTTGCAGAAATTCTGCCTTAGTGAATAGCTAAGATCGTCTCACAGTTAGCCAAGCAAGGAAGTCTGTCCGAGCATCTTTCCTCTCTTGGCATTCCGAGCTCACAGCTCATCTGGCTTCCTCTTGATTTCTCAGTACCCTCATGGTTAGTCTTGAAAACCATGATAACAATTATGTATTATATGAAAATTGTCATCTATTATAGCTATATAATATTATTATAATAACAATCATTTATTGAGCACTTGTTATGCAGCTGACATTGTACCAAACTCCTTATCTTTTTCATCTCATTTAATTGTTGGCCATCCTCACAAAATGGGTTCTGTTGTGACTTCATTTTCCAGATGGAAAAACTGATGTCTGGAGGTTAGATGACTTGCCTGGGTCACAGGATGCAAGTGGGTGAGTCAGGAGGCCTCTTCAGGCTGAAGTCAATGTTCCACCTCCCAGGACTTGGGCCTCTCCCCTCGCTGGATGCCCCCCTCAATTCAGTAACCGCACTTTAACCTGCCTTTTGGGCTCATGAGTGATCAACTTCAACCCTCTTTCCTGCTCTCCGCGCCACCACATCCCACACTGCCCAGCTCCTTTCTTGAGCCAAACTGTCTCAAGCCTGCTTTCCTGTGACTTTACCTCTGCGACCACCTTTGCTTTCCCAGGGAGACGTTTCCTGTCCTTCCTTTGGCCTCTGGACTTCCGCCTGTCAAACTCCACCCATTGGTCAAGGTCCGTCTGAGATGCCAATTCCTTCCTGAAATGCCCCGTATTCTTTGGCGGCCCCTGGCCTCCTCAGTCTCAGAAATGTGTGTTCACCTTGTTTCTGCTTACAGTGGGGCTCAAAGTATTCTGCTACAGCACCCCCTCCTGGTTCCCAGAGGTAAATGCCCTGCCACTCCGGAAAGGGACCTCAACCTGTTCTAGACAACCAGGGCGGCATTTTTAAATGTTTTCTATTCTGTCCTTCAAATGGACAAAAATTTCTATCCTGCGCCAGGAAGAGTTTACACTTGTTTTGATATCAAAATAATGTTATTTTCCAAAATCATTAGGTGAGGTTGAGATTTCAGGAAGACGTGCTTTCCTGTGGTGGGCCCTTCCTCCATCCCACTGCCAAGTACTAAAAGGAGAGGCACATCCAAGTTTAAGAAGCAGGTGAGCAGAACACAAAGTCCTCAAAGGCAAAAACTGCCTCTCGCCCTGCCTCACCAGCGGGTGTCGACTGTAGAAAGAATGAACTTTATATTTGCTCAAATGGATTACACGTTAACATCACCTCTTAAAGGGTCTGAAAATCATTTATTTCTCAGCAGATGTGGGTTTTCCTTGTGATCAAAATGACTTGATTAATTTGCTCAATGAAGCTATTTTTTAGAGCTGGTATGAGCCCACCAACATAGTTTATGTTCCCAAGTTCTAATTTGTGGGGTCCCTAGGAAGTTCTGTCGCTTTTCCATTTCAGAAATCTACATGTGCTGGAAACAGAGCCAGACCACATTCTTAAATCGCTGCATTTGTCACAGAGCCCTCCCACCTCCATATTCGTTGCCTTTCTCTTGCTGCTGAGATTCTAAGAGACCCGATGTTAACCTAACTCTGACGTGGCCCTGCTGTAGCTCAGCCTGTCCCCTCCTTGCTCTTGGGGCACCACAGGCTAAATCATTTCCTTTGGGCAAGAACTCCCACTTTCTCAGAATAATTCCTCCTGCCAGGGCATGGGGGCTGTGGCTGGAGCCACAGAGATAGAAATCTCTGTGTGATTGGGTAGCAATGATTTTATCTCCATGCCTTCATCTTTGCAGCAACAAAACTGTTATAACAAACCCACATGGTTGGCATGGCATGGGCTGGATTTCCCGGCAGGCAGCTGGTGTACTGGGAAGAGTTATGGAGATTGATGCCTGTGAGGGATGAGGAGCAGGGCTGACCAGGAGAGAAGTCTGACTGTGATGCAGTAGCAAAACAGATCCAAGCTGATCTTCCGTGGAGCTCTGGTGCTGGGATGGTCCTCAGAGTTGTCCTCCATTGAAGCTTTTGTACCCCACAGTGAGTGGTCCCCAGGAAGGGGGTGTTTGCTTGGGTTTTATGGTTCTCTTTAGCCTAAGGCAATGGAAAGGAGGCTCTGCTGTGAGCCACCAGCCTTGAGGGAATGAGCGTCTCAGTGCTGGTGGGGGGATCTGGGCATGCTGGGCAACGTTAGCTACAATACACAGCTGCCCAACCTCATGGTGAACAGAGGCCATGAGCTCCCTACAGCACTCCACCGCATTAATAAGGACGAATAACTAGGAGCCTGCTTATCCCAAGAGTACAACATTTTCATAATAGAAGATGTCACTTCACTAAAATCTTAGACATCAGGCACCTCAGGGATTGCGGAGAAGTTATAGATGGGGGCAACCCAAGAGAGGCGTGAATTTTTTGAAAAATGGTAATTTGGGATAAATGGAAGAGTCAAGTCTCACTGTTCCTTAGTCAGGAACGCTTGTCACAAGCAAAGGCCTGCTCAGAGAGCCAGTCCCTGAACCCCAAGCCCAGGCTTGATTTGTAAGGGACTGGGCCCATTCCCTGAGGGAGCTCCTGGTGAAAGAACATGTTCAGAAGGCAAACAAGGAAGGGGAAAAACCACACTCAGGACAAAAAAGCATAACAGTAAACACAGAAGTAAAATATCTTCTTCTTTCTGGCAAAGGAAGAGCTTGATGTTACAGTGGGTTTAGCCAGAACAAGCCGGTGATACCTGTTTAGCACAGGGCCCAGCATTTCAAGAGGACTGGGCCTCAGGAAGAACCATAGTTCTCCCATGGTACAGGAAAATACCTGGCCAGCTGTGGATTGCCGTCTTCCTCAGCTTTCTGAAACTGGAGAGCGTATAGCTGTCACTCACCACCTCCATCACTCATCTTCTATTGGCAACAGACGCTGCTAACCCTGTTTCCCTAGTGAGTGTCACTTCAGGGTCTTGAATGCAGCCCTGTGAAGTGCTTCTGAACCAAGGAAGAACATGACAAGCTAATGGAAACTCAGAAAAATAGGGCTGTTTTCTTCTCGAGACTCAATTTAAGATGGCTTGATTTGTACATATTTCTATTGGCAAATCATTCACTGCATGTTTAACAGATGTCCTATAAAAGAGACACAAAGGCCGGGAGCAGTGGCTCACGCCTGTAATCCCAGCACTTTGGGAGGCCGAGGTGGGCAGATCATCTGAGGTCGGGAGTTCGAGACCAGCCTGACCAACATGGAGAAACCCCATCTCTACTAAAAACACAAAATTAGCTGGGCGTGGTCGTGCATGTCTGTAATCCCAGCTACTCGGGAGGATGAGGCAGGAGAATCACTTGAACCTGGGAGGCGGAGGTTGTGATGAGCTGAGGTCATGCCATTGCACTCTAGCCTGGGCAACAAGAGAGAAACTTCGTCAGAAAAAAAAAAGACACAAATTAAAATGTATTAGTTTTTTAAAAGTATAGAAAAATAAGCAGGGCATAGTGGCTTATGCCTGTAATCCCAGCACTTTGAGAGGCTGAGACAGGAGGATTTCTTGAGGCCAGGAGTTCAAGACCAGCCTGGGCAGCATGGCGAGAGAAAAAATTAAAAAATTAGCCAGATGTGGTGGCGTGCACCTGTAGTCCCAGTTACTCAGGAGGCTGAGGTGGGAGGATGGCTTGAGCCTGGGAAGTCGAGGCTGTAGTGAGCTGTGTTTGTGCCACTGCACTTCATCCTGCTTGACAGAGGAAGACCTTGTCTCAAAAAAAAAGTATAGAAAAATAGTGTAATGAGAATAATGGCCAGTGATTCAGCATCTCCTGTCATCAAGTGTTTTCTGTGGTTAGGTGATTTGGCCCTGGCCATGACCCTATCATATAGATGAAAACACTGAGGTCCATGAGATCCATGAGATTAAGCCTCAGGAGGTGGAATCCAGAACATGGATTTCAGCCTGAGGACTTTTGAGCTAAAAAAAATGGCTGGACTTGTCCATATTGTACTTTTCTGTAGCCAGGTGGTTTTCTGAGTTCGAGGTGCATATGCATTTTTTGACCTATAAACACTGAGCCTTAAAGAGCATGTGTAGATCCTCTGTGTGCTTACTCGACAATGAAATACACACACACACACACACACACACACACACACATGCAGGCACTAGCCATGGGTAGTAGCTCTAACAGTGTCTGGTCACAAATTTTTTCAACCTTCCTAGCAGCCTAAATACTAGAGCTGCAAAGAGAAGCTCTGAAGGCACAATGAGAACAGAGGGTCATTCATTAAATCCCCACTCCCTCTGTAATGAAGGGCAGGTGAGTACAGCCTAAAATGGCAGAAGAACCTCAAGCCTGAGTCGTAACAAAACGCCATCAAACCCTGCCTAAAGCTATTCGTCCAAATTAAAGTTCTGCTGAATGTCAAGCCCCAGCCAATTCCACAGCTCCTCTTCCACAGTTACCTACACCCCAGTTTAAAGAGAAAGTAAGACGAAAGTGCCTGATTCACTCTGCCCAAATCAGCTGGCTGACATCGCAAACATGAACACATATCCCGCACATGAAATGACCAGCCCCTTGCAAAACGAACTGGGTTATATTTTGGATAACAAAATTGCATAACAGAGATTAAACCACACAGAATTTGGGCTCAGCCAGAGGTGTTATTATGCAAAACGAAATGGACAGTACCGTTACAGGGTACCCATTACAGGGGAGCAAACCTCTCGCCTTGTTGGCCTGCCAAAAAGAGATATTCCAAGTGTAGAGCATTTCCCAGTCTGACGGATGTTAATTCAATTAGCCACTTTGCCAATGTTGAAATGCCTAGAAACCTTGTCAAAACTCATTTCCTCAGCATACCCGTTCATAAAATCTACAGTCCTGCACCCTCGTTCAGCATCTGTTACTGCATTTCCTGTAACCCTATAACCCTTAAGCTTCTGGGTGTTGCCGAGAAATACCATATATTAAATGTCATTTTAAGGACATTTTAGTTTCTGTTGTTGCTATTATTAATTTTCATGTACCTATAAATTATTTTAACATCATCATATAACACACAGTTAATTTTACTAAAGTGGATGAATGTAAAGAATATTTTACAAGATACTTTAAAAAAACCGATGAGGTTTCTAAAATATGCATTTCAAGATCTTCTCAAGAGGTGTCCATGCAAGATTTTAAAAGATAAATGAGACCCAAAGCCCCTCAAGAATTTGTGTACTTGCTCTTTTAGTCTTAATAGTGACTTAGTAACAACATTTTACAGCTAAAAAGAATCTGAAAAACCATTGCTTACAATGCTGTACTTTTATGTACCTTTTGAGGACAGAAAGGTCCTACAGTGATGCGGTTACTTCCATATTTTTTGCAACTTGTTTAAAAAATGAAATGACGTTTGTATTTTAGAATAAGCGTACAAAACAATAAAAATCAAATCAAATCAAGCAGTTTAGATTTTAACATGTATTACCAAGGTGAGGCTAGCGAAAATGAAAAGGAGCTTTCTTTTAGTTGATTTCTGAGACTTGGAAGAGCATATGTGAAGTGTTCTATGAGGACCACAAGTCTGGGTCTGGATAAAAGCAACACTCAGATCTGCAATGCAGTAGTCCCTAGCCAGTGTGCAAAAGTCACCCCCGTTCTAAGCTGCATGGCAATGAAATAATGTTAACAACCCCACTAGTCATAAAGATACAAACTACACTGAGCCCTTCAGAAGATTCTGTATTTCTCAGATGGCATCAGAAGCTTGAGGGTTATGATTGCTCTGTGACCTTACATATCTAGAGAACTGTGCTATTTAACAGTGCTAAGAGTAGAGTTCAACTCCCACCTCCTCGGACAATGAAATCATTCGGACTCCCTCACTGGGTAGCATTTATGATTCATTGCCACCTCTCCCAAATTTGATCTGTCAGCCCGAGAGGCTAAGTCAGTTGCTGACTCTCTGCTGCTCCCCAACCCCTCCAGCTTACTGTACAGTGAAGCTGTACGGACGGTTATACCTAAGCAGGAGGCTGGGGTCACCTGTGTGAGGGCAGGAAGACAAAGGGATCTTTAAAGATGACAAACGTCAGGCAGCCAACCCAGCCTGGGAAGGCAGTGTTCTCCCTGTTTCCAGGAGGGGTCAAAGTGACATAGTGTGACAATGCCCAGGAAGGCTGTTTTAGACATGGATTTAAATATATTTTCATGAGCCACTGTAAGGTGTTCACAGAGGTGAGACCAGTGAGCCACCCGCCTTTCCTCTGGCATCCAGGAAAACACTTGTGAAGCAAGAAGTATCATGTTACACCAGCCCTTCTCTTCCCAGTTTCTCCTAAAACAGATTCTCCAACTTCAATACGCATTAGAATCACCTGGGCAGCTCTTAAAAATCCCAGTGTCCAGGCCACAGCCCAGAAAAATTCAATCGGAATCTCTGGGGATGGGTCCCAGGCATCAGGGCCTTCTAAGTCTCCCTTTGGTGAATTCAATATGCAGCACCAGTTGAGATTCAGTGTTTCTTAAAGAACCCTTTACAAAAGCAGGACTGGTTGAAGTGGTGTCTATTCAACGGCACAGAACTGAACATCGGCTCTAAATGACTGTTCAGTCGGCTTATTGCAGGACTGGGGAGAAGCACTCACCCGCGGTGGTGATGCGGCTCTTTTCCTGCATAAAATCTACAGACCCTGTCTAATATTTTCCATGCCAGGCAATGAGATCACAAACTCCAAAACATTAAATCAAAACCGGAGGCATTACAGGTCTTCAGTAAAACTTCATAGTCCGTACACAAGGGGGGGGAGAGAAGAAAATTAAAACCATCACCAAGCTGCGGACATATTATATGTGTGAGTGTGTGCATTTTTTTTGTGTGTGTATGTATGCATGTACGTATGTATGTATGTATGTATATGTAGCAAGCATTGGGATGTCATAGCAATTAGAGACAAAAATATGTAGAACAATAATTAGTTAAAAGTGATTGGCTAGGCAGACAGTAAAAAGTTACTCACAAGTAAAAAGAATCCATTTGTGCCTTAAAGAAAGCTCATCATAAAAGATCCTTGATTCCTAACAAGGAAAATGATTTATGCCAAGGTGGGTGGAAATAACAGTGATATACATATGATAAATTAAATGAACATGAAGGAGATCCTACTTTCATGAGAATATTCAATTATAAAGGACTTCAAGACTTCTGAGTTTACAAAACCGTGTAACAAAGTCTTTATTCCAAAATAGCGGTGTTTCTAAATAGTATGCTGGATATAAAAAATAAAAGCCTTAACATCTAATTCTAATCATAATTTTAATGATGGAAGAAATGGATAACTGAAGATGGGAGCAGTACTTTGGTTTTAACACCTGCAGTAGCTGCAGGTGTTAGCGTTCCTTTAGCAAACCTTCTACCTATCTCATTTTCAGGGCTTGAATTATGTTTTTGTGTGGGTGTGTGCTGAAGATTGGAGAGGACTGATCTTTAATAAGAAACTAGACAAGTCCAGGCAAACAAGGACTGGCTTGACATTGTCTTTAATCAAGACAAAGGGCTCCACATGGGTCCTTCACCTTCCTTGTCCATTATTCAGGTTCTATTACCATGTAGGAACAGAATTTCCAAAGCACTACCCTTGCATTCAAGGGCAACACACTTCAAGCTGGTTCCAATTAGGCTGGGCCAGTGTGGATGTCTCACACGCGTCAATATTTGCAGCTGAGCTAGTCAGATCTGCAGGGGTATCCTCTAGACAGCAGGAGACCCTTCTTACTGCTGCCTTTGTGAACAATCCTGCAGGCATTTACACCACCTCCCTCTCGCCTCCCTTCACAAATACCATTTCTATCCTTTGTACCCCTGTGGCTACTCTTAGATCTCCCCTTTTCCAAATACCTGGGAGATATGCCACATGGACATTTCAAGTTTCCCAAATAATTTCCATTTTATTAGTGACATTTAGACTTAATACTGTCACTTAAACATTTTTTGAGTGCTCACTGCGAAGGTGGAATTTTGACCCATGTCTGGAAATTTCTGCAGGCATTAATGTTGATGAAATGAAATTAAATCAGATCTAATTGCACAGTAGAGGTCATTTTATATAAGAGGAAATTGAGGCTTATTTGACATGCTCATTGCCAGGGAAAGAGAGAGACATAATAGCAATCTGCAGAACTCGATTTGGGGCTAGTGAGAATATACACACAAGAATGGCAAGAATGCCAGATCCTCCTGAAGGCTCTAGAAACCGTTTCTTCCTACAAAGGGCACCAACCCTCTGTAGTTTATTTTTATCAGCCAAATTCCACGTTTAAAATATATCTACTCCAAAGTAAATGTTATTAATGTAGTAGTCAGATCCCTGCATTGCAGGGTAGAAAGTATCTCAGATCTTCGTTGCCAATACTCAATTTCCCCCTATTTATTTCTAGTGCAGGTTTCACAGCAAATCTGTTTTCTAATTTGCTTTTTTCTTACATCTCTGAACAGAATTGAGGAGCACTGGTCTTCCACCGTTTTGTTAATCACATTGAAAATGTTCACCTATTCTTTTTTATTCATTTCACTTTAGGAAAATGAAAAAAGTTGTCCTGGCTTCTCTCGCCATGCATTGCCAAGGACGTTGCTCGCTGGTAGTGGCCAGTGTCAGCGGAAACGGTGCTCCATCCACCACAGCTGACCCGACTCATTTTCGATAATAAACATTTCCAGGGTAGCGAACATCATGGAGGCCTAGGCAAAGAACCAACTTTACGACCGCCTTGGTCAGCAGCAGGCCAAAGGAAAATAAGCCGCGGGAATGGGTCCGCGAAGCCAAGGACGTTATTTCTCGCTCTTGGGGGCTCTGTTTTAATGCCAGTTGGCAGGGTCCTCAACACCTTCCATTTGGGGTCTGGAGAGTCTGTGTGTCCTAGTCAGGAGAGGCAGGTTCTGTGCAAAACGCACTCCCCACCTCGTCCTTGAGGATCCACTCTGTTGGGAGGACGCTCTGACCTTGCGCTCCGAGGCGGCGCTCACAGGCGCCAATTCAGAATCTAGTCTTCCTCTCCCCTTCCTCGCTCCCTCCTTCCACCGCCGCAGTCATTCCCCGCGGAGTTTCGTTGTGTTGTTACACAAGCCAGCTTTTGGTTTGTTAGTTGTTCGCATTCCCCCAGGGTTTGCAGCTCCCCGATCTGGCTCAGCTCTTCTTCCCATAGTTTCTTTGCAGCTAGCAGCTCCTCATTTCTCTTTTCGTCAATTTTCTTCTTATTTTTAAGTATGATGTGGCGGATCTTTTTTGCAAAACTACGGGCATGTGTACGTGTGGAGCTTGGTACTATAACCTGATGCATAAAGTGCGTTTTTAGCCCGAGCTGCTTTTTTATTTTCCCCTTCAAACGTAAATTTAAGAAGAAAATTAAGAGACTCAATTTGACTTTGATTTTGAACCACAGGACTCATGGCTCAGTGCTCTTAAAACTCTTAAAAACACAGTAAAAGCGCAGGTCCTGAGCAGAGCCAGGACTCATGCAGGAGCGAAAGCGGGCCTATTAAGGCCTGAGGCTAGGACGTCGTGAGGAAGACCCGGGATCCCGGCCCTGCGGCCCCTGCGGGCTGCTGCTGGTGGGTACCAGCTTTCGTTGTTAGGCCCAAGTCTGGCCAGGGCTCTCGGGGAGTGCCACCTGTGTTTTCTGCCCTCTGTTACTTCCCGCAAGAACCGAAATGCGCACCTGTATGCCCAAGTTGGACTTAAATCAGCTTTTTCTTAAGGTTTCTCCTGGAGTCCTTGAAATGCATGGGCCCGGGGAACATCCCGGCCTATTGCTTGTTTTAACTCCCGGAAACAAACCCACCAAAAATCAAAGCCAAGTATGAGACATGAAGTGGGGGCGACTGTAGCTCCAAGAGCGGCCCTGTCACCGAACCCCTGGGTGTTTAGCAGTGTGAAGTTTCGGGTGTTGAGTTCACGGCTCAGGTGGCGTGCAGCAAGGGAGTTCTCATCAGTAACCCCCCTTGCCGCCAACCCCCAGTCCCCAGAAGGGCAGGCACCCCTTCGCGCCTCCTTTTTGACTCCCGCTTTCGGCAAAGAGTTTACCTCTCTTTCTTTTCCTGCCTTGGGAAAACTGGGCGAGGGCCCGAAGCCTCTGGGGTACCCTCAGATCCATCCTCTGCCCTGCTAGGAGTCCAGCCCCAGGCGGAGGAGTTTTGCCCCAGGTTTCTGAGTGCGCCCTCAGCTAACAGGCTCCCGCGACCCTGGAAGCGGAACTTTGTTGCACTCCGCTTCCAGAGGACGCTGAAATACGGTGCCAAACCCAGCCAAGCAAAAACGCAGAATCCGCGAGCTCTTTACCTCTGTGCGCTCAGCGCTGACTAGTAGCTGTCCCCGGGCCATGGAGAGGGCTAAGCTGCCTCCTTGGGAGGTGGGAGAGACGTTTCTTTTCCTTCTGCAATCTCATCTTAGGGCCATCTCTCACCAAGCCTAGCCTGCAGCTCGGGAACCCGCGATACCCGGCCGGGGGACGACAGGGGGCGACAAACTGTAAGGTTTTCCCTATGCCCGACCGTGCAGAAGGCTGCAGCGAGGGCTGTGTGCTCCCGATCGCGCACAGCTGGCTGCGGGAAAGGGGCCAGGATTGAGACGAAGGCTCGCGGACTCTGCTACCGGGGAGAACCACCCCCTCTCATCGTGCGCAATCCCCAGACTCACCCCTCTACAGTAGCCCCCAGCCACGGGCGGCCTTCACGGGGACGGGGGCGGAGTTTTGTCCTGGACTGCGACTCCTTGCCACTTTTCCAAGCTCGGCAGCAGAGGTGGGGTGGACGTTCCCCTGAAAGGGTAGTTGGGCGAACCAGCTCTCACGGTGTCACGACCGGCTTTATTTCCTCGTCTTTAGAGTGTGCCTGTTGACTCCTCACCTACTGGGGGGAAGAAGCGGCTTTAGCTGCTTTTCCGGATCACGAGTATCCACTGGACTGAGGCAGGGATGTGGCGTTCCTTTATCTCAGAGACTCCAAGGTCTGGAAATCAACCTTTCTTGGTATCTCGCGCCCGACGAAGCTAGCAGATTCCGCAATGGAGAGCACTGGGCAGGGTGCGTCCCCACTCCCCGCACCCCCGGAGCCCCGAGCATACTGTGCGTGCTTAGTCCTCTCTTCGCTGCCTTCGCGGAACTCCTGGCTTAGGCGTGCCCACTTTAATCCAAACCATTCCCTTTCCCTGTTCCTTACTCCAAACCTACGCTGTCATGGACAGGCCTAATCTTCTACATAGCTTCCCCTGCTCCCACTCTCGCACCCTCCTGCCAGTGCACTGACCCTCAAACCTCCTCCAGGTCTCCAGGACCTCCCAGAGCCAGAGACTGTACTGTGTTCATGCCGCCGGAGAGGAAGAGTTCACTTCTTTTAAACCTGATTTTTCTTTTTCCAGGAGTAATTCTTGTCTGTGGCCCCACCGCGTGCTCTCTCTAGAGAGTCCAGGAATTATGAGCCAGTCACTCCTGACAGATACATTTAGACAGGTGGATTAGGAGCCAGGGATGCTCTCTGGCCCTACAGCGGAGGCAAAGGGGTCGGGGCCTCCGCAGCCATGGCTCCCCAGGGTGGGCTGATAGGGTCCATGTGCTCCTCAGCCACTGTCACCGCGCTGGCGCCATACTCAACTCTGGGTGGCTAAGGAGAGCTAGACCCTTGGGGTGGGCAGGAGGGAGGGGAAGAGGGTTCTCTCCTCCAGGGGAGCGCTGGGAGTCTCAGAAACCTCGGCTGTTCCTACTCTCTCCCCTATGCCCTCTTCCTGGTCTAGCACATTCAGCCCAATGCCTTTGGTGCTTACTGGGCTCAACCTCAGAGCTCTCAGATCCTGACCCCCTCAAATCAGTTCATGTTCAAAACCACGAGTTTCCTCCTCTTGGCCCTCACCGCATGGCTCCCGGACACAGTTAGCTGCACAGGTTGGGGAGTTCAGAACTGCTTTGGTGCAGGGTAGAAACAGAGAAATTGTTGATGTTCAATCTCAGGGGTGAATAATTCAGGGCTGCGCAAAACCTCATTTAAATGAAGGAGAAATGACCATTCTGTGGTTTAACAGAGACTTCCTGAAGCTGCAGGTGCTGGGAGAAAGACGAGGCCAGGCCACCTGGGATAGAGTGGTGCGAGATTCCACCGCCAGGGAGAAAGGAACTTGTCCTTCAGACCTAGAGCTGGAGCTATGCATTTGGCCTCCCGCCGGTCGCGCTTGGGGACAGGAGGGCGCCGGATCTATGCGCCCCTTAGCAGCAGATCGGGATCCTTTTGCCTCCTGCCCCTTCTGTCACTGCTTGGAGAGGGATGAGTTCTGGTGGCTGGGCCTGGCTGTAGGAGACAGGATTTGGACCGTGCCCCTCTCGCATCACCGAAATCACCCCCACTATTCCAAGAGTGGTTGGCTATTAAACGTGAAGATTTCCTGAGAGAAGGATTGAGGACCTGGCCAGGAATGGGACACAAGTTCCGCCTTGTGTCTTCCTGACAGGAGCCCTGCACCGCGCTGGACGCTCACCTTGACACTCCCAGCCAGCTGGGGTACTGATCCCACCCTTCCCCGGCCGCTGCCCCGGGAGTGGGGAGGTAGAGAGAGCCACACCCGAAACACCTTTCCACGATAAACTTTTATTCTCTATCTTATTATTAATGGTGGCGGAAATAAAACTAAAACCAAAACGAAAACGAGTACTAGTACTAACACACTAATCAATTTGAGATGACTTCCCCCTCATTCCCAAAGCTAGAGGAGGAAGGGGGCTGAAAGGGGCTCAGAGCAGTGGAAGGTCCCAGGCCCAGCTGGGGTTGGGACGTGTGTGTGTGTGTGTGTGTGTGTGTGTGTGTGTGTGTGTGTGTAGAGGGGTGGGTTCCGGGGGGGTGGTGGAAGAGGGCCGAGGGGGGAGGATAGAAGGAGGGGGTAGAGTTTCAGGGCGGGGAGGGGGGCGCTGGGGCGCAGTGACGGGAACCAATGAGCTGCCAACTCGCGCGTCTCCGGCGTGACTGCCGAGATTGACGTGGAGGACACGTCAAATTGATTCCCGCACGCTGCAGCCTCCCGGTCAGACGAATTTCTCCCAATCGGATGAAGTTCACCCTGGGCCTGGGGTCGCGGGCGTGGAGAGTGTCCTGGGAGGGGGCAGCAGCGGCGGCGGCAGGCCCTGGAGCGGGCGGCAGCGCGCTCCGCTGCCGCGCACAGCGCGTCTCCAGCCCGCGGCTGGGCCGCCGCGGCTCTCGGCTCTCGGGCGCCCTCCCTCTATGCCTCTCACGCGGCGGCGGCGGCGCCCAAGCTCTCCCGGACTGCGCCGGGCCCAGCCCCGGCCACCCCGGCCACCCCGGCGCCAGGCAGCTGGCCGGCCCGCTCGCTATGGGTAAGGGGCGGGCGACAGGCAGGGCTCGGGAGGGCTGATGAGGTGGGTCGGGTCCGCCTGCCTCCCTTCCCTCTCGTCCGCTTTCCCTGGGCGACCCAGTCCTGGGTCCTGGAGAAGCTGCATTCTCCTCTGATCCCCAGCCTTCAGGGGGCAGTTGAGCAAGTCTGGGAAGGGAGTGTTCCAAGTAGACGCGCTAAAAGTCGCGAAAGGGCACGGAGGGCTACAATGCGCCGCGCTCCACTCCGCGGCTCCTCTGCGCCCTTGCCCACTCCAAGCCAGACCCAGGCGGTTTGCCCTTGGACTCCGAGCTGTCTGGGGACCCACAGGTCACCTTTGGAAGTGCGCCTGGGTGCAGTCCCTCGCTCCGCGTGGGGACCCTTGGCTAACCCGCCGGGTGTTTTCTCCCCCTCCGGCTCACTCTTGTCTGGCGCATCCGCAGAGCAGACGTATGGCGAGGTGAACCAGCTGGGCGGTGTGTTCGTCAACGGCCGCCCCCTGCCCAACGCCATCCGCTTGCGCATTGTGGAGCTGGCGCAGCTGGGCATCCGACCCTGTGACATCAGTCGGCAGCTCCGCGTATCCCACGGCTGCGTGAGCAAGATCCTGGCGCGCTACAACGAGACCGGCTCCATTCTGCCCGGGGCCATCGGGGGGAGCAAGCCCCGCGTCACCACTCCCAACGTGGTCAAGCACATCCGGGACTACAAGCAAGGAGACCCTGGCATCTTTGCCTGGGAGATCCGCGACCGGCTGCTGGCCGACGGCGTCTGTGACAAGTACAATGTGCCTTCGGTGAGCTCCATCAGCCGCATCCTGCGCAACAAGATCGGCAGCCTGGCGCAGCCCGGACCGTACGAGGCAAGTAAGCAGCCGCCGTCGCAGCCTACGCTGCCCTACAACCACATCTACCAGTACCCCTACCCCAGTCCCGTGTCGCCCACGGGCGCCAAGATGGGCAGCCACCCCGGGGTCCCGGGCACGGCGGGCCACGTCAGCATCCCGCGCTCATGGCCCTCGGCACACTCGGTCAGCAACATCCTGGGCATCCGGACGTTTATGGAGCAAACAGGTCAGTTGTGGCGGCCTCCGTAGCCTTCTATTAAGGGGCAGAACCTGGGGCGGGCAGGCTTGCAGGAGAGGACTCACACTCGCTCTCCTCCCGGGACCGGTTCTGGCTCAGGGGAGGGCTCCACACTGGCCAGGGAGGCTGGGGGTCCTGGGCCTTTTGTAAGAGACCTCGGACATCTTGAACTTTTTATGACAAATATGGAAAATATTTCCCAAATAGAAGAGCAATCGCCGACCACAAATTTGGAGGCCTGAAATTGTGCTTTTTCATTCTTGCAAAAAGTATGCAAGCCCCTGTTGCCAAATCTAAGGGGGAAAAAAACCCGCTCAATTTTGAGACCCTTTCTTTAGCTCTCAGAATCCTTCACGATTTCCCAAGGGTTCTGTCCCCCACTCCCAGGCCCAGTGGCTCTTCTGAGTTAAAGGAAAAGGGATCTTGTGGTCGATTGAGTGGCCTACATCTCTAAGGTCCTGTGGCCTTGCAGGTCCTGGAGTTTGCGGTGATGGCTGGTGGGGCTGCAGCCACCTTCACAAGGATTTGTCATTTATCTGCAACTAAAGCTTAACACACTATAGGTCAAGTGGGTGACGAGGAAGATGGGGAAGGCGGGAGGTTTGGAACAACTTTGATGCCTGGCTGGGAAAGAAACCAGCCAGAATCGGGTCTGGATTTCTTTGCGCTCTCCCCAGCTGCCAGCAGCTGGCCAGGGGATGGCACACTCTTAGGTGATCAGACTCAGGAGGAGGGCAAGAAGCAAAATTCACCATAGCCTAGGAGGAAAGAGTGGTGGCTGGAAAGAAACTGTGAGTGCTCAGCTCCAGCAGCAGCAGCGCCTCTGTGGCCCTGCTCTGGCTTTGTGTCTCCTGGTGGCTCTAACCCAGCCTAAGGCTAAAGCTTCCCATGGAATGGCAGGGGTCTGGAGGTGACCCCACCAAGCCTGCACGCAGATCTGGAGGTTTCCCTTGGTTCCTGGCACACACAAGGGCCCGGGGAGCAGCTGTGTGCTTCTATCTGACCCGTGGGGACAACAATGTTGACGCTTCTTTTGGGAAACCCTGGGCGTTTCCAGAGGCAGTTCTCGTAGAATCGTCTCCCTGCCCTCCAGAGGCTTGTGCAGATGTTGAGAAATCAATACAATTTTCATGAGGTTGCTGTAGCTTTGAACTCGGAAGTTTCTGGGAGCCGTGTCTGGACAATGGAGCGGCCGCTTTGGCCGAGTCTGCCCAGGCTTTGACTCAGCAGCAGCCTCCCGTTCGTGGGAAACCGGTTGAAGGCTAGGAGGACCGGGCAGCAGGCCTGGCTGCCTTTCCTCCGCCCCACCCGGAGTGGTGAACATTCCAGTCCCTGCCGCCTCCTGGTGGAGTGTCAGGCCACCTACAAATTTTGTGGGACCCCTGGCCGTGTCTTCAGATACAAATTGGGTGGTTGGCCACACGTGTGCCCAGGGCAGATTCGGAGGCACCTTTTAATCCGTCCTCTCTCTCCTGCAGGGGCCCTGGCTGGGAGCGAAGGCACCGCTTACTCTCCCAAGATGGAAGACTGGGCCGGCGTGAACCGCACGGCCTTCCCCGCCACCCCCGCAGTGAATGGGCTAGAGAAACCTGCCTTAGAGGCAGACATTAAATACACTCAGGTAACCAGGAGGCACGTGAGGCCGTGACCTTAAGTAGGGAAGCAGAAGGTTTGGGCAAGTGGGGAAAAAGAGAGAGAAAGAAAAGAAAAAATTTCCAGGCAGAGAGATGGTTGTATCTGGCAGCCGGCTAGCAAGCGTCCTTTCTGTCCTTTCCTCAAGCGTACTAGTTTGGGAGAGTCTGACTTTAGAGGGGTTGACTTGCCTTTGCCAAGATAGCTTAGCTAAAAAAAGCTGGAACTCCAGATGACGAATCCACAGTCAAGGGCCTTCTTTCTCTAAATCCCGATATGAATACCATGACCCCTTCACATCGTTATTTGTAACAGTTTGAGTGAATTCTTAGAAATCACTTTGCCAAAGAGTCCTGACTAGGAAATTTAGAGGCCAGGCCTCGCATGGGGATAATGGATGGGCACAGGACGTGGGGGAGCGATAATGGACGAAAACCCCCGTCTCAGTGATGGCGTGGGCTAGAGAAGGCAGGATTTTCTGCTGCTGACGGTCCCTCTCTATCCCCACAGTCGGCCTCCACCCTCTCTGCCGTGGGCGGCTTTCTCCCCGCCTGCGCCTACCCGGCCTCCAACCAGCACGGCGTGTACAGCGCCCCGGGCGGCGGCTACCTCGCCCCGGGCCCGCCGTGGCCGCCTGCGCAAGGTCCTCCTCTGGCGCCCCCCGGGGCCGGCGTAGCTGTGCATGGCGGGGAACTCGCGGCAGCAATGACCTTCAAGCATCCCAGCCGAGAAGGTGAGGAGCGCAGGGAGTGGGGCGGGTGGATGCTGGAAGGGTTAGGAAGGGTACTGGGGAGCGGGTGTGAGCCTGGGAAAAGGGAGAGCGGGTGGGGAAGAGGTGGGTCCTGGGCATGAACCCTTCTTCTGGGTTAACCTTTGAGCATGTAGCTTCTTGGAGCAGATTAGTTCTGACAGGTGTCCCTATAAAGGTACCCGAGGTTGAGAGAGACTGGCCCCAAGACTGTCCCCTCCACTTATGATGGGAGAGGTGAAAGGAGGTCCTTCTGGCACACAGGACGCGTGGGTTTGGATCCGGTTCTGGCACCTTCGACCAAGTTCCTGCTTCTTTCTGGGTTTCTGTTTCTCCATCCAGAGACACGTCTAGCAGGCACCCTCCAGGCTCACCTTTCTGTAGACCTGTTCTGGCACCTAAGCCCTTTAGGTGGGGTTGGACTTGCTAGTGGCACCTAACCTCCATCCCCAGACCCTTCCCGTCTCTGCCCCACTGCCCATCTGTTTTTTCCAGGTTCCTTAGAGAGAAAAAAAGGCGTTTGGATTCTTTTTCTTAAATACACACTGTGGGAAAGTAGAGGCCATGTGAATCAGTGTCCTTTACTCCAGGCTCAGGAGCTTTCTGTGGTTGTGGGTGGTGGTGGTGGTGGGCGGGTGGGGGGGTTCTCTCTTTCTGTGGAAAATGTGCCTGGGAGTCTTGCCTCCTTTTCCGCTTCCTCCTTCTCTTCCTTTTCCATAAGTCCACTTCCTGAAAAGTCGAGGAACAGATTTTAGGTATTTCACTGACAGTCAGCAGTGTGAGGGGGATCTTCTCACACAACCAGGAGGGTTCCAGTTTTTCCTTTAACTTGGGAAAAGCTCACCAGCCCTTGAGTCCTCATTTTCTTTGTTGTTAAAAGGAATGGCTTGATTTGCTAAGTTCAAACTTGCCAGTGCTTAGGTTCTGAGCACCAGAAATTTGCAACTTCAACCAACCTGGGAAAGGAAAGGGTCACCCCAGGTCGTCCCAGCCCCAGCAGAGAAAGAGACAAGGCACAAACCTGGGGGACAGCGTGGAGTTCCCAGATTATAAAAGGATTTTTACTAGCTGCTTTGCCTCCACCTGTCCAGGGCTGGAAGCGAGGTGGATGTAGTGGCAGGTGGCAGTGGGCAGGCAGGGGACAGGAGGGCCATCCTCCTTGGTGCTGCCCAGGCAAAAAGTGCTATTTCCAAGTAGTCTTGATAAGATAGGAGGGCATGCCCTGGGGAGTGGGGGTGGGGTGGGGGGCAGGAAGGAAATAAAGATGCCATCCACAACAGTGAAATGAAGGGAGAAAAATACTTTTTCTATTTCTACCTTTCCTAGAGCACAGACATCCTGGGATATTAGGATAATGTTCACTTGCCTAGTTACAGACAAATCCAAATAAGGAAAATTTATAAAAATTGGGATTTAGAGCTCTTTTAAACTTTAAGTTTAATTTAAATAGGATACTATCATTTACTCATTTATAGAAAAATCCAAGTGAAGGAAATGTTAAAAGTTGAGAGTAAGAACTCCTTTAAGCTTTATGTTTAAGGATAGTTAAGGGGTCGCAGATGAGCGCTTCACTCATCCTCAGCCTCCAATCAACCTGTTTTCTCAACAACTGAGGTTATCTGTCGAAATCGAAATCAAAATAAAATTTACCACATTACACAAATCACTTAAATAAGCAGGTTCTTTTGAATTAAAAATGTATAACCACAGATTTGAAATATTTCACTGGGTTCATCTTAAGGAGAAGGAAGACTTAGAAAAAAGACCCACAGTCTTCAGAGGAATGCATTTGTTTTCAATAGAGCCACTTTGCCCTGGAGGCATTTTAAGCTCTACATTAGACACAAATTATAAAGTGCAGATAATAAGCCAAAGGTAACACACACAGTTCCTAATTCTAAACTACCTGTCTTAATTTGTGGTGGAAGTTGCGGGGAAGCTGATTTTAACATTAAGCCTCACTGGTGATTGATTTTCTTTAGAAGACACTTTCCTTTTCAGAAATACAGGGTCATTGAATGGTGCTGGCATAAGTCCCTTTTACCATTATATCAGTTTCCTATTATGTAATATCCCACCTGTTTTTAAAAGCTACAGCAATAATTTGTTACTCTAGTTATTAAATTAATAATTTAATTTTGTGGTCCTCCAACTTCTTTAAAGGTTCTAATAAAAGATAATCAGATAACTTGGGGACACCATTAGCAATGATTTCTCAAGCTGGCATGCAACTGTTTGTGTTCGAACAGGAATGTAGAAATAATCATTCATTATCTATCTATATTCATAGCCTGAGAATTACATACATGCTTGGGTTATGGATTTTTACTCCTTACTGGTAGAACAGCTGACTTCAAAGATCTATTCCCTCAACACAACTGGTCTTTGGAAAGACAGAAAAATAATAAGAATCACTGCCTTTTATTTTCTGATCAGTTCTTAAGAAATTAATATCTTCAAAGAAACCTGTCCCAGAGGACAATTTACTATCAGCAATTGTTCAATTCATAAGAATAGTGAGAATAGTATTTAGTGAACTCCTTTTCAGTAAGAAAAAATTCTTCTGTGTAATGAAAAGCAATTTAATACAATAAATGCTCAGTAAAAGCAAATACCTTTGATCACCTAACACATACACACCACACACGCACAGTGCAATATATATCAATATGTCCTCCAAATTAGTGCAAATGAACAGCTTAACAGTTACCCTAAGTGAAACTTAATCAAATGTCAAATCGAAAATTTAGCATTTAATTAGATATTAATTGATTAATTGTGTTATTTAATACTATAATTCATTTTTTTCTTATTTTTTAAAAAGGTAGTGAGTCTGGGTTTCCTATTATGTAGGTAAAAAGCATGATTTACATTTCCCATCCCCTGAAAGGAAACTTTAATTTTTGGGAATTGAGAAGAATAGAAAAAGTTTCGCTTAATCTTCACTTGGAGAGGCTGACATTCTAGGAATCTCCACCCACATCCAAATGTCTTTTCATAGCCAGGGCACGACCATCTCCCCTTCCCCACCCTTAGGTGACAGACACCACCAGATGCTCCCTCAAGACAGCTGGTATTTACAGGATGTTTTCAGAGACCCTCGAAACCTCAGGGTTTTAAGTCCCTCCTCGTGGGGCTCTGGAATGACTAAAGATTTGGAAATCAAATCTATAAGATACTGCATACGCACAAAGAAAATGTATTGCTTTTATTTGTTAAAGATAACTTGCAGCTTCGCTCCAGTTACCTCTGCCTCGGGATTGGTTCTTGGAAGATCCTAAAAGTAAACTTTGTCAAAGAGCACTAGGTCGCTGGCATTGTCGCACCCGGACGCTGGCAACCCCGGCCTCCGTTTGACCCAGCCCCGGGGATCCCTTCCCAGACCCGTGCCTCCCCTCAGCGGTGGTCTCAGAGTGCCCTGCAATTGCAGTTGAATATTTAAAAAATGCCTCTCCCCATTCTTAGCCCCTGAATTAAATGAGCCTGACCTAGGCCCCGGCCTCCGAGGGCCCAGAAGTACCCACCCTTGTTGTCCTATGGAGGGAATGGAGGGCAGGAGGGGCCCTATGAGGAAGGATGGCTTGGACAGGGCTAAAAACACAGCAGGATTCGCCCCTGTAGGGTGGGATGCAGTCTTCCTGGGTGTTTATTTTTCATGAGTTCAGTTTCTTGCTTGTCTCTAAGGTAACCGTCCCTTGGCTGAGAAACCTCCACCTCCTCAGATGTTTTCTAAACAGGTCCTCACTTTGAAGTGTGTGTCCACGGTAGAAAGAAAAGGTCTGAATACTTGTTGGCTGGGCGGCCACAACTTTGTTTAGGAAAAAGAGCTGAGAGCCAGGGAAAAGCAGAGGGGCCGCTCTGTCCTGGGAAGGTCTTTAGACCTCTTTAAAACCTCAACGAAACCGTGTGTTTTCTTTTTTTTTTGTGTGTGTGTGTGTGTGTGTGTGTGTGTCTTGCACAGAGGTGGTTGGCCCAGCTCTGCGCAGCCACAGCAAGTTGCGCCTGAGGCTGAGGCGAGGGAAGCTGCAGGAGAAAAAAAAATCCAGAGTTCCCCTTACTTCAAATCGAGGCGCTCCAAGCTCCCCCTTTAAAGGAGGACTTGGGGAAAAAAGAAAATTGAAAATAGGCCCCTGTAGGTATAAACAAACTGTGGATCCTAGTGTAGGAGAAGCAGAGTGGCTCAAGGTTGGGAAAGGAAAAACAGGCTTGCGCAATCGTGGCGTCACTTTCTGGCTTCCGGTGGCAAAACTTGGGCCCCTTCCCAAGCCCCTAAATAATAGAGTAAGGCGCAGAATACTGCCCGATCTGGCAATCCCACTGTCACTTAATCCGGAGGCCCACAGGTCCCAGGACGTGCTGTGCCCACAGTGGTGAGCGCATCTGGATCCCCGGACCTCGTGGGCACAACGTAGTCTGCCGCTCACTTAAAGCGCAACTGCCTCCTACGTCGGAGGAATCCAGGCCGCTCCAGGGAAATCTCTGGTGGCTCATTTCCCGCAAGATTTCCCCCTGCCCACAGCGAGCTCCGAGCCGCGGGTGTCAGCGGACTCGACGCATTGGCTGCTCTTCGCACTTGTGCGGGCGCCTGGGGTTTGGAAAGGGTGAGGGTCCGCGCAACGTTAGAGTCCTGTTCCCTTCTGCGGAAGTCGCCATCAGACCTGAAACCTTCCCAGCCCTCTGCGCCCTTCACTTCCTTTACTGAGCAGGTGGTGAGGGGGTTGGACGGCAACGGGAATTGCACCTGGCCAGCGGTCAGTGTTTGCAAATGGCCTTGCGAGGAGTCCCGCTTGCCAAGGCTCTCCTTGCAAGTGGCTCTCCTAGCGGGAGAGGAAGGGCTGGTCGCCCACGGAAGCTTGGGGTCTCTGGAGAGCGCGAGTCTCTGCTTCACTCTTCCAGAGCCTTCAAGGGTTGAGCGCTCACGACCTCGCTCTGCAGGCGTCCTGAGTCCCAGTGCCTCTCGCACTGCGCGGCGCTAGGTAGTGATCCGACGCCTCTGTGCTTCCTCCCGCAGTGGCTGACAGGAAGCCTCCCAGCTCCGGCAGCAAGGCCCCGGACGCCCTCAGTAGCTTACACGGACTGCCCATCCCGGCCTCGACCTCCTAGGGGCAGCTCTCCCCGGACCCGAGCCCGGAGGGAACGGCAGGCGGACCCGGGCGCACAGGTCTGCGCGGCGGCCCCGGCAATCGGCACGGGCAGGATCGGAGGACTCGCGGAGGAGGAAGCCAGTGCCGGCCCGCGGGGTGCACGCCCAGCCAGCCCCCAGGCCCAGCCCTGCCTCTGGCCGGACCCACCACACTTCCTTTATTGGTCTGGGTTTTTAGGCTTCTCTGAACTTGGGTTTTAGACTGCCGTACCCTCCTCACAATCCTTGCTCTGACGTGGCCTCCTTCGCTCTGCCAGCTTCAAATTTCTTTTTTGTCACTCCCTTGTCCGTCTCCGTCTCGCCTCTCTCCCTGTTTCCTTCCCCCCTCTTTCTTTCTCACTCTCCCTCCCTTCCCTTTCTCTTTCCCTTCCTCCCTACCTTCCACCCCGGCTTTCCCCGACCTTCCAGGGCTCCCTCTGCCCTTCCACTCTCTTTTCCTTGCTCCGACCTCTGCTCCAGTCCCGCTTCTTCCCCCGTCTCCTCTTTCTAGTCCTCTATATGCTATCAGCCCTTTTTCCTGGTCCATCCCTGTCGTTCCTTCTCTCTCTGTCTCTGGTTCTACTGTCAAGGGCCCTAGTTCCCTTTGTTTTACTGCTTCCCCAACCCTCCCTCAGTCCCTGAGAGCCCTAGAGCCATCTCGGTGACAGTCCCTTCTCTGGCACCTGGGACTTTGTAGCCTTCACTCCTCTGAGCCCACCAGCCCTAATGGAGGGGGGCTCAAACCTAGGAAGTGGACAGAAAAGCCACAGCCTTTATTTTGTATTTTTTTTGTAATAACAAACCCTAAAAAACCCTCCATGAACTGTCCTCTCCCGTCGATCCCCGCAGCATATTGTCTGGAAATCTGTTTTCTTTCTCAGAGCCCAGTGGCCGCCGGGCTTCTCTTCCCTTCTGAGATGATGTCACCCCAAAGAAGACTGGGGTAGGAGTAGGGAGCACAGGGGTTGTTGGTGTTTTCAGTGCTTAGAAAACTGGGTTGTCCTGCAGGTGTCTCCTCCCACCCCTCCACTCGCAACACTTGCTAGGGAATCCGACCAGTGGTAAACACATCAGCACTTTTTGGTGTTCAGGGGTCAGCACATTTGTTAATTTAAACCACAGACTGCTTCCAGGTACAAAGGTTCATTTGGACTTCTGGTTTGCAAGGGATGAGGGTTAAAAAAAACAAAACAAAACAAACAACAACAACAACAAAAACAACCCAGAAAGTATCTTCTAGAGCCAGCCGCAAGAGCTGTGAGCTGCTTCCAAGTTAGGCGAGCTGGTGGTGGTACCCTGGACATAATGCAATTCTGTAGTCAGAGCAATATCCCTGGCGAGAGCCTGACATCGCCTGTTAAAGGTGGCTGCCTCTGAATAAAGGAAAGCGTCTGAAAGGTGTGTGGTGAGGTGAGCAAGTCTGTTTCTGAGCGCAGAGTGTTGAGTTCTTACTCCGTAGCTACCCTCTCCCCTGAGTTCCTAGGATGAACACTATCAAGGGAAATTATGCAGAAACCACCTTGAAATGCAGTTAATTCTGAAAAGAGTAAAATGGGCAAAAGGCAATGAGCCAGAATGGAGGATTTCTTCAGAACATTTCTAGTATTCTAAAAGCTAAAGAAGACAATCCCAGGCTACCAAGTAATCTAGGGGGTTTGCACTACAAAGGGGCTTCCGGCTAATTGTTTTTTTTTCCTGCCTCTGTTTGACCTTCTAAAACTGATGGAAGAGATTTTTGAATTGAAGTTGCTGTTTGTGAGTGGAGCTGCCTGCTTGGTGTGTGCACTGGTCCCACCTAGGGGACTAGTGGTAAACAGTTTTTGTTTCAACTCTTTTTGATAGTATCTGTTGAAGGTATCAATTATAAAAAAGTACTTACTTTTTTCCTAGAGAGACTCTTCTTCTCAGATTCAAAGTCTCTTGTCTTTTTTTTTTTTTTTTTTTAAAGTTTCACTTTGTAGACAGTGTTAGTGATGGCTAGGGATTTGATTTATTTTCTTTAGACCACATAGCAAGGTATGAATTAGAGGGCTTGTGCTTGGAAACTGGGTGACACTATCTCATCAGAGAGGCAGGATTGAGACTTGGACTTTGAGACTGAAGTCCTCAGCCTTCCATGGCAGCATATCCTGTAGAAGAGCTTGTCATACTGATAATAGGAAAAAAGTATGACAGAGAAGCATGTTCCCAAGTCCCCCATCCTCTCAGCCTGTCTCCTTGTGCTTAGATGAGCATTGCATGCTCAGTGGTGACATCCTGGACAGAATTTTCATGCACCCATTTGTGCTGCCTGGAGAAGGACTGGCTTGCTCAGGCCAGGAGGAAGACATCACATCCCTTTCTGAAGGAATGAGAAGAATCTATATGACAACTTCTACCTTTGAGTTGTCACCATCCCCATTTCCCTGCTATGGCCCACTTCTGTGTTTGAGCTGATCAGGGTTATGGGGGAGAAGAGCTGGGAAATGCGCCCCAGGGTGGATGCAAAGCACCTGTGTTTTAAGTGCCACCTGCAAAGGGAGGCATTTTTCAAATCTGCCTCTTGTTCCCTGTATCCTGTGGCTGGAGGCGGGTCTTTGAGTTCCCTGGCTCTGGGGCGAGCATTCACTGAGGATAGGCAGCCTTCGTCCCAGAGCCAGCAGGCTCTGACATTTCATGTGGGGTGTGGAGGGACATACCCCCTCTCTCGCGGCTGGGGGTCACGGAACATCTTAGTGAACTTGGCTTAAATCTCTGCTCCACTGTATGTGTCAGGGGACTGGGACCTCTTGGAACCTGTCTGTGAAATGTAGCCTTCAATGCAGTAACGCGCACGGTGACCTGGCCTGTAGGAAGACTGCCACTGGTGTGGCCTCACCTCTCTGGAGACAATTTTGCTTATCTGTTAACAAAAGTTAGAGGAATCACTTGTAAGGTTGGTGGGAGACCCAGAATTTAAATATTTTCCAAAAGATCCCATTGGAATATTGCACTTTTGCTCTTTGTTCGTATGGATCTGTGGAGGAACTGAGAGCTCATAATAAAATTATGCAGCACCACGTCAGGTAGAATAATTTGAGAAACAATCACTCCCTAAACGCAGTTTGTCTTTGCCTTTCATTTTTTTAATTTAAGAATAAGTTTTTTTTAGAAAAATATAGAGATGTAACCCAAAGAAAATAAAGACATAATCAGATAGCCCTCTGATTTTTTGAAAGAATAGAAATAATATATGCGTATCACTAAAAAACTCAAGCAGTACAGAAACATTAAAATGAAAAGTGGAAGTTCTTCCTGCTCTCATTTTTGTTCTTAAAGGTGAATGCTGTTATAGTCTTTTGTGAATCTTTCCAGGAAAAACATGCATGCGGGAAAATATGTTTCTGTCTATGTGTTATTTGAAAGTGCACACTAATGAGTTGTGCTGTGCACACACAGACATGAGCTGAAGATCTGCTCTTTGCGTACCACCAGCTTCAGCTCCAATGTACCCACTTTATTCTCGTGAATGGATGTCTATTACCGAGGATTTATTAAAAACAGGGTATTTGTAAAGAGGGCCAGCTTCGTGCTTTAAATGAATAAAGACAGGATTTTGTTGTGTTCATTATTGGAGGAAGTACTTGCAATGGATTGTAATAACTTCCCTGCCAAAGGTAGCTGTTTTTTGGCAAGAAGTAAGGAAAACAAACCAAAGGAAAGGAGGATTGAGGGGCAAGAGGCATGAAGTTTTGCCCTTCTTGAATATGCCCCGAGTTGTTCTACAGATCACTGAAGGGCATTTGAAGGTGTGAGGGGAAGGCTTCCTCTCCTTTGGAGGGAGTCAGTCTCTCTGGGCCAGGAAAGAGACATGGAGGCAGAGGGGTGCGGGAAAACCTTGTGTGAAGAAATACTGGCTACAAATAAAGTTTAGATTTTCAATACTGGCACAAGCATTTTTTTAAACCTATCCCAAATTCAATTTACTAAAATCCACGTGGAATTAACCTCCTGACGAGTGAACCCCACTCACTGACAACAGTATTTCTGCCATTTGTGTGTTTCTGGTAAGAAGGATGGAATTTATTTAATTGAACTGTGGTTTCGGTAAAGCACACTGTAGATTTCCTGGCATCAGCTTCCCTAGCTAGGATTACATTGGCCTGGGTTTCTTTTCAAAAGAAACTCTACCTGCCCCATGTAATGCTGGATGATATGAATTTAGAATCTTGCTAGAATGTGCCTGAGGAACTCAGTTGAAAGGACTGTGCATCCAGACAGGCTATATAATAAGAAACATTTGAATCCCTTCTTTTAATGGGCAAGATTTATGCACAAAGTGGTATTTGGTTTTCACCTTGACCTTGCTGTCTGAACCATAGCCTTACTCACTGAAGAAATGTCCTATGGTTGAGATATTTCTAGCCAAACGTTTGTATCTCAACCTTAAATTTTTTTTTCGTTTTTTTTTTTTTTTTTTTTTTAACAGAACAAGGAAGAATCACACTGTCTTCTTTTTCAAGGCCATAAAATGAGAACCACACATTTAGCCCCAGTCCAACTTGGGAATTCTAAACACTTGGAACAATTATACTCAGTTTAGTCTAGTCCTTTCTTTGGAGTTGAAACCAGTTGAAACTCCTGCTGCACTCTAAAGAGCTCTTGTCCAGGAGATGCAGCCTGTGATTCTTGTTGGAACACACATCTGTTTCTGGCTGGCCAAATCCAAAAGTGGAATCCCAATTGCAGTTTTCATGGGTGGCAGAATTTCAACTTCATTATAATGTAACCACCTGGGTTGCCTTCACTTTTCTTTTTCTTCTTAAGGATGAAATAGGCAGATAAGTATTCATTCAGCTATTAAATTACATTTCCATCCTGTAACGTCTTATTTCCTTTTTCTCTGGTGAAATATATTGACTTGATGGATTATCTGCAGTGTCATTTCTTATATAGACCTCACAATTTTAACTTTCAGAGTTTCTTCCAGTCATTTGCGGATGTGGTTTTAGCTTTGTAAGATTTTATTTTACCCCAAACAACAAACAGCAAAACAAAAATTACTAGATGGTTTTGATTTAACAACAATCTCTTGGATGAAAAGTAAGCAAGATATTTAAATGAATGGAAAGAAATTGACTTCTTAAAAAATTGAATTGGAGCCTGAAACTTGTGAAACATAAAAAATAAAATGCTTCTCTGGCAAACAAGTTGTAATATGATTAGCTTGAACCGGGAAGCTGAAAGTATTATTCTGGCCACCAGGGGGAGCACATATTGTTCCAGGAGATGAAGACAAGCATGAAGATAAATAATACAATGTAAAAGATTTGTCGTTTTGTTAAAGTGGCGACTTTCCTGTTGTGAAGGTCTACTTAGAAGAGAAGGGCTCTTGCTGTTGTTGTTGTTATTATTATTATTGTTAGCCAGATGCTCGCACATGTGGTAAAAAATGGACTTTCTAGGCTCATCAACACATGACTTAGCAAACAAGTTAGCTTAGACATCAATAGCACCTTGAAAATAAGTTTCACTTCCAACTTTGACTCTAATATATACATAGATTGAAGTCTTTGAGTTTAAAATAAACATATGTGAATTTTAAAAGCAACTAGCCAGGCACAGTGGCTCACACCTGTAATCCCAGCACTTTGGGAGGTTGAGGAGGAAGGATTGCTTGAGCCCAGGAGTTTGAGACCATCCTGGGTGACCTAGCGAGACCCCATCGCTATCAAAAAAAAAAAAAAAAAAAAAAAAAAAATTAGCTGGATGTGGTGTGCATGCCCATAGTTCCAGCTACTTGGGAGGTTGAGGCAAGAGGATTCCTTGAGCCCAGGAGAGGGAGGCTGCAGTGAGCTGTGATTGCACCACTGCACTCCAGCCTGGGTGACAGAGTACGACTCTGTCTCAAAAACAAAAAACAAAAAACAAAAAACCAACCTAATCTAAACTGATATTTTTGGGAAATAAAATCAATTTCATTTATATTTGTGAAATTTTAATTTTTTTGGTTCATTTGAGTTTGTCTCTCATTTTAAGCAACTTATCTATATTTAGTGATCTTTTTGAAAGTTTTAATCATTTAAAGTGACAATACAATATTTCTCTGTAAGGACCAACGTATTACAGAGGCAACAAACAGCAAGGAAAATGATTATCTTCTCACTCTCTATTTATTTTAGGATAAAATCCAGAAAGATTACCATGGGTGAGGCAACGATAATTTATTTCTTAGATTTAAAAAAAGGAGCCTCTCTTACCATCTGTAATGTGGTCGTTTGCACATATTTAACTCAGAATACCAGCTGTGGAACATCTTTATGCAGGAAGCAGTTTAGGAAAGGATAGGGGATGTGTAGCTAAAAGTTGGCAGAGCTATCTGGTTCAAAGTCTCAGTTTTACCACTTACCAGTTGTGTTGCTTTGGGTAAATTTAGGCAAAACCTTTCAGCCTTAGTTTCCTCATCCGTTTAATGGAAATTATACCTCTCTCCCTGGGCTGCTGTGAGAACTAAATGTAATAATATACATAAAGAGTAGGGACTTGCTTTGGGTCACAGTCAGCTTTTATTAGTGTTATTATTGTTGCTGTTTTCTTCTTTTTCTTTGTACATCAACGTTTTATGGTGAATTAAATCGTGTTTTAACCTTGTAGACCACATTGGCTATTACATATATATATATAATATATATGTAATATATATATGTAATGTATATTATATATGTAATGTATATAATATATGTAATGTATATAATATATATGTAATACATATATATTATATATGTATATAATACATATATATGTATATATATGTATGTATATATATATGTATATATGTATATATATATGTATATAATACATATATATACATATATATTATATATGTAATACATATATAATATATATGTAATGTATATATATGTAATGTATATAATATATATGTAATACATATATAATATATATGTAATGTATATTATATATGTAATGTATATAATATGTATGTAATACATATATTATATATGTAATGTATATTATATATGTATTACATATATGTATTACATATATAACATATATGTATTACATATATGTATTACATATATAACATATATGTATTACATATATGTAATACACATATAATATATATGTTATATATATATATATATATAAAATTTTTTAAAAAATTGTTTCTTGAGATAGGGTCTCACTCTGTCACCCAGGCTGGAGTATAATGGTTTGATCATAGTTCACTGCAGCCTTGAACTTCTAGACTCAGGTGATCCTCCCACCTCAACCTCCTGAGTAGCTACAACTACAGCCATGCACCACCACACCTGGCTAATTTTTTAATTTTTAATTTTTTGTAGAGATGCAGTCTTGCTATGTTGCCCAGGCTGGTTTTGAACTCCTGGGCTCAAGCCATCCTCCCACCTTGACCTCAGCCTCCCAAAGTGTTAGGATTACAGGCATGAGCCACCGCACCTGGCCTTGGCTATATATTAGATTCATTGATGATCCAGAGCCCATCAAGACTGCTAACGCAAGTCTCTGAATTTACTGGAGCACTCGACAGCATCAGAGGGAAGAGCCACCATCACCTACTAATCATATCTGATGGCCCTGGGACATTCACCAAGACCTTAAGACTACTTGATGATTTCATGGCTAGACCTGTGAGGATTAACAGCCAGCAGGTTACTGCCATTACTGCATTGAAGCAGAGTTTGTGTAGCAAGTCCACTTAGATCAATTTTATGTGATCATGCTTTGTGTCATGTCTACAGATCCAGAACTGGTGTGCAGAGACCTCGTCCTGCTTGGAAAACGCATTCACCTCCAGGGGGCTGAAAAGCCTGTTGCATCTGCTGCTGACTTTAGTGCAATGATTATGGGCAGCCATGTTGGGCTTCAGTTTGTGTCTCTTTGATGAGTAAATGACTTTCGTTAAGGCAAAGCTACGTATTCTAGCTGCTACTGGAGACAACACAAGATAGCACAAAAGCCTTTAACTCATCATCTTCAGGAAGAGTTACATTTCAAATCTTCCCTCTTTGAAAGATCCTATCAGATTTTTATGGCCATTGAGAGAGGAAACGTCCTGTCCTTCTCAGATGTCATTTGAAATTCAAAATGTAGGTAAGAGCTTCATATATTGCTGAACTTTAACTAGAGGAAATCCTCAAATTCTCAAAGCCTTCCAAGGCACACACACCAAATTAGTGACAAAAGATGACTTAAAAGGTAGCAGTAGAATTTACTGTTACAGTAACATTCACAAGCATTCATCAGGCCTTCTTACTTAACAGTGCGTCTTAGTTTTAGAGTGTCCACGAGTTTGTTCCAGATGTCTACAGCCCTATTAGTCATCTGTGAAGGGTGCATGCTAATTCAATATGGCAGCTGGGTTCTGATTCCAAATTTTTGGAGTTTGTTCTCACAACCCGGATGCTTGCAAAAGTAAACAAAGACATTAAAAGATTTATGAAGAGACTCTGTCACACATTTTGAAGTGCAAAGTGTAAATGAATTTTTACAAGCATATGGATTTCATTTCTCTGATAATATGCATGAATTTAAAAATTAAAAGAAAATGTGCTGGCTACAATATGTTTTACGTTCTTGTTGAAACTTTGAAAATAATCAAAGGTGCCTAACATATTCAAAACCGCACAGACTCCTCTATCCTATGATGTCATTTGAACCATCAGATAGTGATTAATATTACCCCAAAAGGATGCTTTTCTGAAAGAAGCTCCAGAGAGGCACTTGCAATTTGAATTTCTATTTTTAAGCACATTCCACAGCTTATGGCCAGTCTCATTTCTTCCTGTATAAACTTCCAGGTTGCTATGCTCAGCACACTATCACTCTCTTAAATTTGGATAACACCATAGTCAAGTCTAACAGTTGAGGCTTCATGATAATATTTACATTGAGGCATAAGAGGACTGAGAGAGGAAAAAAGTGCAGGGAAAGCATGTTCAGCTCCTCGTGGTCACATGGAATGGATTCTGTCGAGAACGTAAAATAACATTTGTATCTGAGTGGTGCTTGGAATCAATTAAGATCTACCAGTTCAGTCAAGAATGCAGCCAACATTTTATTTTTAATTGTCTTGATAACATAGCCTTAGAGAATTATTCAGGTTACACTAGGCTCAGCATCAGAAGGAATTTTGGCTGCAAGAATTTCATTTTGTTTAGTTAAATAAAAACAAATTAGCATAGATTTTTTTTTTCTTGCAATTTCCATTTTTAGCTGTGATGTTACAATCGGTAATGGTGGTAAGTATTGGTCCGGTAAAACGTTTATTTTGAGAGTTTAATATAAATGAAAATAATAAATGGTCTAGTTCACTTCCATCTGTTTTTATCCATGTAGAGCTTTTAAACTTGTGATTCCCTTGGATAAAAATAAATTTCTCATACCCTCACATGTGTAAAGTATTCAAAAGAAGTATTATGGCTTACAAAAGAGAGAATAGTAGGAGAAAAAAGTTAAAGGCTTGAAAGAGCCATATTTTTTATGAAACTCTCTTGTATAGGTATAAATGTGGAGTCCCTTGTTTTCCCCAAACTTTTCTGGAAAGAAAGATGTGACATTGACGGCATCCAGTGCGAAGGCTACAGTTTTAAAAGTCAGAGTACAGGAAAGCCAGCTGCACAAATGGAGGCTGTCATCTTCTGATATTAAATTTGCTTTTATGAAGTATGTAGGCTTTCTCTACCTCCAATGATAAAGGCTAATATTTATTACACTCTTACTAGGTACCATGTATGTTTCAAAATATGAACACTTTCTAATTCAGTCCTTGCAGACTTCAGGGGAAGTACTGTTTCTATCCCTGCATCCCAGATGAAGAAATTGAGGTAACATAACCTGACTGAGGTTACCCACCTAATAATGGCAGGGCCAAAACTTGAACTTACACAGTTTGGCCTCAGAGCCCTGCTTAATCCCTGCAAAACCAGGAGATACTTGTAAGTCCTTCAGTGGCTCTTCTCTCCCTGCCCACAAGTGAAGAGTCTACCCTTGAGATCTTACTTGTTTCTGATGTCTGTATAATGTCACAATTGGAGAGTCTCTACATTTGCAATAGCCTCCAATGCAATGCAGAGTTATTTGTATATGACATTTGCAACATTACTGTATATATATCAGCCATCTATTGCTGTGTAACAAACCATACCAACATGTGGTAGCTTAAAGCAACAACAATTTATTATTTATCATGATTCTGTGTGTTGGCTGGGTGGTTCCTTAGCGGGTTTCCCCTGGGCTCACTCATGCAGCTTCCTTCAGCTGGAGGTTGGCTGGGCTGGAAGGCCCAAAGTGACCTCACTTACGTGGCTGGCCGTGGCTGCTGACTGTTGACTGGGGCTCTCAGCTCTGCTCTGCATGGCTTCTTTTCATCCAGGAAGCTAGACCAACTTTCTTACCTAGCAGTCCCAGGGCAGCAGTCTAAGAGGGTGACAGTGGAAGCCGCAAGGTCTCTTAAGAGCCAGCCTTGAAAGTTGGATAATATCACTTCTACAGCATTCTAATGGTCAAAGCAAATCACCAGGCCAACCCAGATTCAAGAGATGATAAAGTAGACTCTACCTCTTTATGGAAGAACAGCAAAGTCACATTACAAAGGGGCATGCATACCTGGATGGGAGAAACTTATGGCCAAGTTAGGCGATCTACCAGAGTAGACACCACTAAAAAGATAAATAATTGATATTAAAAGGGTTTTTCAATTTCTAAAATATTATAAAATATAGTTTTTGCAACATCATATTTACAATGTTATTTTTAATGGTTGGAAGTCACTTCTGCATCTTATTTCAGGGTTCTCATTAAAAGCACTGGCTATCACTGTGCTAAACAAACATTAGGTATGAAATTGGGGGATCCTCTGAATTCTTATCAAATGAGATATGAGTGAGAAAAACAAATAAATGTCTTTTGAAAACTTCAGTCCAGTTGTCTGCATCCTGAAGGGACTGTGGGAAGTATGAAAAGGTAAATATGTTTGATATTTTATTTTGATGTTTATATGCAGAAAGTAAACTGGAAAACTGAAGAAGTTATATATATACATGGAACATATTTAAAATATATATATTTTTTTCCTGATTTTGGCTTAAATCATGCAGATGGTTCAATTCTTGTTTTTAGCTTTGTTTTGGGTCTGTAGGCAGCCACAAAAGCAGATAAGTAACACAGTGTTATGAACAGGTCATTTTGATTCTACTGTTTTTGGTAGGATCAAAGGCAGAAGGTTAATCTAATGCAAATGCTTGTAACTGTCGGCTTTTAAACTCTGTTGGGTGAGGGCAAGGTTTAAGTAAGCACCTGAAATGCTGGCCACTTACATGGAACCTGAACACTTGGGATTTTGAGATGCAATTGCCCAATCCTTAATGTTCTATGCAAAAAAAAAAAATTTTTTTTAACTGAAGCTTGGCATTCAGTTTAGAACTAGGAAAACAACCTGCTGTTTATACAGAGGAGAAAAAAATTCCTTGCCTTTATATGAAAACAGAGTAGCTCCACCTCCTTCAGCCCTGAAATGCAGGCATACAAGTTCAGTGGCATTCAGGAGCTTTGGCTCTTTTACAAGTACGAGGATCATCTTAAGAATGCATGACATGCAATACGACCAGGTGAGCCTCCCTACTGCCTTCCTGTCTTGGTCCATTTTCTGTTGCTTACAGTAGAATACTTGAAACTGGGTAATTTATGAAGAAAAACATTTATTTCTTACAGTTCATGGAGGCTGAGAAGTCCAAGATTGAGGGGTTGCATCTGTTATGTGCCTTCCTGCTGGTGGTGACTCTGTGGAGTCCGAGGTGGTGCAGGCCATCACGTGGCAAAGGGCTGTCTGTGCTGGCTCTTGTCTCTCTTCCTCTTATAGAGCCTTTAGTCCTAATCTCCTGATAACTCATTAATCAATAACCCATTAATTCATTAACTCATTAATCTTTTAATCCATGAATGGCTTAATCCATTCATGAAGGCAGAACCCTCATGACTGAATCACCTCTTAAAGGTCTGACCTCTCAATATTGCCACATTGAGAATTAAGTTTCAACATGAGTTTTAGAGGGGGCAAATATTCAAACCATAGCACTTTCCAAATCCAGATTTTCACTTGTGTTTGTAGAAGGTGGGACCAGTCATCATGATGTCAGAACAACACGGAGGCCAAGAGTGAGGCTCTGAATTCAGACCCGAATCTGAGCCCTTGTTCTGCTGCTGACTGTCAGTGTTAATTGGGGAAGTTACTTGCTCTCCTTCAAGCCTCAAGTTCTGCATCTGTAAAATCGGTGAGCCATCCATGGGTGAACCATCGGTAAAATGGGTGACTCCTTGACCCATGAGATTGCCATGAAGGTTTCCCTGTAAACACTCTTAGCCCAGGATCTTGGCCAGAGATCACTATTGGCAGTTATTATCTAATTATGGAATTACACTTTGGGGTCTTCAAAGATAATAGATCTCAGATTTTAACTTCAAATATTGCCCCCAAATTGTTTGCAGAACTTTCAGCCTAATGACATCCTCACATTTTCCCCCGTCCTAATAGATCCACCTAATTCAGTTAAAAAGAATTCAATCACATCTTTTTAAGAACTAATCAAGTGAAAAACTCATGAAATATATTTTTGACTGACTTGACTAATCTAATTGGTAAAAGGAATTGATCTAGAAGGTTTGCTCTTTGTGTTCTGAGCAGGGTAGTTTCATGGGTGTGAGACCCCTGTGCAACCTCGTACTTAGTTTAATGCTTTGTTGTTACCCTCTTGACATTCTTAATACTTTTTGAGCAAGGGGCCCCACATTTTCTTTTCACACTGGGCCCTGCAAATTATGTTGCTGGTCCTGGTCCCAGGAAATACAGTTTACAAGGCAATAAAGGCCAAGATAGTCCTGGAGAAGACTGCACCAGGACACCTGGTTGGCTTGTGAAAATGAATGAGTTCAGAGTCTGCAAGAGGGAGGGCACAGACCTTTCTAAATGTCATAGTCGTTGATTTTTATCTTCTCCCTTGATAAATTAAGAGTTTTTTTAAACATTGACAAAACAAATAATAGTTTTTCCAATTTATAGACAACTTCATAATGTTCACTGAAATAGTTATAGACATCTTTTCCCTCTGGTGAATATTCATATAATCATGGAGGGACTGAGAATTTTGTATATATGATATTAGAAACTCTAAGTCACAAAGGAAAAGACTGAGACATTTGGCCTAATACAAACAAAAACTTCAGCTTATTTCAAAACATTATAAATAGCATTAGACAATAAAGAATACATCTAGGAATAGAATTGTAATGTATAGCAAAGCTTTAACAATTCATCTAAGAAGCTCTTACCAATCAGTAGGAGAAAGTGGTTGAGTGAAAATAATATGATTTATATAACAGTCACAAACTGCAAGTGAAAATGCCCAGTAAGCAAGAGAAACAAATGTCCACTTCAGTAGTGATCAAAGAAAGGCAAAATAAAATCAGCTACCATTTTTTTTTTTTTTTTTTGAGACGGAGTCTCGCTCTGTCGCCCAGGCTGGAGTGCAGTGGTGCAATCTCGACTCACTGCAAGCTCTGCCTCCCGGGTTCACGCCATTCTCCTGCCTCAGCCTCCGCAGGAGCTGGGACTACAGGCTCCTGCCACCACACCCAGCTAATTATTTTTGTATTTTTAATAGAGACGGGGTGTCACCGTGTTAGCCAGGATGGTCTCAATCTCCTGACCTCGTGATCCGCCCACCTCGGCCTCCCAAAGTGCTACGATTACAGGCGTGAGCCACTGCGCCTGGCCCCATTTTTTTTTTAAACTGAATATACAAAGATCTGTTAAAATGTTGAGGGGCCAGGGGAGCCTGGTGGTCCGCAGAGGGAGGAAAATCGGTGCTGCTGTTCCTGGGATCCCATCTGATATATCAGTGCAAGGCTGGGGTCCCCAGTGAGCTGACTCAGATGGAGATGAGCCTGAGGGATGCCTGTTGGTGAGAGGTGAGGCCAGCTGAACTTCCTGGATGGAGTGGTGACTTGGGGAACTTTTCTGTCTTACAAGAGGATTGTAAAATGCACCAATCAGGAACTTTCTCCCTCCACAAGAGGATTGTAAAACACACCAATCAGCACTCTGTAAAGTGCACCAATCAGCAGGATACTAAAAGTAGCCAATCGCGGGGAGGATTTAAAAAAGGGCACTCTGGTAGGACAGAAATGGAAAATGAGAGGGGACAGTAAGGGAATAAAAGCTAGCCACCCCAGCCAGCAGCAGCAACCCGTGCGGGTCCTCTTTCAGGCTGTGCAAGGTTTGTCCTTTCACTCTTCACAATAAACCTTGCTACGGCTCACTATTTGGGTCCGTGACCCAAATCTTTAAGAGCTGTAACCCTCACCCCTAAGGTCTGCAGCTTCATTCTTGAAATTAGCGAGACCATGAACCCACCGGCAGGAGCAAACTCTGGACACATTGGGAGCTGTTCCTGGGATCTGCACCTGGAGGGCAAGGGGCAAGAACGAAGCAGGAGTGGGCGGCAGAAAACTGTCTGCCAGGCTGTACGGACGGGGCAGCTCTGAAGATGAGTGGCCCTCCAGAGCCGTCCCAACTTCCGGCGAGAGAGTCGGAACTTTAAATCCCGGAAGTAGGCCAGGTTGAGCATGGTTTGGGGGTGACTCTGCAGCTAAGGCCACCCCTCAGGGTTGGCTGCTGTGGCCTGGGCGCTGTGGCACTCTCAGCAGCTGCTTGATGGGTCTTGCGTTCCAGCACATTCCACACCATCAGAGGCGGAGCACGGAGGACCTAGGATGTGAGGACTGGGGTGCTGGGGAGGAGCGGGGAGGAGGTGGATGGATATGATTCCCTTAGCTTTTTGAGGGCCAGTATGGGATTCCACGGATGCAGCTGACAGCACGTCTGGGCCCAGAAGTGGGGCACGCGGACGCTTCCACGGGTGTGCTGGGACATAGCCGCTTCCTCTCCACGCTGCGCCCCGGGGCCAACCACAGGCCGGCTCGCTGCTGCCAGTTGTAGATTTCCTTGTGAATTGCCTGCAATTTCACTAGGCCTATCCACAAATATCAGTTTACAGTATGCTTACATTTTAATAAAAACTATTTACATAGCAAAGGTCTGGAAGTATATACAGTACATCAAAGTATTGAAAATGCTGTCCAAGCGGTCGTTCAGGAGTTAAAAAAAATTTTAAATCTATCTGTGTTTCGAAAATTTTTCAATAAAGATGTTTAATGTGACAGTATATTTTAAATTTCTACCAAAAGTGGTGTAACAGTAATAAAAAATGCCAAATAGAATCATTCAAATTTATTAAAATATGTGACTATAAAATTAGAAATAAAGAAGGTTTAGAAAAATAAATAAATGAAAAACTGTGGAAGTGTAAGCATAGTAGAAAAGAACAGTAAAGGAATAATGTAGGGAGGATGTAAAGACAGTGAGGTAAGAAAAAAGAAGGTATGGCAAGAAGAAGGTAGAAAACTAACTTTATTCATACAATTTTTCTTCTGTGAGTCAAGAAGTTAGAAGGTGAAAGTATATTGAGAAAAGATTAAAAATGCAAAGAAAAAAAGATCTGAAATTTTCATACATCAGTGGTAATAACATTTAAATCAATACCGGAATTTGAATTTTAAAAGAGAACTCATTTTTTTTTTTAAGGAAAGAATCTTTGAATTATTGTCAGAAAAATTGAGGAACAATATTTTAGTTTTCCGCTATTTAAACATTTTTACTATTAGCAGGGACCTACGATGACAGCATTTTATTAGTACAGGAGCAGAGAAACAATGGTTTGGAAAATATAATTGAAACTGGAAAATAAATTGACCAGCCTAATTTTATGAAGAAGACAAAGGAAAGGAAAATACCACCATAGGAATAAAATGTGGCTGTGTTTAACTTATAAGTGAGAGCTAAATAATGAGTACACAAGGTTATAAAGACAGAATTAAGAGACTCTGAGGACTGCAGAAGCTGGGAGGATGAGAAGGGGTTGGAAAATTACCTGCTGGGTACTGTGTCCGCTATTTGGGTGATGGGCTCATTAGAAGCTCAAACCCCAGCATTACACAATATACCGATGTAATAAATCTGCATGTGTACCCCCTCAATCTATGTATGAAAAAAATTCCCAGAAATCTAAGCCATTGATTTTCAAATGTTTTAAGTTGGGAACCCCTGTTTTGCTTTGTTTTCTAGAGGGGATCTTTGCGCAGGAGCCCAGTGTATACAGCAGGTAAGGTAGTAATGATGGCTGTTCTGCCTGGGGGTGGGATCCAGCCGCCTCTACCCTGACAGTTACGCACTTTCCCTTCCCCTCTCCTCCCTGCATCCCCCGTTCCCAGCTCAAAGTACAGGTTTTTAATATTTATGTAATAATGGATAATACAGGTTTAATATTTGTGTAATAACGGATCAGAGCAGCCTTGAGACCTCATACTTAGCGTTACACTTGAACAGATCCTTTCACCCACATATCTAACTAAGCAAGTATTACGTTTAAACTTTCTCCTGAGGCCCAGAAAGATGCCCTTCACATCCTGGAGAGTCATTTATAGTATTTTGGAAAACAAGTCTAAAACACAAATTTGTGTTCTCATTAGGAAGATTTAAGTTCCCCGAGGAGAAGACCAAATTCATTTATTGAAATGTGCGTGTAGGAGTTGAATTGTTGAATTGTCGAAAGATGTGTTGAAGCCTCAATCCCCATTACCTGGGAATGTGATCTTATTTGGAGACAGGATCTTCGCAGATGCAACTAAATTAACATGAAGTCATTAATGTGGGCCCTAATCCAGTATAACTGGTGTCCTTATAAGAAGAGGAAAATGCCATGTGGAGACAGACATACTGGGAGGATACAGTGTCACAACAGGGCAGAGGTTGGAGTTGATGCAGCTACAAGCCGCAGAATGCCAAGGACTGACAGCTACCCTCAGATGCAAGGAAGAGGCAAGGAAAGGTTCTGTCCAGAGTCTCAGAGGGAGCCTGGCCCTCCTCACACCTTGGTTTTGGGCTTTTGTTGTTGTTGTTATGAATGGCAACCCTAGGAAACTAAGGCAGTATGCCTTAGTTTTTAATGCCAAATAATTCCTATTTTTAATAATTTTAAGAATAAAGGGAAAACATTTATTCTCAACATCTTAGGTAAAGGCAAGCCCCTCAAAGACAGTTTCTATGTCTGATTTATTTTTCCACTCATGTAGTTTACAGAACTGTGCCTGGCATATGTTGGACACTCAATGATTGCTGGCTGAACAAATAAGGAGATAACCACGTGGAAGATTTGAGTCAAATCCTGATTGAGGGAGGTTAGAACCTGAACCTACACAATGCTGAAATAATCATCTTTGGAGGGGAAATGTCTGTCATCTTAATTTTGGGGATTGTGTGACAGTCATATAATGTTTTCAGAGGTAAAACATGGGAGAACGGAGTCACATGAAATTTTATACTCTGACTTTGGTTTTAAATATAAATCCAGGCAGCACCAGGACATTTTAATTAGGGTTCACGCTCTTGAAATTTTACTTTTAACCAGAATTTGAGCCAAAGCTGTGGGAACAGTTGAGGAACCCAAGATGAAGGTCTTTGAGCAAATTACCCACTCACCCCTATTTTAAAGGGCCACTCTGTCAATTAATTTGATTCCTAGATGGTATAAGTTTAGGCACATTTTGCCTTTGGTTTCAACTTACTATATCAATAATTCCTAGTTACATAAATATGCAAGAATGAGCAAATGGTTATCCTCAATTTTATCAGGTACTGTGGGTGCTAGATGTGTTCAGGCACACACACACATACAGACACACACGCACACACACTTTTTTTTCAATTGCAGAGTTTTAAAAGTATTACTTTTCTGTAACTTTTTTTTTAATTTTGAAATAATTCTAGACTTACAGAAAAGTTGCAAAAATGATACAAGGACTCTTCATCAAGATCCCCCAAATTTATATTTATGTCTAAATCCTTCAGTGAAAATTTCCAAAAGACAAGGACATTTCCTATAAACCACAGCACAATTATTAAAATCAGAAATTAACATTCATATGATGCTATTATCCAACTGATAGACTTTCTATCAATTATCCAACTGATAGACTTTCTATCAATTGTTATCAACTGATAGACTTTTCAATCAATTGTTTCCTTCGTCTGGGCCAGAAGCCAGTCTAGGATCACACATTGCATTTAATTTGTGTCTGTTTAGCCTCCTTTCATCTGGAACAGTTCCTTAACCATTGTTTTCATAACCTTGAGACTTTTGAGTACAGGTTAGTTATTTTGTAGAATATCCCTCGATTTAGGTTTTCTTTTTTTTTTTTTTTAAATGATGAGATGCAGGTTTGAGATTTCCGGCAAGAAAGTTGCAAAAATGATGCTGTGAGCATTTCAATTTCTTCTATCTTGAGGCCCACGGTGCCCTATTGTTTCATGACTGGTACACATTGTCATGGGCTGAGTCATGTCCCCTAAAATTCAGATGTTGAAGCCCTAACCTCTAGTTTCTCAGAATGTGGTAGGATTTGGGGACAAGTTCTTTAAAAAGGTGATTAAGTTAAAACGAAGTCATTAGGGCGAGCCCTAATCCAACATGATTGGTGTTTTCATATGAAGAGGAAATCTGCTGGGTGCGGTGGCTCGTGCCTGTAACCCCTGCACTTTGGGAGGCCGAGGTAGGTGGATCATTTGAGGTCAGGAGTTTGAGACCAGCCTGACCAACATGGTGAAACCCCTGTCTCTACTAAAAATACAAAAATTACCTGGGTGTGGGGGCACACCTCTATAGTTTCAGCTACTTGGGAGGCCAAGGCATGAGAATTGCTTGAACCTGGGAGGCAGAGAAGGCAGTGAGCTGAGATTGCACCACTGCGCTCCAGCATGGATGACAGAGTGAAACTGTCTCAAAAAAAAAAAAAAAAAAAGATAAAATTTGGACAGACATGTACAAATGGAGGATGCTATGAAGACTCAGGGAGAGAGTGGCTGTCTGCAAGCCAAGAAGAGAGGCCTGGAAGAACAGTCCCTTCCCTCATGGCCCCCAGAAGGAAACAGCCCTCCTGATGCCTCGATCTTGAACTTCCAGCCTCCACAGGTATGGGAAAATATATTTCTGTGATTTAAGCCACCCAGTCTGTGGTACTATGGTAGCCCTTGCAAACTAACACATATGTTAATGTTGATAAGTTGATCACTTGGTTAGATGGTGTCCTCAATTCTCTTTATTGTAAAATTACTATTTTTTTCTTTGCGAGTGATAAGTGTGTTGTGGGGAGAGAGTGAGACTCCAGATCTCCTGTTCTCCATCATGCCTTCAGGCCACACAGTTCAGTATCCACTGATGATTCTGTCTTTTTCCCCTCTGTGGGGCTTCGCTTTACTTTTATTTATTTATTTTTATTTCAATAGGTTTTTGGAAAACAGGTGGTGTTTGATTACATGAATAAGTTCTTTAGTGGTGATTTCTGAGATTTTGGTGCACCCATCATCCAAGTAGTGTACACTATACCCAATGTATAGTCTTTTATCCCTCATCCCACTCCCACCCTTTCCTCCGAGTCCCCAAAGTCCATCATATCGTTCTTATGCCTTTGAATCTTCACGGCTTATCTCCTACTTGTAAGTGAGAACATATGATGTTTGGTTTTCCATTCCTGAGTTACTTCACTTAGAATAATGGTCTCCAATTCCATCCAGGTTGCTGCAAATGCCATTATTTCATTCCTTTTTATGGTTGAGTAGTATTCCATGTTATATATATAACATTTTCTTTATTCACTCGTTGATTGATGGGCCTTTGGGCTCGTTCCATATTTTTGCAGTTGCAAATTGTGCTGCTATAAACATGCATGTGCAAATATCTTTTTCATATAATAACTCATTTTCCTCTGGGTAGATACCCAGGAGTGGGATCGCTGGATCAAATGGTAGATCTACTTTTAGTTCTTTAAGGAATCTCCACACTGTTTTCCATAGTGGTTGTACTAGTTTACATTCCTACCAACAGTGTAAAAGTGTTCCCTTTTCACCACATCCATGCCATCGTCTATTATTTTTTGATTTGCAGGAGTAACGTGTTATCTCACCGTGGTTTTGATTTGCATTTCCCTGATAATTAGTGATGTTGAGCATTTTTTCATATGTTTGTCGGCCATTTGTATATCTTCTTTTGAGAATTGTCTATTCATGTCCTTAGCCTGCTCTTTGACGGGATTGTTTGTTTTTTTCTTGCTGATTTGTTTCTTTGTAGATTCTGGATATTTGTCCTTTGTCAGATGTATAGATTGCAAAGATTTTCTCCCACTCTGTGGGTTGTATGTTTACTCTGCTGATTATTTCTTTTGCTGTGCAAAAGCTTTTTAGCTTAATTAAGTCCCATCTATTAATCTTTGTGTTGCATTTGCTTTTGGGTTCTTGGGCATGAAGTCTTTGCCTAAGCCAATGTCTAGAAGGGGTTTTCCAATGTTATCTTCTAGATTTTTTTTATGGTTTCAGGTCTCAGATATGTCTTTGATCCATCTTGAGTTGATTTTTATATAAGGTGAGAGATGAAGATTCAGTTTCATTCTTCTACATGTGGCTTGCCAATTATCCCAGCACCATTTGTTGAATAGGGTGTCCTTTCCCCACTTTATGTTTTTGTTTGCTTTGTTTAAGATCAATTGACTGTAAGTATTTGGGCTTATTTCTTGGTTCTCTATTCTGTTCCACTGGTCGATATGCCTGTTTTTATACCAGTACCATGCCATTTTGGTGACTATGGCCTTATAGCGTAGTTTGAAAACAGGTAATGTAATGCTTCCTGATTTGTTCTTTTTGCTTAGTCTTGTTTTGGCTATGCAGGCTCTTTTTTGGTTCCATATGAATTTTAGGATTGTTTTTTCTCTATTCTGTGAAGAATGATGGTGGTATAATATTTTGATGGGAATTACACTGAATTTATAGATTGCTTTTGGCAGTATGGTCATTTTCACAATATTGATTTTACCCATCCATGAGAATGGGATGTGTTTCCATTTGTTTGTGTCATTGATGATTTCTTTCAGTAGTGTTTTGTAGTTTTCCTTGTAGGGGTCTTTCACCTCATTGGTTAAGTATATTCCTAAGTATTTTATTTTATTTGCAGCTATTTTAAAATGGGTTGAGTTCTGGATTTGATTCTCAGCTTTGTTGCTGTTGTTGTATAGCAGGGCTACTGATTTGTGTACATTAAGTTTGTATCCTGAAACTTTGCTGAGTTTATTTACTAGTTCCAGGAGCTTTTTGGATGAGTCTTCAGGGTTTTCTAGGTATGCAATCATGCCATCAGCAAACAGTGACTGTTTGGCGCCCTCTTTACTGATTTGGATGCCCTTTATTTCTTTCTCTTGTCTGATTGCTCTGGCTAGGACTTCCAGTACTATGCTGAGTAGAAGTGGTGAAAGTGGGTATCTTTGTCTTGTTCCAGTTGTTAGTGGGAATGCTTTCAAATTTTCCCGTTTAGTATAATGTTGGCTGTGGGTTTGTCATAGATGGCTTTTATTACCTTAAGGTATGTCCCTTCTATGCCAAGTTTGCTGAGTGTTTTAATCGTAAAGGGATGCTGGAGTTTATCAAATGATTTTTCTGTGTCTATTGACATGATCCAGTGATTTTTTGTTTTAAATTCTGTTTATGTGATGTATCACATTAATTGACTTGCAGATGTTAAACCATCCCTGCATCGCCTAGTATGATACCCACTTGATCGTGGTGGATTATCTTTTTGACATGCTGTTGGATTTGGTTAGCTAATATTTTGTTGAGGATTTTGCATCTATGTTCATCAGGGATATTGTTCTGTAGTTTTCATTTTTGTTACGTCCTTTCCTGGTTTTGGTATTAGGGTGATGCTGGTTTCACAGAAGGATTTAGAAATGATTCCCTCTTTCTCTATCTTTTGGAATAGTGTCAATAGGATTAGTATCAATTCTTTGAATGTCTGCTAGAATTCAGCTGTTAATCCATCTAGCTTGGACTTTGTTTTGTTGGTAACTTTTAAATTACCCTTTCAGTCTCACTGCTTGTTATTGGTCTGTTCAGAGTTTCTGTTTCTTCCTGGTTTAACTTAGGTAGGTTGTATATTTCTGGGAATTTATCCATCTCCTTTAGGTTTTCTAGTTTATGTGTGTAAAGGCGTTCATAGTAGCCTTGGATGATCTTTTGTATTTCTGTGGTGTCGGTTGTAATATCTCCCATTTCATTTCTAATTGAGCTTATTTGGCTCTTCTCTCTTCTTTTCTTGGTGAATCTCACTAAAGGTCTATCAATTTTATTTATCTTTTCAAAGAATCAGCTTTATGTTTCACTTATCTCTTGTATTTTTTTGGTTTTGATTTCATTTAGTTCTGCTCTGATCTTTGTTATTCCTTTTCTTCTTCTGAGTCTGGGTTTGGTTTGTTCTAGTTTCTCTAGCTGCTTGAGGAGTGACCTTAGATTATCTATTTGTGCTCTTTCAGACTTTTTAATGTAGGCATTTAATTCTGTGAACTTTCCTCTTAGCACAACTTTGCTGTATCCCAGAGGATTTGATAGGTCATGTCACTATTATCATTCAGTTCAAAGAGCTTTTAAATTTCCATCTTGATTTCATTGTTGACCCAAAGATCATTCAGGAGCAGGTTATTTAATTTCCATGTATTTGCATGGTTTTGAGTGTTCCTTTTGGAGTTGATTTCCAATTTTATTCCAAGTCTGAGAGAGTACTTGCTATTATTTCAATTTTCTTAAACTTGTTGAGACTTGTTTTTTGGCCTATCATATGGTCTATCTTGGAGAATGTTCCATGTGCCGATGAATAGAACGTATATTCTGCAGTTGTTGGGTAGAATGTTCTGTAAATACATGTTAAGACCATTTGTTCTAGGGTATAGTTTAAGTCCATTGTTTCTTTGTTGACTTTTTGTCTTGATGACCTGTCTAGTGCTATCAGTGGAGTACTGAAGTCCCCCACTATTAATGTGTTGCTGTCTATCTCATTTCTTAGGTCTAGTAGTAACTGTTTTATAAATGTGGAAGCTTCAGTTTTAGGTGCATATATATTTAGGATTGTGACATTTTCCTCTTGGACTAGTCCTTTTATCATTATATAATGTTCCTCTTTGTCTCTTTTAACTGCTGTTGCTTTAAAGTTTGTTTTATCTGATATAAGAATAGCTACTCCTGCTCACTTTTGGTGTCCATTTGCATGGAATATCTTTTTCCATTCCTTTACCTTAAGTTTATGTGAGTCCTTATGTGTCAGATAAGCCTCTTGAAGACAGCAGATACTTGGTTGGTGAATTCTTACCCATTCTGCCATTCTGTGTCTTTTAAGTGGAGCATTTAGTCCATTTACATTCATCATTAGTTTTGAGATGTGAGGTGTTATTCTATTCATCATGCTATCTGTTGCCTGCCTGAAAACCTTCGTTTATTTTTTAATTTTTAATTTTTTTTAAATTGTGTCATTGTTTTACAGGTCCTATGGAATTTACGCTTTAGGACATTCTATTTTGGTGTATTTTGAGGATTTGTTTCAAGATTTAGAGGTCCTTTAAGCAGTTCTTGTAGTGCTCGCTTGGTAGTGGCAAATTTTCTCAGCATTTGTTTGTCTGAAAAAGACTATATCTTTCCTTCATTTATGCAGCTTAGTTTCACTGGATACAAAGTTCTTGGCAGATAATTTTTTTAAGGAGGGTAAAGATAGGACCCTAATCTCATCTAGCTTGTAGGGTTTCTGCTGAGAAAATCTGCTGTTAATCTGATAGGTTTTCCTTTATAGGTTACCTGATGCTTTTGCCTCACAGCTCTTATTTTTTTCCTTTGTCTTGACTTTAGATAACCTGATGACTATGTGCCTAGGTGATGATTTATTTTTTATGATGAATTTCTGAGGTGTTCTTTGAGCTTTTTGTGTTTGGATGTTTAGACCTCTAACAAGGCCAGGGAAGTTTTCCTCAATTATTTCCTCAGATATTTTTCCAAACTTTTTGATTTCTCTTTTGCCTTGAAACACCAATTATTCTTAGGTTTGGTTGTTTAACATAATCCCAGTTTCTTGGAGGCTTTGTTCATTTTTTTATTCTTTTTTTTTTGTCACCGTTGGGTTTATTCGAAAGCCTTGTCTTTGAGCTCTGAAATTCTTTCTTCTACTTGTTTGATTCTGTTGCTGAGACTTTACAGTGCATTTTGCAATTCTCTAAGTGTGTCCTTCCTTTCCAGAAGTTGTGATTGATTTTTATTTATGCTATCACTGAAGATTTTCCCATTCATATCCTGTATAATTTTTTTTTTGATTTGTTTAAGTTGGACTTCACCTTTCTCTTGTGCCTTCTTGATTGGCTTAATAGTAAACCTCCTGAATTCTTTTTCTGGCAGTTCAGAGATTTCATCTTGTTTTGGATCCATTGCTGGTGAGCTAATGTGATTTTTTGGGGGATGTTAAAGAACCTTGTTTTTTCATATTACCAGAATTGTTTTTTTGTTTCCCTCTCATTTGGGTAGACTACGTCAGAGAGAAGATCTGGGACTCAAGAGCTGCTATTCGGATTCTTCTGTACCACAGGGTGCTCCCTTGATGTAGTGCTCTCCCCCTTCCCCTAGAGATGTGGCTTCCTGAGAGCTGGACTGCAGTGATTGTTATTTCTCTTCTGGATCTAGCCACCCAGCAGAGCTACCAGGCTCTGGGCTTGTAATGGGGAGTGTCTGCAAAGAGTCCTGTGATACGATCTGTCTTCAGTTCTCTCAGCTGTGGATACCAGCACCTGCTCTGGTGGAGGCAGCGGGGAGTGAAGTGGACTCAGTGAGGGTTCTTGGTTGTATTTTTGTTTAGTGCGCTGGTTTTGTGCTGGTTGGCCTCCAGCCAGGAGGTGGCCCTTGCAAGAGTGCATCAGCTGCAGAAATATAGGGAGGATCAGGTGGTGGATGGTAGAGCTCCCAAGATAATATGTCCTTTGTCTTTGGCTACCAGGGTGGGTGAGGAGGACCATCAGGTGGGGCAAAGTTAGGTGTGTCTGAGCTCAGCCTCTCCTTGGGCAGGGCTTACTGCAGCTGCTGAGGGGGATGGAGGTGTGGAGGCCAATGGAGTTATGTTTCCAGGAGGATTATGGCTGTCTCTGCTGTGTCATACAGGTTTCCAGGGAAGTGGGAGAAAGCCAGCAGCCACAGGCTTCCCCCAGCTCCCATGCAGCCCAAAAAGCTAGTCTCTCTCCCAGCATGCCCCGCTCCCCCCGCCACACCCCAACAGCACTGAGTTTATTTCCAGGCAGCCAATGAGCAGGGCTGAGAACTTGCCCCAGGCTATAAGCCTCCCAGCTGGGAAAGCAAGTCGACTCACAGTTCCTCAGCTGTCTCACAGAGCCTGCAGGGGCAATTCACCTCCTTCAAAGGGCCTGTGGATTCTCTCAGCTTTCCTGGTATGTTCCTGTGGTAGTTCCTGGAGCAAAATTTCACAATGTGGTCTCTGCATGCTGCTCTGTCTGAGTGGGGCTGCAAGTTACACCTGCCTCCAATCAGCTATTTCCCCCAACTGATGATTCTTGCTTGAAAGAATGATTATTGTGGTGGCAGCCAAATATATTTTTAAAGTAAACTATTTTATCAAAGTAAAGCATATACAGAAAAGTGTACAAATTAAAGGTTCATATCTTGATGAATTTTCAGATGGTGAACACATCCTTTTGGCCTCTGACTTGCTCAAGAAGAGAATAATATCTGCACCCAGAAACTTCCTTTTGTTCCTCTCAGTCTCCATATCCCACTTTCCCTCAATGCTAACTGCTCTCATGATTTCTTATCCCAAATGAATATTAATTTTTCCCAATTTGTCCTAATTTCCATTTATATTGTGGAATAATTCATTATGGATTAATTTTGTGTATGTTTTCTTTCAGTTAGCATTCCTTTTATGACTGTATACTATTCCATTGTGTAGAATATACCACTATTTATCTATTCCAATGGGGATATATATTTGGGTAGTTTCCAGATTGGGGCTGGTATGCATAAAGCTACTGTGAATATTTTAAAAGTATTTTTGTTGGCATGTTTTTGTTTCTCTTCAATATCTAGGAGTGAGATTTCTGGGTCATAGAGTGTGTATATGCTTCTAGAAACTACGAAACACTTTTCCAAAATTGTTGGCTTCAACATACTCTTCCCACCAGCAATGGGTTACTCCAGTTACTCCAGATCCTCACCCACACTAAGAAAGTTTTGCGTTTTTCATTATGTCTATTCTAGTGGGTGTACAGTGATACCACATTTTGGTGTAAATTGTATTTTTGGATGACTAATTATGCAAATGCTTTTTATTGACTTGCTGGACATTTGTATACTTTCTTTTGTAAATCTTTTGCATATATGTATGCCAAAAATCTTTTGGGAGATAGAGATAGAGAGAGAGAAAGAGAAAGAGACAGGTCTTGCTCTGTTGCTGAGGCTGGAGTGCAGTGGCATGATCACAACTCACAACTCACTGCAACCTGGACCTCCTGGGCTCAAGCAATCCTCCAGTCTCAGCCTCTCAAGTAGCTGGGACTACAGGTGTGTGCCACCATGCCTGACTAACTTTTGTACTTTTTGTAGATACAGAGTTTCACCATGTTGCCAGGCTGGTCTCAAACTCCTGGGCTCAAGTGATCTGCCTGCCTTGGCCTCCCAAACTACTGGGATTACAGACATGAACCACCCTGCATGGCCCTTTTGCTTATATTTTAATTGGGTTGTTTGCCATCTGCTTATTGGGTTATAAGACTATATTTCCTGTATTGGTTTCCTAGGAATATCTCTTTTAATTTAATTTTTAAGTGGTTGCTCTATGACTAACAATATGCATCCTTCAATTATCAAAGCTTACTTAAAGTCAACCTTGTACCATCTCTCAGTTTGTACTTCACACCTGGTCTGAAATGTTTCACTTCCTACTTTACAAATGTCATAACCTTACAAGAGTAAACTCCCCTGAACCTGTTCCCCTGACATGAACTTCAATATACTTTGTAAACCTCACCTTACAGTGTTATATTTTTCTCTGTATAGTCAGTTGTGTTTTAAGACAATTATGAGAAGAAAAGAAACTCCATGTTATTTTATGTTTTCCTACTCACTTATCATTTCTCATGCTTTTCCTTCTTTCCTGTAGATAGACATTCCTATCTAGAATCAATTGCCTTTGGCCTGCGGAACATTCTTTACTATTTCTTATAGTACAGATCTGCTGGTGATGATTTTTTTTCAGTTTTTATTTTCTGTGAAAATGTCTTTGCCCTCATTTTTTGAGGTTCTCAGTGTTCTCTTTTTATTGTTTTGCAGCAGAATGCCCACATAGAACATAATTGCAAATATTTGGCAGTGCAAATGAGGAGCCAGTGCTTAAGTACAAATGGGACACATGTTTCTTTTGTTTTACATAAATATTTACACACAACTCAGGCCCTACAAACAACTAGACTCTAGGTCTGAGCAGCAGAGAAAATGCCCCTGGGCCTGCTTCCCCCCAGCGATCAGTTCATGGAATTGATCATGGTTATTGATAGTGATGCTGATGGTCGAACGTGATCACAACGCACCCATTTTCTAGAGCCTTCCCCCACCCTCCACAGACATATCTGGCCAGGACAGACAATTGGAGTTTCTTGAAGGTCAATGGTCTGCAGCTGTTGAGCACTCACCATGATTCTGTTGTTTCCTGTTTCTGTGGAGGAGACAAACGCACTTCATGACTCTCTTCAGCTCCTCTTACAGGACCAGCACCAAAGCCCCTGACACCTCCAAGGACATTGGACCTCGCCCTTGAAGAAGCCTTTGCCCTTTTCATCTTTAAAGATCTTCCTCCAACAATCTAGGGTCCCTGTATACATGATGTGGGCTCCTTTGAGCTCCATGTGGGAGGATAGGAGATCATGTTGGCCATGGCCCTCATAGTCTTTGCAGTAACTCAGCTTGCCAGGATGTGCATGTTCTTGGGGCTGGGGAGCATGCCCTCAGCTGTATCCTACTAGCAGAAGGAGGCTGCTGGGTAGATGATGATGTCTTGCATGAGATGCTGAAGCCCTGGTACAGGCCCTGGGTCCATTGGATTTGGTGATCCTCACCGGCCAGGCTCCCAGGTCTTTGAACTCATGCACTGTGCCCAATTTCCCAATGTCTGCTGCCAGGAGGTTCTGGGAAATCCAGGGGGTACATGAAGCAGAGTGAGGTGGTGCCAGCCAGGCCACCCAAGGCCGGGTGGCCAGCGAAGCACCTCCAGAACTGCATGCGCTTGTCTGCACCCCCAGGAAGAACTGCTTGTACTTATCCTTGAAGGCAAAGTTAAGGGCTTGCATGGGAAGTAATGGATGGCACTGGCAAGGTTGCCCTTCCAGGAAGACAGCCCCATGCTCCTTGGAGATGCAGAGGACGCAGTCCATCCACCACACTTCGTGCTGCTTGTGGGCTGCAATCTGCTACTGGCATGTTGCCCCTGCAGCAGCAGCAGCTTGACCTGCTGGATCTGAGCCACGGCCATTTGGGAATCATTGGTGAGGGAGTTGGACTGTTCCATCATGGTGGCAGGCAGGACAATGGAGTGTGGAGAGCTAGGGAGCAGAGGGAGGTGCTGGTGGCTCAGCCCTGCCACCTTGGACCAAAGGCTACCCTCAATGTTGAAGGGTATTGTCACCGGATATTAATCTCTGGGTTGACAATCTCTCTCTGCCTTTCAGCTGGCACTACAAATGTAGTGTTCTATTGTCCTTTAGTTTCTATTGTTTAGGACATGAAGTCAGCTGTTGTATTTGTATATTATTTTCATACTGCTATGAAGAAATGCCTGAGACTGGGTAATTTATAAAGTAAAAAGTTTAATGGACTCACAGTTCCACATGGCCGGGGAGGCAAAGGAGACAAAGGCACATCTTATATGGCAGCAGGCAAGAGAGCATATGTAGGGCAACTGCCCTTTATAAAACCATCAGATCTCATGAGACTTACTCACTATCACGAGAACAGCAAGGGAAAAGCTGACCCCCATGATTCCATTACCTCCCACTGGGGGGGTTTACGGGATTATGGGAGCTACAATTCAAGATGAGATTTGGGTGGGGACATAGCCTAACCATATCAGCTGTCATTTGTAATTATTTTTTTCTTTTATGTAATGCATCTTTTCTCTCCACTTTCTGTTTTTGAGATTTTTCTTTTTACTTTTAGCAGCTTTACTCTGATATATCTAGATGTGCTTTCTTTGTATTGTTTGGGGTTTGCTGAATGTCTGGAATCTCAAATTGATGTTTTCCATTGTATTTAGTTATATTTTGGAAATTATTTCTTCAAATATATATATATTTGGCATCATTCTCACTCTTTTCTCCTGTTGGGCTCCAGTTACACATATGTTACATTGTTTGATATCATCCCATAGGTCTCTGAAACCATCTTTTTTCTTTCTACCCTGTAGATTGGATAATTTAAGTATCTTTAGAAAAAAGAAGTCTGGGTCCAGGCACAATGGCTCATGCCTGTAATCCCAGCACTTTGGGAGGCCGAGGTGGGCGGATCATGAGGTCAGGAGATCGAGACCATCCTGGCTAACACAGTGAAACCCCGTCTCTACTAAAAATACCAAAAAATTAGCTGGGCGTGGTGGCGGGCGCCTGTAGTCCCAGCTACTTGGGAGGCTGAGGCAAGAGAATGGTGTGAACCCGGGAGGCGGAGCTTGCAGTAAGCCAAGATTACGCCACTGCACTCCAGCCTGGGCGACAGAGCGAGACTCTGTCTCAAAAAAAAAAAAGAAAGAAAAAAGATGTCTGGATACTATTGGGATACTATTGATATGTGATCATGTAAATTTTCCATCTTTTTCTTTAAGATTGTTTTGACCACATTGGCCCTTTGCATTTACATATAAATTCACAACTTTCTACATAGAAAAAGTCTGTCAGGGTGTTGATTTGGATTGCTTCAGATCTAGAGAGTAAATTGGAGATAATTGATATAAATACAAATTTGAGTCTTCTAATTCCTGAAGATGGTGTACCCCTCTATTTATAGTTAGATGTCACTTAAAGATGGGGATACATTCTGAGAACTGTGTCAGGTGATTTTGTCATTGTGTGAACATCACCAAGCGTACTTACACAAAGTTAGATGCCTAGCCTACTACACACCGAGGCTATGTGGTATAGCCTATTGCTCTGAGGCTACAAATCTGTACAACATGTTACTTTGCTGAATACTGTAGGCAACTGTAACATAATGGTGTTTGTGAGTGTAAGCATATCTAACATAGAAAAGGTACAGTAAAAATATGATATAAAAGATAAAAAGTGATGTACTTTGTATTAGCTTGTTCTTGCATTGCTATGAAGAAATATCTGAAGCTGGGAGAATAGAGGTTTAATTGGCTCATGGTTCTGTAGGCTTTACAGGATGCATGGTGCTGGCATCTGCTTCTGGTGACACCTAGGATGATTACCCTCATGGTAGAAGGCAATGGAGAGCCAACATGTAACACGGTGAAAGCAGGAACAAGAGAGAGCCAAGGGGGAGGTGCCAACTTTAAACAACCACATGCTCATGTGAACTCAGAGCAAGACTCACTGGTTATTTTGAGGACAGCACCGAGAGAATGGTGTCAAGCCATTCATGAGGGATCGACACCCCAATCGAATCACCTCCCACCAGGCTCCACCTCCAACATTGGGAATCATATTTCAACATGAGATTTGGTGGGGGGCAAATATCCAAACCATATCACACCTGTATAGGGCACCTACCATGAATGGAGACTGCAGGAATGGAAGTGGATCTGGGTGAGTCAGTGAGTAAGTGGTGAGTGAATGTAAAGGCCTAGGACATTACTGTACACTACTGTAGACTTTACAAACACTTTGTACACTTTATACAGAGTGTATCATTTTATAAACTGTACACTTAGGGAACACTACATTTATAAAAGTATTTTTTTCTTTCTTTAATAATAAATTAACCTTGGATTACTATGACATTTTTACTTTTTAAAACTTCAAATTTTTAAAAAAGTCTTGACTTCTGTAATAATATTTAGCTTAAAACATGAACACACTGTATAACTGTATAATTATTTTCTTTCTGTATATCCTTATTCTATAAGCTTTTTTCTACTTTGTTTATACTTTAAGTTCTAGGTTACATGTGCACAAAGTGCAGGTTTGTTACATAGGTATACTTGTGCCATGTTGGTTTGCTGCACCCATCAACTCATCATTTACATTAGGTATTTTTCCTAATGCTATCCCTCCCCCCTCCCCCCACCCCACAACAGGCCCCAGTGTGTGATGTTCCCCACCCCCATGTCCAAGTGTTCTCATTGTTCAATTACCACCTATGAGTGAGAACGTGTGGTGTTTGGTTTTCTGTCTTTGTGATAGTTTGCTGAGAATCATGGTTTCCAGCTTCATCCATGTCCCTGAAAAGGACATGAACTCATTCTTTTTTATTCCATGGTGTATATGTGCCACATTTTCTTTATCCAGTCTGTCACTGATGGACATTTGGGTTGGTTCCAAGTCTTTGCTATTGTGAATAGTGCCACAATAAACATACGTGTGCATGTGTAGTTATAGTAGCATGATTTATATTCCTTTGGGTATATACCCAGTAATGGGATGGCTGGGTCAAATGGTATTTCTAGTTCTAGATCCCTGAGGAATTGCCACACTGTCTTCCACAATGGTTGAACTAATTGACACTCCCACCAACAGTGTAAAAGCATTCCTATTTCTCCACATCCTCTCCAGCATCTGTTTTTTCCTGACTTTTTAATGATCGCCATTCTAACTGGTGTGAGATGGTATCTCATTGTGGTTTTGATTTGCCTTTCTCAGATGAGCAGTGATGATGAGCATTTTTTCATGTGTCTGTTGGCTGCATAAATGCCTTCTTTTGAGAAGTGTCTGTTCATATCCTTTGCCCACTTTTCGATGGGATTGTCTTTTTCTTGTAAATTTGTTTAAGTTCTTTATAGATTCTGGGATATTAGCCCTTTGTCAGATGGATAGATTGCAAAAATTTTCTCCCATTCTGTAGGTTGCCTGTTCACTCTGATGGTAGTTTCTTTTGCTGTGCAGAAACTCTTTAGTTTAATTAGATCCCATTTGTCTATTTTGACTTTTGTTGCCATTACTTTTGGTGTTTTAGTCGTGAAGTCCTTGCCCATGCCTATGTCCTGAAAGGTATTGCCTAGGTTTTCTTCTAGAGTTTTTACGGTTTTAGGTCTAACATTTAAGTCTGTAATCCATCTTGAATTAATTTTTGTATAAGGGGTAAGTAAGGAAGGAAGCCAGTTTCAGTTTTCTACATATGGCTAGCCAGTTTTCCCAGCACCATTTATTAAATAGGGAATCCTTTCCCCATTTCTTGTTTTTGTCAGGTTTGTCAAATATCAGATGGTTGTAGATGTGTGGTATTATTTCTGAGGGCTCTGTTCTGTTCCATTGATCTATATCTCTGTTTTGGTACCAGTACCATGCTGTTTTGGTTACTGTAGCCTTGTAGTATAGTTTGAAGTCAGGTAGTGTGATTCCTCCAGATTTGTTCTTTTGGCTTAGGATTGACTTGGCAATGCGGGCTCTTTTTTGGTTCCATATGAACTTTAAAGTAGTTTTTTCCAATTCTGTGAAGAAAGTCATTGGTAGTTTGATGGGGATGGCATTGAATCTGTAAATTACCTTGGGCAGTATGGCCATTTTCACGATATTGATTCTTCCTACCCATGAGCATGGAATATTCTTCCATTTGTTTGTATCCTCTTTTATTTCCTTGAGCAGTGGTTTGTAGTTCTCCTTGAAGAGGTCCTTCACATCCCTTGTAAGTTGGATTCCTAGGTATTTTATTCTCTTTGAAGCAATTGTGAATGGGAGTTCACTCATGATTTGGCTCTCTGTTTGTCTGTTGTTGGTATATAAGAATGCTTGTGATTTTTGTACATTGATTTTGTATCCTGAGACTTTGCTGAAGTTGCTTATCAGCTTAAGGAGATTTTGGGCTGAGACAATGGGGTTTTCTAGATATACAATCATGTCGTCTGCAAACAGGGACAATTTGACTTCCTCTTTTCCTAATTGAATACCCTTTATTTCCTTCTCCTGCCTAATTGCCCTGGCCAGAACTTCCAACACTATGTTGAATAGGAGTGGTGAGAGAGGGCATCCCTGTCTTGTGCCAGTTTTCAAAGGGAATGCTTCCAGTTTTTGCTGATTCAGTATGATATTGGCTGTGGGTTTATCATAAATAGCTCTTATGATTTTGAGGTATGTTCCATCAATACTAGTTTATTGAGAGTTTTTAGCATGAAGGGCTGTTGAGTTTTGTCGGAGGCCTTTTCTGCATGTGTTGAGATAATCATGTGGTTTTTGTTGTTGGTTCTGCTTATGTGATGGATTACATTTATTGATTTGCGTATGTTGAACCAGCCTTGCATCCCAGGGATGAAACTGACTTGATTGTCGTGGATAAGCTTTTTGATGTACTGCTGGATTTGGTTTGCCAGTATTTTATTGAGGATTTTCACATCAATGTTCAAAAGGAATATTGGTCTAAAATTCTGTTTTTTTGTTGTGTCTCTGCCAGGCTTTGGTATCAGGATGATGCTGGCCTCATAAAATGAGTTAGGGAGGATTCCTTCTTTTTCTATTGATTGGAATAATTTCAGAAGGAATGGTACCAGCTCCTTTTGTACCTCTGGTGGAATTTGGCTGTGAATCTGTTTGGTCCTGGACTTTTTTTGGTTGGTAGGCTATTAATTATTGCCTCAGTTTCAGAACCTGTTACTGGTCTATTCAGAGATTCAACTTCTTCCTGGTTTAGTCTTGGGAGGGTGTATGTGTCTAGGAATTTATCCGTTTCTTCTAGATTTTCTAGTTTACTTGCGTAGAAGTGTTTACAGTATTCTTTGATGTTAGTTTGCATTTCTGTGGGATCGGTGGTGACATCCCCTTTATCATTTTTTATTGCATCTATTTGATTCTTCTCTCTTTTATTCTTTATTAGTCTTGCTAGTGGTCTATCAACTTTGTTTTCAATCTTTTCAAAAAATCAGTTCCTGGATTCACTGATTTTTTGAAGAATTTTTTTGTGTCTCTATCTCCTTCAGTTCTGCTCTGATCTTAGTTATTTCTTGCCTTCTGCTAGCCTTTGAATTTGTTTGCTCTTGCTTTTCTGGTTCTTTTAATTGTGATGTTAGGGTGTGGATTTTAGATCTTTCCTGCTTTCTCTTGTAGGCATTTACTGCTATAAATTTCCCTCTACACACTGCTTTAAATGTGTTCCAGAGATTCTGGTACATTGTGTCTTTGTTCTCATTGGTTTCAAAGAACATCTTTATTTCTGCCTTCATTTTGCTATTTACCCAGTAGTCATTCAGGAGCAGGTTGTTCAGTTTCCATGTAGTTGTGCAGTTTTGAGTGAATTTCTTGACCCTGAGTTCTAATTTGATTGCACTGTTGTCAGAGAGACAGTGTGTTGTGACTTCTGTTCTTTTACATTTGCTGAGGAGTGCTTTACTTCCAACTATGTGGTCAATTTTGTAATAAGTGTGATGTGGTGCTGAGAAGAATGTACATTCTGTTGATTTGGGGTGGAGAGTTCTGTAGATGTCTTTTACGTCCGCTTGGTGCAGAGCTGAGTTTAAATCCTGGATATCCTTGTTAACCTTCTGTCTCATTGATCTGCCTAACTTTGACAGTGGGGTGTTAAAGTCTCCCTTTATTATTGTGTGGGAGTCTAAGTCTCTTTGTAGGTCTCTAAGGACTTGCTTTATGAATCAGGTTGCTCCTGTATTGGGTGCATGTATATTTAGGATAGTTAGCTCTTCTTGTTGAATTGATCCCTTTACCATTATGTAATGGCCTTCTTTGTCTCTTTTGATCTTTGTTGGTTTAAAGTCTGTTTTATCAGAAACTAGGATCGCAACCCCTGCCTTTTTTTTTTTGCATTTGCTTGGTAGATCTTCCTCCATCCTGTTATTTTGAGCCTATGTGTGTTTCTGCACGTGAGATGAGTCTCCTGAATACAGCACACTGATGTGTCTTGACTCTTTATCCAATTTGCCAGTCTGTCTTTTAATTGGGGCATTTTAGCCCATTTACATTTAAGGTTAATATTGTTATTTGTGAATTTGATACTGTCATTATGATGTTAGCTGGTTATTTTGCCTGTTAATTGATGCAGTTTCTTCCTAGCCTCGATAGTCTTTACTATTTGGCATGTTTTTGCAGTGGCTGGTACCGGTTGTTCCTTTCCGTGTTTAGTGCTTCCTTCAGGAGCTCTTGTAAGGCAGGCCTGGTGGTGACAAAATCTCTCAGCATTTGCTTGTCTGTAAAGGATTTTATTTCTCCTTCATTTATGAAGCTTAGTTTGGCTGGATATGAAATTCTGGGTTGACAATTCTTTCCTTTAAGAATTTTGAATATTGGCCCTCCCTTTCTTCTAGCTCATTGGGTTTCTGCTGAGAGATCCACTGTTATTCTGATGGGCTTCCCCTTGTGGGTAACCTGACCTTTCTCTCTGGCTGCCCTTAACATTTTTTCCTTCACCTCAACCTTGGTGAATCTGACAATTATGTGTCTTGGGGTTGCTCTTCTCGAAGAGTATCTTTGTGGTGTTCTCTGTATTTCCTGAATTTGAATGTTGGCCTGTCTTGCTATGTTGGGGAAGTTCTCCCGAATAATATCTTGAAAATCATTTTTCAACTTTGTTCCATTCTCCCCATCACTTTCAGGTACACCAATCAAATGTAGATTTGGTCTTTTCACATGGTCCCATATTTCTTGGAGGCTTTTTCATTTCTTTTTACTCTTTTTTCTCTAAACTTGTCTTCTCACTTCATTTCATTAATTTGATCTTCAATCACTGATACCCTTTCTTCCACTTGATTAAATTGGCTATTGAAGCTTCTGCATGTGTCATGAAGTTCTTGTGCCATGGTTTTCAGCTCCATCAGGTCATTTAATATCTTCTCTACACTCTTTATTCTAGTTAACCATTTGTCTAACCTTTTTTCTAGGTGTTTAGCTTCCTTGAGATTGGTTTCAACATGCTCCTTTAGCTCAGAGAAGTTTGTTATTACTGACCTTCTGAAGCCTACTTCTGTCAACTCATCAAAGTCATTCTCTGTCCAGCTTTGTTCCATTGCTGGCGAAGAGCTGCAATCCTTTGGAGGAGAAGAGGCACTCTGGTTTTTAGAATTTTCAGCTTTTCTGCTCTGGTTTCTCCCCATCTTTGTGGTTTTATTTACCTTTGGTCTTTGATGTTGGTAACCCACAGATGAGGTTTTGGCGTAGATGTCCTTTTCATTGATGTTGATGCTATTCCTTTTTGTTTGTTAGTTTTCCTTCTAACAGTCAGGTCCCTCAGCTGCAGGTCTGTTGGAGTTTGCTAGAGGTCCACTCCAGACCCTGTTTGCCTGGGTGTCACCAGCAGAGGCTGCAGAAGATCAACTATTGCAGAACAGCAAATATTGCTGCCTCTGGAAGCTTTGTCCCAGAGAGGCACCCGTTTGTATGAGGTGTGTATTAGTGTCTTCCACCTCCACATCTCGTCCCAAGAGAAGATCTTTTGGGGCAATAACACACATGGAGCTGTCATCTCCTATGATAACAATGCTTTCTTCTGGAATACCTGGTGAAGGACCTGCCTGAGCCTGTTTTACATTAAAATGTTTTTTATGAGTAGAAAGAGTGCACTCTAAGGTAATAAAACAGTATAGTATAGTAAAGATGTAAACAAATAGCATAGTTATTTATGATCATTATCAAGTATTATGTATTATACATAATTGCTTGTGCTATACTTTTATATGACTGACAACACAGTAGGCTTGTTTTCACAAGTATGAGTAATGTTACAGTGACTAAGACATCACTAGAAGATAGAGATTCTCAGCTTCATTATAATAATCTTATGAGACCACCGTTGTAAGTTGTATATACAGTCTGTTGTTGTCCAAAACATTGTTATGTGTTTCATTACTCTATTTAGGTTTTCTTTAATTTCTCTCAATAATGTTCTCTAGTTTTATGTGTAGAGATCTTGCACTTTTTTTAGGTTTATTTCTAGAAATTGGATGCTATTATTAGCATCTGTAGAATCAGTAGGATCTGTTTAAAATTTCATTTCCTAGATGTTTACTGCAGTGTATCGACTTCTGTTGCCCCAGCTAAAATTCACTTACTGATTTAAATAATTTATAAGTAGATTATTGTGTATTTTAAATACATGCTTTTATGTATTCTGTAATTAATCACTTTATCTTTTTCCTTTTCAACCTGTATTTTTTACATTTCCTTTTCTGCTTTATAATGTTCTAGACTAATATTTAACAGTGGACATCTTGTGTCAATCCTCATTGCAGGTAAAAACTTTAAATAGCTCACCATTATGTATCATATTTGTTTTAGATTTTCACATATCATTTTTATTATATTAGGAAAGTTTCCTTATATTTTTAATTTGTTAACAATTTTTGTTTTCTATTATGAGGGTATTGAATTTTTTCAAAAGCTTTTCTGCATTTCTTATATAGTCATATGATATAACTTTCTTTTTATTCTAACAATGTGGTAAATTATGTTGTCATCTTTGAATTTTAATCACCTTTGCATTTCTGAAATAAACTCAAGCTGGTCATGATATATTATTCTCTTATGTATAACAACTTGGTTTTCTAATCTTTTGTTAAAAATTTTACATCTGTATTTACAAGTGACATTAGTCTGCCAATTTCCTTTTTTGTAATGACTTTTTCAGATTTTGGCATCAAGATTATGCTGGCCTAATAAAATGATTCAAAAACTTTTTCTGTTTTTCTGTATATAGGTCATAGAAAATTTTCAGCTCTATTATAATAATCTTATGAGACCACCATTGTATATACAGTCTGTTGTTGACCAAAACATTGTTATGTGGTGCATTACTGTATTCAGGTTTTCTTTAATTTCTCTTAATAATGTTCTCTAGTTTTATGTGTAGAGATCTTGCACATTTTTTCATTTATTATCATGATAATAATAATAAATGACTATGTTATTGATTAATGTCTTTTCTATACTATATTATAGTATCTACTATCTACTATACTATACTGTTTATTATTTTAGTGTACTCTTTTCTGTTATAAAAAAATTAATGTAAGTCAGCCTTAGGCAGGTCCTTCAGGTCCTTCACTATATTGCCCAGGTTTTTGGTACATGGTTTTAAATTAGTTGTTTATCATGTTCTCTCATTATGTAGAGATGTTCTCTCTTTCATTCCTGATATTAGTAGTTTGTGTTCTCCTCCCTTCATTTCTAGAATCCACTTCTGACTTTCTAGATTTTTCTCTATTGTATGTTAGTTTTGTTTCACCAATTTCTGTTATCCTTTTTATTATTCTCATGTTTGTCATTTCTTTGGGTCTAATTTGCTGTTGTTTTCCTAGTTCTTTGGTTGCTCATTAATTCTACCTTTATTATTTTCTAAAATATTCACAGATGACCATACATTTTCCTCTGCGTATGGTTTTATCTGTATCCCAAAGGTTTTCATGTCACATTTTTATTACTATTCAGTTTCATATAATTTATAATTTCTATTGTGATTTCTCCTTTAGCCCATAGGGAATTTAGGGTGTATTACTTACTTTGCAAACACTGGGATTTTATTAGTTATCTTTTTTCTATTAATTTCTAGTTTAATTCTGCTGTGACCAAAAACATGACATCTCTGATGTCAAACTTCTGATATTCATTAAGATTGCTTTATTACCCCTTACTTACATTTACTTTTATCTTTATGTTTACTTTTCTTATTTTTTACATGGGTTTGAAAACAATGTCTATTCTGCTATATTCTACATATGTCAAACAATTCAAGCTTATTCATTGCCTTATTTAAATCTTCTATATTCTTCCTGATTTTTTCTTCTGTTTGCTCTATTTAACAAAACCCTGATAGGCCTAGATGTGGTTTTCTTTGTATGTTTTTCTTTTCGGGTTCATAGCACTTCCTAAATGTAAGACATTCTGTCTTCCATTGCTTTTGGAAAGTTTTGGGTCATTATTTCTTTAAATATTGCATCTGTCACATTCTCTCTCTCCTCTACTTTGAGATTCCAGTTATACTATGTATTATGCTTTTTCATGTGTCCTGTATTTCTTTTATGTTCTTTTCTGTATTTTCCATCTGTTTTTCTTCTGTGCCTCAGTTTGTTTAATTTCTGCTGATCTTTCTTCCCCCAAGTCTAGTCTGCTTTTGGACCCATCTAGTTTAGCTTTTATTTCCAGTTTCTTTATTTTTCAGCACGGAACCTGGATTTAATTCTTTTCTAAAATTGGATTTATATGCTGAAATTTTTTGTCTTCTATTTTCTAGAACATGTTTATCACAGCTGTTTTAAAGTTCTTTTCTGACAACTCTGTTAACTGGATTACATTTACATTTACATTACATTCTATAAGACTGTTCTTTAAACTTCTATATTGTCATTTTGTCTTATCTCCTGGTATGCCTGGTATTTTTTATTAAATACCAGATATTATATATAATATATTTTAGTGATAATTGGAGGTTCTGGACAGTCGTATCTTCCTGTAGATAGGGTTTACTTGTGCTTCAGGCAGGCTGTGATGGAAGGAGAGATCATCAGTCTAGCCCCAGGAGGTGAGCCAGTGTTTGTCATGGCTTGTTTAATTCTAGTTTGCCTTACTCCTAGGGTTCATCCCTGTGACAGTCCCAACCCAAAGCCTGTGGTGTTTTCCAGAGCTTCTCTTCTTTGTCAGGCTCTGAGTTCTAATTTTTGTTCCTCCCACCCAGCTTTGTGAGACTGCTTAAAGCTATGCCTAGTATATCTCAGACTTTTGGAGCTGTCACTTCCTTCTCTGTTCTCCTCCCCTTCAGTTTCTAGGTCCCTAGGCTGCTGCTTTGGAATCCGTCAGTCTCTCAAGGAGAAAGGCTGGACTTTTTTCTTCTGTCTTGGATCATGGCTCTTCAGATTCAAGCAGCCTTCACAGTACTCTGATATCTCCAAACAGGTATTTTTCATGATTTGTTTTCCAAGTTTTCTAGTTGTTCTGGATAGAGGGTTTGGTTTATTCTAAGCTAGCCCACCATAGCTGGATTCACACATACAACTTTTAGAAGGCTGGGCACAGTGGCTCACACCTGTAATCCTAGCACTTTGGGAGGCCGAGGTGGGAGGATCACTTGAGGCCAGTAGTTCAAGACCAGCCTGGGCAACATGGTGAAACCCACATCTCTACAAGGAAATAAAAATAAAGAAATTAGCCTGCTATAGGGGCAAATGCCTGTGGTCCCAGCTACTAAGTAGGCTGAGGTAGGAGGGCTGCTTGAGCCCAGGAGTTGGAGGCTGCAGTGAGCTTTGATTGTGCCACTGCATTCCAGCCTGGGTGACAGAGCAAGACTCTGTCTCTACCCCCACCCCCTGTTTTTAAAGAATAAATTCTCGTCTTGTAGATTATAAATCTGAGACTAAGAATGATTTACTCAAGGTGACATGCCTATTAAGTGCAGAACCAGAATTTGAACCAGGTCTTTTGAAATTAAGTCCTATTTAAGACTCCCCAGCTCCATGTATCAACCACATCTAAGGATTGGCACCTCAGTGAAGGCAACAGTGAAAGTGTTTGGACATGTCAAAAAGGGAGGGAAGGGCTCTCAGCCTTAGCGCCATTTTTTTGGAAACCTCTGCGCCATGAGAGCCAAGTGGAGGAAGAAGCGAATGCGCAGGCTGAAGCGCAAAAGAAGAAAGATGAGGCAGAGGTCCAAGTAAACCGCTAGCTTGTTGCACCGTGGAGGCCACAGGAGCAGAAACATGGAATGCCAGACGCTGGGGATGCTGGTACAAGTTGTGGGACTGCATGCTACTGTCTAGAGCTTGTCTCAATGGATCTAGAACTTCATCGCCCTCTGATCGCCGATCACCTCTGAGACCCACCTTGCTCATAAACAAAATGCCCATGTTGGTCCTCTGCCCTGGACCTGTGACACTCTGGACTATTTCTGTGTTTATTTGTGGCCGAGTGTAACAACCATATAATAAATCACCTCTTCTGCTCTTTTAGCTGAAAAAAAAAAAAAAAAAAAGAAAAGGGAGGGAAGGAGTGAGCTGAGTGGTGGCTGTTTTGCCAACAGGGGTCAGCTTAGCTTGTTTGTTCATCTAGCTGGTGTTCTTATCCTGAGCTTGGTTGTAGCCACACTTCCAATGGAGACAGTCACATTCATCACCCATACACAAACACAACCTACGACTTGCAGCCACACATATGACTGTGTCTGCGACAGATCCAAAGAAGTATATACAGTAGGAAAGCTGTTCAGGCAGTATTGGTCCCAGTAGTCAGTTGACTCAGAAAACTGGGCAAGGATTTTTATTGCTTTTGGGACATATAGGCAGTGATACAAATGGTACCTTAGGCCGGAAAGACAATTGGCTAGGCCTAAAAGGGATTAGGCATGTAAGTGCTTTATTCATAACATAAATAGTGCAAGCCACAAAACTACTGTTACCATGTTCCCTCCTCCAGGGACCAAGCCAACAGAAATCACCAGTGTGGGATGAAGTTTGACCTGAATTGGAGCCACATGGAGAATGCTGCCTCAGGGTTGGGTGTGGATGGGGAGGCACTGAGTACGATGAGGGAGAAGCCAATTTGATACTTTGTGGAAGAGGAAAAATCATAAGATTACTGCTTGGTGGCTCCAGAGGACTGGGATGACATGGTCTTGATTGTTTCTCTCATTTCTCCCTGCAAAGTCATGGTAGCTGGGTAACTGTGATTGTCAAAATGGAGGCTGGGATTAAATTCTTGCCCCAATTCCTTTGCCCTCCACCCTCAAGAATGAAGAATATTAGTTATGTTTACAAATGAAAAAGTTTTTTCACTGACCCCCCTCTTCTGACAAATGCATGTGAAATGGGCAGACTTGCAGTTGACTTTTGAGTAACACGGAGGTTAGGGGGTACCAGTACCACCCCCAACATCATCTGCCGCCAAAATCTGCTTATAACTTTTGACTTCCCCAAAACTTAACTACTAATAGGCTACTGTTGACCAGAAGCCTTCTTGATAACATAAACAATTTACCCATATGTCTATGTTATATGTATTATATACTGTATTCTTACAATAAAATAAGCTAGAGAAAAGAATATTACTAAGAAAATCATAAGGAAGATAAAATATATTTACTCTTCATTAAGTGGAAGTGGATCATCATAAAGGCCTTCATCCTTGTTGTTTTCACGTTGAATAGGCTGAGGAGGAGGAGGAAGGGGAGGAGTTGGTCTTGCTTCTCAGGGGTGGCACAAGTAGAAAATCCATGTATAAGTGGACCCACAGAGTTCAGACCCAGATTATTCAAGGGTCAGTTGTATTTCCCTTCTCATGTTCTCTCTCCGCTTTTCAGGGGGAAGCAACATTGGAATGGGGACTTTTAGTGTCTCTTCTTCTTCCTCTTCCCCCAAGGAAGGAGCTAATATAATTGGTAAGGACCTACTGTTTTTAAGGTCTGTGCTGCCCAAGGGTGGGCTTATGGGGCTTCAAACACAAACCCCAGGGCCCAGTTTCTCCTCTTTTGTGCTGTCTCTCTCATGAGTGAGTAAAACATCCCTGGATCCCCTGGCTCCCGTGCCACAGGCAACCCAGGGCAAGTCTTTCTCCTCCTTTCACTCTTCTGAAGCCCTCTGCAGGGAGATCCAGTGAATCTACATGGAACTGGACAGGGAGCCAAAGAGGTGTAGGTTTCCCTCTTTCAGAGTCAGGCTTAGAGAGCCCCACTGCAGCCTCAAATCTAGTATCTACATCTTTCCATCTAAATACTGCCAAATCTCCTATTAAAGCTGTCACTTTGACCCCCACAGGGTTATGTGCCATTCTCTGGGGAGAATCACCTTGAACCTAATCCTACAGGAAGAAGAACATCTGTCTCTGTTTCTTCAGACATTTTTGCTCCCAGCGGCTGGATGTGCATTCACTGGCACTTTGACAAAAGCAGGACATGCTGTAAATATTTCTCAGTGTGCTGATGCATTTATTGAACTTGTAATATATAAAAGGGTGAATCACCATGTTGCAATCATAAAAAATTCAATTTTTAAGCATGTCTTCTTGGTCTCCTAGATTCCTAAAACATAAGTCTCAAGTGCTTTAGGTAAATGGATATAACAGAACACCATTACAACCATGAGCAGCAATAAGCAAAAGAAAGGGAACAAAGAACCCACAGCGGAAGCAGAATTGAGCAACCAAGCAAACAGGCATGAACAGAAGAACCATATATAATGTTGACTTGTGTTCAAACAGCCCCCTGATCTTCTCGGAGAAAGGTGCTACCTGAAATAGAAATAAGATAGATATTTTTCACACATTCCTCATACCCTTTTTCCGGTCTTGGTTACAAAATGTATAGGGCTTCAGGTTACTCCTCAACCAAAATTATATTACAGGAGACCTCAAAACAGTTGCTCTTGGGGGCTCGGGTGCTGACCTGCTGGTATGTCATAAGATTACCTTGTTTTTCCATCAGTTCTGATGCCTGAGCTCTGGGCAAGTGAGATCTCTGGGTTTTTGGAAGAAGAACTTGAGGAAGGTAAAGTCCATCTTTGTCAATCCTGGTCCTCATTCAGGGTGGTGACTTGGAACATCACTCATCTTATCCCAGGGCACATGTCTGCACTCATAGTGATGGAAATTACTTACTGTCAGAAAACCGGACTGCAATCCTCTAACTTGAATTGCAGGTGGTTCTGTGAATTCTACACTGGTGAGGCTAAGAGATTTGGAACGCTGTCCACATTGTCACTTGCTGCCTGTTCTCCTGAGTACGCTCAGCATTTGAGTCCCCAGTAACTGTCAGGGAGGCTTAGTAGGTAACAAGCATTCTGTTCTATTTTCTGAATGAAAGTATGAACACTTTTCCTAGAAAATGTACCCATGTGGAGTGGGAAAGGTGTATGTGGAAAAGGCGAGGAATTGACAGCCTAAGGAGGAAAAGGGGCGGTGGACTGAAGAACTGCTTCTTTTTAGGGGTTGGCTTCATCTGAGGAGATGACCAGCTTGCCGTTGTGCCTGCAGGCCTGACACATGCACATACATGCCTGTTAGGTAATCAACCCTGCCAAGTCCTCAACATCACCAAGCAAGGAGAGAATGTGTTCCTTAGTCCCTCAAGAAATGACTCCTAGAATAGCTTGGAGAGATGCAGCAACCAAAAATCTGGCAGAAGTATTCAGTAACAGCCTCTATGGTTTGGTCTTTGATTCCCCAGCGAAACCCAAGGAAACTCTTGGGGGCAGCTTGTCCTTCCTGAAGACCCCTTTTGGGGCCACCCTCCAAGTGGGACCCGCTGACCCTCCCTTCCTGCTGCTCACTCTCTTTGGTAGTCCCTTCCCACACTGATTAGAGCTGATCCATGTTAGCAACAGGACACTGTGGACATGACAGTGTGTGACTTCTGAGATGAGGTCATAAAAGACACTGTGGCTCCCACTGTGCTTCAGAAGGACAACTTGCTTGGGGGAGGGGGAAGCCAGCTGCCATGTTGTGAGGAGGCTCAAGCACCTCATGTGGAGGTTCATGTGTTTAGGGACTGAGGCCTCCTGAAAACAGCCATGCTGAGCCTGTTTCCTTCTCGGTAAAGTGTGAATGATAATAAGATACACCTCATATAATTTTATGAGAATCAGATGACATAATCCCTGTCAAGTGCTCCATGCATTCTTCAAATAAATAACTTTTACTGGTTGTATGATGTTCCATGATATGGACATATTACGGTTTAATTAGTTCCTTTTAGGTGGACATGTAGGTTGTTTCCAAATCTTACTATTTTTATAAATCACTTTGCAATACATATTATTGAATGTGTGGATTTGTCTAGGTCTTAGATTATTTCTTTAGGGTGTGTTGTTTTCTAAATTGCATCAGAGCCTGTAAGAATGAAGGTTATGAAGTCTAATATATGAGCAGGTCCTCCTACTTCTACTCATCTTTATCTCACCAGGGTACCACTATCAAAAGCTAAAAATTGGGCACACAAGAGACCATGCTTTTATGCATGGTTATGGAGGACCCCCAGGGGACATCATCTGTACGAAATGGGACTGATAAGTGGATGATTTTGCCACAAAATAGAAAATGGACAGTAACAGGCATATGTCTCTTGGGTAGCCTCTGAACCCCTGAGAGAGGAAGACCTGTGGATATTTCTGTGAGCTTCTGACCACACTACAAATGTAAACATTTGTACTTCTTCGAATATGTTCTTGGTTAACTCAGTGTTCATAATCAATATTTATTTCAGCTTTTCTGCAAATGCTTATCTTTCCTAGTAATCAGATCTCCTAAGACCTCCGGGCTTTTTGGCCTCTCAGGGGAATGGATCTGATTCCACACTAGGCTGGATATGCAGGATTTAACCAGTTGTATTAACCTAGCTTATTGAACATTTTCTCCATCCTTGCTCATGTTGGACAGTTCTTTTATAATAAATTAAGTGGTGTTTTTTTCAGGGTTGTCTAGTTTATTCACTTAGTTTGTCTGTGTACTCTTGCACCTTTGCACATTGAGTTTTCTTACTTCTTTAGTATATTTTGATATGTAATTATAGGCCACTTTCCTCTACCTCACTTTTTTCTTTCAAAGTTCTAGTTGTTATTAAATTTACTCTTCCTGATGAGAAAATAGGAGACTAGAAGATAGGTTTGAAGAAACTGTAGATCATGTAAGATTCTACACAGGTTAAGCATATAGTTAATTCATTTCTTTTCTTTCATTCAAAATTAATGCTTTTCTTTCTTGCTTCTCCTCCTCCTTCTTTCCTCTCTGTTTTCATTCTGTATTCCTCTGTTATCCACTTATATTCTGAAACTTTTACTTCCCATTTTTGATTTGCTGGTTTCCTGTTGGATCTTTTCTATGATCACCATTTCTTGTTTTAGAGTTATTTACAGTCTCTTAAATTTTCATTTTAGGGCTTTTTAAAATTAAAGGTTAGCATAGATACAGGAAAGTGCACATAGTACAATAGTCTTAAGTACAGCTTGCTGAATTTTTATGAAGGTATAGATCCATGTAACTACCATTGGGATCAAGAATCTAATAAGGCTTTCTCATGCCCCTTCCCAGTCTACACCTCATCTCTACCCAGAATGAACCACTGTTTTGACTTTTATCAGTATATATTGGTTTGCTTGTTCTTCACCTTCATGTAAATGGACTCATACTGTGAGCACTCGCCTGTGTCTGGCTTCTTTTGCTTATCATTATGTCTGTGAGATCCACTCATGTTTTATGGGTACTAGTAGTTTGTCCTTTTTTATTGTGGGGTAGTATTATATTATAAAAATAAACCATAATTTGGGCCAGGTGTGGTGGCTTATGCCTGTAATTCCAGCACGTTGGGAGGCCGAGGCAGGAAGATCACAAGGTCAGGAGATTGAGACCATCCTGGCCAACACGGTGAAACCCCATCTCTGCTAAAATACAAAAAAAAAAAAAAAAAAAAAAAAAAAAAATTAGCCGGTCATGGTGGTGTGTGCCTGTAGTCCCAGCTACTCAGGAGGCTGAGTCAGGGGAATTGCTTGAGCTCCGGAGGCGGAGGTTGCAGTGAGCCAAGATCGCGCCACTGCACTCCAGCCTGGTGACAGTGAGACTCTATCTCAAAACTAACAAACAAAAAAACAAAACAGCCCCCCATCCCATAATTTATTCATTCTCTTCTTGATAAGACAATCATATTCTTATACAGCATTTTAGTAAGCTTCACTAGTAACAATATCCCATAATTAAAATAGGAATCTTTGTATTGTGTTAAAAAAAACTCTATTTAGATTCTTCCATTAATTTCCAGCTCTAACTCACTCAGCAAAATAATAAGACAACCACCAAATTGGAACCCTTTGCAGTTCATTATCACAGAATTGACTGAAGTATGTATCTTCTCACTTATGATATAAGTATCTTTTTCTTTATTTTATTGTAACATTGAGATACTGAAGCTTAAATATGCTTTCCTCAAAGTTCCACTGGTAATCAGGAAAGAATTGTGGTCAGAAAAGACAGAGAAGACAGTCAAAACTGGTTTGAATGCCTTGAACATTTATTCATTTGTTACATTTCAGGTAACATTCTTCTCCCCTTGTATAGAGAGTTTCAGGTGATATGAAATAGTTGAAATGAAGAGGTCTATGTAAATTTTAAGACAATAAGTAATTCATGATCATTTCCCATGATCACTTGAGACAGAAAGGGGGCTGAAGGACTGACAGCTGGCAAAACAGGTTCCCCAAAGGCAGGACCGGACAGACTCTGCCCTGTTTTCTTTGGAAGCCATTTGTCACTGTCAAAAACACATAGTGGCCTCTCTTTTAGCTCTATTCAAACAAGAATATAATTTGTATCCTGACGTTTCCCTGAAAATAGCAAGTTTCATTTGTCACCCGGGTGGTTTTCAAGCTTCATATCCACTGTTGTAAAGGTGAGTTGAGCTTTTTAAGAGTGGCTTTGTTCAGCAATGTTATTTCCTCATGAAAACCTATAACTTGACTTTTCAAGCTTATATCCTTTCACATCCTCTTGCTGTCTCCATGAAACTTGACAATTATTTATTTTTGTATTATATGCTTATTAAGCTCAACTTCATTCTTTAAATAATCATATTAGTATTCATGTTTATGATTGTGGGTCACTGATTCTTCAGCTATTACTTTTCATTCATATCTCTTCTTATAAAAGAAGGTAATAATTTAAATATATGAGTCAAAAATGATATTAAGACTGTCTTTTAGAACAATCTAAAGCTCAGCTTTGAATGGAAATTACAGTTTAGCCATGATAGAACTGTAGTTTCATTGTAACTGGGAATAAAATGAATTGCTTTTCACGTGAGGTAGGAAAATATGGAAGAATTAAGAGACTTTCATATTAGAAGAATGCTAAGAAAGTGACTACTATATTATTACATGTATGTATCTCATCCAGCCCCTTTTTCCTTAAAATAATTCCTAAAACTATGAAAGAGAAAGACTTGTGAAGTTGTATTACTTTTTTTCCTCTTATAAAGGAAGAGCGCCTAGATTGTAGAAATAGTAGAAAATAAACACACTTTAAAACAGAGAAAAAATTCATGTTAAAATACAGCAACTCCTATATTGAAAGCCTGGAATTCTGGAGCTTGATGATACCTAGGAGATGTTTTAGTTCAGCAGTTGGCAAACCATGGCCCCTGTGCCAAATCCAGCCTGCTGCTTGTTTTGGTGAATAAGATTTGATTGGAACCCAGCCACATGCATGTGTTTATAGTTTGTCTATGGCGGCTTTCATACTACATGACATAGTTGAGTAGCTGTGACAGAGACCAAATGGCCTGCAAAGCCTAAAATATTTGCTATCTGGCCCTTTACAGAAAACATTTTCTGATGCTTGATCCAGTTGCCAGTAAAGAGTTGATTATGCAGGAGAGTGCTCTTGAACATACCGTGATATGCCTGGGCCTTCCGCACAAAGCTTACAGTCTAATTGGGAAAGTTAAGTCATGGGCATTAGTACAATTTGGAGGAAGAAAATGACTAGTGCCCTGGAAAATACAAAGGGTTTCAGGATTTCAGTGGAGCCTTGGGGAAGGCACCATGGAAAAGTTTAGGCTCAGTTTGATGAATGGATAGGGTTCAACTATGCCCAAATGTCTGTAGAATATTCCTGTTCAAAGGAACATTGATAAGAAAGGCTGAAATATGGGAAAGCACTGTGCATGCATGAGGACCACCAAGCAGATCAACTGGGCATGTGCAAGAGTGGGCTAGGGGATCCATCCAGAATGACGGGGCTGGGGGATCTAAATGTAGGCTGAGAATGATGTCTTTTATGTCATAGGCTTAGAGGGGGTTGGAGGAAAACATGGTCATTATAGTGGCTTAAAATATATCCACAAACCCTTTGATACCCTCTTCAAAAGATGGGACTGGATTCCTCTCCCTTAGGTGTAGACTGGATTGGATTTGGTGAGCTGCTTCTAAAGAACAAAGTCATGTGAGGATGATGGTGGGTGATTTTCAAGACTAAGTGATGAAAAGCACTGTGGCTTCCTTCTTGCTCTCTCTTGGGTCACTTGCTCTGGAGGACGCCAGGTGCCCTGTCTTGTGGATACAATGATAGCCCTATGGAGAGGCCCATGGATTGAAAACCTGAGTCTTTCTGCTAACAGTCATCAAGGAATGGAGGTCTTCTGACAACAGCCATGTGAGGCAGCCCTCCTGGAGGCAGATCCTCCAGCCCAGGTTGCGCTGTCAGATGGCTGTGGCTGTGGCTGAGAGCTTGGCTGCAGCCTCATGACATATCTTGGTCCAGAACAACCCAATTAAGCCACTCCTGGATTCTTGACCCTCAGAAACTTTGTAAGACGTTTGTTGTTTTAAGCCACTAAGTTGGGGGAAATTTGTTACATAGCAATAGATAATGAATAGAATTATTGCCTTTATGGTGTCACTTTGGGCAAAATAAGCCTAGTAATTTTCATTAATTCATTAATTCATTCACTGACTGCATTCAATGGCATGTGCTCTGTGCAGTGCCCTGAGGGAGCCTTGGTCTTCAGGCTTCATGGAATGTTGCAGCACATGGGATAGGCCTTGCTAATGAGTGACTACCGTGGGCATTCAGTCCCATTGTAGTCCAGGAGAAGGGGAATTGTGGCACTCACTTGTTGCTCTTCCCATAGAGTTCCCGACACACCAATAACCTCCTACCTCTCTACCCATGGGATTTCGGACTGTTTCCAGTACTCCCCATCATTGTAGAGTTTATTTCTAAAAAGCCCACCCACGCTATAGATGAAAGCTCAAACACAGAGGCTGAGAAGTCCAGGGACCTACAGCTCATAAATGACAGGGTCAGGACCTCAACCTGGTCAGTTGATTCCTGGCCAAAGTTGTCGTTGGCCCTTTTTTGAGAAGCTAAATATAACTTTGCTTACAAGTTCAAAGGAAAGTGATTCAAAACTTGCTCCGTCAAATGTCTTGATTTTAGGATTCACAGGTAGAAATAAAATGAGTGAAAAAGCACTGAATTCATGTGAGAATGGGTTCCAAAAAATATAGCAGATTTATTCACTCATTCATTTATTTATTAAATATGATGATCAGGCCATTACGCTAGTGATCCAGATAAGAAATGATTCTGATCTCTCCCAAGCTCAAAACGAGAGACTTCTTATGTGAGAAATGGTAAAATAGAGGTATCAACACAGTGCTACCTCTAGTCAGGAAATAGTGCAAAGAACACACACACACAATACACACACATACACACTACTTTTTCTACCTCAACAAACTTAGGCTGTGGATTACCCACTGCATGTTTTATGGTCTCTAAAATATGGGACATTCTCTTGTATTTTTCCTGTAATAGCCAGGAAGAGAATTTTTTTTATTACATTTTTTAATTTCCATAAGTTATTGGGGAACAGATGGTGTTTGGTTACATGAGAAAGTTCTTTGGTGGTGATTTGTGAGATTTTGGTGCACCCGTCACCTGAGCATTATACACTGCACCCAGTTTGTAGTCTTTTATCCCTTACCCACTTCCCACCATTTCCCCCTGAGTCCTCAAAGTCCATTGTGTTATTCTTATGCCTTTGCATCCTCATAGCTTAGCTCCCACATATGAGTGAGAGCATACGATGTTTGGTTTTCCATTCCTGAGTTACTTCACTTAGATTAATAGTCTCCAATCTCATCCAGCTTGCTGCAAATGCCATTAATTCATCAGGAAGAGAATTTCTTTGTGGTTAATTCAGCTTGACTTTTAAAGCTTTTAAGGAAAAGATAATATGTGGTTATATGTAAGGTGTAAAGTTCATGTCATTAAAAGGTGCTTGTCTATATGGCATGATCTGAGGCCCCATTGGTTTAAATATCTCATTTCTTACTTGTCAAAGTGCATGAATGTCCAGCATTAGAAATGCAGTTCCTTGGGGTCTGGAGGGCATTGAGGGCTCCCAGCCCTGCTTCTTAAGTGCATCTGCTGCTGCATAGTATCAGGCTTAAGTCTTAGCATCCACACCTTGTCAGCAATTAGGTGACAGCTAACTGTGCTCAAGGCTTTCTGGGGACTGAATGAAGAACTGGGGTGGCACAGGTAGTGAAGGAGGGTGAGAGGCTGGTGGGGCCATGACAGGGGGTGTTGGGGGTTGGCAGAGCCCAAACTTCCCTGCTTTCCCTGGAACTGGCTGCACCAAGAAGTTGAGGCTCCTGGTTTGTTTGGAATCAGGTATGGTACAATCCATTGTCCCGTGGACCAGTGTTGTCATAGAGGCCCAGGTCTCCTAAGACCAAGTAGAGGTGTACTGTTTTTGTTGGTGTGTGCACTAGTTACCTGTTCAAATGATCATTCTCTTGGGCAACAGGTAAAAAAGTTCCTTGCCTTAATTGGTTCCTCAGGTAAAGCACAAATAAGTCACTAGCTTGACAGTAGAATCAGCAGCAGTTTTTTTTTTTTTTTTCAGTAAGACAACAGAGAGCTCACAGTCCCCAAAAGAAAAAGTTACTTTCTTGCCAACATTGGTCAAAAGTATGATTCTTTTAGAAAAATTCAATGAAGATATTTCCTCTCCCAACCCCATCAAGGCAGGAAATGGAATTGTATTTCCTAAATGAATGAATGTTTTCATAATATTTATGGTTTTGGATATATGTGATCATTAAAATGTGACTTCTATTTGCTATGCAAAGTGGAGACAAATTAGAATTGATTGCATATGGAGATTTTGTTTGTTTTGTATCCTTTTGTATATGCTACGAAATCTCAAAACCATTAGACCCGGAGGAACCTGGAGAGGCCATTGGATCCATCTTATGTCTCTCTACTTCAAAGTGTGGCCCTTGGACTAGCAGCATCAGCATCTTCCAAGACCCTGTTAGAAATGCAGTGGACCCCATCTCAGACCTAATAAACTAGAATCTGCTTTACTACAAAAAAAAAATTCCTTGCCTTAAGCTTCCTTCCTACCACATTTAGGGGGTTTTCTATTGGTCGGTGAGGTATTATTTCTGTAGTATTAATTTTCTGTGCATTCTTGTAGAATTATTTTATTTATGTGTTTATTTTTAAGAGATAAGGTCTCATTTTGCTGCCCAAGCTGGAGTGCAATGGCACAATCATAGCTTACTGCAGCCTTGAATTCTGGGCTCGAGTGGTCCTCCCACCCCAGTCTCCCAAGTAGCTGGGACCATAGGTGTGTACCACCATGCCTGGCTCTTATAGAATGTATAGAATGACTTTAGCTGGAGCATTAGTAGATATTTTTATATCACCTTTCAAAGTTATGTATCAGCTATGAAAGTCACCTTCTATTTATGGTAATATTGGTTTTCTACTTATGGTAGTGATGTCGAGTTTCCATTTAAAATATATTTATTTAAGTAAGAAAGCAACTAGATTTAATGGCATGTTTTAATTAAATACTAGCTGAACAGTCAAGGTGGTAAGCAAATAACTGATATTTGATGGAATGGGAAAAATTAATTTCGAAACTTGTTCTGGCAGAAAAGGAACAAAATTAACTTTGAAACAGCATTTTGTCCAAGCTGAACTGGATGCTGTGAGATTTTTGTTTTTAACTCTGAACCCCCTTACCTTATTCAGGTTTTGCTTTGGGAGGAGGAAGTTATAGGGAGTGAGTTATACTGAACCCTGGACAGTCTAGCATATCTCTGAAAGAGATATAAGTTTTGGAGTTAAGCCAAGCTGGGTTTGAAATCTGGTTTCTCCACTCACTGATTTGAAATCTTGTCTTCACTCAGACCTCAGTGTCATCATCTGTAAAATGGGTTAGCAGCTCTGGGAAGGTTTGTGGTAAGAAATAAACGAGGAAACGTTTGCAAATACTGAGCACGCAATCAATACTCGATAATCGGTGGCTGCCAGTATTACCTCCTTGTTTGATGTTCACGAGGAGCCTGGAGTTGGCGGTCATTCGGCTGCACGCCTCCTGGCTTTGTGGACAGTTATCTTGGAAGAAGAGTTGGGGGCTTGTGGCTGTTTCAGGTGTGTGTCCAGGCCGTGCTCAGCTAGCATGACTGCTGCATGTTGCACACTTTTTGTGCTTTTTACTTTTAATGCCTGTAAGAAAGCAACTCATTTTCTTCATTTGATGTGATTAATGGGTGTCCCTCGGAGAGGCCGCACCCGGGAGAAAGCGCTGACGCCTCCGACCCAGCTCCGCGCACAGCGGCGCCCCCTTCTGGCCCTCGTCCCGCCGGAGCTGCGCTTGCGTGAACAGCCCTCAAATGCGTGTTTGCCCTGCTGCACCTTTGTCCCAGACATTTGTAAGAAGTGTAGGATTAGAGTCACACTACCACACAGAGCATTTTTCCGCTTTCCTGTCGTGCCTGTAGATATACTTGCTCTGGATTTCCTTTGTCACAGAGAGCGCTAGTCATGGAGGCAGAACCACGTAGGAGATTTGCTCTTGGAAGGGCTGAACTGGCTGCTGCTGACTGCCTTATCTACTGATCAAGGCTCCCTGGCCACAGGAATGTGACCTTCCGACCACTGGCTGAACAGGGTCAGTGCAATCACGCCTCAAATGAGCTTTTGATGAGCCTAAATGGAAGGAATCTGCACAATACAGGTGTGCTGTGATATTCTAGGTTGGCCTTTGATGCTTGAGCTAAAGGACTTCATTTTAAAGTCCCTTGGTGGAGACAGTGAAAGGCTGGCAGAGGGATAGGATCTGGAAAAGATGCTTAATAGGCATTGCATTTTGTTAGTAATGATAATAATTTACATTTTAAAAAGTATTCAGATACAATATTATTAAATCTGTTTGTTTAAAACTAAGCTGATCATTAAAAAATCAGCTTTAACCCAATTAGATTTTTTTTCCAAGGGAGAGACTAAAACTCGAATATTATCACTGTAAGCAATCAAGAATTTTATTATGAAAACTGTCAAACACATAGCAAAGATGAAAGATTTCTACAGGAAACTGTTATACCCACTCTTTAAGTCCTGCTACCAACATGGTACTGTCCTTGCCCCATCGTATGTGTATCCATCTATCCAGAGAATGTGGGGATTTTATTTTGATTCACAAGCCTCAGAAATTAATTTTGACTTCTTAGAGTTCTTTTGCACCATTACTGTAAAACTATCCAGAATAACTTAAGATCATCTGATTAAATGTGTACTAGATAATAAAAATAAGAACAGTATAAATATTTCCAAAGAACAAAATTTAACCATCGCACAATTTCAGCCTCATCAGAATTCTGGATCTCAAATAGAATGCAGTTAACTCTTTGAAAATGGAATTGGAAGGGTCTGTCTCTTGATCTAGGGTCTGGTTCCATGGGTGTGTTCAGTTTGTGCAAATTTGTTAAGCTGTAGATTCAATAAGTAGTTTTATAAATAAACAATAAAAATGAAACTGTGCAGCAGTTTTATATTTTGGGAGCAAAATGTTTGTCTCCTCAGTTTCCCATTTGTCTAGCTGGCCCTGGAATCCTGGCATCTTTCTTCCTTGGACAAGGCATAGCCACCTCTGAGCTTCTGTTGTCTAACATTGGGCAGGGGGTGTAAAAGCACATGCTTGATTTGGGGTCTCGTATTTCTGTTTGTCCAGGTTTCACTGTAATGGTACCAATGATTTGAATTCCTTTGCAGGTAAATTGGCCTTTATTCTGTAAATGGTGCTGAGAAGTCCTATTAGTGAGGTGCAAGGAGAAGTGGGTTTGAGATCAGGGAGTCCTGGTTTAGCACTAGGAACACAATACAACCTTTTTTGTCTTTGTTTTTGAGACAGGATCTCCCTCTGTTGCCCAGGTTGTAGTGGCATAATCACAGCAACTAGAACCTCTATCTCCTGGGCTCAAGCTATTCTCCCACCTCAGCCTCCCAAGTCCAAGTAGTCGGGACTACAAGTGTGGGCCACCACGCCCGGCTGAGTATTTTATTTTACTTTTGTAGAGATGGGGTTCTTGCTTTGTTGCCCAGGCTGGTCTTGGAACTCCTGGTCTCAAGTGATCCTCCTTCCTTGGCCTCACAAAGTGATGGGATTACTTGTGTGAGCCACTGGGCCTAGCCGTGATACAACTTTTTAAAAATTTATTTATTTATTATTTTTATTATTTTATTTTTTTCCAACTTTTATTTTAAGTTCATGAGTACATGTGCAGGATCTGCAGGCTTGTTACATAAGTAAACGTGTGCCATGGTGGTTTGCCGCACGGATCATCCTATCACCTAGGTATTAAGCCCAGTGGCCATTAGCTATTCTTCCTGGTGCTCTTCCTTCCCCCACCTCCACTCCTTTCAAAAGTCCCTAGTTTGTGGTTCTCCCCCACGTGCCAATGTATTCTCATCATTCAGCTTCCACTTGTAAGTAAGAACATGCGGTGTTTGACTTTCTCTTCCTGTGTTAGTTTGCTGAGGATAATGGCTTCCAAATCCGTCCATGTCCCTGCAAAGGACATGATCTCATTCCTTTTTATGGCTGCATAGTATTTTCTCTATCCGGTCTTTCACTGATGGGCATTTAGGTTGATTCCATGTCCTTGCTATTGTGAATAGTGCTGCAATGAACATAGTGTGCATGTATCTTTATAATAGAATGATTTATATTTCTTTGGGTATATACCCAGTAATGGGATTGCTGGGTCAAATGGTATTTCTGCCTCTGGGTCTTTGAGGAATCACCACACTGTCTTCCACAATGGTTGAACTAATTCACACTCCCACCAACAGTGTAAAAGCATTCTATTTTCTCCACACCTCGCCAGTATCTGTTGTTTTGTGACCTTTTAATAATAGTCATTTTGACTGGCATGAGATGGTATCTCATTATGGTTTTGATTTGCATTTCTCTAATGATCAGTGATGTTGAGCTTTTGTTCATATATTTGTTGGCTGCATGAATGTTTTCTTTTGAAAAGTGTTTATTCATGTCCTTGGCCCACTTTTAAATGGGGTTGTTTGTTTTTTTCTTGTAAATTTGTTTAATTTCCTTGTAGATTCTGGATATTAGACCTTTGTCAGATGGATAGACTGCAAAAATTTTCTCCCATCCCGTATGTCATCTGTTCACTCTGATGATAGTTTCTTTTGTTGTGCAGAGGCTCTGTTTAATTAGATCCCATTTGTCATTTTGTTGCTTTTGTTGCACGATATAACTTTTAAATGTCATCTCCCCTTTCCCATTACCTCCTGCCTTCCCCTGCAGGGGCCTGGGCCCTGGGCCCTGGGCCCTGAGTCATAAAGGTATGCTTAGGTTTTGTCCAACTATTCTGAGAGCTGTGAGGGCATGGAGATGAGGTGGGGACCAGGAGGCAACGTTTGGAAGTAAAAAAGCCACATAGAGGCATAAAAAATAAAAGAGGGGCACTATAGGAATGTATTGATTGAATTGCTAGAATATCTCTTATTTAGACTTTGGACAGATAGAAATATCCTTTGCATACTCTTCTTGCTGTGGCTGGTAAAAGAAATCTATGCAACATGAGATTTATGAAAACACAAAGTGTGACCTCAGGCTCTGAGTTGGAAAGAGAAGCTGGTAAGTTTCATCCTTCCTGTGCGCCTTCAGAGTTTGCCTTGGTTGCTTTCTCTGCCTATTTCCTGACTTGAAGTCCACAATCAGCTATCACCTACTTTCCTGCTCCTGTTTGTAACACATGTCCAGAGATCTTCATGGGTGCTGTCTCCCTTCTTTGATTTATTCCCTTCTTTGTGTTTTCCAGTAGGGCTGTCATCCCCATCACTGCATTGTCTCTCATCAAGACCACCGGTGGCCTGGTCTTGGCAAAGCCAATCTCCAAATCTTACCTGACATCTCAGCAGTATTTGACTTTGGTGACCACTTTCTCCTTTTTGAAATGCCATCACAATGTGCTTACCTGGTTTTTTTCTGTTGCCTTCACCTCTCCTCCACCCCGTTTCCTGCTAGATGTTGGCATGTCTCAGTCCTTGGCCTTCACATGTACTTTTTCATATGCTGATGATGTCAACAGATCCATAATGTTAAACATTGTGTATACTTTATGATTCCTAATTAATTTTTCCAGTCTGAGCTTCTCCCCTGAACACCAGACTCATGCATGAATCTCCCCCTTAACATGTCTTTTAGGAAACTCCAGCTTAACATAGACTAAGCATTTTATCCATCCATGGTATTCCTTTCATCCCAAGCCTTCTTCATTTCAGTAACCAACATTACTATCTCTTCAGTTGCCCAGACACATTTTCTATTAACCTTTGTAAGCCTCAGTTTCTGATCTGTCTAGCGGAGCTATGCTAATAGTATCAGCCTTAGAGCCTCAGTTCCTTCATCTGTAAAAGGATCATTGTAATAACTGCTTTGCCTACTTTATTGGGTTGCCATAGGATAAAATAAAAATGCTTTGCCAATTGTAAAGTGCTGTGCAAATGCAAACTACTGTTATATCATTGGAGAATTGGAGGTACCTTATTTAAATATTTATATAATAAATTTATCTTAGATTCTTTTTGTAAACAGACTGTGTTTTTTGATAAACTGGCACATTTCCTTCTGGTAGTTGACAAGGGTACTGTCACACAATATGTTTGTTTCTTTGCTTTGACTTACAGGAGGCTCAGAGCAAAACGTAATGTTTAGCTGTACTCGTTCTTCTTCTTTTTTCTTATTTTTATTTTTGAGATAGGCTCTCACTCAATCGCCCAGGCCGAAGTGCGATAGCACAGTCATAGCTCACTGCAGCCTCCACTTCCTGTGCTTGGGTGATCCTCCTGCCTTAGCCTCCCAAGTAGTTGGGACTACGGGCACACACCATCATGCCTGGCTAATCTTTATATTTTTTGTAGAGACAGGGTTTCACCATGTTGCCCAGGATGGCCTTGAACTCCTGGACTCAAGCCATCTGCCTTCCTAGGCCTCCCAAAGTGCTGGGATTACAGGTGTGAGACACCATGCCTGGCTACTCAGTATTCTTAAGTTAGCTTTTAATTATGATTATGTTTTCTTTCTAAAAACATGTTTTATTAATTTTTTCTCCCTATTTTAATCAAGGTGGTACATTCATCTTTCATTAAAAACATTTTTAATGAAATGTGTGTGTGAAGATTCTAGGTATAAACAAATAATAGATCAATAAACGAACAAGTAGATCCCATGGCCATGACCCATTCTATTCAGAGATACATTAGCATTATTTTATCATCATTGACCTGAAATACAGTTTTTTAGTAGGCTAAATTTAGTGGGCAATGAAAATGAAATAATTGTTAATTTAAATCTTTCTTATTTTGTGCATATTTCTTAAAATATATATTTTTTGATAAATCTAGTTACTGTTTTATGTTATCACAGAGCCAGTTTACTTTTTTAAAACAGTAAGCCCTGTTTGTAACGTATGGAAATATAAGCTGTAAACTGAAATAATATATTTTCTATAATAATTATGAATTCAGCTGGATGGAACAGAAAACTTAAATGACAGCAGCTATTCTTTCCCATACAGCAAGAAGGTGAGTGGTGGATGGCTGAGGGCCAGCGCAGGGCTCCTGATGTTATAAATGTCCAGGTTGCCTCCCTCTTCAGGCTCGGCACCCTAAGTTGGAGACTTTTGCTCTCAGTATCACAGGATGGGTTTCCAGGCGTTGAGACTGCATTCCAGGTGGGGAAAAGAGGAAAGAGCAAAGGTAAAAATTCAGCTGAATCTACACTGCTTATCTGGAGAAAAATACTTCCCCAGAAGCTCCATTTGGTACATTTCTGCTTATGTCTAATTGGACAGAACTGAGTCACATGGCCACTCTTAGCTGCAGGGAAGTCTGGAAGGCTCAATATTTTTAACCAGGCACATTGTTGTCCCAAACGAAATTGGCTTTCTCTTAGTAAGGAAAGGAGAAGAATGAATATTGGATAGGCAGTTAGCATGGTTTGTCATGTTCCGCAATTTCTTTTGCTTTGGGAGTCAAATTTCTGAACACAGAAGATATTTCTAGCAATGTTAATAGTGTTTCAGGAACTTATCATACTTCATTTTTTAAAATGAAAATCTCACTTTGACAGTGGTTTTGAGAATTGGATGAGGCACATAGGTGAAGGACCTGTAAGACTTCCCTGACGTAGTGACTCAAATGATGTCAAACATTCATCATCATGACTTCTGAAAAACTGTACCACTTTCCAGCTTTTGTTTCCACTTTTCCCCTTTAAAAAATTTGTAGAAGTTTAAGAGGTACAAGTACAGTTTTGTTCCATGGCTGTACTGCATAGTGGTGAAGTCTGGACTGTTAGTGTACCCCCCACTCAAGTAGTGTACATTGTACCTATTAAGTAATTTCTCACCACTCACACCCCCACCCTCCCACCTTCTGAGTCTGCAGTGTGCATTATTCCACTGCCTATGTCTATGTGTACACATTATTTAGCTCCGCCTTGTAAGTGAGAACATGTGGTATTTGACTTTCTGTTTCTGAGTTATTTCATTTAAGATAATGGCATCCAGTTCCCTCCATAATGCTGCAAAAAACACGGTTTCATTCTTTTTACAGCTGAATAGTGTAATATATATATATATGTATATACCACATAATATATAACATTTTCTTTATATATCTAAAACGTGATATATATTTCTTTAATCAGTCATCCACTGATGGACACTTAGGTTGATTCCATATCATTGCTATTGTGAATAGTGCTGCAATAAACATACGAGTGCAGGTATCATTTTGATATAATTATTTCTTTTTCTTTGTGTAGATACCCAGTAGTGGGATTACTGAATTGAATGGTAGTTCTTTTGAGAAATATCCATACTGTTTCCCATAGAGGTTGCACTAACTTATGTTCCCACTAACAGTGTGTATGCATTACCTTTTCTTTGCATCCTTGCTGACATTTGCTATTTTTGACTTTTTTTTTTTTTTTTTTTTTTTGAGCTGGAGTTTCACTCTTGTTGCCCAGGCTGGAGTGCAATGGTGCAATTTTGGCTCACTGCAACCTCCACATCCCAGGTTCAAGTGATTTTCCTGACTCAGCCTCCCAAGTAGCTGGGTCTACAGGTGCCTGCCACCACACCCAACTAATTTTTTGTATTTTTAGTAGAGACGGGGTTTAACCATGTTGGCTAGGCTGGTCTTGAACTCCTGACCTCAGGTGATCCACCTGCCTCAGCTTCCCAAAGTTCTGGGATTACAGGCGTGAGCCACTGCACCCGTCCTATTTTTGACTTTATAATGACCATTCTGACTGGTGTAAGATGATATGTCATTGTGGTTTTAATTTGCATTTCCCTGATGATTGGTGATGTTGAGCATTTTTTCATATGCTTCTTGGCCATTTGTATATTTTCTTTCAAAAAATGTCTCTGCATGTCTTTTGCTCGCTTTTTAATGGGGTTATTTGCTTTCTTTTTTTTTTTTTTGAGTGTTTGAGTTCCTTGTAAATTCTGCATATTAGTCCCCTGTCAGATGGATAGTTTGCAAATATTTTCTCCCACTCTGCAAGCTGTTTGTTCACTCTGTTGATTGTTTCTTTTGCTGTGAAGCTTCTTCGTTTAATTAAGTCCCATTTGTCTACTTTTGTTTTGTTGCATTTGTTTCTGAGGTATTAGTCATGAATCCTTTGCCTAGACCAATGTCCAGAAATGATTTCCCTAGGTTTCTTTCTAGTATTTTTATAGTTTCAGGTCTTACATTTAAGTCTTTAATTCATCTTGAGTTAGTTTTTGCCTATGGTGAGAGACAGAGGTCTGGTTTCATTCTTCTGCATATGACAATCCAATTTTCTCAGCACCAGTCATTGAAAAGGGTGTCCCTTCCCAAGTGTGTGCTGTTGTCGACTTTGTCAAAGATCAGTTGGCTGTAGATATGTGAATTTATTTCTGTGTTCTCTATTCTGTTCCACTGATCTATGTGTCTATTTTTATACCAGTACCATGCGTTTTGGTCACTATAGCCTTGCAGTATAATTTGAGGTCAGGTAATTTGATGCCTTCAGCTTTGTTCTTTTTGCATAGGATTGCTTTGGCTGTTTGGGTTCTTTCTGGGTTCCATATAAATTTCATCACCTTATTTTTGTATAATAAGCTTCTTATTCCAAAATACATTAAATAAATATAAGAATTAATTTTTTGATATTACAGTGTCAGGGAAAGACACACTCATCAATTTACTCAACGCCAAGGTCACTAGTCAAAGAATATCTCATGGGACACATTTGAACTGTGTGCCCTATTTGGGTGAACCCACAAAATTTTCCTTCATGTGTTTACACCAAGTGAGGTGTGAAGTGGCAGCATCTTCTACACATGTTGAGTCTCTTCTACATGTGTGCCATTCACATACATGTTAAAGCACTTTCATGTTCAGCCTTTATTTTGCCCTATGTTTTTCTGCACCACATTTATTAAGTGCAATTTGTGTGCAACATAACCATTAATTCCCCCAAAGTTGAAGAATTGGTAAAGAAAATGTGCAGAAAAAAGAAAAGAGGGAGTAATTTTTACTACTTTACATTTTATGTATAAACTTAATTTTAATTTTCATATTGTTGTTCATTGCTTATGTCAATTTATTTTTGTTGTTCAAGAGATACATTTTTCTATCTGTAAATGTTTTAAAACTTAGGTTGAAATGAAGTACATTCTATTCCCTGCCCATTAGTATTTATGAAAAAATTGAAGGTTAATGACTTTTAAGTTATGGACAAGTTTTCATGAATAAATTAAAGTTTTTCAGCAAGGGATAGCTGTGTGTGTTTTAAGTCTCTGGGTAGATTTATATAGTAACAAAGAATGGGGAACTCAAGTTTGTGTGTTGAGGCAAAATATATAGGATATTGTTGTATGCATTATCTTGCTTCCCAGCAGCTTTCTGGGAGCAGGCACAGTAATCCGTTATTCAGGAAAGTTGTAATGGCTTTCTGCTCTGTCAACTTAGCTTTGGTGGAACTACATTTCCCAGAGCTCCCTCCCCTGCGTAGCTCTAGTCTTTTGCTGTGTGGGTCTGGAAGGCAGAAGGGAAGCCTCAACACTTGTGAACACTCACTCATCCGGAGGATGTGGGCAGCGCTGTGCTGGACCCTCAGTTCCCCCAGCTCCCATCCACTTCTTCCTTCAGCTTTTCCAAGTCCTGGGCTGCATGGGTGCAGCTCTATGGCATATGCACCCGTTATCTTCTCAGTGTTAACTGCGTCATCAAGTTCGATGGTGGTGAGAACAGAAATGGGCTCCAGTCTGTCCCTGTGGGTTCCTTCTTCACATCTAGCTTTTCTTCCAGCTAGCCCTTCCTGCTGACCTCAATGACTTCAGGCCCCTGTCAGATGCAGAAGCCATGGCCTTTCTAGGCTTTTCCACCAGCTCCCACATTGCTTGCCCAAGATCTAGTCCATGTAGTGAGTCCCTAATTCTATGCCACCCATGAGGTTCAAACTCCCTGAGTAAGCCCTGACTGTTTACTGATCTAGAAATTATCAGACTCAGAGAAATGATATCCCTCAGACTTGGCAGTGCAGCTCCTTCGTGGACCTGGGGGAGGTGAAGGACCTGGCCCTGGCTCAGCAAGGTTATTGCATTTAATCTTCACAACAGGTATTATTATCATTTTATAGGTAAGGCAGCTCTATTTTTCTTAGGGCTAGCTCTACAAATAATTTTTTTTGTCTTAGAACAAGCTGATGTCCAAAATTTGCTTTTTATGGAAAATCTGTCGTTGTAAAAATATGACTCTGGAGACAAATTTTCTGAGAGCAGTAAATACCAGAAGCCCAGCCAAAAAACTTCAGCACCCTGTTGAGATTGGGAAAAGGCAACATTGACTTATTTTCACTTAAGTTTGTGACTTAGAAAAAAACTAACAGTGATGGTTTTCTTCTTCTCTGTTAGGCTTGTGGCTGCAAATTCTTTGCATGGCCGTTTATTTCACTGAAGCGAATGATAGCCCAAAAGTCCTTGAGATATGTGAGCTGCAAAATTCTACAGCTGTATGTTCATTTTCCAGAATTCAGAAAAGTGCAGTGCTCAATTTGGTAAACATCACCTCCATGGAAATTATGTTTGCCCAGGTTGTGTATTTGAATATTAAACATACCCCGCCATGAATCATGATTGCTGGTTGACCAGCTGCCTAACCATTTCTTTGTGTTCATTCCTCCTCGTGTCTTTGACTACTTCAGGCTGGCATTCAAATGCCAGGTCCTGACCATGTTTCTAAAGAATACATTTGAATGCAATTACTAAGCCTCCTTTAGAAGTCCAGCAGCCCTGTCCATTATAATAATTGATAGTCTAGAAACTTGTTAGAGAGAAAGGAATTTAATCAAAGGTAGAAGTAATTTATAGGGTAAGTCCGACATATACATACTTTCTCTAAGCCTTGGCTTGATTGGTTTTCATTTTTGGGATGTGTATTTGACATTTGAAACAATTTTGGTCAATAATGCTTTCATGCGAGGCTGAGAGTTCTTTGACCTATACATTGAAAATGAGGGAGAGCCAAGAGAAATTTGGTGCTGGTGGTGACTGCTGAACTTTCAGGATCATTAAAATATACTGCTAACTGCATGAAATAAGCACATTTGACTCAAGTTTCTCCTTGGGGATGGTATTGGTCAGTTTCTCAGGAGAGAAGCCCTCTTCCTCTCCCTTACCAAAGACTCTGTCTCCAGTTAAACAGGGAGCTGCTTCTTTGGTTATTAGTGGCTGCCCCACCTTGGTGCATCCTTGGTGTTTAGCACTGATCACCTTATGTACCAACATCTTCCTACTAGAACCCTGAGATTCTTCCTGAGCTTTTCCTGGACTTGGGAGCATGTTGGCCTGGGCACATGCAAGTTGTAAATTCTTGGGAGTTAATGTAGAAGCAATGGCCTGTAGCCATTGGTAGATGATAGATAGGAACTGATGGGTAAATACACAGCCACACCCTGCCACCATGAGGGAGAACCATCAGGTGTATTCCATGTAGTTCCTTATAGTTCCCCAGTGGGATTGGGGCCCAGTTGACCATAGAAGGAACTTCCTCCTTTGCCCAACCTTTTACTGGATTCCTTCCCTTCCCTTACTTCCTCACTCCCCTAGCCGTGCTTTCTGGGAATATCTCCCAACTAGACTCTGCACATGAATCCTTGTCTCATAGTCTGCACTGGGGGAGCCCAAATCAAGATGATGGTCTTCATCTTTGTACTTGCTAGGTCTTCCTTTGAGAGCTAAGCCTGAAGAGTAAAGCCTCTTTTGCTGATCAGATGAGTAGGTTATTACTGGTTGGCCCATTTGCAGAAGGAACCACCCAAGAGCAGATGAGAGAACTGAGTTCCAAGGCATGTTTCTGCAGAGACAAGGTAGAGAGGAGCAGAGAATTGGGCGCTGATCAGCAGCGGAGTGGACGAAGGGTGAAACTTTACTAACCTGGAGCAGAGGTCTAAGCCCACAGGACACTGGCCAGGAGAGTCTTGTTTCTCTGCATACTTGGCAAGGCACTTCATCTTCTTCTGTCTTCTCTTTACCCTCCATGTATGAGCTGATGACTCTAACATGTCTAGTTCTACCTCTACACAAACACCTAAGAGATGCTGACAGCACTCCTCACAATAAGTGACAATTCCTGCACCTGACACCCTTGGTGGACCTCAAACTCAGCATGTCCTGAACCAAGTTCATTATTTTCCCTCCATAATCCTCCTTTTCACCCCACCACAAAACACTGAATATTTTCCATCTTCAGCATTACTTCCTTTAGCTAAAAGCAAGCTCTGCACTTCTAAGCTATTTGCTGTTCCTATCTTCCACATCTGACTCCTCACCAAAACTGCTCCATTCTGTCCTGTGAATACTTCCCGAATGAGGCTTCTCCTCCCCATCACTGGTTTCATGTTCCCATCATCCCTCATCGCACCTGTTCAGTCATCTCATGACTCCTTGCACTCTCCCCCTTCATTTATCCCTCCATTTTGCAACCAGAGCAGTCTTCCTGAATGGTGAATCTGACCATGTCATCCCTACCACCAAAACCTCCATTACTTACAAATAAAGGTTTAAATCATTTTTTCTGGCATTCAAGGCTGTCCTGTCATCGTTCCATTTTTTCCCCTCTTCCCTCTTTTCCTATCTTGCATGTTCCTCTATCTCCATGCTCCATGTGCTCGAGACCAGCACTTTTCCAAAGTGTGTTCCACAGAATGCGGATACTTTGAGATGCTCCTCTGCAGAAGGGTTTCAGGGTAAGAAACTGGAGAGCACTGCTCCCTTTGCCTCACTCTTGGATATTCAAGTGGTACATTAGGACATTCTAGACTCTTGAGAAGTCCTGAAATGAAGAAATCTGTTTAATTTTGTTTAACTTAATGTTTCCCAACTTATGTGACCATGGAATCTGTTTCTCCCCTTTACAGAATAGCAGCTATTATTAGTCTTGTAAAGGACTAGTATTTGTTGGATACATGCCACTTTTTCTAACCACACCAGACTTCACATCTGAAACATGTCAAACCCCAGGACTAGAGTTGTTTTTTATTTATTTATTATTCCTTAAGCTCTTTACTTAGTCTTAAATGATTTTACCCCAATGTGTCTCTTAAATGCCTCACTTATCCTTTGGGGTCTAGCTCAGATGCCACACTCATCATGCAGCCTCCTCCGAGACCCCCCAGCATCCCTGCCCGGCACTTTTGGTGCCACTGTGAAAGGAGTGGTTTTGTTCTGTCTTGTAGTGTAATCAACTTACATACTTATTGAACTGCAAGATCTTTGAGGACAGTGTTTAATTTTCTTTTCTAAAAAATGATACCTACAGTGCTGCACAACTACATTGACTGCAAGTAATGACGGATCAAGCTTTTCTTTCTGAATTGATTTTACCTCAGGTCATTATTCTCTGTGAACAACAAGCAACAGAGGAGCATGATTTCTTCTGGGTTAGATCAGGTTCGAATACCAGCTGGGCTGCCCACAAGGTGGTGACTTCGGCAATCTATGGAGCTTCTCTGAGCGTCAGTTTTTTTACAGGGCTGTTGTGAGAATTAAATGAGTTAATCTATGGTGGTGGTGGTGGAAGGAGGCTTAGCATGGTACCAGCTAAGTACCATAAATTTCAAAACCACAGTGATAATAAAGATGGTGATGGAGATGACGCCCACAGTGATAATGGATGACAAGTACTTAGCGGTCTCCAGGTACCAGGCCCCATACTAAGTGCACTGCAAGCACAATTTTATTTAATCATCACAGCAGCCATATGAGGTACATGTTATTATTCTCATTTTACAGATGATGAACCCAAGGCTGGGGTCTGAGCTGTGTAGTCTCACTCCAGAGCCTGTGGTCTGCTTAACCATCGCACAATACTGTAGACTGACCTAGTAAAAATATTTACTAGTTGTTATTTTTATTCACAAATATTGCAAAATATGTGGAATTCAACAGAAAAAAGGATACCAGAAACTGCTGGATTGGAGGAGACTTTGGTGTTGAAATCTATATTTGTCACTGTCACTAAATTGTGAGGTCTGGAGCCAAATAAGGCTGACCTAAACCTCACTTCTTTTATCTGTGAAGTGGGTATCCTTTTTTCTGTTGAATTCCACATATTTTGCAATCTTTGTGAATAAAAATAACAACTAGTAAATATTTTTACTAGGTCAGTCTACAGTATGTGTGATGTACCTCATATGGCTGCCAGCTTGTGGTTATGCAGATTAGAAGCATTGCACATAAGTTGTTAGTTCATCTTTTCACTAGAGGGAGGGAAAGAATAAATTCAACTCTGAAATTGCATCCCACTTTCCTCTGAAAAACAAGCAAGCAAGCAAGCAAACAAACAAAAAACACAAAACTCCAAAACCTCCCTCTTTAAAATCTGGGACTGATGACAAAAGGTATCTGGAAAACACGGAGCCCATGACAGTCTGGGAACAGGTGCAGCTGCAGATCTTTGCTTGTGCGGATGAGGAGCCGAGAGGGTCGCCATCGCCCATGACCCCGAAGCCCACTGAGGCTGTGTCCTTGGAGGCTCGCATCCAGCCTCTCCTCTTTAACGCTTTGCTGCTGCCTAGCTGCAGTCTCCTTTCCATCTCCCTCTGCCGCCCGTTAGACCCCAGCTGCTCTCCCTCGGGCCAGCCCTAGGTCCCCTTGTGCCACCCTTACCACTGCTGCGGAAGTGATGTGGGAATCACAGGGCGGAGCGAGTGATTTATAGACAAACCCCGTCCGTAAACTCCCAGACAGAGGCAGGGTACGGGGCTAGCACGGCGTTCAAGGCTCATCGTGCTTCATCCCAGCTCACCTACTCAACTGGACTTTCGCTACCCACCTGCAGCCCTTCTGTGTCAATCACCTGGGGCCTCTCACGGCTAGGGTTTCAGGTTTCAGTGTCCTTGTTCACCCTGGAAGCCTGAAAGTTCAAAACAACACCTGATTCGCTCTTGTTCTCTCATTCTGGAATCTATTTTCTCTCCTTTAGCTCTGATTTAAATCGATTTTCAGCACGCTCCATGATGCAGAGCAAGTGTCTTCTCTTCCATGAAGGCTTCTCTTACGGACCAAGACAAAAGGTATTTTACCTGGAAGGCCCCCTTCCCTCATCATCTCTGCCTGCAGAGTGGTTTCCTTATCTTCTACTATAGCCCTTAGTATTTTCTAATCTATCTTATGATTGGAAGTTGACATATTTATGATTCAACTGTATTGTAAAATCCCTATCAGATTAACCAGCCACGTCTCTCTTTGGCAGCATCCAAGCAGATCTGGTCTTGAATATTGCTTCTGCAACTCTCTCTCACTTTGATGTTGCATAAGGTATCCAATTTCTCTCTTTTATTCATTGTTAGTGTTATGATTATTGAATTTATGTAACTGTTAGCTAATCTCCAAACCCACTTTTTCCAGCTAGACATAATTCTACAGCCTCTTTTAGGATTAGGTATGGTCATGTGACAGAATTCCAGCCAGAAGAGTGTGAGCAGGAGTGATGTTTGCCATTTTGGGGCCTGACCCGTGAAAACTTCCTGTGCAATCCTCCGTGCTTTTTTCCATTTCTGCAGCAAACTTGGGTGCCATGTTTTGAAGATGGGGGTGTGGTAGCAAAATTTCAAGATGTTCTCCAGTGATCCTTGCCTCCTGGTATTCATGCCCCATATAATTCTCTACTGTCCTGAGTACGATGGATGTGTGCCACCAATAGGATATTGCAGAAAGGGCAGTGTGTGACTCCCAAGGCAAGGTCATAAAAGCTATGTGGCTTCTGCTGTAACCTCTCTTGCATCATTCTCTTTGGTGGAAGCCAGTCACTATGTCATAAGGACACTCAAGCAGTCTTGTGGAGAGGTCCATGTGGTGGGGAACTAAGACCTCCTGCCAGCTGCCAGCACAAATTCTCATTTATGTGAGAGATCATCTTAGAAGTGGATGCTCCAGTCCCAGTTCAATCTTCAGATGACTGCCACCTTGCAAGAGACTCTAAGCCAGAACCACCCAGACAAGCCACTCCCAAATTTCTTATGTATGGAAACTGATAATGCCTATTGTTTTAAGCTGCTAAGTTTTGGGGGTAATTTGTTATGCAGAAATAGCTAACTGATACAGGGGGCCACAAAGTGAAAGGGGCTTAGGTCCCTGTGACTCCCTAAATAGGAGCTGCCCACTGAGACTTGGGCTTTGTCTCTAAGTGGGAATCCCAAGGCTTAAGCTCCTTTAGCTTTATGGTAAATCTGCCTTTGTTAGACTCCAGTACATGTCTCTGCTTTTTCAAGTCTTTCTTTTATGGCTATTAGTAAAGTTTTGTAATTTTTTTCCTGTAGGTTTTGAATATTTCCTTTTTTTCATTTTCTTTTTTCCTCCTGTTTATTTCTATTTCTAGCCATTTAATAGTTGGTTTTGTCTTTGTAGATTGAATGGAATTTAAATGATTTGTGTATGTTGATCTTTATATTCTGCAACTTTGCTCAATTCTCATGTAAATAAAGAAATTTGCCAGTTAATCTTGAATTTTCTAGATAATCATATCATGTACAGAAAATAACAGTTTTCCTTTCCTTTGTCAGTGTCTTATTTCTTTTTCTTATTCTATTGTGTTGACAAGTACTTCTAATAGGATATTGAATGGTTATGGTGAGAGTAGTTTGGTCTTGTCATTTACATGTCTCTCCATTAAGCATGAGACTTGCTGGAAACGTCTAGTAGATTGAATTTAGCACATTCTTTTTGATGTCTAGTTTGCTAAACATGTTTTTTTTTAACCAGGTATTGTTTTGAACTTTATTAAATCATTTTTGACCTCTATTGAGATTATCATACAATTTTTCTAATTTAATATATTAACACAGTTGTTAACATAAATAGATCTTTGTAATTTCAAATGGGTCTTGTATTCTTAATATAAACCTTATTTGGATATAACATATGATTCTTTTAATATATATTGTTGATTTTGACTTGATAGTATTATACTAAGGTTTTTGGGTGCATATTCACTAAAGAGTAGCACCTACTATTTTGTTTTCTGGAATTGTCTTTCCCTGATTTGGATATTCTTGTTTTTTTTAACTAGTGAAATGAATTAGTAATTTTTTGTCTTTTTCTGTTCCCCTGAGCAATTCCTGTATTAGAGGGTCTGTTTCTTTAATGTTCAGTAGTATCTCATGCCTAAATCTGTGTGGGCCTAGTGTCCTTTTTTCCCTCTCTTTTTTATTGAAGGACTAAAGCTTTGAATGCTTTTGCAGTTTCTTCCAAAGTTTATCATCTACTCAGCCTTTCTGCTTTTTCTTAAAGTTAATTTTACCAATTAAAAAAGTCTTCTCTACAATTCTCTTTCTTATTCTTAAATTTGTTTATTCTCTACTAATTTCTTAGTCAGATTTTCTAAGGCTTTGCCTATTTTATTAGTTTTTAATAAAATAGCTTTTGGCTTAATAGATTAATTATAATTCTTTGGTGTCATATCTTAGTAGCTTCTTTTACCTTCATTCATTCATTTCATAAATTTCCTGTATGCTTATTTTGATCTTCTTCTAGCTTCTTGAGCTAAAAGTTTAGATAATTTATTTTTAGTCTTTCTCGTTTTTAGATAAATGCATGAGTGCTGTAAATTTTTCTTTGAGTACAGATTAATCTTTATCTGATATGCTTTGATATAAAATGTTACATGGCTTATTAATAGTGTATAATTTATAGTTTGAGTTTTAGCTCTTTGGTTCAGTGTTTTAAATTTTTAGATAATTCTTATTTTCATCTTCTTTTCCCTATTTATCTTCTCTGTTTCTCTTCTTATTCTAATTTTACATAAATATGGTCACCTTATTGACGTATGACTTTAAATTTGTTGATATTGTTAAATCCTTAATATTTTTTGGTCCATTGGCCATATCAATGAGAGCAGTAATTAGGAATTTCCTACCATGATAATAAGTTTGTCAATGTCTCATTTTGGTTTTGAATCAATTTTTGCTTTACTAATTTTGAGGTTACTTTATTAAGTGCATTCAAGTTTAGAACTGTTAACAGCTTTTTGAAGACAGGGCCGTTTTATCATGATGTACCACCCTCTCTATCCCTCTTAATGATTTTTGTCTTCAAATCTATTTTGTCTAATTATAACATAGTTTGCCCAGCTTGTTTTTGATTAATATTTACCTGGCATTTATTTTTGCATCTTTTGTTCAACCTTTCCATGTCCTTAGCTTAAGTTATGTGTCTTGTAAACAGTGTAGAGCTGGCTTATGTTTTTGTTTTATTTCAAGCTGATAAGCTCCCCCTTCCATTAGTGAGTTTCATTCATTCTGGTGTATTGTAATTATTTATACATTTGAGCTTGCCTATTCTCATCTTGCTTTTTAATTTCTATTTGACTCTTTGCTATGCTTCTGTTTTCTCCTTCATTGAATTTAGATTGAGCCAAAGTTTCATGATTTATTGATTTTTATTTTTATTTTTTTTTTCAGACAGAGTCTCATTTTGTCACCCAGGCTAGAGTGTAGTGGCGCAATCTCGGCTCACTGCAAGCTCCACCTCCCGGGTTCACGCCATTCTCCTGCCTCAGCCTCCCAAGTAGCTGGGACTACAGGTGCCTGCCACCACGCCCGGCTAATTTTTTTTGTATTTTTAGTAGAGATGGGGTTTCTCCGTGTTAGCCAGGATGGTCTCGATCTCCTGACCTCGTGATCTGCCCGCCTGGGCCTCCCAAAGTGTCATGATTTATTTTTATTAGATTTTCTCTCTGCAAGTTTAGATATTATGTACTTATATAATTTACATATGTTATTTCCATTTTATATCATATTTTATTTCTATTATTTCAGTGGGTCCCCAGTGATATTTAACCATATTTGTAGAATGTAACAATGTCTAAAGCCTGAGCTCACATTTTTGGGGGATACAGGTGAGTAGGTGAACGGAGGAGAACCTAGGGAGTCTATGATTCATAGAAACCTCTGGCCAGAGTCCAGGCAGCATGGAATTGTGAGGAGGACAAATAGAAAGTTGACAAGACCGGCAAAAGGAGCAAGACAGGAAGCCCAGAAGAGCACAGAGTCTCAGAGGCATGAATGTCGGCCTCTCATGGGACTGTTTACGGACCTGCCAGTGTGCACGTGCGTGTGCTCCTGAGTATGTGAATGTGTGTGAATCATGCTTGCACATGTGTATGCGAGTGTGTATGTGTGTGTCTGTGTGTGTTTGTTACTTGAGAACTGAGGACAAGGAGAGGCAAAGGGTAAAAGGCAAAGGGTAAAACGGAAGCAGTAAATACGTCTGACAGTAAGCAAGAGTTCATTTTCACTGGACATAGTACCAAAGAGCAAAGTCTGAAAGGGAAGAAGGCAGTGAGGGGGCTCAGCCCTTCCTGTCACAGGGGAAGAACACGTTAAAGGTGGATTTGGAAGAGTGGGTTTCTTTCCGGAAGACAAATGGATCAAGAGAAATTCCATCTACTTGTATCAGAGGATACAGGTTGACCTAGAATAGTGACCTAGGCAGACAGGACTGGCATAGTTCAAAAAATCTCCTTTTTCACAGTGAAAGCCCAAATGACATTATTTCTGAGACTTTTATCCTGCGATGTTGGTGTTCTGTTTTGTACACTAGCTATCAGCACAAGAATCATTTGTTGACAATGGTTACTAAAGAAGTTTCAGGTCTCATCTCAATGTAATCTGTACTCTGATTAAATTATAAACAGATTTCTAGAATTGAACAGTGATAGTCCATATGGTGTAGGAAGGGAGAATTCAAATAGAATATTCTCTCAATCGGTGATGACAGCACTAGTGACATGTCAGTTTATGAGAAACAGATATAGTACATAAAATATTCCCTTGTCTGGTTTACTTCTTTCCATAGTCAGGGCTATGAAATCTTTTCTGAACTAACTGACACACAAAATGAAGTTAATTAATATGATTTTAAAAAATATTATGTTTTTCATTCTACAGGGTGTTTTTTGTTGCTAATAGAACTAAAATCTCAGCACATTCACTTCCAACCCAAAATGAAATGCAACCTTTCAGTGTGACGCAGGCTTTCTTCCTACTCTGTTTCCTGTCATAATCTATGTTTTGGTAAGTAAGAGGATGAATGGACTATGCCTTATGCTTATAAAACACCTTTTATTTTACCATCTGTAAGCCTTAGCTAAACACTGCTGATAGTCCAGAACAGATACAGAGACAACAATGCAATGAATTAGAGAATAAAAGCACTGATGAGAGGAAGCAAAAAATGGAAACTGAGGCTGTGTGCTTTATTTAAATGGTACAGTTCCTGTTTAGAAAATGAAAATCAAACTATTTGAAGTCACTTTGGACTACTGAGTTTTCTTTTTATATATATATATATATATATATATATATTATTTCAATAGCTTTTGGGGTACAGGTGGATTTTGTTTACATGAATAAATGCTGTAGCGGTAAAGTCTGAGGTTTTAGTGCACCCTTTGACTTAGTAGTGTACATTGTACCCAATATGTAGTTTTTTTTTTAATCCCTCACCCTCCGCCTCTGAGTCTCCATTATACCACCCTGTATGCCTTTGTGAACCCATAGCTTAGCTCCCACTTATTAGTGAAAACGTGGTATTTGGTTTTCCATTCCTGAGTTACTTCACTCTTTGAATAATGTCCTTCAGTTTCATCCAGATGCTGCAACAGGTATTATTTCATTTTTTTAATGGCTGAGTAGTATTCCATGGTGTATGTAGACCACATTTTCTTTGTCCACTCATCTGTTGATGGGCAAGTAGGTTGTTTCCATATCTTTGCAATTGTGAATTATGCTGCGATAAACATACGCATGCAGGTATTTTTGATATATGACTTATTTTCCTTTGGATACCGAGTTTTCTAGTGCAGGTTTTGCTGTGACCACTAACTGGAGAGGCCTTGGCAGCCTGTCATCTCTTTCCACCCTGTGGGTCTCACTGCCTGGGAATTCACATGGTTCCTTTTAGCAGGCCTTCACCTCACATCTTTATCCTGGCCCCTTTCTTCGCTGCCACACCTGGGCTTTACACCTCCCACTGGCTTCTATTTGCTGCCACATAAACTCCAAATGGCTGTGACCAAGGGCCAAGTTCACCCTTCCATCCCGCCTTGAGTTCTCACTCTGACACCCGGAATATCAGCACTGGAGACAGCTGCATGCTCCCCGTGGGATACTGGCTGCCTCTTCTGGACGTGAGACAATTTGAGTGCAGTATTTCTCTAGTTGCTGACCCTTCCCAGCTCCTCCTTTCAGGGGATGTGGTGTCATCCTGGCATTGTCCTGTCCTAACCTAGCCCTGCTGGTCTCCATGGCTGCAGCTGGATATCCAAACACCCAACACACATAATCATGGCTCTGTGCCGTGAGGAGGAGACAAGAACCCCCCAAACCATTCTGTCGAGTTTCCTATGGTTGGGTTCTGGTTGTATTTCTCTTCTTTTCTTTTCTTTTCTTTTCTTTTTTTTTTTTTTTTGAGACGGAGTTTTGCTCTTTGTTGCCCAGGCTGGAGTGCAGTGGCGCGATCTCTGCTCATTGCTACAACCTCTGCCTCTCGGATTCAAGTGATTCTCTTGCCTCAGCCTCCCTAGTAGCTGGGACTACAGGCTCCCACCACCATGCCCAGCTAATCTTTGCATTTTTAGTAGAGACGGGGTTTCACCATGTTGGCCAGGCTGGTCTCGAACTCCTGACCTCAGGTGATCCATCTGCCTTGGCCTCCCAAAGTGCTGGGATTACCGGCATGAGCCACCGCACCTGGCCCTGGTTGAATTTCTTGGGAGAGTTGCGTGATTCACCCTAGAACCCCCTCATTCTGCTCTAGCGGCAGGACAGGCTCCCTTCAAGCCAGGGCCACTGTTAATCAGGAAAAAGAGGTGATCAAGAATGTTCTCAATTCAAGAGGGTCAGAAACATAATCAACTTTTGGTTGATGATGGGAGGCCTGTTTTAAAGTTTGGTCCTGAAGCCCTAAGCATGCGTTTTCTGGCCATGAGGCACCTGGGGAGGAGGCTGGTTGGGAGAGAGCTCCTTCAACCAGGAGGCTGCCTCCTTCCAGGGAGAGTCACGCGGAGACAGCTGAAGATGCTGTCATGATTAGAGTCAGGTCAGTATTTCTTCTCTGTGGGAGCATCCCATTGGCCAGGTCATCATTCCAGAATCTCAGATGCATATCTTTCAATTTCCCTTCCATCCCTGCTGCAGTCCGGGTCAGGATCTGGCCTCTCACCATCCTGGGCTGCCTATTTCTAGGATCTCCCCCTCTCACCAATCTCATGCAGCAACCAGCATTACATTCCTGAAATATGGGTTGTTGCAGGTCCCTCTTGTCTGCAGGATAGAGTGTCAACCTCTGGGTGTCCGACTAGCTTCCTCCACATGTCCTTATAACCTATTGTATTGATTTAAGCTCATTTCCTAAGGGGTCTCTGCACTTGGATGCTCTGAACCTGTGTGTAGTTGGTTCCCTTAGCCTGGACAGCTCTTCTCTTCCTCTTTTCCACTGATCACGAGACTTCACAATTGTGAAATCCTTTCTTTAATGCTTCCTTTTGTGGGAAGAACCCCTGAGGTAATCAGTGGGGTTCACTGAGGTCCCCTCCTCTTTTCCTCTACACCACTGTTTTATGCGTCCTGTCTAGCCTCGTGTTGAAAGTGCCTATTTCTGGGCTCCAATTAGGCTCATTCTCCCTCTTTTCTTTGAATTATCATGAACTGAATTGATCTGTCTTTTAAAAAGTTATCCTTGTAAATTGGGTCTATCTTTTAAGTATTAACCTTATTTCCCTCAATTCAACTTATTTCCAAATAATTATTAGGCCTGCCCATTAGGTGATAAGTTTTTTTAAAAATAATTTGTCACTGTAGAAATATTCAAACATATACAAAAATAGAGAGTATAGCCTGTGAACTCCTACATCCCTAGCACCCAGCTTTGTCACTCCTCCATATTATGTTGAAGTAAATCTCAGATATCTTTCTACTATAAATATTTCACCATATTCTTTTAACAGCTAAGGAAACTTAAAAAATAACCATCATACAATTTATTACTTAAATTTATTAATACATTTTTAATATCAGATGGTAAGTTACAGGATGGAGCTGTGACACCCTTGTCATGAACAAGCCTACAGTTGTAGACTTATGCTCACAAAGGGTGCTCAGCTCCCTATTAATGAATTGATTGATGAATCAATTAAATGATGTTGTGATTATTGGCTATCACTGACACTTGCAGAAGGTAGCGCTCTCTTGTGCTGATTTCATGTTAATCTCATCTAACTTTAAGGAGCTCATTTCATGACACATGGAATTTAAAGGCCAGTACTCTACAATTCATGGACACTCTTCTAACTCAAAGTAGCTATTAAGGAAACCAATCTTAAAGTCAGGATGACAGGGACCTTAAAGTACCAATTCCATTTCCAGCCTTATAGACTCAACCAAGTTATTTAATGTGTCTAAATCCAGTTTTCTTATAGGAAAAAGAGTTTCTAATAGTACCTATCTCCTAGGATTTTTGTGTGGGTTAAATGAGATACGAAAACACAAGGCAGTGTTGGGTACTTAGTAAGTGCTCAATAAATATTATCTGTTCTCATTTTTTATGCCTGCAGAGTATAATATCCTTTTTTCTCCCACTTTTAAATGCTGGAAGAAGATTGAAAATGGCAACTAGCATCTCATAAAATGACATAGGATAATTTAGAAAAGTGGGGAAGTATTTATATCTGAAGTCAGCACTGTATAAACATCGATATGAGCCAACAATATTGTGTGCTCTCCAAGTGTTTTGCAGAAGCAGTGGGGCTCCTGCTGAGACGTGGTCTTGCCAAACCCCCTCAAGCTCCAAAGATGGTCTTTTCAAAATCTTTCTCCTCTATTGCCCCGGGCCATGTTCTTCCAGAAAACTGCCTGCAAGCAATTTCCTTAATCGGGTTGCTAAGGGCAACCCCAAAGAAACAACATACCAAGCTATCTGTCTGTCCATCCGAATCCCAAAAGCTTTCCTTGTGCTTCCTGCTCTGACCAAAGAGGCATTTGAGGCACATGTGAGAGAACAGCTTTCCAGAAACCACACTTGAGTCCACAGCAGAGCGGAAGGGGCAGGAGGCATCAGGACCATTTCCAGATTTCTCTCTGGCCCTGATTGTCTAGATTTGCATCCAATCACTGCAAGAGTTTATACAAAAGTTGTTAGAAAGATTTGGGTTTCACACAGAGTTATGAAAACAAGGTAGAAGCCTGATGTCTTCATTTCCCATGAAATCTTGTGGGTGTAAATGAAACATGTTTTAGTCTCAAATCCTGGAGCTGTGGGGTTCACAATGGAGAAATATCCAGGTCTCTTGAACAAGACTGGACGATAACCAGGGACAGTTCCCTTTTTCCCCCACATTCATTTATGAGTTGGTCAAACTGTTGTCTATTCACAGGAGATTCTTAGACATGAGAGCTATGGGACAATCTCTTTTCAGATCCTGACAGTGTCCCTGGGAAATCTTTCTGTTCTTAGTAAATATCAAGTCAGATAAATCAATAAGGCTGGCGATGGAGCTGAAGGTAAAACAGGAGGCACTAAATCACAGACCATGCAAATTCATGTAATTCTTAGCTTTGGGAGGTGTTTAATGCTGTGTAATAAACACCATCAAAAATCTCAGCAACATAAAACAACAATCACTGATTCTTTAAAAATCTTGGGCCTCTAGGTCAGAGAGCTGATCTTGGCTTCAAGTTCCCAGTGGGTTCAGGCTTCCTCCATCTGTCTGTCATTCTGGGACCCTTGATGACCCAGGATGTAGTCAGCTCATGGTTGTTGCTGAAGCCAAATAAGGGTGAGCAGAAATGTGATGTTTCTGAAGCCCTGGGCTCAGAATTGGCACACTGTCATTTTTGCCCATATCTTATTGGCCAAAGCACAATATATAGACAAGCCCAATATCAACGGAGAAAATGAAGTCCATTCACAGTGACTCATGGCAAGGGTGGGAAGGAAGCAAGGGTTGCAAGCAGAGAATACAGTTTACCCCACAGGGTAACTCAAGCAAGTCAGCCTGGCAGGGCCAAGGTCAGTCTTACTTTCTTGGCAACTGGGGTGGCATTATACACTGGAGCTCAGTGGCCCATGGCTGAGAGTGTATATTAGGAACTACAATCCAAGTAGCCTAAAGTACAGCCCAGGCTTGTGAATTTGGAAATTTCCATTTTTAGGAAATTTGATATTGCTCTGTGTGCCACCCCCATATCCCAAGGTATAAGCAGTGCAGTAGCTAAGTATTTTTAGGACATGCAAATTTACTATATTTTGTTGGCTACAAGATAATAGGGCACACAGGATTTTCTAAAGCTGCAATTCCAAATGGCATGGACTAGAAGCCAGGTTTTCTCACTCCATGTCAAGGGCTATTCTTCTTCTCTCTCTCTGTCTCTAACAATATTGCAACGATATTCTGAATTTAGTTGTAAATTTAGTTGGAATTTGATATAAGCTATTTGATTTTCCTTCACAAATTTGTTTACAGCAATTTCCTCCCAGAACACACTGATAAAGAGAAGTAGATGACAGTTATTGATGAACCCTGCTTCTGGCAGTTATTAATCAGCCATTGACTTGATGAAGCAGCCATGGATGCCACACCTGATGGTGAGGCATGTGACCTGGGGTCCAGCTGCCATGGGTCATCCATGTGGCTTTGGGAGTGTTGGGAAGCTACTGCTTCAGCATCTCCAAGGAACAAGCGTCCTGTGAGAGTGGAAGTGAGAGGTCAGTAAAGACAGACCCGTTTTTTGAGCCCTTACTCTGCCAGGCATTGGGAAACAGAGAAACAGAGTTTCTGTCCTTGTGAAGCTTCAGCCTAGTGGATTATTTCTCTACAACTGTCATGGAACATTAAGAAATAATTTCAAAAGAGTGAAGGGCATGGTAGGCACATTTTACATAAGTCATTTAATTGGCGCTTCCAAATGCCTCTTAAAGGTACGTGGTGATCCCATTTTACAGGTGAGAAGACTGAGGCTCAGTGAGTTCTAGTAACTTGACAAAGCCCCACAGCAAGCTGACAGATGAGTCAGGATTCCAGTGCAGATCAACTGGACCCCAACGTCTTTGCTTTTCCCACCACATGACTTAGGGAGAATGGAACATCCCATTTCAGGAGAATGTGATGTCTCTGAAATTCTGTCTTCAGCAATGTCCTCTTTCAAATTTTATGTGTTCTTTGCTACCTCCATTTGGGCAGAAATTGTGTCTTATAAGAATTTAATCCCCTGAAGCAATTGGAATGGTACTGGAGAATAAACAAAACAAAACAAAACCAAAAAACAAAAAAAAAAAACCCATTAATGTTTTAAAAGTAGAAATGCAAACACAGCAACAAAAAGTAGCCCTAATTGCAAAGCCCAATAGAATTGTGCTTGAGATGATTTGCTGCTTTATTTTTGGAAGCCCTCCGTATTACCCACACTATTGTCAAACTCTTCTTGAGCAGTGAACATCAAGAGATCATGGATTAAATGGGAAAATTAGTGTCAAGATTACATCAGAAGAAAGGCAAGTATCGCATCATTTCACTGCCCACAAAAATACATTCTTTCCCTTTCCCTCCACTATTTTAAGACTTCATTGACCTTTTCTAAGGTCCCAATTTCCATTTAACCTCTGTGCCAGTCAAGACAGCAGTCCCAAGTCTCTAACTTTCTTCACCCAATGATCACTCTTTGAACTCACCAAGCATGCTACAAACAGAAGGAAGCCATTAGCAGGGGGAGTTCGAACCTATATAGCCAACCATAAATTAGAAGTCCAAGGAAGCATTTTCAACCACTACGAGGTCACTCAGGCTGACTGCTGGCAGTGGCTTCTCATCGATGACAGGTCACTAAAGAATTCTCTCTAGGCGGCTCATTTCTGGTGGCAGCAATATTACTGTTTGGACTTCTGAAATGATTTTTGTGATGCACATGGCTGCCAGAGGCAGGAATTCTGGAATCAGAGAGGAGAAACCACTTACCTCAGGGGCTGAAGGAGCCTTTGGGCTTCCTGGCTAGAGTGCTGAGGAACTTGGTGCTCTCAGGCTGCTGGTGGGAGGAGAGACCTGGGTTTGAGGAGGTGACTGGCCAGGCTTATGGACGGGGATCCACATGATGAATTTCTCCAGCCCCTGTGCACTCAAACTGCCGTAAAATCAGTTAGTGGGTTTGCGCTTTGAGCAGCTCTAGTAATTCATTTGGTGTGTCTTTATAGTTTACAAGGCACTCTTGCTTCTGAGTTTCCCTTGGAGGCTGAGGCCACTCCCAGAAGCCCAGTAAAGAGCAGTGGCCAAGTGCACAAACTGGGCCTGGGCTCAGATCCCAGCTCTGTCGCTTTCTAACTGTGTGACCTTTGGCAAACTACTTAACATTTCTGTGCCTCTGTTTATGCATCTGTGAAATGGTGGTAAGACTAGTACCTATCCCAAAGAGTTGCTGTGAAGTTGAACTGAGTTAATATTTGAAACACTTAGAACTGTGCTATTAAGGCATTAGCCTAAGCTTCTCCATTTTAATAGGTGAAGATATTTGGAAATCTATAGAGGATGATTTGCTATAGTTTACTCAAGTGACTTGAACCTAACTCCCCCTCCAAAGTCTGACCATTATTCCACATGGATGTTCCTTTATGCAATTTTCTATCCATCTATCCCAGCCAGATTCCATTTCTTGCTGTAATTCGAATATTTTCACACTGGATTTTCTAGGAAATGTGGCCGAGGGAGGGCTATCTTAGGTATACACTTACACTTTTTAAAACTGTTCCTGTTTTGTTGTGTGTACTTATGCTCAGGTTTTGAGTTTACCCCTAAATCTCAAAAGAAGTATATTGAAAAGTATGAAATTGCCATTTATTATAATGATGAAATCAACTTCCTTAAGAATTTCACATATGTCAATGCATAGAAATTATTTCAAATAAAGTATGTTTCTGTGAACATAAAACATTTACTTGTTATGACACTGTAATCAGGGCGTCACAGATTCTAGGATATGAAATGCTAAGCACCCCATCTCTACCAAAATAAAAAAAATTTAGCCCGGCGTGGTGGAACACACTGTAGTCTCAGCTTCTCAGGAAGCAGGGGTAGGAGGACAACTTGAGCCTGGGAGGCTGCAGTGAGCTGTGGTTGTGTCACTGCACTCCAGTCTGGGTGACAGAGGGAGACTATGTCTCAACAAACAAACAAACAAACAAACAATAAATAAATAGAAAGAAATACTAAGTAGACATTTGATTATCTCATGCCCAGGTTGTATCTGGAGATAAGGGTATGCTGGAAAGAATTCTGGACTAAGAATCTGGAAGTCTGGATTCTAATCTCAAATACTTATTGCATTCATGGTGAACCAATTATCTCTTGAGTTTTAGTTCCCCATTTGTAGAATGGCACTGGGTGACCTTTCCATTTCCTCCTCATTCCAATATTTCTATTACTCTGTCTTGGTTTGGGTTTCTTGAGAAGCAGAGAGGAAAAGTTAATTGGGAGGCAATCTCAGGAAGCACTGTTAGGGGTGCAGGGAAGTGAGACAAAAGAGAAGGCAGCCCATAATGGTGCAGCACCAATCCATTTACCTCTTGGGGCCATTGGAGCTTCATCCAGCTGGAAACCCTGGGAGATAGTGTGGGACATGCCTCAGACTGAGGGAGCTGGGGTATTTACACCCCAACTCCTGTCAGTCAGAGCTTGAGGGCTGTTCTCAAAGGCTCTTCTGGTCTGCCACATGGAGGAAAATAGTGCAGGAAGTCCTTTTGGCTGAAGTGTACTGGTGCTGATGATGAGAAGGTGGGCACTATTCCCTGAAGTGGTGTAGGAGAGGAGCACCTGCTGTTTGCTACACATTGACCTCCCAGATCTGCCTGTGATTTGGGGCTTATAGAGATGTGTTGATTCTGTCTAGTCAAAGTGAGAGTCATTGCAGAACAAAACCAGAATCTTAGTGGTGACTGTGCAAAGCCATTTGGTCTAATGATTTTACCAAGAGCATCTCAGAACACTAGTATTGGTAGTATGTAGCCTTGTTAATAAATATATACAAGTACATGTTGAAATGACTTGTTATTATATGGCTAGAGCAAACCCACGTCATCCTCATGATGTCTTGCTGTCACAATCTCATTCTCTCTTGGGTTCTGACCTGACTCCTCAAGCAAGAGAACAAGGGTTGGCAGAGCTCTCCAGGAATGCACAGCCCCAGGTGCCCAGCAGAGGGCATCAAGTATGACAGATATTGGAATGACATCTGTTGTGTGTGCAGAGCAGACTGACTGAGTGGAACCATGACCAAAGAGAACTCAGGTAGACTCAAGTGCTTCTGGGAAATTTGAGAAACTTCCCTGACAGAGAATTTACTTCAAGTCAGATACCTCCCCAATAATTGAAAATCCTGCCAATAATGAGGAAAGAGAAGTGGACCCAAATTCCTATTTCCTTGAATCTGCTCTTCAGTTTGTTCATGAAATTTGCTCACCTGATAAATCTTGCTCGAGAGCCTGCCATGCTCCAGCACTGGGGACCCAGCAGTGAAAAAACCAGTACAATCTGGCCCTCACGGAGCTTCCCTGATATGGTTTGGCTCTGTGTCCCCACCCAAATCTCAAGTCGAATTATAATCCCCATGTGTCAGGGGAGGGACCTGACGAGAGGTGATTGGATCATGGGGGTGGATTTCCGCCATGCTGTTCTTGTGATAGTGAGTGAGTCTCACAAGATCTGATGGTTTAAAAGTGTGGCATTTCCCCTTTGGCGTGGGCTGTCTCTCTCTCCTGCCGCCATGTAAGACGCACCTTGCTTCCCCTTTGCCATGATTGTAAGTTTCCTGAGACCTCCCCAGCCATGCAGAACTGTGAGTCAATTAAACCTCTTTTCTTGACAAATTACCTAGTCTTAGGTAGTTTTTTATAGCAGTGTGAAGAAGGACTAATACATTCCCTTTTAGTGAGAAGACACAGGCAATAAACAAACTACTAACTAAATGCACAGTGTCAGGAAAGAGAAATTTTAGGAATCGGAACGAGGCAGGGTAGGGGAGTGTAGAGGTTCAGGAGTGGTGTTTTAGTTTGGTGTTGTGCCCAGGGCAGACCCTCAGATAAAATGCCTTTAAGACAAGATCCTGTGGAATGGAGGGAGGACCTAAGGAGGCAATGCAGATGTCTGGTAACGGAGGGTCCCAATTAGAAAACACAAAAGATCAGAAAACCTAAGGCCTGAGTCAGGGTCAGTACCTGAAGTGGGGCTGAGCAGGGTGTTGGGGACGAGTTGAGGACAGAGAGGGCCTGAAGGTGAGATCAGTTATCAATCAGGTTAGGCCTTGTGAAGACTTTGGCTCTTACTCTGGATGGGAAGTAGAGGTCTGGCATTCTCTGCCTTTCATTTGGAGGGGAACCCTCAGGAGTGGAAGGGGAGCAAAGCTGGGAAAAGTAGCAATAAAGTACCTGCAAATGTTTTATATAGATTTTGTTCACATCTCCAAAAAAAGTGCAAAAACTCCCCTAGCTCTGCATTTTCCAGCCACTGTGGACTGAATTGTGCCCCTCCCCACCAAGTTAATATGCAGAAGCCCGAACTCCCAATGTGACATTGTTAGGGGGTAGGGCCTTTGCGGGGTGATTAGGTTTAGATGAGGGTATGAGTGTGGAACACTGAGGGTGGGGTCCTGTGGGTGGGGCCCTCCCTCTCTCTCTCAGCCATGTGAAGATATAGGGAGAAGGCAGCCATCTGCAAACCAAGAAGAGGGTTCTCACCAGGACCTGGCCATGCTGGTACCCTGACCTTCGGCTTCCAGTCTCCAGAACTGGGAAAAAGCAAACAATAAATGTCCATTGTTTAAGCCCTCCAGTCTGTGGTATTTTGTTACGGCAGCCTGCGCTAAGACACCAGCCAATTTTGTTTCTGTTTTCCCTCCCTGAAGTCAGTGAGGATGGGAGCTCTCTAGGTAGCAGTGTGAGGGTCTGAGGGAGACCACCGAGGGACATGGGTGGAGAGGGACAGTCATGGGTCTGAGAGGCCAGCAGGGGCCAGATCATGCCTGCTTTGTAGGACACAGTGAGGGGCTGATACTTCAAGATCTGTGGGAATGGGAGCGGGAGCCCAGGGAGGGCTGCAGGGAAGGACTTGGCTCTGGCTGCTGTGGAGGGAGAGCAGGTGGTGGGAAGGCAGGGCAAAAAGTGAGGAGTCCACAAGAGACACTCAGGCAAAGTACGGGCTAAGATTGCAGTGGCTGAGACAGGGGCAGCCGCCATGAGGATGAACATCAGGAACGCCACAGAGAGGGTTGTTCCAGATGACTCCAAAAGCCCCCTCCAACTCTAAAGTTCCAATCATTGGATGCTCAGCGCATTAGCAGTGTCAGATATATATTTCTTAACCATACCAGAGGAGGGAGCTGGGGACTATTTGGGAGTTAGAAGTATCAAAACCTGTGGGCTGAATGAGGCAGTGTGTGTGCCTGTGTGTGTGTGTGTGTGTGTGTGTGTATGTGTCTGCGTGTGTGTGCCTGTGTGTGTGCATGTCTCCATGTGTGTGTGCCTGTGTGTGTGCCTATGTGTGTTTGTGTGTGCGTGTGTGGCTGCGTGTGTGTGTGTCTCTGTGTGTGTGTGCCTGTGTGTGTGTATGTGTGTGTGGTGTGGGTGGGAGTTGATGAATGGGGAGAACTCTAGGAAGAGTCCCAGATGCAGGCTTGAGCAAATGGCGCAGTGGAAGGGCAGACAGGTGGAGTGTGTCACTGGCCAGAGGTGGGGGGTTGCAAGAGAAATCATCAACCCTTGCTCCAGAGGTCCCAGGACACCAGAACTTGTGCAGTGACCTTGGTGACAGGGACACTGCCAAGATCAGATGCTGTAGGGCCGTGTGGAGAAACACATGAACCTGGGGCCAGGTGGGCAGCAGAAAATGTGAGACAAAGCAGAGGAAATGGGGGCTCTGGGGATAGGAGGGAGGGGCTCTTGGGCCACTGTTGATTGGGTTTCCTTTGAGGGCTTGGGGCCTTGTCCTGGGTGAGCACCTTCTTATAGGATGGCACTGGAAGACCAGCAGGTGACAAGGACATTACGATGTGGTATCCAACACCTGGGTCACTGCTGTAGTAACCAGAGTTCTGTCTTTTTTCTGAATGTAGAATTTTATGAGCCAAACATTAAATTCTTTATTTTTTAAACATGAAAATTTCAAATACAGACTGGTTCACCATCAGGAACACCACAGAGAGGGTTGTTTCAGGTGACTCCGAAAGCCCCCTCCAACTCTAAAGTTCCAATCATTGGATGTTCAGAGCATTAGCAGTGTCAGATATACATTTCTTAACCATACAATAGATTTCCTACTTTAACTACCTAAATTTGTTTCAAAACCAACCACTATTAGGGGAGTTTTGTGAACTTACTTCATGTGCCATTGAATTTCTAATAGGTGATATCTAATTTTAAATTGTAGTTTAGAGAAAAAATGTTGCTATTCTATTGCTGAAACATAATTGATATATAAGGAGAGTTTGGCTTTGAATACATTTCTTTCTCTGTATATATTTATTTTAGATTTCATGAGCGAGTATTTGATTCTTTAAATATTGAGGACATTGCAAAACATGATTTTACTGGATTTTTCAGAATCGTAAAGAAGAATAATTCTTTTATAGTTTAGTAACTATCTAAAATAATTTAGACACTTTTGACCTTATTTTCTTGATGTTTCTTTGAGATGAGGAGGTAGTAATTGCAATTTCACTTTTTCTATTGAATAAAAAACTAAATGAAGTGTATGACACATTGCTTTTCTAACCCAAATTCCACAGTGCAACGTGACTTTGACTAGAAAAGTCTTTGAAACTAGAACAAAAGAGCAAGTGGAAAGGGAGACTCAACTAGAACCAAGTAGCTACCACATCTGACAGAAGAGTAGATTATTTGCAGTCCACTGAAGGATGTGCTGGATGAAGCAGTGTGTTTCCTCTCATCACATTGCCTGAACTCTATTTATATACTGTGAAATGTTCTGGGATATTTGTTGAGCTTTAAATTTAGTAAAGCAATATTTTATTGTTCTAGCAACAAAAAAATTAAGTTATTACATTAATTAGAAAGTGATCTGAGAACCTTATTTTGATATAGGAGGGGAGCAGGGAAGTGCTGGGAAGGGAAGGGCATGGTCCCTGGCTAGGAATCCATCCCTGGGTTTGTGCCCATGGACCTAGGTGAGGACAGGGATTTCTGTTTTTGTGTCCAAATGTTGCATTTCCCAAGACCGCTCTGGCCAACCATGCCCCCATCCTGTGCCTGTAAAAACCCTGAGACATTAGCAGGCAGAGACACAAGTAGCTGGACGTCGAGAGGAATGTACCGGTAGAGGAGGACATCAACAGACGCCCGCAGACACCAGGCCAGTAGGCCGTCGACAAATGGAACTATGTGGTGATGGATTGGCAAGAACCTTGAATCCTGGACATGACCATTTTACAATGTTATTGTTAAATTTTTTTCTTGAGCAAGGTATGTATAAGTAAGTAAATAAGGGCATAATGTCAGGTAAACTGAATGGCTGGAAAGTGGCAACCAGGATTTAGTTATTTGGCATTATCACAGGTTTTTCAGAAACATTCAATTTTTAGCAAAAAACAAGTCCCCTCCAAAATTCAATCTACTGCAATTGATTTGCACGTGGTTTAATGCTGTTAATAGTCTATAAATAATGGACTCAAATATTTGAAGTTGTAGATGCTTTCATACTGTTTTAAACAAACATAACTTATATGCAAATGGTTAAGAATACCAGAAACATTGCAAGAATGCTCTTTTTAAATCCTGAAGATATTGCTTTATTTTAAAGCATCAAGGATGATTTAGATTTTTGGAAAAACAGAGGTGGCATGAAGATTTCTGAACTCGCTCACACACAAACCCGTCACAGCCGCTGTGATCTATAAGCCAAATTTGTGTTAGAACTTTTCTTTTTTGAATAACAACAAAACAACAAAAACGCTCCTAACTGAAACTGGGAAAGGACTAGAAACTTTGTTTTCTTACTAATGTGAGGTTGGAAACATATTGGCTTTCAAGTGAATTGGCCGTGACCACAGCAGCACTTGGATCTGAGGGAGCCGAGATTGCAGGCAGATGTGAGTTTGGCACTTGCATGCCCACGTTAAAAAAACTTTTCTCCTTTCTCCTACCCGCACATTGAGGCTGGCCCTGCTGGAGAGGGGCAAACTGATTACAGACTCACATTACCTGGAAACATGCCATTGACTTAACATGGGGCCTGTCTACTTAGGCGCTGATTTTTGAAAATGCAATCTTTATCCAGAGTATTTGACAAATGCTCAGAATGCTCAGAAATGTATTAATATACAGCCAGACAGCTGTCAAAGCAGCAGGCTTCTCCCCTGGAGAGTTCATTAACCTCATTTCCACTTGCTGAGTAAGGAGCTCTGTCTTGCCTGAGAGGGACCACGGTACCAAAATGTACGGGTTTCAAGTGAGGAGTGAGAAAAATAACTGAAGTATGAGAAAATAAAGATTTCTTGATAAGGCCCAAAGACTAGCTCATTTCCTAGTATGTGTTTTAAATGCGCGTTTTCTGTTTATTTTACTTACCTATGCATTTATCTATTCATCTCTTTTCAAAATGCTTTGAAGGTGCAATGATGATATGCTATTTTATGAACTAATTTCCTTAATATACAAAGAGCTCTTTTAAGTCAATAAAAAGGTCAAAGCTTATGAACGCAAAGAGAAGTGTAAATGATTTTAAAAGATTATCACTTATTAGCTGAACAGAGATGAAAACTTTGAAAATACACTGAGGTAACCAGTGAGAATGCATAGTGCTGGTGAGGTTGTGTTAATTGGAGTGTAAACTAGTACAAGGTTTTTGGAAAACAATTGGGCAATATCTTTCCAAATTTGAAATGCATGGATTTCCTTGTCCCAGAAATTCCACCAGAATTCTTCTAACAGATAAGAAAGACTCCCATTCTGTAGGTTGCCTGTTCGCTCTGATGATAGTTTCTTTTGCTGTGCAGAAGCTCTTTAGTTTAATTAGATCTCATTTCTCAATTTTGGCTTTTGTTGCAATTGCTTTTGGTGTTTTAGCCATGACTTGGAACCAATCCAAATGCCCATCAATGATAGACTGGATAAAGAAAATGTGGCACATATATACCATGGAATACTATGCAGCCATAAAAAAGAATGAGTTCATGTCCCTTGCAGAGACATGGATGCAGCTGGAAACTATCATTTTCAGCAAACTAACACAGGAACAGAAAACCAAACACAGCATGTTCTCACTCATAAGTGGGAGTTGAACAGTGAGAACACATGAACACAGGGAGGGGAACATCACACACCGGGGCCTATCAGGGGGTTGGGGACAAGGGGAGGGAGAACATTAGGACAAATACCTAAAGCATGCGGGGCTTAAAACCTAGATGATGGGTTGATGGGTGCAGCAAACCACCATGGCACATGTATACCTATGTAACAAACCTGCATGTTCTGCACATGTATCCCAGAACTGAAAGTTTAATTTAAAAAAACCTGGGAGTTATAACTTTTGTTCTGGGGAAAAAAAAGAAAGACTCCCTCATGTGCACAGAATTTGAATATGGTACAGTGGCTAACTCTGGGGTTGGGAATTGGATACCAGGAGGCAGGGTGGGAGAGAAAGTCATTTGTTCTCTGTTCCATTTGTATTGTTTAGGTTTCCTAAGCATGTGCCTGTGTTATATAGTCACAGAAAGATAATTTAAAAATATATTTGTTGATGCATAAATGACTATAAATTCACTATATAAGAAGAAATGGCTTACAAAATTAATCCAAATCAAACTAAATGATAAGAAAGTGATAAATGAATGTAAAGGGAAAATGGAGGTAGGAGCACTAGGATGAAGCCAGGGTGAAATCCTGTGTTATGCGTGGATGCTGCAGGTGGGCTGAAGTTCCTAGCAGCAAATAAAATAGTGAAGGGAAGTGTCACAGGGTGAGACATGATGCAGGATGTCTACTGAAAGAAAACAATCTTTTGCTAGTAGTATAACTATCCTAGTCCTGAGATTAAGAGAAATTTCTCCTGTGGGTCCTCACAGAAAGGATTTAATAAATAATGTCCTCAAAATCAAGCCCAGGGTAAATGCAACAGTAAGTTTCAATATCAATCTATCCTTGAGGTAGATTAGATTACGGTTCAAATTCTCATTTCCTCCATGTAATGGCTGTCCTTTCTACCTTTGCCTGGAGACTTAGCAGTGCCTCCCACCACAGCAGACAGAAGGTACATCTCACTCTACCCTCTGACATCAGCTCCCTCATGGAACTTCCTTTGGCCAATGAGCCGAGAGCAGAGGCGTGAGTTGTGTCTAGCCAGAGGGTTCAAATGTGCTTGCGTGATTTGGCTTGGCTTTTTGAGCTTCAGCTTTCTCCATGGGAAAATCATGCCCTGAGTAGGCATTGCTCCTTCAACCTGTGTCCTGGAATGAAGACACATGGAACAGTCTGGAACCTAAAACAAAGCCTGGAGTTCAGCTGAGATCAGCTAAGGTGTGGCTGGGACCTGTGCATATGGAATAAATGTTTGCTCTTATAGGTAAATGCGATGTGGAAGTTGTTCATTACTCAACATTATTGCAGCAGAAGCCTGGTGAATATATCCTTAGAGATAGAGGGAAGGAAGTGAGAAGAAGTTCAGGAGGAGGCTTTTGAATTGCTGGGGATAATGGGAATAAGCAAGCACTCTAATAAGAGGATATGAACTTCCCCTAAGATCAAGACCCTATTTGAAGACTCCAAGACGTTACTGATGATGAACGGATTACTATATCAGGTAATACAGTGCTCTGTGAGTGAACTGCAAGAGTAATTACTTGTATCTCAAGAAAACCACTCCATGATTCTGAGGACAAATCCTGAGGTCATTCATTGAAAGAATGAATAGAAATTGGGATGGATAAATAAAATTGTGTGTGTGTATGTGCATGTGTGTGTATGTGAATGTGTGTGTGTATGTGTAAGTGCACGTGCACATGAATGACTACGTATGTTTATGCACTTGTGCATGCATATACATGTACGTGTGCTTGTATGCATGGGTGTGCATTATGTGCGTGTTTGCCTGTGTGTGCATGCATGCGTGTGTGTGTGTGTGTGTTCTCTGTGGAGGGAGGAGACTGGAGATTCTCTTCCCCAACATTCGAGGCCAGTTTGCCAAAAATCTTGGTGCTAACTGTATGTCCAGGTTACAGATCCACACGCAAATGCAGACCCAACAACACTGAGGCTCATCTTTTGGGTTTCTCCCCATCTTCTTCACCATGACTCAGTTCTCCAAGAAAAATGTTGTTGCTACTTTCAGGAACAGTCCAGGATGAGAGCTTAAGGTAGAGTCTGGACATGTGCATGGAAGCACAGCCATGATTCTATCTAATTGGCTCAAACAAAAGTCTTGGACAGTATTTTGGCTTTTTTTTTTTTTTTTTTTTGAGACATGATCTTACTCTGTCACCTAGCCTGGAGTTCAGTGGTGCGATCATAGGTCACTGCAGCCTTGATCTCCCAGGCTAAAGCAATCCTCCCACTTCAGCCCCATGAGTAGCTGGGACTACAGGTGCCCACCACCACACATGGCTAATTTTTTATTTTTTGTAGAGGTGGGGTTTCACTATGTTGCCCAGGCTGGTCTCGAACTCTTGGGCTCAAGTGATCCTCCCGCTTTGGCCTCCCAAAGTGTTAGGATTATAGGCATGAGCCACTGTGCCTAGCCTATATTTTTTGTGATTGGTTTTCTGAGTCTATAAAGAAAAAAGGATGTTCTTCAGCTATTTGGGGACTTTTGGCTCCACCCCAGGCCCATAAGTGAATGCAACAACAAGGTTTAATGACTGTTGGACACTGTGTTTATCGAGAGACATTCTGCAGGGAAGCAGAAACAACATAATTGCCTATAAAAACATCCTTTAAAAAGTTAGCAGTCTAATCCATAAAAATGAATTTTGGCAGGTGCAAATGTAGCCAGGGCCAAGGCAGGGCGTGCGGTGGATGGGGGCGGGAAATCCATTCAGGCGCGGAGGCTTGCCTGTTGTTGTCCCTGGAGTGCGCCGTCCTCTCTCTTGTTCCTGCTTCTTTTTTACTCTCCTTTCTCCTCAGCAGCCATCCTCACAGGTTTGATGTGTGTCCTTCTTTCCTGCCTTCCTGCTAGCTCTGAAGGGCATTTTTATTTGACATGGATGTGTATGGGGGATGTCCCCTGGCTCCTGACGCTTTTTCACTCAACACTGTAGCTTTAAGACCTACCCTTGTTGCGCCCGATGCACCTGGTTGGTTGCATTAACTTCTTCATGGTATTCCTGACTGTTCCTTACTGCATTAGTTCTCCGTCTCTCAATCACCTGCAGCTTCCCACAGGTACAAACAATGCTGGGTGAACATCCTGGTTCACATCTTCCGATGGACCGGGGTGGGGACTTCCCTGCGGTATGTACCTAGAAGCAGATTCCCTGGATCACAGGGTGCTTGTAGATTTAGAAGATGTAGAGTAGTCTGTATGTCTCAACTTGAAGTAATTCTTGCATTTTGTTCTTCCTTCACAGCCCTTCCACACCAATTCCTCCAGTTGGTCTCCCATTTCTGTTGTGATGCTGCTTTCCTGCAGGCTGGGTACCTCCCAGTCATCTTTGTCTTCTCTCTTCCCTTTCCCTTCATATCCAATCAGCTTCCTCATGCTCCTACCTCACCAGGTCTCCCATCCACACTTCATTTTTTCATTCCCACCGTCACAAGTCTGCATCAGATACTGATCATCCTTGAATAGATGAACAGTTTTCTCACTGTCCCCCACTTCAGGACTCTCCCTACATGAGCTGATTGTAGGTAAAAATGCACATTTGAATCTGGTTACTCCCTGGCCTCCAACATCCAGTGACTCCCCACTACCTTCTGGGCTGGAATCTCAGAGCCTATGGAAAATGACTCTGGTCTTCTGTCCCCAGCCAAGCCCCTCCTTTAGTCTGTCTCTTACACCCTCCTTCCTCCAGCTCCTCCTCACTGCCCTTGAGCAGTACCAAACCTCTCCATTTCTTCCAGTCCAGGATTGTCAAACTTCAGAGAGCAGAGGGAATCTGAAAGAAAGGGTGGAGAAGGCTAATGATCTTATTGTGACAATTCCTGCTGAATGGATCCAATGAGAGAATCACTGTTCTGCTTGCTCATGTATTGTTTTAGTTTGTTGCAATAAAATAAATATTTGCATGGAGGGGAAAAATGGCTTGATTTTCCCTGGTATTGTTTCCTTTAATAGGATCTCTTTCTCTCCCAGCCCGTTCCTGTTGATGTCTTGGTTGGGGTGGCCCCCTGACTTTCATTTTTCTGCATCTCAAGTTCCAAATTTGAAGCCTGATGATCTGTCAGTCAGGGTCTCCAGAGAAACAGAATCAATAGGGGGAGCGGGAGAAGAAAGAGAGAGAGAGAGAGAAAGAGAGAGAGAGAGAGAGAGAGAGAGAGATCTGTTTTAAATAAATGATGTATGCAACTGTGTGGCTGTTAAGTCTGAAGTTTGCAGGGCAGTCCTGTAGGCTTGAATCCAAAGGCAGTCCAGAGGGAGAATTTTCTCCTTTTATGCAGGGACCTCAGTCTTTTCTCTTAAGGCCATCAACCGATGAGACAAGGTCCACCCACAGTGTGATGGGGAATCTGCTTTACTCAAAGCCCATCGAGTCCAATGTTAATCTCATCCAAACACACCCTCACAGCAACATCTAGACTGGTGTTTGACCAAACAGCTGTTGGGTACCATAGCCTAGCCAAGTTGACACATAAACTTAATCATCATGGGATCAGTCCCACCATGCCCCATGCCCATCTTTGGACCAGTGTTCTAGCCTCCTGCCTGTTCAGGTGAGTTATGGGAGAAAACTTAGGACCCCATGCAAATGCAGACTTTCTTTTACATTGTAAATACCACTGACATTCTTGCTCATCCAACTGGGACATTTTTGCCATTCAGTTTGTCAAGCAAATATAACGATGCATATTTTCAGCACACACTTCCACTGTTTAGCAGATGGCACATCTGAAACATGGTACATGGGTGTAGGCAATTATTTGACTCCCTAGTGCCATATGGTGACATATTCCTTCTTGTGATACTAGAATATAAATATGTTAAATGTTTTGTGTATGTGTGTATGTGTGTGTAGGCATATGCGTCACATCTGGAATCTCAAAAATATCAAGGAGCCAGATGTATATTCATATGATCATATGTGTATATACACGTATACTATCCACTCCTTTAACATAGTAACAGCTTACATTTTTATCCTTTGGTTTTATTGAAGGATCCTGTAAATGAATAAAACCATAAGAAAACATATGGAAGAACAGTCAAATAGGTTATAAATATAATCAACACTGTTTTAACAGCATCACAGAGCAAGCATGGAGGGAATGATATTTTATTGATTATTTAGAGCCTAAGCCAGGCCTTGTGCAACGCATTTCTCATGTATAATCTTATCTGACCTCATGAAGGAGGATTTTCCTTAAACTGGGGAGTCTGAGGCTTAGCAAATGAATCGCACAACCAGGATTTGAACTAAAGTTTACCTTCATCTAAATACGCGTTTTTCTTTCTCTCTCTCTCTTTTTTTTTTTTTACCCCTATCGCATCATAGCCACATCTGTGGCCACACAAGAAATACTTTCCCAACACTCAGTAGCTAATTATTCATAAGGTTTTAGGGTGACGGTGGGCCATGTGCAGAGATGCTTTGAAAGACTTCCAGGAAAATCATGCTTTATGGCTTAGAATTTGGGGACATGACTGTACCTGAATTGAGATGGACAGGAAATCATTTCTCCCTCCTTCCTGCTTCAGCACACCCCTCTTCCCACTCAAGAGATTCTGGAGACGCTTCAAGGCCATCTCCTTGCCAGATGCCTCTGTTTTAGAAAAGTCATTTCAAGTGCCCCAAGGAGAATGGATTGGAGGGGATCACGTTGGGAGACTGAACATGTAACACAGGTGGGATATGATGGAGATGGGAGTTGGTGGGAGGCCATCTGGGTAGTATAATCTACCAGACTTGGGGGTAGGTGGCCTGGCAAATTGGGGGAGTTAGGCCAAAGATGACTCCCAAGTTTCTGGTTTTGGCCGTGGGGTAGATGGAGACAAGGTTGGGAGGACAGATAGTTCGCTTTGAGTCTGTGGAGCTGGAGGTGCCTGTGGCCACCTGGGTGGTGATGTGGCCTCCAGGAGGGAGCTGGCATGGAGATGGAGCTCCAGGAGCCACAGTGACTGGCATAGTGCCAGGTTTCTAATAGGTGTGCAATAAATATTTGTGAAATGCATGGGATGTGGGGGGTGTTGAGCCAGGCACGTAGACTGGGTTGGAACAGGGAGCTGACAGGTCTGCCTCTGAAGGCTGTTACTGTCTGCTTAGTAGCAGGGGTTGTTATCTGTTGGTGGGGAGGAGTGGGTGGTGATGTCTTAGGATTGAGCCGAGAGGAGCACTATGAGCTGGCCAACTATTTGAAGGAAGTGGGTCAATGACAAAGGATCCACTTTGTCAAAGACAAATGGGAATGACAAAGGGAGCCCTGGGCTGTGTCAAGGGCCTGGTTGAGGTTGATGCTGGAAATCATCAACCATCAACCATCATCAAACATGGTGGTTCCAGCCCACTAGGTGTTACGATGTTGTCAGCAGGTGTGGGCTTGGGTCCACGTAGCAGCAGTTGGATTGATTAGTGGTTGGGGTCTCACTGGGTACGTGCCATAAAAGTGAGGCAAGAAAGTTGATGTGATGGACAGGAATGGGGCTGATGGGATAGACTGGGAGGTCCCAGAACACAGGAGAAGAAGGGCCTGCTGCAGTTGAGGAAGTTGAGCTCTCAGTGAGCAGAAGGAAAAGCGAGGTGGGTGCAACCAAGCGACTAAGGGGGCAGGAAAGGGGCTTCCGGTAAGAGTCGAAGTGTGAATTTTAATTTCGGTGGTTCTAGGGATGGCAAGATCCAAGGTGTAGCCAAGTGAAAGAGTTGCCAAGGTGGGATGGAGAGGGAGGTCGCTGGAGGTGAGCAGCCCAGGACCTGCAGATGAGAAGTGGGATTAGTGGTCCCCAGAAATGCCGTGTTCCAAGGGGAAGCCGGCGGTGGGCAAAGGACTAGCAGAGGGTTCAGTCCGAAGCCGCCACCAGGGGGCGCGAGAGAGCAGCAAGCCGTAACAGCTCGCGTAAAAGGCGGGAGCTGGGGCTTCCTGGGGGTTCCCTAGAAGCGGACCTCGAGACAAGGTCCTGGGTGCAAGCGGTTTATTTGGGGGATGGCTGCAGGAGGCACAGGGTAGGAGCAGGGCTGGCAGGGAAGGGAGAGAAGGGAGGAAGGGCAGTGAAGAGCACAAGGATGGAGGGGCTACTCCCGGGCCTGTGTGCAGAGCCTCAGCCCTGGCTCTGTCAGGCAGAAGGAGCTCCCGACACCTCTGTCATCTGCTGGCTGCGGAGAACCTGGGGCTGACGCCGTCCTCCGGGACCTCCATCCAGAAAAGGGCCACAGAGGCTGAGGGCGTCGGGGCGGGCACTCCAGGGTCTTATTCTGTTTGGGCTGCTATGGACGAAATGCTGTAGACGGAGTGGCTTAGCAACGACAGAACATTATTTCTCACAGTTTTGGAGTCTGGAAAGTCCAAGATCGAGGTGCTAACAGGTTAGGTGTCTGGTGGAGCCTGCATCTTGGTTCCCGGTGGCGCCTTCTCTCTGCCCTCACGTGGGCGAGGGAGCAGGCTGGGGCCTCCTTTATACCGTCGCGAATCCCAGTCACGGGCTCCGACCTCAAAACATAACCTCCGTCCAAAGGCCCCACCTCCTAATACCAGCGCATGGGTGATTCGGTTTCCCGATGCGAATGCGGGAGACACACTCAGTCCGCAGCTGCCAGGTCTCCTGTTGGGCGAGATGGGTGTGGGAGGGGCAGGAGGAGTGTCAGGACCCGAGCGGGATGCTGTGGATGACAAGGGAGCTGCTCTCACCTCCCCGCCCCGAGACAGATGAGGCACTCGAGGACCTGCAGCAGGCCTCAGAGAGGGCTAGGACCAGGGAGGGGCTGCGGATGGAGAGCAGAGTGACGGCCTAGAAAGGAGGTTCCCGAGGGCTCTGGGGAGGCGGAAGAGGGGACGCGGTGTGTTGAGATATGGGGAGAAGTTCAGAGCAGCATGGGCATGCAGGTGCCTGCAGAGGGGCCCATCTGGGCTGCACCCCAGCAGGACAGGGCCATGGCTTGGTGTGGGTTCGGCTGGCTGCACAGCTTCTTGCAAAGTTTGTCCCCAGGGTCCTTGGGAGTAGAGGTCTTTCGGAAGGCACCATCTCCAGAGCGTGTTTCTGAGTAACTCTGAGGATGGGTTCCGGGTTATCACTGTGTGTTGGAAACAGCAGCGCCCAGGCTGCCGGAGGAGGCTGGTCTCCCTGGCAGGTCCTGGCTGTGTCTAGAGTTTTGTGGGTCCTGGAGATAAGGCTCCGGTTTGAGGCCCCTGGGGCTGGCATGTCCCAGGGGAATGGCCAGAGCCAGTTCTCTGTGTTCTGAGGCTGTTTCTTTAGTTTCCTGCCAGAGAGTGTAGCCTCAAATGTGCTGCCTGACTTTCATCCAGCGCTAGACTGGGATGGATAAGAAGGACTTCTTTACTTTTTGTCATTTTCATGTTTTAAAAATTGACATAATCCTTTCCTCAAATGGGGCATTATATCCAACCTAATATACAAACAGATTTAGGTGGAGCTGCTGGGAGAAAGGGTTCTGAATGTCAGATTCACCGTCCATCCACTGCCACCTTCCCAAGTGGCCAAATGGAACCCAGTTTGAAAACCACCATTTCCGATAGGTTAAATCTACCCCAAATTGGAGCCATCATCAGACAGCCATGTACAGACATACTCTTGCTTTGGGTCCTGGAGAACCATGCGTGCAGGGTTGCATTTGGGTCTGAGTTTGCTGAGGACTGCCCATGGGTAGCATCATGTGGAGTGTGCGTTGTGTTCATTGGGCCTGTGTGTCATGAAGACACTGTGTACTGTTCATACAGAGACCCTTTGATGAGACACCACAAGAGAAACTCCTTGTAGGAGCCTCTGGCAGAAGAAAAATGGTTTTCTTTTGAGCTACCAGATTAAAAAAAAATTGTGGTTCCCCTGAATCCTATAACAGCATTTGTCTGCCTGCAAAGCTCAGCTCCAGGTTTGTAGGCCACCCAACTTAAGCCTTTGTGAACACATTTTTGGGAACTGATGCTACCCTGGACTTCACTGAACTATCTTACTTCATTTTTCCTTTACTCGTCTTTATTTAATAGTTTTATTGAATTATTTATGTAAATCTCACCTCATCATGCTTAGAAAAATGAAAGAAAAATTGTCTTTGGAACTGTAGGGAACTTGGACAATTTGAGGTTGGTTAAACTTGGGTTCCCAAGGGGCAGCATCCGAGACAAGGATTTGAATGAAGGGGTCCCAGGGGGTGTGAGCAGGGGAGTGGGGAAGTGGGGCAGGGAAGGGGAGGAACCTTGGCAGTGGTGAAGAGCTTACCACTCTGGGCAGCTAGGCTCAGTCCTGCGGGGACTTCTGGGAGAGTGGGCAGAACACTCCTCAGAGTGGTTCCATGGAAGAGCAGGGGGTTGGGGGCTATTTCTCCACCAGCTCCCATTATTCATGGTTTAAGCTTGGCTCCTGGGCATGTCAATTGCCTGGCACTTCTGTCCAGCCCTGCATGTGGGCCACACATGCTGCTGGGGCCAAAGAATGCCTTCTAGCCAAAAGTCACATGTGTTTGCCATAGGAAGTGGCAGCTGGTACAGGAAAGTGAGAGCCAAGGGTGTACAAATGGAGCACCAATAGTGTGGACTGCAAGGGTCTTCTGGAAGAGTTGACATACAAATGCCCTCATTTACTCAGTGCCTGTTGATGGTTCCTTCTGAGACCCCTAATGCAATGTTTATAATGCAGACTGAAAGAACTTGAGGAGCTCAAGTGAAAACTATCATCATCTTTCCTCTTTTGTTGTAACATCTACATGCGAATGTCATGTCACAGGTGCTACTGTTTATACACAAATCCTGACCGATCTCCCAGTGGCTCTCGCAGTGCAAGGTTAGCAGGAAGCCGAGTTGTTTCCCTGAGTCGTCCTTTACGGATCTGGAGGGCTGATTTTGTGTTTATATAAATTGGTCCTGGATGTTCTCCCTCCCTCTGAGGGAGCAGGAGCTCGGGTACACTCAGGGGTCAGTCTGGGACGTCTGTTCTCAGAGCAAGGTGCACAGGACATTAAGGGATGCTGTTGCTTGTGGCTTGCCCACCCGAGGTCGGTGAGCTTGTGGGTCTGGGTCTGCTGCTCCCCCATTTGCCCCTCACAGCCAGGCTTTACACAAACTTCTTACATCCTCACAGCTCAGCCAAGACCAGGCCATAACCCTTGATGAGTCTTTACTGAAGGTTCTGGAGTGACCAAGTTACAATATGAAAAGCCACTCATTCCTCCTACTGGAAGTGTCTGTGTACACAGCTCCTGACAGTTCCTGCCTGCCTGGCTCCTAGCCCAGTGCTGTTAGAAATCTTTCCCAAACAGCTCTACCTTTTTGAAAGTCCAGACCCTTGACATCCATCTCTCCCTACTGCTCAGAATTGTCTGTATCTATCTTTTACCAATGGGGGAAAGGAAAGAAAAGGCAGATAAAGAGTGCTGCACCACAGAACCTTGGGGGATTAAAAAGAAGCAGGCTGTGCTGAGAGCCTAGGATCAGAAAGAATCTCACTGCACCCTCACCTTCTTTAACCCAGGCATAGACTTCCCTCCATCCATTCCAATACCTGGAGTGTCTCATTGGTGTAGATGAAAACACGGCAGTCAGGTATAAGCAGGTCCTGGAGCTCTGACTAGCTCATTTACTATTTCTGAACAAAACTAGCTTTGTGCACTTTACAGAAACAAGTGGGATGGAGGGTATAAATGGACAGGTTTTTTTTTTCACATTTATAATTTTAATTTCTAATTACTCATGTTAAGTTGCTAAGTGGACAAAATGACAATAGCTATATCAATTAGAGTTTTCCTTTATTGTTTTGAATATTTTTAGCTTTTGCATAGCAATAACATAATAAACATTTGTTGTTTTAAAAATATTAACTTTTCATGGGGGTATAATTTACAATGCAGTGCACACATATTAAGTGTGCACCTCCATCAGCTTGACAAATGCAGGCAACTGTGTAGCCTACACTCCTATCCAGAAACAATCCCATATTTCTAGAAAGTTCCACATGAACCTTCTCATCCGTCCATGCCCAAGACACAACCACTCTTCTGACATCTACACCACAGATTAGTTTTGCCTGTTCTAGACCCTCATAAACATGGAAGAATAAATGTGTGTTCTGTTTTGTCCTTTTTGTCAGCGTAATTGTTCTGAGATCATTCACGTTGCTAAGTGTACATTATTTCACCCTTTTTATTGTTGAGTAGCATTATATTATGTAAGTGTGCCATGGTTTGTTTATCCATTCTCCTATTGATGGGCATTTGAGCTGTTCCAAGTCTTGGTGATGGAGGGCATGGACATCTGTAAAGCATGAAAACAAAACTTGATTCATTCCCCTCTTCACCTTTTTTCCTACCTCCAACTGATGGCCAAGTCCTGTCATTCTTCTGCTATTTTTTCTCAGATTTGTTTCCTGTATCATCGCTTTATCCCAGCTCTCTAGGCAGGGCCCACATCATCTCTTGACTACTCTACTGCATCAACACTGGTCACCCTGTAGGCTTCCTGCCCCTCCCTAATCTACTGTCCACCTGGCAACCAGAGTGAGCATCTAAGAACACAAATTAGGTCAAGTCACTCTGTTATAAACTGCTTCCCTTAAAGTAAAATCCCAACTTGTCTTTGATGTCCCAGGTATCCAGTCCCCTGCCTTCCCCTCCAGCCTCATCTCATTCCCTTTGCTGCTTTTTTTCACTGCCTTTCAACTGCACTAGTCTTCTTTCGGCTGCTCAAGCACACTCAGCTCATTACCAGCTCATGTGCTGTTCCCTGGTCTGGAATGCTGTTCCTTTCATTCTTCCCTAAACTGGCTCCTCCTTGTTCTTCATGTTTTCATGTTGGGGTGGCATTATCTGAACACTCCTTCCAAAGGGAACTCCCATCTCATGTTTTCTCTATCACTGTGCTCCGTTGAGGGTGACCCTTGCCTCTCAGCACTTAGCACAATTTGAAGCTCAATATTTATTTGTCTACTGGTCTGTAGTCTTCTCTCTCAAGAGCCCCTTGGCTCCATTAGGGTAGAGAACAGGTCTGTCTCACCATTAGCATTACCCCATGGATGCAGCATGCAGTAGTTGCTCATAAGTATTTCTTGAATGAATCACTGGGTTTTATATAAAATGTTATCATATGAAATTCTATTTTACTAAAATCTCCTTTGCTAAACAGTCCTGGGAATGACAACGGTTGCAATCCAGTAGGTAAAATCCTGCCCAGCAAGAGGTGCTGACAAGGCCCTTTGGACTTGTGAGGGCAAATGGAAAAGGATGACTTTCTGAGATACTGATTTGTGTTTTTATTTTTCCTGATTCACAAAGGAAGCCAGACTTTTTCTCACCTGTTTCAGCACAAAGTGCATCTTTCTTGCACGCTTGAGTTTGTGGATGAAGATTCATACCCACTACCCATACTTCATCCTGATAGGTAGATAAGTTAAATCAAATGCAATTTCTGCTTACTAAACACCATCGTCAAATCTTGAAACAGCTCACTGGATTTATGAGTATTGTTTTAATTTATTCTGTGCTATTTTAACTACTTCAAAGATAACAGTTCTGTATTCATTTATGAAAGTAAGTTTGCCTCATCATATTTTTAAAGTTTTAATTTCTCTTAGCGACACTACAAAACCAGCCACTGATATTTAATTCATTCCATATTTGTTGCGGGGCATAAGTGATGCTTTTAGAGTCATTAGTGAACTCACAAATAGATGCCTGTGGGGTAGCAAATGATAAGTCATTAGCCACTGTCTGCAGGGGAAATTATTCCTAGGGCTGAAGATAAGCTATTTTGGGAGCAACATTAAATCTTCAATTAACAGGAAAGCATTTCATAATTTGTAATTCACATTGGCATAATTTACATGATTTGTAAATTACTAAATGGTTCCCTAGTGTACATGTATTTATGCATCCATTCATGGTATAATCTTACCTGATTCCTCAACATTTAAAAATCGTAGCTTCATGTTTGAGAAGGCCTGTCTTTATTTCCAACAGAATGCAAATTACTCACAGACAGGATGTCTGTACCTTAGCAAATGTTAGCAGTAGAAGAATGCATTTTAACACCCTCATTCTCTCTCTCTTTTTTTTATTATTATACTTTAAGTTCTGGGGCATATGTGCAGAATGTGCAGTTTTGTTACATAGGTATACATGTGCCATGGTGGTTTGCTGCATCCGTCAACCTGTCATCTAGGTTTTAAGCCCCACATGCGTTAGGTATTTGTCCTAATGCTCTCCCTCCCTGTGACCCCCACCCTCTGACAGCCCTCGGTGTGTGATGTTTCCCTCCCAGTGTCTGTGAACACCCTCATTCTCTAGTGGCCCAGAATTTGATAGTGACCAAACAAGGATTCAAACCCTGTCTTTGAATCCAGTCTGGCGGTTCTACAAACTTAAGTTGAGATCGAAAGAAGAAACACTAGAGGACAAAGAGGACAAAGCTCTCTGATGGAGAGCTGGGCGCATCTTGAAAACGTTAGGAAACTATTAATAAACAGTGGCTTTTGGCTCTTACTGCATTTTTCCAGAGTGTTTTAGAAAATTAGAAATTAGAAAGCCATGGGTTTTCTCATTAAAGGGTAGAATGTTGTTGAAGAAAATGGAGGATTTAAATAACTTTTGTTTGCTTAGAATATTAACATAATTAATCTATTTTAGTCCGATGAGATATTTGCAAATACATTTGTTTTATGAGTGTCAAAGGCTCTAATATATTAATATTACTAATATATTAGTACAAAATACTAATATAATACTAATATACTACAATGTATTATGTCTATTATATATAATACATCAGTATATTAGTTATATTAATATATTACTAATGCATTAATAAAGAAAAAAGATGTTAAACTAGACAGGATCCATCGTGTCCTTGTGGCATTTTGATGGAGGCCTTCACCTCAACAGTGAGTTAAGCCTAGAGTATGAGGATGAGTTCTGTGCATTAGCCACTTTAAAGTTTGTTTGTCGTTACTCAGTATACAACAGAGAAAACCTCAAAATCCCTCTTCACTTCTCTTCCAACTCTGCTTTTCCCAGTGTGAGTAGAATCAAACCATATGTACTGTTCAGGGATCTCCTTTCTTTTCAATTCAACCATGTGTTTTGGGTGCTCTTGTTCTGACTCATGAATCTGAGAACTCTTCCCACCTCAATCATTAGAGAGGCAGAGGATTGTAGTTGTGAAAAGTTTGTACATTGGAGTCTGGCTTTGAGTCCCAGTTTTCCCGTGGACAGGTCATGTGACCTTGGCAAAATAACCACCTCCCATGCCTCAGGTGCCTCATCTGTGAAATGGGGATAATAATAACACCTACTTCAAATAAAACAATGCAAGGAATGCCCTAGAACAAACGCCTGGCACATAGTAAGTTCTACCCAAGTATTTATTATTATAATAATTGTATAAACATTTAACGACTTCCTTAAATTGTTTCCTATTACTTGCTATTTTGAATAGTGTTTCAATTAATATCCTTGTGATATGGTTTTGCTGTGTCCCCAACCAAATCTTATCTTGAGCTGTAATTCCCACAGTTCCCATGTATCGTGGGAGAAACCTAGTGGGAGGTGATAGAATTATGGGGGCGGGTCTTTCCTGTGCTGTTCTTGTGATAGTGAATGAGTCTCATGAGATCTGATGGCTTTAAAAATGGAAGTTTCTCCACACAAGCTGTCTCTTTGCCTGCTGCCATCCATGTAAGCTGTGACTTGTTCCTCCTGGCCTTCTGCCATGATTGTGAGGCCTCCCCAGCCATGTGGAACTGTAAGTCTAATAAAACTTTCTTTTGTCAAATGCCAGTCTTGGGTATGTCTTTATCAGCAGTGTGAAAATGGACTAATACACCTCATATGTATAATTTTGTATATATGTGAATCGTTTTCTAGGACAACTTTCTAGAAGTAAAATTTCGGAAGCAAATCCTTTGCCTTTGGTAGCTACAACTGCACTGCCTTTTAAAGGTCTTTAACTATTTATAATTTTACCAGCCGTTTAAGGGAGAACATGTTATCTGGATCCTCTCTGATTTTTAAAATCTATTCTTTTTCTATCTGGTGGACAGGAAATGGCATCTCATCCTCACGTGATTTGACGGATTAACATTTTCATCATGAAGGTGGGTGAAAACACAGGTGGACTTTGATCAAGTTTGCCATTAGCAATCTGGGCAGCTGAATCAAAGGCTTAGCATGTTGGCTAATGCAGAATGTAATAAAACGGCATTTAGAGGGGATCAGCACAACGTCTCATAAGGTAGGTTCCAATGCTCAGCAGGCCAAGTTCGAGAAGGGGTGGTAGCCTAACAGCAGTGTGCATGGAACTAACTTGGGGGGTTCCAACTACAGCAAGAATGGGATCGTTTTCCTAAATTAGCTCATATAAGCGTGTGCTGCCCAAGACAAGGGAAGTCCTGGATCACATTGTGAGTTTTGAGGAAAGGTCAGCTCTCTCTTGCTGAGGGTCTGGAGCAAGGCTAGACATATTTTTGGGCATATTGTAGAGATATTTTAGACATATCTCCTTTTCTAATGAACATCTACGGTGGATTCTGGAATAGTGGGAGATTACTTGAATGACAAAACTTAGAAATTCTGTGATTGTCCAAGTTCTCCAAGGTTAAGGAGGAGGAAAAAGCACCAAGGCAGATGAGTGCTTCCTGGAGCAAGCAACAATATTTTTCACTGTAGGAGAATAATAATTTTTTAAAAAAAGTAGTTATAATAAATAATTATATAACCATTACCACAATCAATATATAGAACAGTTCCATCCCCCTCTAAATTTCCTTGCTTCCCATTATAGACAATCTGTTCCCCCCGTTCCAATCCCTGGCAACCACTGATGTGTTTTCTGTCCCTTTAATCTTTTCCAAAGTGGAAAAATAAATGGAACAAGGCAATATCCTGTATGGTCTGTTACTTGTTTCACTCAGCATTGGATACCTGTTGACCATGTGGCTATGTATCAGTAGCTCATTTTCTTGTATTGCAGAATAATATCCTATGTCACGGAGTACCACACAGTTTATTTAACCATTTATCCCTTGAAGAACATGTGGGTTGTTTAGAATTTTGGTGTTTATGAATAAAGCTGCTATAAACATTTGCTTATAGTTTCTTTGTGTGTGAATATAAGTTTTCATTTTGCTAGGACAAATACTCAGGAGTGGGTTGCATAGTAAATGTATGTTTGAAAAGAAATCATGTTTTTAAAGCACCATATTTTTATTTCTGCATACTCTGTGATTTTACTACAGAAGTAGGTTCTAGGTCTGATGTTTTCACATATAGGTGTTCACTTTTCTCTCCCACAGCAAGTGGTGAAAGTACTATGAATATCACAGAGTTCTTTGAGGTTTTAAAGACAAAATTTCTCTATAAGTACAGGTAGCAAGTGTGCAGGAATTTCCTTGGTAATATTTCTGCTGAGGAATAACAAGAGAGTAAGTAAATTTACCTTTTAAAAAATCACAACTAAAGTGTGAAGGTCGATTGCAAAACTTTCATGTAAGAAGGATTTTATTGTTCTTCTATGCTTAGCATTCCTTCTGCTATGTGGAATAGTCCTGGAGTAACTTGACACACAGAAAGTACCATATTTTAAACAGAAGCAATTCATTGTAGTGGCTTCTGCGAGCAATAGAAACTTGCAGAACGTACAAGGAATTCAAACATCTCAACAGAAAAAAGCCCACCAAGTTTCCACAAAAAACTACAATTAGAACTGCCATATGATCTGGCAATCCCATTTCTGGGCATTTATCCAAAGAAAAGGAAATCAGTATATCAAAGAGACACCTCCAAACCCCATGTTCATTGCAGCATTATTCACAATAGCTAAGATATGAAATCAACCTAGGTGTCCAACAACAAATGAATGGATAAAGAAAATGTGGTATATATACATACTATGGAATACTATTCAGTGGTTAAAAAAGAATCCTGTCATTTGAGGCATCATGGATGGAACTGAAGTTTATGTTGAGTGAAACAAGCCAGGAACAGTTAAACACTGCATGTTCTCACCTACATGTGGAAGCTAATACAAGTTGATCTTACAGAAGTAAAACGCAGAACAGAGGACACTGGAGACTAGGAAGGGTAAAGGGAAGGGAAAGGTAAGAAGAGATACGTTAAAGAATACAAAGTTACAGCTAGATAGGAGGAATCATTTCTAGTGTTGGATAGCTGTAGGATGTCTAGAGTTAACACTAATATATTGGACAGTTTCAAATAGCTATAAGGAGGATATTGAATGTTCACAAGGCAAATAAATAACAGATGTTTGAGATTATGGATATGCTAATTACCCTTACCTGATCACTATGCATTATATGTATCGAAACATCACTATGTACCCCATGAATATGTCAATTAAAAAAATAGTTTCACCAAGACCCACTAAATCAACAGAATTTTGTGGCAACATTATGCAGACCCCACTGTTGAGAGTAAACACTATTTGATATGATATCAAGTTCCATCAGTTTGCATCAGATCATCAGATGAGAGGGCCATAAGCGTCTTCTGTTCTCATAATTATGCAGATTTATTGTTTTGAAACAAAATCAACTTCTCTCTAAAATAAGCAAGGACACTGGGGCAACCAACTATTCTCAGAGAAGGAGTGTTTTTAATTTTTTTCAGGATTCTTAGGAAAATCAAATATCAAATAACATACAGGAATGTAGAGTTCAATGACAAAAAGGAAATCTCTTGACTGTATGAATAGTTTCATGAAGTCACAGCATTGGTTTAATAGCAAAAATTTTATTTGGAAAGAAACTTACATTTGGATTTAAAGAACAGTGTTTCAAGTCAAATTCATCAAATTAGCAATCCACTGTGATTTTTCCACCTTTTAAAATGAAGATTCAGCAATTTTTAGAAAGCATAGCTTGTGGTTAAGAATGACATCATTTTGTCCAAATTAAAAATAATTAACGTTTAGGGTATAAAAAGAGTGTGCCAAAATATCTCAAAGAGCAATATGAAGTGAAATAATAAAAGGTATCATAATTGCTAGACCAAGCCAGCCTATTCAAAATAAAAGCATTATGGAGCACTCAGTTGTGGATTGGTCTTAAGTGGCCTTCAAACAAATGCATGAGAAAGTCTGAGGACTGAGTTGAAACATTTCTCTACCTTCTTCCGTAATTTTATTTCCACTATTAAATTTTTAATGACCAGTAATTTGTGACATTAAATTTTAATTTTTATTATATATTTTTTCAGTTGTGGATATTTCAAACATTTAATTTTTAGCAGTAACAGAGAAAAATAATACACACACACTAGAAACCTAATTGGTTTTGAATCTTGAGCAATTGCTTAGAAATGTTCATATGATGAAATAAAATGCTTTGTATTGCAAACTTTTATTTAGGAATGAGAGCTTCTTAATTCCGGGTCGTTGGACAATATCCAAAGTCAAATGGTAGAGACATATGAAAGATGGTTAGTAATTAATCACGCCTCACCGGTGTGCCAGGAAAGTAAACTCACCAGGAGCCTCTCTCAGTGCCTTATCAAATTACTAAAACTTGACTTGCTTTCCTGGATTAGTAAAGTGATACACTGTTGATTCTGGAAATTCGTAACTTAAGATGATTCCTCTGCATAGTATTCAGCAAACCATAAGATGGTATTTTGATAATTTTGAGTTTCATCAAAATACAGATTATTATCCTGCGTGAGTCCACTGTAATCTTAGCACAGAGTCTGCAAATTGGTGGCTCCAGGGGCTGGTTTCTCAGAAATGTGGGGCATTCGGGATCAGCTAACAGAGGAATGAGTTCTTGATGACTCCATGTGTGTCAACAAGCAGTTTACGACTTCTCCTTTAAAACAGAAAACGAACAAGAGTGTAGTTTTGAAAAGTAAATTTATTTATTTATTTATTTTTACTTAGGCTTATATAATTTTCTGTTCTGTAAGAGAGATCTTTTAGGGCCCAGGGAATTATTCCATACCTTGGGGACCCGGGGAAAGACTGCGTACCTGGCCAAGACTGATGATCAACCAAGTGGGATGCTTTATTTCCTCTTTAGTTAGAAGTTTCAGGATCAAAGTGAGCCTTTGAGCTATTTGTCATTTTCCCTCTAAATATTTTTGTCACACACACACAATTTGTATAGTGGCTTCTTCAGAAGCCTGTGGCAATCCTTCCTGGCTGTGAAAACAGATGGCCTCACACAATGTGGTCCAAAACCAGCAGCATCAGCATTCTCTGGGTACTTGTTAGAAATGCAAAGTAGCAAAGTATCAGCCCCCAAGTAGACCTAATCAATCGGAAACTCTGGGAATGGGCCTAGCAATTTACATTTTGACATGCTGAGGATTCTGAGGCATGCTCATGGGTAAAAACGATTGATCTGTATAATGCTACCTTACAAATAAGTAACTTCAGCTTAAAACTCTTTTTTTTTTTTTTTTTAAATCCTGGAAGGATTCTGCTCTTGGGCAACACGGCAAGCCAGAAGTGTCCAGGAAATTAACACCTACAAAGGCAGCCCTTGTTCAAGATCTAACTATCCCAGCTCCCTCTCCATTGTGGGGGATAATTCTAGGAGTGACTTTTTCAGTTTCCCTTGCAGAATTAGCTCCAATCACCACCTTGATAGCTGGTGTAATAGCCCCGCTTTTGTAATCTGCCTTCCCTTTTCTGTGTTACTTTCCTTTCCCTGAAGGTGTTCCCTACACCCCCAAATAAGCTACACTCAAATCCTTGCATCAGTAATACTTCTTGGGGGCCCCAAATGAAGACACTCACCTACTGCAAGTGTTCAGTAGAAATCAATAAACTGAGTTTCCCCTTCATTCTAACCCAAGTAAGAGGTCATCATTCCATTTGTGATCCTACTGAAGAGAGGCAGAAATATACCCAAGACTGCAGGGGCCATGGTTAAGAATGGGCTTTAGAGCTAAATTCTTGCGATGGAAACTGGCCTTCCCTCTCGGGGACTGTGTGAGTTTGGGTTCATCTTTTAAGGTCCCCATGCCTCAGTTTCCTCATAAAACAGGCAGAACTATAGTATATGTAGCAGGGAATCGTTATGAGGATTTAATAAGTTAAACAAGCAAAGTGGCTAAAATAGCATCTGTTATGTAGTAAGCATTTTATAAATGTTACCTATTATGATTAATATTGTTTTCCTTTTTTTCTTGCAAATAGTTTTAAGTCTCCTTCAGTTCTATTCATTTTTTTTTTCTCTAAAGAGCTTCCCCAGCATTCCTCCATTTTCTTGAAACTGTTTATCATGCTTGTTTTGTGTCAAGCCGTGGGGCTCTGTAGAGCATGAAACAAGAATAAGATTCTATTACTTATCCTTCATTTAATAGTATACATTTGCCAATTAAGAGCTTTACACAAATTTTCTTATTAAGTCTTTTCAACAACTTCTGGATATGGATAATGTTAATTCTTGTCCATGATACAATTGGAGAAATTGAGGCTTAAAGAGATGAAGTCACTTTTCAAGTGCTACATAGATGCTAAGTGATAAAGAAGAAATTCAAACCCAGGACTCTTGATTGCAGGCCCCCAGCTCTTATCACAGACACTATACAAACAGGAATACTTTGTGTTACCCTGTGTTAATGGTTCTCTTATTTTGCTGTGCATCAGAATACCCTGGAAGGATGACTAACATACAGATTGCCAGGCTCAGCACCTGCTGTGTCTAAGCCAGGATATCTAGGGGCATTTCTAGTAAGTTCCAGGTAATGCTGATGCTGCTGATTTAGGGACAACACTTTGAGAAATATGGCTGTGTATTATGGGTCTATTTGAACATTCGAGGAAAATAAGTAGGATAAAAGTGATTTGGGACAACAGTCTCATTCTTTTGATATGATTAATACATATGACACAAATATCTTCTTTGGTAATTTTTAAAAAAATTAGATATAATAGAAATTTATTTTTCTCTTACACAATGGACCTAGAGGTAGGCCATGAAGGGTTTGGCATGGTGCCTTCAATGTCAGAGATCAGATTCTGTTACATAACATCTTATTGCTCTTTACTCAGTATCTTGTTGCTTTACCATCTTCAGCATGCTGCTTCCACTGTATGGTTTTAGATGGCTGCTGGAGTACCGGACATCACATCTGCATTCCAGACAACAGGAAGGAGAAAGAACTGAAGGGCACCCTTCTTCATTTTAAATTTATTTTATTTTTAGTTTTGATTAAAGGACCCACACATAAACATAAAATTTACTATCTTTACCATTTTTAAATGTACAGTTCAGTAGTGTTACATATAGTCACATCTTGCTGCAATGTCCCTCCAGAAGATTTCTGTCATCTTCTTTGGAAAATTTTAAGAAACTATTACCAAAAAGTGTACCGAGATATAGTTTTAAGGCTGATGTACCAATGACACCACGTGAATAAATTCTGTACATTCACCTGTAAAGCTCCTCAGCTTTTGGGCTTTTTTCTCCTTATTGGCTGGTTCTAAATAAATTTTATGAATTCCCAATAAACGGCTTTTGGGAAATGCCAGGTCATCATTGTAATAAAAAGTGGTATAAGGGGAAAACAACTCTCTTAAAGCTAGACCTACTTAGACAACTGTTGTCTTTTTTTGGGAACATTCAATATTCCTCCTTCAAATTTCTCCAAATTTTCTCCCAAATGAATTTTTAAAAATTACATAGCATTGGAATCTTGTGCCAAAAACAACAGCATTGAAATCTTTTGCTTTAGCAGTGAATCCTTATATCAATATATGTTAAGTAAAACCATCTAATATATAAAATGTTGCAGAAACAGTACCATTGAAGTCAAAGTGGGAACAGGGAGGGACGGAGATCTAGAATTCCATCATTTTGGCCTCTCCTTTAGGTGAAGACCCCTAGGCTGTAAAGCAGGTTCAACTACTGCCCTCTAATAACAGCAAAAATGTCCTAATCTCTTAGGTTCTTAAATACTTGTATGACATCACTGACAGGGACTAATTTAAAAGATTTAATTATTCCCCAATTCACACATGTCTTGATTTATTTTTGATAAAGAGTAGCAAATGGGTACCCTAGGATTCTATACAAATAAGCCAGTGTAATTTGATGGAATAAACACTGATTTGGATGTTAAGAGATTTTCAGCTAACCCTGGCTCTTCTGATAACTGGCTTTGTTACTTGGGGAAGTCAGTTAATCTCTCGTTTGTAGAATGATGGGGCTAAACTAACTGGTCTCTTAGAAATTGTTTCTTCAAGACCTAACCTTCTGTGGTTCTCCTTAATGCCTGGATGCAATGACCTTACTACTGATGGAAAGATTATCTTGGGAAATGTTGGCCAAAACTAAACCTTCTCCCCACACATCTGTTCTAATTTCATTTTGATGGGCAGATAGACACCTTGGCTGAGTTCCAGTTCAGGTAATTACATTCTGTCACTGTGATTTTCCTTGCATTGTCAATTGGCTACAGTATTCTTCATGATTTCTCTTGACTAACATGCCTTCTGACAATGTTGTCTGAAGCTGTGGCTTCATTTGGGAAATTTCTGTGTGTTTTAGAAAATGTAATGCTGTCATCACAATGGGCCATAGACATTTCAGTCTTTCTAGGTGTTCTGAAGGGGTTGGCTCAAAAATACAGGGCAGGCTTTCACGTTGGTCTACTTTTAGTAGTGACATCTTTCAGATTTACCTAAAATAATGGCTAATATTTGTCTAAAAACTTTCTAGTGGAGAACTGTACTCATACTAATGGCTAGTAAAATTAATGGCTTACTGTGTGTATTGCATGCTCGCTGAAGTGTTTTCTGTGTGTCCACTCAGTTACTATGTCACTCCCATTTTGCAGATGAGGAAACTGAGGAATGGATGGGCCACAGTTCATGCAGCCTTTCTAAGCTTCCCATGGGAGACTTGACAGGTTAGTTATGATGCATCCATAGAATGGGCCATTAAAAAGAGTGAGGTAGATCCATATTCAGTAGATGTGACAAACTCCCCAAGATGTGTGTGTGCATATATGTGTGTGTGTATATATATATACACATACATATACAGAAAGAGAGAGAGAGAGTCTCACTCTGTCTTCCAGGCTGAAGTGCAGTGGCATGATCTTGGCTCACTGCAACTTCTGCCTCCTGGGTTCAAGCGACTTTTGTGCCTCAGCCTCCTGAGTAGCTGGGACTATAGGTGCAAGTTACCACGCCCTGCTAATATTTTTGTATTTTTAATAGAGACAGGGTTTCACCATGTTGGCCAGGCTGGTCTCGAATTCCTGACCTCAAGTAATCCACCCACCTCAGCCTCCAAAAGTCCTGGGATTACAGGCGTGACCCACTGTGCCCAGCTCCCAAAATGTATAACTAAGTGAGAAGGGAAGGATGTAGAATAGGGTGGGTGTTTTGCTATTTTCTTGATGTTGCTTATAAAAGGCTGTGTATATTTTGCTGGTATATGAATGCACATGCATTTTTTTTTTTTGAGACAGAGTTGCCCAGGCTGGATTTCAGCTGGCATGATTTCAACTCTCTGCAACCTCCACCCCCCGGGTTCAAGCAATTCTCATGCCTCAGCCTCCCAAGTAGCTGGGACTACAGGCATGCGCCACCACACCTGACTAATTTTTTTTTCCTTTTTAGTAGAGATGGGGTTTCACCACGTTGGCTAGGCTGGTTTTGAGCTCCTGACTGCAGGTTATCTGCCTGCCTCAGCCTCCTAAAGTGCTGAAATTACAGGCGTGGGCCACTGCACATTTCTTTTTCTGGTCTGGAAGCAAACCCAACACAATGTTAATAGCAGTTACCTTTGAGGTAAAGGTTTATTTTATTTAAAATTATTTTTACTTTCCTTATGTTTGAGTGTTTTTTACCATGTGTATATTATGTTACTTACATTTTTAAAGAAAAATTGTCAACAAGGTTACCTGGATAGTGAAATTATGAATGATCTTTGCTTTCTTATATGTTTCTGTTTCAAAAACACAGTAAATGTTATTTATTTTGTGGAAGATTTCTATCAATAAAGGAAAACCAGAGAATGTCCAGGCTAATGGTAGGAGATTTAGTTTTTGGGTTTTCTGGCTGGCTGGTGCTGGTTGGGGTGAGTCTAGGCTGGCTGCTGGTGGTGGGGCAGACCCCTGAGGCCCTCAGAGTCATACACAGAGGAAGAGCTTGGGTCAGACTTTGGCCTTTTCTGCTTGTTTCATCAAAACAGAAACCACAAGCTTTATCACAGCCTCAAAATGCATTTTCTCTCTTCTTTGGGGTTAAAAACAAATTTTTCTTCAAAGAAAGCATATTGAGATTTTTAAGTCAAGTTCACAATTAAAAAAAAATTTTCTTGAAAGATGTGTGTATTGTCTTAACATGGGTTCCCTTTGTTAACACCTCCCAGTGGATTTATTTGGCATGAGGGATCTAGGGGCAGGACCCTGGACTTCTTCTTAGACAACCTAACCTCTTTGGTCCAGAACTATCTCAAGGTTCTGCTACCAACATGTTAGAAGCAAAAGGCCCAGGAAACAACCCAGTCACTTCATGGGAATTGGCAGCTTTAAATGTGAGTACACACACAGCAGTTGGTTATCTCTTTGGGGGTTAAGTTACCCCATTTAGTGCCGACTTGTGCAGACAATGGGGCAGAGGCCAGAGACACCAGAGTAATCCTTTTACCTGCCTGATCTGGAGTGACATTGGAATGAAGGGGCACTTTCAGAGGGTATCAGTTTCCTAGGTAAGTTCTGCAAACAAGCCCGCAGAGCCTCAGCTTCCTCATTGTGCGTCCACTGCAGGCTGAAAAAAGCCAGACCTGCTTGTCAGTCCCGCAAACAGATGAAAGACCTACTTGGGTTCGGTGGAATTCCATTGTCGTGGTATTTACTCACAGTCGCCTAGCGCCTCCCCTGAAATGTGGACTGCAAGGGGACTAGTTTTCATGCCAAGCACCACATCCTGAAAGCATAAACAGCGATTAAAACTTATTATAAAAAGAGTTGGAAGGGCAGCCAGGGTTTTCCGTCTCTCTTGGTGAATAAACTCAACTCCTACATGCCAACACCTTGTGGTTACCCAATACTCTCTCTGTCCTGTCATTTTTCTTTCAAAGAAGCCACACCTTCCATTTCTCACTGCAAAGAGCTGTGGTGACAGACATGTAAGAATTTTATTTTCTTTTTAAAGTAACTTAGATTACAGTAGGGCTGCCATGAGAAAGGTGACACAGAAGAGCAGACGAGAGGGAGCAGAAAGGTGTATGCAGATTCTCTTGTGTCCATCAGCCTTAAGAACAGGGGCTGCTGAGCCAAGTCAGAGGCTGAAGCCACTCCTAGGGATAAGATCCCCCCATGTCTCTACTCTGGGGACATTAGCTCCACTGTTTAGACTAGCTTCTCACTTTCACCCACATTTTTAGGCCAGTGGAAACTTCCATAAATCCAGGTCATACATTCACATTCAACCGATGTGTGTTTACCCACTACTTCCGATCTGAAATTTTGGGAAGCTGGAGAACGGACAGGGACACTTGCCCACAGCTCTGCAGGCCAGAGGTGGTCCCATTCTGGGACTTTCTGTCCTTCTCTCCAGCTGAACAAACCTGATGATGCTGGCCTCCTCTCATAGACCTTTTAAATGCTGCATGAAGTCCAAACCACTTAGCAGAATTCTGGTCCCCACCTTCACTTCCAACCTCCTGGATGCCCTCTTGCCCTCTACTCTTTGTTCTGGTCATGAAATAGAAAATATAATCCTGCACCCGGTCTTTACCTGGGCAGGGCCCCTGTCCTGGAATGCCTCCCTTTTCCTGCTTTATCTAACTCGCCTCTGTTCAGTGAAGACCCAACTTAAATGCCGTCTTGTCTGGGAAATCTTACTTCAATCCTCTAGGAAATATTAATTGCTTCTCCCTTTAGAGCAGATTATCAGTGATATTATTTGTTTGTATGATCATCTCCCCAAAAAGCTTCTTAAGGGTTTCAGGAAAGCATTTTGCTCATTTCCATATCTTCAGTTCCTAGCAATATACTTGGTAATCAATATGTGTTTGTTGAAGTTTGTATGAGATCATCAATATTTCTCATGCAGAGAACAGAGAAAAGAGAACAACAATAAAATATCTTCAATGCTGGGCTATCCTGAAACAGAGATTTTTTTGTTTGCTACATTTTTTTTTTTTTGAGACAGGGTCTTGCTTTGCCACCCAGGCTGGAGTGCAGTGTCGTGATCACAGCTCACTGCAGGCTCTACCTCCTGGGCTCAGGTGATCCTCCCACCTCAGCCTCCTGGCTAGCTGGGACTATAGACATGTGCCACTATGCTTAGCTAATTTTTTGTATTTTTTTGTTGAGACAAGGTTTTACCATGTTGCCCAGGCTGTTCTTGAGCTGGGCTCAAGTCATCCACCTGGCTTGGCCTCCCAAAGTGTGGGGATTACAGCATGAGTTTCTGGGCCTGGCCTCTTTGCTACACTTTGTCAGGGTCTTTTGCAGGAATTCCTTGTGGTCGTTGGCAGGTGTCATGCCTTATCACTGGTAGGCAAGCCTTGGAAAGCTCCTGTGAAGATTGTCCTATTAGTATCAGTTTACTTTTTTGAAAAAATATTTTTATTGATTTTGGAGACAGAATCTTGCTTTGTCACCCAAATTGGAGTGCAGTGGCATGATCATAACTCACTGTAGTCTCAAACTCCTCGATTCAAGTGATCCTCCTGCCTCAGCCTCCCAAAGTGCTGGCATTACAGGCATGAGCCACCATGCCTGGCCTTAGTTTACTTAAAAAAAATCTAAAAGTTTTAAAAAAACTTTACATAAAAATGGAAATAGCTGTATTATTTATTTTTGATTTATAATATATACATATTGGCTATGAAAAATTCAAATGACCAAAAAACTAAAAGATAAAATGAAAACCTAAAAGCAAAATTTACCCTAAATGCTACCACACAGATAACACAGTTATCCTGTGGTAAATATCCTTCTAGATATATCTCATGCATATGCATACACACATAAACACATAAACATGCTCAGTTTCATATATTCATCTATTCTGAAAACACCTTAAACATTGCCTAAGTGACTCACATTTTACCTGCTCTTATGTAGCCTCCTTTGTATCTCAACGTATTGGACACCTTCATAACAATATACAATACTTGGCGTCTTCTATTCTAATGGGTGTAGAGTATTCACCTGAATGAATGTTCCCAATGTTTTTCAAATGTCTGCTGCTGGATCTAGATGTTATTCCCGGATTTTCAGTACTATAAACCCTCGCCGTGATTGACATTCTTTTTCAGTGAAGTCACATTTCATGGGGGTTTCAGGAAAGGCGATATGTCCAGTAAAGTTTTCAAGGAGTCAATATCACCATGCAAAATTAGTTTGGTGCCACTTTGGAGAAAGACGTGGCCTCTCCAATTAGTCCAGCATAGCCAGTCTTTTCTCCTGTATTGGATAAGACAGTTGTTTCCTGAAGCAAGCACTTGTTGAAATAGCTGGCTTGCATTTTGGCGGGGGTCATGTGCTGTGTGAAAAATGAACAATACATTTACCTTTAAATACAGGGCCAAGCCCAATACGGTGAGATACTCTTATTCATTTGAGGCCTTTCTAGACGACAAGAGACCAGAGAAGAGAGAAGCAGGCCCCTGTGCCCCTCCTGACATGTCCCTACTGTGTGAAAGGGCTGGGCTGGGGGACAGAATCACCAGGGAATTTCAGGTTCTCTCTCTCTTTCTTACTTACAGAAACCATAGCATCCCTTTTGGCAATGCTAAATGTGAATCTTGTTATACAGCTTTCCAGAAATGGGTCAGCTGGATAAAAGTGTACCAGGTCAAAAGTTTACCAATTTGTCATCCTCATAAAAATGCATAGAAGCGCCTATTTCTTCCAAATGGTATGCTTGATTGAATCTACCTTTGCCAGTCTGACAGGTCCATATGTATCACTTTTATTTTTCTTTGTATTTCCTTGGTAGCTTCATTATAGTGAAAATATATCTAAGCTCATTGGCTCTTTCTGGTTATTTGTGAAAGGTCTATGTTTCTTGCCCATGTCTTTTGTTGGGTGTTCTTTTTCTCTTAGTAACTTAAGAGTTATTTGTGTATTAGGACGATTAAATCTTTGTTACATGCATTGTAAATATTTCTCTAGTTTTGTAGTTCATCTTAACTTTATTTATGGTGTTGTCATATAGTGTGAAAGTTTTTGGCTGTTAGTAGAAAACCATACAGTTTCCTCCCTATATATCTTAACTCATTTTCTAAGAGTGTTAGATTTTAGTTTGAGTGTTTTCCAGCTTTTGGAATTAAGATATGAGAAAGTTTATGTCAAGCATTTTTGACTAATTTATCTAATATTTTAATGCCCTTAAACAGTATTGAGAGGTACAACATTTAAGAGGTGATTAAGTCATGAGGGTTAGTTATCAGAGGAGGAAGTTCCCGATAAGAGGATGAGTTCAGCCCCCACCCTCTCTGTCTAATGCACATGTGCTTCCTCACCATGTGATGCTATTATCAATTAGTAATGATCATCCTGCTTTAAAACATTTAGAGGCCAGGCGTGGTGGCTCACGCCTGTAACCCCAGCACTTTGGGAGGCCGAGGCAGGCAGATCACGAGGTCAGGAGATCGAGACCATCCTGGCTAACATGGTGAAACCCCGTCTCTACTAAAAATACAAAAAATTAGCCAGGTGTAGTGGTGGCCACCTGTAGTCCCAGCTACTCGGGAGGCTGAGGCAGGAGAATGGCATGAACCCCAGAGGCGGAGTTTGCAGTGAGCCGAGATAGCACCATGGCACTCCAGCCTGGGCAACAGAGTGAGACTCCATCTTAAAAAAAAAAAAAAAAGCATTTGGAATGAACAGAGATTCTATGATCAAATTCTGAGGACTAAATTAGTTTAGTTGTGCCTCATTTTAGTGAAACTCTCACATAAACATTTCTGTAGGTAGCAAACAGAAATTAGAAGCTAAGCATTGCAATTTAAAGAATTATAGGAACTTAGGAATCATAACAATTTTCTTTAAATATCAGGTTATTTCCCTTAAATAAGTTATGTGCAAGCACTTCGTAAATTCTAAGGTCTTAATCAAAATTTTGATTTTATTACTATTATTATTGGGCTATGTGAAAAAGAGAAGTGAAATACTAAGCCCATGAAAAAATAAGATTTTATTTAACATAATTTAAGACACAGAGCACTTGTTCAGACTCAAGTCTGTTACATTCTTACATAGAGTAACTCACATTATTGTTGGAACCAGAGCTACAGTTCGTATCTTTCTTGAGCCTTCCTCAGGGTCCAGAGTTCTGAGAGAATTTCATTATCACCATCTCCCAAGAAAAACAAGCTTCAGGGGGGCACAATGTGGCCTTTCCGAAGGGCTTTCAGTCCATTCTTGAACTCCACCTTTCAGCATGTGTTGTCTCTTCTTTGTAGAATGAGAAGAAAAATCATACCATCACACAGTACATGAGACAGTGCAGGAGTGCATTCAAACTGCACAGATAACTCAACTTAAAAAAATCAAGGTCATGAGATCCCATCCTTGCATTTCTTTGCTGTTCATCATTTCTGTATGCGTATTAGCTGGAAGTGACACCGCACACACTGTGCGCCTGCACCACAGGGAAGGGATTCCCCACGTTCACACACAGCTGGCAGAGTTTCCTCACTGGCAGGTGCTGGGAGGGCCAAGGAGCCCTCATTCCCTTTCTTCCTGCCTCTCCTCGTTGCTCTCTTCCTACCCCAAATACCATCATAGTACAACGCAGTAGACACAACAGTGGCAACTGACCTCAAAAGTCACACAAGGCATTGCTTCTCCGCCATGGTGTTTGGGACAAGTCGCTGATATTCTGTGGGCTTGGATATTTTATTTTCTCTCGGAGGTGACAAGTTCTGACAGTGGAGGAAGTGTGACTGGTTAATTTTTGTTAGGCTCCAGCAAGAGAGAGTAAAAGAGGGAATTTTCCAGAAAAAAGGAAATGGGTCTACATGCACTTAAAAAAATGTAGTTTTGGTCTGACCTAAAGGGCATGAGTGTTTTTTTTTAGAGATTAAAATCTCTGCTTAATTTCTGCGCTCCTTTGAAATGTGATCCAAAATACATGCTGTACCGGGATGGGATGTATTTTAGCCCCATGGTTAACTCAGACACAACAGAACAAAACCTGCCACCCTGCCACCTGGTTCCCTTCTTCTGCTGATGGCATGGAGTTGTCTGGCTTCTAAGGGCTGTTGTGGCAACACCTCTGACTCCTTCCTGCTCTCTGGTGGTTGGCCTCTAAGCCCTGTGGGATCTGAGTCCACTCTCTGCACAAGCTCTGCACTGGGGTGCCCCCCACAGGACCTCACTGTGGGCTACATTGCCCAACACCTTGGTACCTCTTGTCTGGACTGTTATAATAGCCTCCTGGTCTCTATGCTTTATTCCTAATATCCATCTGTCTTGGTCTCTTTTGTATTGCTAGAGCAGAATACCACAGGTGGGGTAATTTATAGAGAAAAGAGATTTATTTGGCTCATGGTTCTGGAGGCTGCATCTGGTGAGAGTTTCCTTGCTGCCTCATACTGTGGGGGAAGGCATCCCGTGGTGAGGAAGCACACTTGCATGAGCCAGAGCGGGTGGGGGCTGAGCTCATCCTTCTGTCAGGAACCTACTCCTCCGATACTAACCCTCGTGACCGAACCGCCTCCTAAATGCCCCACCTCTCAATACTGTTACAATGGCAATGAAATTTTAACATGAATTTTGGAGGGGCCATTCAAACCATAGCACTATCGTTTCACACTCTTGCCAGACAAAAGTCCTGAAATCAGAGCTCTGATGACATCATTCCTGGGCTCAAAAATGCTCCATGGCTTTACAAATTCTACTTATAATGTTCTTGGCCTGGAAGTCAAGGCCTCACATATCTTACTTCAATCCACTATTTCTGGCAGGACACCTCACCACACTTCCCTTGCTCCTGTCCACATGAGCTCTTAGGCCAGGGGCATGCTTCTCTGTTTGACCACATGCACCTCCTCTCCTGTTATTTCTGCCATTTGAGATGCTCCCCTTCCTACTGCTGCATTAACTGAAAGCCACACTTCATGATCCAGAAGAGATGCCACCTCCTCTGCCAAGCTGGCCCTGACTTTCCAGGCAGAAATGATGTATTACCATATGGCATTCATTGCTTTACAGTGAATTAAAGCTATTATTTTTAGTTGTAAAAATACATTTTTTAAAACTACAAGTGTAAAATACATTTGTGTTGCAAAAGTCCAGATAATACAGGAAAATAAAAGCTTCCCGTTCCCTCAGCTCTCTTCTAATTTTAATTCTTGGAGCTATTACTAAGAGTGGGGGCCGGGCGTGGTGGCTCATGCCTGTAATTCCAGCACTTTGGGAGGCCAAGGCGGGCGGATCATGAGGTCAGGGGATCAAGACCATCTTGGCTAACATGGTGAAACCCCATCTCTACTAAAAATACAAAAAATTAGCCGAGCATGGTGGTATGAGGGAGGCTGAGGCAGGAGAATCTCTTGGACCCGGGAGGCAGAGGTTGCAGTGAGCCGAGATTGCACCACTGCACTCCAGCCTGGGCGACAGAGTGAGAATCCGTCTCAAAAAACAAACAAACAAACAAAAAAAATTGTGTGGTGTGTGTATTTTCATTTGTTAAAACAATGTAAATCCAGGTACAAGCACACAGATAGACGTATCTAAAATAAATATTGGGGCTGGCATGGTGGCTTACATCTGTAATCCCAGCACTTTGGGAGGCCGAGGTGGGAGGATCACTTGAGCCCTGGAGTTCCAGACCAGCCTGAGCAATGTGGCGAGTCTCTGTCTCTAAAGATGAATTAATAACAATAAAAAATTGGGCCATCCTGTAAGATTTTTCTGCCTTTTTTGACTCAATATATCAAGAACATTTTTCCCTATCAGTATATAAAAATACACTCTACTACTTTTAATGACAGTGTAATATTCTATAGAATATAGGTGTCATAATTTTCTATTTTTCTATAAATTAATATTTTATGTATTTCCCATTGTTCTGCTATTACAAATAGTTGTTCAGTAAGCATTCTTGTACATTTATCTTTGTGCAATTGAAGACCAATATTTCTCTCACTTATGTAGTGCCACCCTTGCTAGTAGGAATGTTCCGTTAAATGCAAAACCTGCAGAACTTGGACTCTTCAACATGTTTCTACTTTGCCAAAACTGTCTACGCCTCCCTGTGCTTGCTTGCTGCTCCTTGGCTCTTCTTTGTCTTTAATGTTGCCCTTAACTCTAATAAAAGCCTCTGTCTTAGTTTAGGTTTCCCCAGAAACACATTTAAGACAAGGATTTGAATGCAAGTGGCTTATTCAAGAGGTGGCCTCAAGATGCACAGGTAGGGGAGTGGAGGGTGGGGCGGAACAGGGAAGGCAGACAGCACCCTGTGCTTTAATGAGCAGGTGATCACTGTGGGCACTTGGAGCACAGTCACACGGAGGCTGGGTACAACATACTGCAGAGTGGTCTCAATTGAGGGGCAAGGAAGATGGGGGTATTTATTATCCAGTTCCCATCCGTCATCAATTGAGGGTGCTCTTGGAGGCGTAAGCCCCTGGAACACTCAATCTACCCTAGAGCTCCATGGCCAGAGAAAGCCCTCAGGCAGAAGGTCACTTGGGCTTTCAGCCAGAATCAGGCTGCATGTTCAGGATTGGTGGGTGCTTGGGGGACCAGGGGGGCCACCAAAGGCATAGCCTATTTCCCTGAACAGTCAAAATCAGAGACTCCTAGACAAAGAACAGATCACAGAGGTCAGTCATCAAATCAAGATCTCATAAAAGATGCTAGTCCATATCTAGAAAAATATCTTCCAGAGAGATTGCCTGGATGAAGAAATAATAATAATAATTAATAACAAATAATAATAATAACAAATAATAATAATAATTTATACTAATGTAATAATAACACCAGAATAAATAAGATAAATACCTTTCAGTCTATAAAGCTCTTTCATATATATATTATATTATTCAAAAAACTGAATTTCACAAGAGCCCTGTAAGGTACACATCCTATATTATTCCCTTTTTCCAGATGAGAACATCGAGGTGCAGAGAATTAACTAATAAGTGTCAGAGTCAGAACTGGTCACCAGTTCTTGTGAATACAAGATCAGTGATCTAGAGTTAAAGGATGATTAGAATTTTTCTACCCACGATGGGGTCGGTTTGCAGTTCAAATGTTCTCTTCACCACTCATGGTAATAAAGCCAAACCAAGAACAGGACTTTCAATTCTAAGATTTATTTCTAGATGATTTTGAGAAGTGCTGCAAAACAAGAAAATGCAATATAGTGCATTTCAGGACAGCCAGATAAATTCCCTCTTATTGATTACATTTCAAATATTTCCAAAATCAGCCTCAATGCTAAAACAAGCAAGAAGATGATGTCTTTTAGCCAAGAAATTGGCATAATTAGAAATATGGAGGTATAAAAATTAAGATTAATAACGTAAAAAACAAGAAGCATGCACTTCTAAAAGTTCTATCTTAAATATTTGACATCAAATTTTTACAATGAAACGTAGAGTCTTAAAAGAAAGAACAGACTGAATATTATCACACTGTGGTGGCTTATATCTATATCCTTGATATAAGGGTATAAAAATCTTTATATCTATCCAAGATTTTTAGCAGAAAGGAAAGATCTCTGGGAGCACAGGTAGAGAGGCCCCACTGGAGTACAAGGAGGGGTGCAGATGGTGTGGTAAGGAGGCTGATGGTCCTATTCAGGATGAATTAAGGTTAGTTTGCATGCTGTTTAAAATCTCAGTCCTCCGAGATGTTTCCCCAAAATTCAGGGTTCTCTTCCTGCAAGTTTCTATATGCTTTTCAGAAGTTCTTTCCCCCTGTAATTTCTATTAAGAAGCCCAAGTATTCCAGTGACGATTTTAAGCTCCATGATTTTCATTATTCCTGATACTATTTTTGCCCTTTTATTCAATCCATGTTAGTCCAATTTGGGAATTTCAGCATGGAGCTATCTTAGCCCTTGTTGTCTGGGAAGCTTATGTCAGACTATAAATAGCCCACTCAGCCAAGGATTTGTGTCTTTGAAAGTGTATAAACATCTCCTAAATGCAAAGTACAATTTCAACTTTAGTAAACATCAGGGTCACTTGGAGGGCTGGCTAAGACACAGATAGCTGGATGTCACCCAGGGATTCTGGTTAGCACTAGAGTGAAATCCAAGAATTTGCATATCTAACAACTTCCCAGGAGATAACCGATGCTGCTGGTCTGCAGAATACACTTTGGATACCACTGATGTTGTTGGGGCACAGATTATATTGAGACTTCCCATTTGATAAAAGGGGGCTACTCTTTAGCACTAAAGAAATTTTCATGACTGGCCATAAAACAGATTAAGTTCAGGAGATGGTGGAGGAAGCAGAAGTCTGTCCAGCAGATGTGTGCCCTTATATGCATATTCTGTCTAGTGATTTAGATCCTTAGTACACATACTCCCCTGGACCAATATTCCTCAAGGCAAGAGGCTGGTAGTAATGGAGAGATCACCAAAATTCTCTGGTGATGCTCTGGATTCAAGTCTTGGTTATGTGCCTTCTCCCTTTTTTCTGCTGTGTGACCTTAAGCAAGTCACCTAACTCCTCTTAGCCTTAGTGTCCTCCCTGGTCAAGTGCTGACAACATAATCTGTCCTGATCCATGCCCATGTTGCAGCGATTGTCTAAATAGAAATGAGCTGACACTCACTTTGCATACTGTGAAGCCCTCTCTAGGTGTAAGGAATTAACTGGGAGCAGCTTGTTCCTGAAGAGGAGATGGGGGTGCTGCCGCCTGAATCCAGGCTCAGCCCCACATACCGCCTGCCTGGAGGATCACCATATGGAGCCTCACCTTGTTCCCTTTCAAGATGAACTTGCATTCCCTAGAAAAAATTTCTCAGCCTTAAAGTCACAACTTCAAAAATGTAGTGGGGACCACATTTAAGAGATCTGGTGAATTTTTGGTGGATTCAATTTTTTAAACTGCACTTTTAAAACAAACCCAACTATAGAGATGAAAGCCAAGAATTAAAATATCCATACAGAATAGAAAACATTAATATTTTCAAGTACAATGAATTGAATAACCATCATAAGGAAACAATAAAACATGAAGTGACTGAGACCAGATGATCACCACTGGGCACACGTGGTCTCTGTAGCAGGCTCAGGGAGCCCAGGGTTGGCTTTCAGTTTCCTGCAACACAGAGCAGTCCCTTCAGCACTCTGCCAATAAGGATCCCATCGGTTAATGAGACGAGCTTCAACTAACTGGCGGAGGCTCGGAGGGTGGGGCACCCACGTTACATTTTCTCCTTGCCCACAACTCTTTGAATTTTAGTCTGGTTGTCAATTGTTCTAGCATCTCTTCCCCCTAGTGTGCTGTTTCTCCCCTCATAAAAACAGCTACAGAGCTGAGGTCTGAAATATCTGGAGTATATAAAGATGGTGAGGATTGGAGGGGTTCATGGTGCTCTCTCAGCCCTTGCTTATGAACCCAGCCTCTCTCTTCTCAACCCCCACCTCTGTCCCCAGAAGTTCTCAGTAGCTTCAATAACAAAGGCAGATTTTCCACCTGTTAACCTGGAAGAATCTGCAAAGAAGCATGAGTGTAAACGGACTTAGAAGAAGTGGAATTCAAGAGTAATGTTTCTGTCACGATGCCTCCCTCACACCCCATGTCACTGACCATAGGCACCCAGAGTGCTGCAGGGTTCAGGACAGAAGCTCAAATCTCAGAAGCCAACTAGACATCTGTGGATTTGAAGGCAGGGATAATGAGGACACCACTCGGTCAGTTCTTCCTACAAACAGTAGTTGGTGGAAACCTACCTTTTATAGGGATGTCTTCCCACCTATTTATCTAGATGAGAAAGCTTTTAGAATAAAAGTAAGATTTTCTTTTATAAAACAAATTTTAAAAACTCTTTGTTCACAACTTTCTTCTTCTCATAGTTAAATCATGGCCATTGGAAGCACTACGGTGTTTCTTACTTCTCTGATTTGCACTTTATTAATAGGGAAAGAGATTGCCTTGGTCTGGGTTCCCTCAGAAACTGACCCTGAGATGAGGGTTTGGGAGGAAAAAGTACATTTGGGAGGAGTGTGGCAGGCAGAGTGGGGAAGGCAGCCTGTACAGGGCACATGCTTGTGTCACCAAGTTGGGGGTGACTAGTGCTTGTTCCTCAGGGAGACCTTGGGAAATGGTATAAAATACGTAACCACGGAATTATCCCCTAGAGGAGGATTGAGGATCCCCCTGGAGGAGGATTGAGCGGGAGTGTCTATCTGGGCAGCTGCAACTACCAGGGAAGTGAGTTGGAGCACACTAAGGTGAAAATGGATGGGGTGGAGAGGGCAGGGGAAGGGTCACTCATTGCATTAACTGCAGAAGCAAACCCTCTCGATGCTCGCTTTCTAGTGAAAATACATACGCAGGTTTATGCTTAAGGAAAGACAGAGCTCAGATATTCATCCCCATTCAACTCATAAGTAAAAATCCTGTTCCCTCCATCTAACATATCAAAAAGCCTGCTTCTGCGCCTTATTTGCTGTTGTTAACAAGCCCCTCCCCAGAGGATGGAGCCTCTGTTTCTCCTTCCTGCTTCAAAAACGTTGAGGCTGCCAGGCCAGATCCCAGACCCCAGCTTCATCCCATTGCAAGCTCTCACCTTGATGCAGTTTGTAGGATTTTGCTGCGTGAGGTGAGTACTGCTGTTTATCCAAAGCAAACCTGCTGAATTGGATTGAAGGGTAGGAGCTGGTGTTTCTGTAAGTGAGCTGCACCATTTGCTTGTGAAAGTACGTGAGAATGATGATGTTGGACAGGGCAGCAGGGACCATAGAAAGCCTCAGCCCAATGCCTTTGTTTACAGATGAGGAGATTGAACACCAAAGACCTAACATGACTTGTGTAGCGGTTCCTGACTAGTTAGTGGTAGATCTGGGTTTAAAATTTAGCCCATCTTTTCCAGTGCTCAAACCACTTTGGACAGGTCATGTAAAACATCGTCTGATTCATGGCTGTGAGAAAGATACAAGCTGCCTATAGGCAGGAAGATGGTATAATTCCCCAAATACCAGGCCATTGGTGGGGGAAAATGAGAATTTTTCATGGCAGAACTTCCAGGAGCTAGTGCTGTGCCCCATGGCATTACCAGAAGGCAGGGCTGGATGCAACACAGCAATTCACTCATTCATTGTTTTGACTGCAAAAGTGAATTGGCTGAACATAGCACAGTAATTAAAAAAAAACCAAAACCAACCAGTACTCACAGTAGCATGGATGTATGGATTATGTTTAGGAAAAGAAATCAGACACGAATAAGGATGTACTGTATAAAGCCCTCCCTCCATAGAAAGTTCAGGAACCGGCAACACTAATCTATGGTGATAGACCTCAAAATGTGGTTATTTCTGGGTGGAAGTTGGCATTGACTAACAAAGGCCAGATGGGAACCTAAGCGGGTGATGAAAAAGTTTGCTATTTTGATCTGGGTGGGGATATGCAGGTGTTTGCATGGACGGAAGCCAGTGAGCTTGCATCTAAGACTGGGCACTTTATGTTCCTTATGAAATCTCTCAGTTAAGAAGATGAAGAAAAAATCAAAGCAATGCACATAACAGATCATAACCTGGAAAGGAAATTGGAGTAAAATCAGTGGCTTTTCTCATTCAGTCATTTATTCCCTTAACAAATGTCTGCCGAGGCTGTTGGTGCCAGCCCGCACTCCCCCAGCACTCATCCCTTCTGCACACGCGGACAGTGTCCCGGGGGAGAGCGCCCTCCACCCTCTGCTCTAGGGCTTCCTCTCCGGCTGTGCAAGGCAGGCTGCACGCTTGGGAGCCATGTACTGCAGGAGGAACCTTCTGGTAATGATAGGATAGGGTTGGAGGATAAGTACCCCGGCCTCCTCATTCCCCAGTGGGACGACTCTGCGGCATGTCTGCGCTGGCTCCCAGGGAACAGCACCCCAGATGCCCACACTAATAACCTGGTCTCTCACTCATCCTGACTGGGCTGCCTTCCCTTCCCTGTCTCTCTTCCCCTTTCTTCTCCCTCTCCTCCTGGGATCACCTCCCATACAAACTCCTCACCCTCATTTCCTTGTCCCAAGTTCTACTTTTCAGGGAACCCAGGATACTTTCCTCCTGGTCCTAAGAAAACCCAGGCAAACCAAGTTTCCTGCTCTCATACAATTTACAGCATGTTGGGTTGAACAGGCAACTTAACAAACATTAAAAACGAAGTGTAACGAGTGCTGAGGTCAGGGAGCATAGACTGGCGGAAGGCACAGAGCCACAGGGGACCCTAAGCTAGCCCAGGAGAGGTCCCAGAAGCTGAGCTGGGAGTGACTGGGGCTCCCTGCCTTTTCTTCCCCTTCTTGAACTTCCACTCCTCTCTGTTTCATTTCTTCTCTTCCTTTCAGAAATGAAAGAGACATTTATTTATTTAGGACATTTCCTTATGATCCCATAAATATCAGTAGGTATTATATTGAATTCGCCGCCCATGATGGTTTATTGTGATGCCTAATTTCATATCACAGAACTGAGACTCAGCTTTCAAAAGTGGCTCCGGATGTATGGGAACCATTTTCAATATTTTCAGTATTGCTGCCCATCTGCATGACATATATTTTCTAGGAAAACCCAGCACATATTTCTTAGACCGTGGGGGTTAAATGCCTTTCAGGGTAGCTGAAAACTACTTACCAATCAGCAGCTGGCAGAAATGTGTACCAAGAGCTCTCATCTGGAAGTGGGCAGCTGACTCATGTTGGAGTTGTCATCCCTACTCCAGCAGCCTTCTGGGTGAAAAGTTCTTCAAAGCACATGCATGTGAGGCCAGACCATTTCTCTTCTGTTTTCTATGCTCCTCACCAAAAAAGAATGAGTCATGGAGCTCTCTAATTCAGGATCCAGTAGAGCATCAGACAGAATGCAGGCTGTTGTTTGAACATCCGTCTCCAGATAGACTGCAGTGTCATTTAAACAAAGATGTATGCATTTGAATATGGTGCCATACAATTCTTGTGCCGAACTGGCATATCTTCTGAGGGAAGATTTTATAGAAATAGAACCACTCCTGTCAGCTGGCCATTTTAAATATTTTTTAGCCTACTCTAGTTGGTATCAGTTAGTTTTATACAGATGTTATCCTTCACTTTATATTATAAACCTAGAAAATAATGTTAAAAATGGCACAATATCACCATATACATCCAAAGACCAAAGGACTCTGTTAAACAAAAAGGGAAACTTCATGGTGAGGTTTGTATATAAAGCTAAACTCAATAAACACTAGATTTTTTTTTTTTTTTTTTTTTTTTGAGATAGGGTCTCACTATGCCACCCAGGCTGGAGTGGAGTGGTGTGATCCAGCAATCTCCGCCTCCTGGGCTCAAGCAATCCTCCCACCGCAGTTTCCCAAGTAGCTGGGATCACAGGCATGTGCCCCCATGCCTGGTTAATTTTTGTGTTTGTTTAGAGATGGGGTTTCACCATGTTGCTCAGGCTTGTCTCAAACTCCTGGACTCAAGTGATCCTCCTTCCTCGGCCTCCCAAAGTGCTGGGAATACAGGCATGAGCCATTGTGCCCAGCCTAGACACTGGATTTTTAAAATCAGTGGCTTTTTCACTTGTTTAGGAAAAAAAGATGATGTAAGAGAGAAACATGAACATGTTTTTTATTTTAACCACTTATCCTTGATGAAAAATAAAAGACTTGTTTAGTCTTCTATTGCTGCATAACACACTACTATAAACATAGAGGCTCAAAACAACTTCCATATATTAGCTCACAGTTTTGTAGGTCAGACTTCCAGGTATGGGGTGGCTGGGTTCTCTGCTTAGGTTCTCACAAGTCTGAAGTCAAGAGGATGGCAGGTTTTGTTTCTCTCTGGGGACTCTGAGAAGAACCTTCTTCCAAGCTCATTCAGGTGTTGGCTGAAGTCAATTCCTTGCAGTTACAGGACAGAGGTCCTTAGCTCCTAGCTGGCTGTCAGCCAGGGGATCAGTCAGTTCTTAGATATCACCCACATTTCTCACCACATGGACGCCTCTGTTTTTAAGCTAACCACAATCTCCTTCACATGGTAGCCCTTTCAAACTTCAAATATCTTCTACCAAGAAAAGCCCAATCCCTTTAAAGGGCTCATTTGATTAGGTCAGGCTCTTAGAGGATAATCTCCCTATCTTAAAATCAATTGATTTGGGGCCTTAACTACATTTGCAAAATTCCTTCACAGCGGCACCTATATTGGTGTTTGCTGAATAACAGGGAGGGCGTGTGTGAACACCAGAGGCTTTAATCTTGAGGGCCATCTTAGAATTCTGCCTGTGACAGGATTATTTAGTAAATATTGATTTACCCTCTTCATAGAAAATTTATAATCAATAAGGGAGGCAGATATGGTGCTTTCCTTATTGATTACTTACAAGGTCCAGCAGGCAATACAAAGTAGTTAAATGGGCCATGTGTAAGACAATATGGTGAAACAGAAGGCTCAGTGGCTTCTTGTAACTAGTCATACTCAACTAAGTTGATGGCTGCTCTGTGACAATATACTCTCTATATTGCCAAATCTTCTCATTTTTAAGAGAAGTAAAAATTCTTTTGGGTTTTTTTTTTCTTTCTTGAAATAAGGTCTCACTATGTCACTCAGGCTGGAGTGCAGTGACCTCATCATAGCTGACTGCAGCCTCCAACTTCTGGGCTCAAGTGATCCTTCCACTTCAGTCTTCTTTGTTGCTGGGATGGCAGGCATGCACCACCATATACCTAGGTAAAATTTTAATTATTTTTTTGTAGAGATGGGATAGCTCTATGTTGCCCATGCTGGTCTTGAGCTCCTGACCACAAGGGATCCTCCCACCTTGGCCTCCGAAAGCAATAGGATTACAGATGTATACCACTGTGCCCAGCCCTCTCTTGAGTTTTAAAAGTTGTCAGAAGAATTCTGAGAAGATGATAGAGTAGGAAATACCAGAAATCCCTCTCCCCATCTAGACAATAATAGCATTGGCAATATCTGTCTGACATGATTATTTTGGGATTCTGGAGTCTATTGAATATTTGCAACTTCTAGGGGAAGGCTTGGATGGTAAATTGTTTAATTTTGATCATTTTCTGCTCCTAGCACAGTAGCTGCTACCTATCTTTCACCTCTGGACCCTCCTCTCTTGAGCAGGCAGCATGCATGTGTTCCTGGAGAAGTTTGCACACAGCTTGTTGGAGGCAGGGTGGGCAAAAGGATCCTGCCCTCCAAATATCAGGGATTTGTACTCTGACTGCTGATGGCTGCTTCTGATCACAGGGGTGCTGGCAATGAAAAAGCCATTATTGTTGTTGCATCTTCCCACATTATTGCAAGCCCGTCTACCTCTGGATGAGCTGAGTTCCACGGTATTTAAAAAGCTGGCACCTTTGTTACCCACTTCAGTTTTCTATTTCTTCTCCTTTGAGAGCCAGATATCAAAGACTAGGACTTTCAAAAGCAACCATATATATTGGGGAAATGAGAAAGTCATCGTACATGCTCAGGGACAGGCACAGACTCAGAAAGCCAATCTTCAAGATTCTTCCTCAACCAGGAATCCTGTACTTCTTCACCCAAGAATCCTGTATCTGGCAAAACTGTACTCCAAAAGTAAGGGAGAAATTAAGACTCTCATAGATAAACAAAAGCTGAGGGAATTATCCCCAGACCTGTCTTGCAAGAGATGTCCAGTGGAATCCTGCAGGTTAAAATGAAAGGGAGACAGTAACTTGAAGCCACAGGAAGAAATAAAAATCTCAGTAAAAGTAGATAAATAGACAATTATAAAAGCTAATATTGCTGTAACAATGATATGTAACTTCATTTTTTGTTTTCTATATAATTTAAAAGATTAGTATATTAGAAATTATTAGACTAAAAGCTAAGATTATTGCTACTTTGGTTCATAACTCTGCATTTTGTCTTCTGCATAATTTAAGAGACTAATGCATTAAAAATTGTTAGTTAATATATTTGGACACACAGCATATAAAGATGTAATTTTGTGATAACAGCTGAAGGGGTAGGGGTTGGAGCTGGAGATGGAGCAGAGCTTTTGTATGTTATTGAAGTTAATCTGGTATAATTCAAATTACAGCCTTATATCTTAAGAATGTTAAATATTATCCTCAATGGCAATCACAAAGAAAATAGCTGAAGAATATCCACAAAAGAAACTAAGAAACAAATGTAAACATTTCACTACAAAAAACAACTAAACACAAAAGAAGACAGTAAAGCAGGAAATGAGGGACAAAAAGGCATATAGAAAACAAATAGCCAAATGACAGAAGTAATTGCCTCCTTATCAGTAATTATTTTAAATGTAAATGTTTAAATGTAAATGGATTAAACTCTCTAATTAAAAGACAGAGATTGGGAAATTGGTAGAATGGTTAAAGAAAATCATGATTCAACTATACGTTGTCCTTAAGAGACTCACCTTAGATCCAAAGACACAAATAGGTTAAAAGTGGAAGAATTAAAAAGCAAATAGTAACCAAAAGATAGCAGAGGTAGCATACTGATATTAGACAAAATAGACTTTAAATCAAAAAAGATTACATGAGATAAAGAAGAACACTACATATTAACAAAAAGTTTAATACAGCAAGAAGGTATAACAGTTATAAACATTTAGGCACCTAATAACAGTTCATCAAAATATGTAAAGGAAAAATTGACATAATTGAAGGAATAGACAATTCTACAATAATACAGACTTCAATACCCCATTCTCCATAATAGATAGAACAGCCAGACAGAAGATCAATTAAAAAAAGACATGAACAACACAATCAACCAACTAGATTTAACGTACACATGCAGAACACAATTCTAAAACTGCAGAATACACATTCTTCCCAAGTGAACATAGAAAATTTTCCAGGACAAACCACATGTTAGGCCACAAAGCAGGTCTCAATGGATTTAAAAAAGATAAATGTCAGACTAAGTATCTTTTTAGATCACAATGGGATAAAGTTGGACATCAGCAACAGAAGTTGGACATCAGTAACAAACACACAAATTTGTGGAAATTAAATAGCACCGTCTTAAACAACCATTGGATCAAAGAATAAATCACAAAGACATTAGAAAATACTTAGAGATGAATGAAAGTGAAAACCCAGCATATCAAGATATATGTGATAATACTGAATGCTATGCTATGGAGAAAATATATTGCTATAAATGTTTACATTATAAAACAAGAAATATACCAAACAACCTAACTTTACAACTAAAGGAACTGGAAAAAGCAGAGCAAACTAAATCCAAAGAGAGAAGATGAAAGTAAATAACAGATTAGAGGAGAAATAAACAAAATAGAGAATGGAATAATATTAGAAAATACCAATAAAACAGAAATTTGGTTATTTGAGAAAATCAACATGGATGACAAATGTTTTGCTAGATGGAAAAAAAGAAAGAAGACTCAAATTACTAAAATTAGAAATGAAAGTGGGAATATTACTACCAATTCTGTGGAAACAAAAAGGATTATAAGAAAGTAATATAAGCAACTGTACACCAACAAATTGGATAACTGAAATGAAATGGACAATTTCTAGAAATACACAGTGTATCAAAACTGAACAACAAAGAAAATAAAAAATTTGAATAGACCTATAACTAGTAAGAAAATCTCCTGATATAGAGAAGCCCTGGGCTCCATGGCTTTACTGGCTAATTCTACCAAACATTAAAATACAAATTAATGCCAATCATCCCAAAAATTTTCCAAAAAATTGAAGAGGAATGAATGCTTCTTAACTTATTCTATAAAGCCATTACCTTAATACTAAAGCCAGACAAAGACATTACAAAAAAGACCAATATTCCTTATAAACATTGATGTGAAAACTCTCAAGAAAATACTAGCAAATTACATCCAACAGTATTTTAAAAAGATTATTTTCTATGACCAAATGGGACTTACTTCTGCAACGCAAGGATGGTTCAACATATGAAAATGGTTCAATGTAATATATCACATTAACAGTATAAAGGATAAAAATGACATGATCATTTCAATTGCTGAAGAAAAAGCATTTGACAAAATTCAATATGTTTTCATCATAAAAACACTCAACAAGTTAGAAATAAAATCACATTACCTCAACATAATAAAAGCTATATATGAAAAACTTACTGTGAACATCATCCTCAGTTGTGAAAGGTTGAAAGCTTTTCCTCTAAAATTGGTAAAATAAGACCAGGATATCTGTTTTCACCACTTCTATTCAACATTGTACTGGAAGTCCAAGCCAGAGCAGTTAGGCAAGAAACAGAACTAAAGGCATCAAAATTAAAAAGGAAGAAGTAAAGTTATTTCTGTTTTCAGATTTTATATGTCAAAAACACTAAGATTCCACAAGCAAACTTTTAGAACTAATAAATGAATTCGGCAAAAATATCAAGATACAAAGTCAACATATAGAAGACATTTCTATACACTGACAACAATTAGGAAAGGAAATTAAGAAATCAATTCAATTTATAATAGTATCAAATAGAATAAAATACTTAAGAATTAACATAACCAATGAGGTGAGAGACTTACACAAAAGATTGTTGAAATAAATCAATGAACATATAAATAAATGGAAAAATACCCTGTGTTCATAGAATTGAAGACTTAATATTGTTAAGATGTTAATACCACCCAAATTGATGTACACATTTAATGCAATCTCTACCAAAATCTTAATGATTTTTTTGTAGCTATAGAAAAATCTCTCCTAAAATTTGTGTAATCTCAAGGAACCCTGATAGCCAAAACAATCTTGAAAAGGAAGAACAAAGCCAGAGGACTCACAACATTTCCTGATTTCAAAATTTACTACAAAGCAACAGTAACCAGAACAGTCTGGTACTGGTATAAAGACAGATATATAGACAATGGAAAATAATAAAAAGCTCACACATAAACACTCACGTATGTGGTCAAGTGATTTTTGACAAGGGTGCCAAGACCATTTAGTGGGGAAAAGAAATTCTTCAACAAACAGTCCTAGGAAAACTGGATATCCAGATGGAAAAGAGTGAAGTTGGATCCTTACCCTACACTGCATACAAAAATTAACTCAAAATGAATTCATGACCTAAATGTAAGACCTAAAACTATAAAGCTTTTAGAAGAAAACATAAAGGAAAAGCATCACAACACTGGATTTTGCAATGATTTCTTGGATATGACACTAAAGGCAGAGGCAACAAAGGAAAAAAATAGACAATTTGACCTTCATGGAAATGAAAAATTTTGTGCATCAAAAGACACTATGTATATGGTAAAAAAGGCAACCTAAAGAATAAGAGAAAATACTTGCAAATCATATATCTGATAAGGGATTAATATCCAGACTACGTAAACAATGTCTACAATTTAACAAGAAAAACAAACAACCTGATTAAAAAATGGACAATGAACTTGAACGGACATTTCTCCAAAGAAGATATAAAAATGGCCGATAAGCACATAAAAAAGACGCTCAACATTACTAATCATGAAGGAAATGCAAATCAAAAGTATGACGAGATATCACCTCACACCAATCAGAATGGGCACTCTAAAAAAAGACAGAAAATAGCAAGTATTGATAAGGATGTAGAGAAATTGGAATTCTTGTGCATTGCTGGTGGGAATGTAAAATGGTACAGCCCTTGTGGAAAACAGTATAGCAGTTCCTCAAAAAATTAAAAATAATATTACCATATGAGCCAGCAATTCCAATTCTGAGTACATATTCAAAAAAATTGAAGTCAGGGTCTTGAAGAAATATTTTCATTCCCATATTCACAATAGCATTATTCACAATAGCATTATTCACAATAGTCAAAATATGGAAGCAACCCAAGTGTCCATCAATGGATAAATGGATAAGCAAAATGTGGAATATGTGTACATACAGTGGAATATTACATGGCCTTAAAAAATAAGAAAATTCTGACATATGCTACAACATAGATGAACCTTGAGGACATTCTGCTAAGTGAAATATGCCCATCACAAAAAGACAGATACTATATGATTTTACTTTACTTATATGAGGTACTTAGGGTAGTTAAAATAATAGGAACAGAAAACATGGCGTTTACTAGGGGCTGGTGGAAAGAGGGAATGGTGAGTTATTGTTTAACAGGTATAGAGTTCTAGTTTCACAAGATGAAAAGAGTTCTAGGGATGGATGTGGTGGTGGTTGCACCACAATATGAATGTACTTAATGCCACTGAATTACACACTTAAAAATAACTATGATAGTACATTTTACGTTATGTGTATTTTACCACTATCCAAAAATTGCAGAAAAAGTTGTCAATGACTTCAAATTTTTAAAAATACTGGGTGAACCTAATAAAACACATTTCTGTCTTTTTATTTGCTTTTTGTTTGCTTGTTTTTCTTTGTTGAGACAATCTTGCTCTGTTGCCCAGGCTGGAGTGCAGTGTTGTGATCATAGCATATTGCAGCCTGAAACTCCTGGACTCAAGCTATCCTTCTTGCATCTGCCTCTGAGTAGCCAGGACTACTGAAGTGCACCACCATGCCCAGCTATTTTTTTTTTTAATTTTTAGTAAAGATGGGGTCTCACTATGTTGCCCAGGCTGGTCTTGAACTCCTGAGCTCAAGCAGTCCTACCACCTCAGCCTCCCAAAGTGCTGGAATTATAGCCATGAGCCACTGCACCTGGCCCACTTTTCTGGTTTTTCAGGAGACCCAGGTGTCACCAGTTTCCTTCTTTTTGTGGTCTTAGGTATTCATTCATTCTAGTCAGTCCTTAGAAAATAGTTATTGAACACCTATTGCATGCATATTGGTTGTAGGCACTGGGAATACAGGCTGGTCACTGAAGCTTCACTGAGAAGGGGACATTTGAGGGTAGATCTTAACAGATGAAGAAGGTAAACATGCATCCTTCTGGGCGGCAAGCATCCCAGGAAGAAGGCACATAAATGCAGTGACCCTGAGGTGATCATTATCATGTGCTAGGCATATTCACAGAGTGACACAGAGGCCTGTGTGGCTAGAGTGGATTGGGCAGGGGGAGCAGTATGAGAGGAGGTCGGAGGGGTCTATGGAGCTAGATCACCTTGGGCCTTATGGGGTAAGGATTTGAGATTCTTTTGAAGGGGAATGGAAAGCATTGAGATTTAAGCAGAGGAGTGACATGAACTCACTTATCTTTTCAAATGACCACTCTGATTTCTCAGACAAAATTTTGGGAAATTTAGGGTAAAAACAAGGACATTTCTTAGGAATCTATAGCAGTAATCCAGGAAAAAAATAATGTGGTCTTAAATTGGAAAGTGGTGGGGGTAAGATATCAGATTCATGTGATCATGACTAAGCAACTCCAGGATTTTCTGACAGAAAGCATGTGGCATGAGGGAAAGAGCAGAGTCAAGGAGGGCTCTGGAACTTGGGCCAGAAAAACTAGAAGGATAAATAAATAATAAAAAGTTTAGCAGTCAAATTCATAACAGTAAATAAATAAATTAAAAATAATAAAAATTAATGGATAAAAAGTTGTTATGTAAATTCAGTGCCCTATTCCATCTCCTAGGTTATTTTCACTAGAAGTTAATTAGAACTCTCCAGTTGTCCCAGCCTAGACAGCCTGCTAGCCCCTTAACTAAGACTGCTTGCCACTTCCTGCACCTCCTAGTAGGCTCAGTCTAGATACTCTTTCAAAAAACACAGTTAAGCACTTAGAAACTGAGTATTTAAGAAGCTCCTGCCTTATCTTTCAGATTGCAGCTCAAGCCCAAGAATCTGATTCTAACTTTGTGCCCAGTCTTTTTGCCAATGGGACTCCTGCTCTGGGACACACAGTACCTACATGATGCCTCAAAGTCTGTCTTCTTTCTATGCCTGAGACCTGAGACTTGCCTGCCCCCCTAGTCACTTGTGGCACAAGCTCTGCCTTTCCCTGATTCTTGGACTTTTAGCCTGTCCTTGACTTTCATCATAGATATAGGGCTATACAGATTTTCTTTTTCATCTTTGTCAGTTTTGGTGAGTTGCATTTTTTGAGGAATTCATCCGTTTCAACTAGGTTGTCAAATTCGTTAGCATAAAGGTGTTCATATTTTTCATTCTTTTAATGAATGTTGAGTCTGAAGTGGTAATTCATTTATTATTTCAGATATTGATAATTTACGTTCTCATTTGTTTTTCATGATCAGCCTAGCTAATGGTATACGTATGTCAGTTGTGTTGAGCTTTTCAAAGACAACTTTCAGCTTTGTTAATTTTTCTCTGTTGCTTGTCTGTCCCTGACTCAGCCTTGGAAACACTCTCCTAATGATAGTTGCTTGCCTGCTTAGCTTTCTCAGTTGTCCTTCGGATTGACCTGAGGCAGAAGCGATTGCCATGTTACTGTGTTTATATTCTCTCAGGGCCATCTACCTTTCTGGTCTGGTGTCCTCTTGAGATGAAGTCTGGCCTTTTCCCACGACCTTTTATTTTATTTTATCTTCATTCAGCAAACATTTATTGAATACCTACTATGTGCAGGTCATGGGAACATAGCAGATGAATAAAGTGACCTCATAGGACTTATATTCCAGTGGGAAACTGGACAATGAACAACAGCGGGCCCCACCCTTTGTGGTACCAGGGACTGGTTTCGTGGAAGACAACTTTTCCACAGATGGATGGGTGGGGTATGGTTTTGGGATGATCCAAGTGCATTACATTTATTGTGCACTTTACTTCTATTATTATTACACTGTAATATATGATAAAATAGTTATACAACTGACCATAATGTAGAATCAGTGGGAGCCCTAAACTTCTTTTCCTCTAACTAGATGGTCCCATCTGTGGGTGATGGGATACAGTGACAGATCTTCAGGCATCAGATTCTCATAAGGAGTATGCAACCTAGATCCCTTGCATGTGGAATTCACATTAGTGTTCATGCTCCTATGAGAATCTAATGCCAATGCTGATCTGATGGGAGGTGGAGCTCAGGCAGTAATATGAATAATGGGTAGTGGCTGTAAATGTAGATGAAGCTTTGCTTGCTTGCCCACCACTCACCTCCTGCTCTGTGACCCAGTTCCTAACAGGTCACGGACTGTTACAGGTCTGTGGCCTGGGGGTTGGGGACCCCTGACAAACAAGATAAGTAAATACAGCATTTGGCAAATACATATTTCTCTATATCCATATATTTCGTATTTTCAGACCTTTCACTCGACCCTATGTTGGCTTGTTATGAACCAGTACCCAGACAGCATCTTGCTTTTGCTAGATTGTGGTCTTCTTGAAGATAAGGAGTCAGGGGTAAGTTTTCTTCCATGAAAGAGCTTCTCTACAAAGGGAGGAGCCCATGGAGGTTCATCATAGCCTTATCATTTACCCCTACTCCATTGTGTAGGCCTGGGACTGGGGGTGCTGAGTGAGTTATCCTGCCTCAGATGTGAACTTATGTGGCACTGCTAAGGCCTGGCTGGAACAATTTAACTAGAATTTTATGATAAAGGCCAGGGTAAAATAAAAATATTTGTAAATTCTATATTTCCTCAGATTTAGGGCACCATTATTGTATGATACAGCTCAATTTTTAAGAGCTTTAAATTTTGATAACTTTTTGTCCTAATAAGATTTTAAACTTCCCCATAACCCCTTGACATCACGTTCTGATGCTGAATCAGGTGTCTTCCAGCCCTGTCTGGGTCTGCCTCACCAGTGCTGGACCCCCAGTCCCCCACTATGGATGGGTCTGCTTCCAAGACCTGTTCCTCCTCAGCTGCCTCAACCTTTTGTAGTTATCTGAAATGAAGATTTCCCCAAATTTAAGAGCATCTTCACCTCTGTTGCTTGCCCGAAGTGGCAAATGTAATGAAATTCCTTGAGCTGGAAAAGGTAGATACCCAGTGTAACATAAGTTTCCAGCATTACAGCTCTTGCATTACCTATGGACAAGCCAAGATTATGATTACTGTGACTATTAAACTTATCATTATTAGTGGTAAGTCATTCCAGCAAATCTGCTCTAAAAGCTTTGCTGAGCAACCTACAGTGTGAATTGAATTTTATCAAATGATGTTACTTGTAATTTTTGCATCATTTCTCTTTCAGTAGAACTTTTCAACAAACATTGTCTATTTTTCTATAAGAGAATGGTTCTGGTAGAGCCTGAGATGTACCCAAATTTGGCAGTAATTTACTTGCAAGTTAAATTTATAATACGTTTAAACATTTATATTCTTTAACATTAAATAGCAGGACTTAAAAGCATTTTTTAAAAAGTTTATTACTATACAGTATATCTAGTTTGACCTGAAGTGGAAATTATGCCTGGTTGTTTCACCAAGGAAAACATTTCAATTTGGTTCTTCCATTTCAGAAGAAAAGGTCTAAAATTAGTGTCAGTTTATATTTCTGCTTTATCAGAAAATATTTCAAGTGGAAATTTTCATCATGGATAAGAATGATGACATATAGATTAAAATGTTATGAATATATTTATAACTTTTATAGCAAATAAAATAATAATGCATTCAGATTTTGACATGGATGCTAAACAAACAATGAAAGGTTTGTGTCTGAGAGAATCAGTATTAATAATTATTTAGTATTAAGTAAGCATTGTTAAGTAATTAAGTACTAAGAATTGAGTACAATATTTTAAAATGTGACTTTACAGAGAGAGAGAGTACAAATTGTATAAAATTCAAGAACACATAAAACCAATCTATACTGATGGGCATCAGAATAGTGGCTATCTTTTGGGAGGTGCTGACTAGGCACACAAGATGCCTTCTTGGGGGTTGTACATGGCCTGCATCTTGACTTGGTGGTGATTGATTACAGGGTTGTGAACATATGTAAAAACTTCATCAAGGTGTACATTTCAGATGTGTGTGCCTGACTGCACATACATCGTAGCTCTATAAAATAAGTATAAGTACACTCCCCTACCACCTCATGATTTATGAATGTCTTTCACAAGATCTACAGGCTTCCCTATTACAACTGACCCTCAGGTAGATCCTGCAAGATGGCTGAATAGGAACAGCTCTGGTCTGCAGTTCCGAGTGTGATCGATGCAGGAGATGGGTGATTTCTGCATTTCCAACTGAGGTACCTGGTTCATCTCACTGGGACTGGTTGAACAGTGGCTGCAGCCCACAGAGGGTGAGCCAAAGCAGGGTGGGGCATCACCTCACCCGGGAAAAGCAAAGGGTCAGAGGATTTCCCTTTCCTAGCCAAGGGAAGACGTGACAGACTGTACTGGGAAAATCAGGACACTGCCACCCAAATACTGTGCTTTTCCAAAGGTCTTAGCAAATGGCACACCAGGAGATTATATCCCGCACATGGCTCAGCAGGTCCCATGCCCTCAGAGCATTGGTTACTGCTAGCACAGCAGTCTGAGATTAAACTGCCAGGTGGCAGCCTGGCTGGGGGAAGGGGCGTCTGCCATTGCTGAGGCTTGAGTAGGTAAACAAAGCGGCCAGGAAGTTTGAACTGGGTGGAGCCCACCACAGCTCAACAAGGCTGGCCTGTCTCTGCAGAGTCCACCTCTGGGGGCAGGGCATAGCTGAATAAAAGGAAGCAGAAACTTCTGCAGACTTAAACGTCCCTGTCTGACAGCTCTGAAGAGAGCAGTGGTTCTCACAGCATGGTATTTGAGCTCTGAGAATGGACAGACTGCCTCCTCAAGTGGGTGCCTGACTCCTGTGTAGCCTAACTGGGAGACACCTCCCAGTAGGGGCTGACTGACACCTCATAAGGCTGGCTGCCCCTGCAGAAATATTGTTGTTCTGCAATTTTTGCTGTTCTGCAGCCTCTGCTGGTGATACTTAGGCAAACAGGGTCTGGAGTGGACCTCCAGCAAACTCCAACAGACCTGCAGCTGAAGGACCTGACTGTTAGAAGGAAAACTAACAAACAGAAAGGAATAGCATCAATATCAACAAAAAGGACAAATCCACACCAAAACCCCAAGTGTAGGTCACCAGCATCAAAGAGCAAAGGTAGATAAAGCCACAAAGGTGGGGAGAAACCAGAGCAGAAACCTGAAAATTATAAAAACCAGAGTGCCCCTTCTCCTCCAAAGGATCACAGCTCCTCGCCAGCAATGGAACAAAGCTAGACGGAGAATGACTTTGATGAGTTGACAGAAGTAGGCTTCAGAAGGTCGGTAATAACAAAATTCTCCCAGCTAAAGGAGGATGTTTGAACCCATTATAAGGAAGCAAAAAACCTTGAAAAAAGATGACACGAATAGCTAACCAGAATAGACAGTGTAGAGAAGACCTTAAATGACCTCATGGAGCTGAAAACCATGGCACAAGAACTATGTGATGCATGCACAAGCTTCAGTAGCCGATTTGATCAAGTGGAAGTAAGGGTATCAGTGATTGAAGATCAAATTAATGAAATGTAGCAAGAAGAGAAGTTTAGAGAAAAAAAGAGTAAAAGAAAAAAACAAAGCCTCCAAGAAATATGGGACTATATGAAAAGACCAAATCTACATTTGATTGATGTACCTGAAAGTGACGAGGAAAATGGAACCAAGCTGGAAAACACTCTTCAGGATATTATCCAGGAGAACTTCCCCAACCTAGCAAGGCAGGCCAACATTCAAATTCAGGAAATACAGAGAACACCACAAAGATACTCCTCGAGAAGAGCAGCCTCAAGACACATAATCATCAGATTAACCAGGTTGAAATGAAGGAAAAAATATTAAGGGCAGCCAGAGAGAAAGGTCGGGTTACCCACAAAGGGAAGCCCATCAGACTAACAGTGGATCTCTCGGCAGAAATTCTACAAGCCAAGGAGAGTGGGGGCCAATATTCAACATTCTTAAAGAAAAGAATTTTCAACCCAGAATTTCATATCCAGCCAAACTAAGCTTCATAAGTGAAGGAGAAATGAAAGCCTTTTACAGACAAGCAAATGCTGAGAGATTTTGTCACCACCAGGCATGCCTTACAAGAGCTCCTGAAGGAAGCGCTAAACATGGAAAGGAATAAGCAGTATCAGCCCCTGCAAAAACATGCCAAATTGTAAAGACTATCGATGCAAGGAAGAAACTGCATTGACAAATGGGCAAAATAATCAGCTAACATCATAATGACAGTATCAAATTCACACATAACAATATTAACCTTAAATGTAAATGGGCTAAAATGCCCCAATTAAAAGACACAGACGGGCAAATTGGATAAAGAGTCAAGACCCATCAGTGTGCTGTATTCAGGAGACCCATCTCTTGTGCAGAGACACACATAGGCTCAAAATAAAAGGATGCAGGAAGATCTTCCAAGCAAATGGAAAGCAAAAACAAAAACAAAAACAAAAGCAGGGGTTGCAACCCTAGTTTCTGATAAAACAGACTTTAAGCCAACAAAGATCAAAAGAGACAAGGCCATTACATAATGGTAAAGGGATCAATTCAACAAGAAGAGCTAACTATCCTAAATATATGTGCACCCAATACAGGAGCATCCAGATTCATAAAGCAAGTCCTTAGAGACCTACAAACAGACTTAGACTCCCACACAATAATAATGGGAGACTTTAACACCTCACTGTCAATATTAGATGGATTAACAAGACAGAAGGTTAACAAGGATACCCAGGACTTGAACTCAGCTATGCACCAAGCAGACCTAATAGACATCTACAGAACTCTCCATGCCAAATCAACAGAATATACATTCTTCTCAGCACCACATCACACTTACTCCAAAATTGACCACATAGTTGGAAGTAAAGCACTCCTCAGCAAATGTAAAAGATAAGAAATCACAACACACTGTCTCTCAGACAACAGTGCAATCAAATTAGAACTCAGGGTTAAGAAACTCACTCAAAACTGCACAACTACATGGAAACTGAACAACCTGCTCCTGAATGAATACTGGGTAAATAACGAAATGAGGGCAGAAATAAAGATGTTCTTTGAAACCAATAAGAACAAAGACACAATGTACCAGAATCTCTGGGACACATTCAAAGCAGTGTGTAGAGGGAAATTTATAGCACTAAATGCCTACAAGAGAAAGCAGGAAAGAGCTAAAATTGACACCTTAACATCACAATTAAAAGAACAAGAGAAGGCTGGGCACGGTGGTTCACACCTGTAATCCCAGCACTTTGGGAGGCTGAGGCGGGTGGATCATGAGGTCAGGAGATCGAGACCATCCTGGCCAACATGGTGAAACCCCGTCTCTACTAAAAATACAAAAAACTAGCTGGGCATGGTGGCAGGTGCCTGTAGTCCCAGCTACTCGGGAGGCTGAGGCAGGAGAATGGCGTGAACCCAGGAGGCGGAGCTTGCAGTAAGCTGAGATCGTGCCACTGTACTCCAGCCTGGGCGACAGAGCGAGACTCCGTCTCAAAAAAAAAAAAAAAAAAAAAAAGAACTAGACAAGCAAGAGCAAACACATTCAAAAGCTAGCAGAAGGCAAAAAATAAAAATAACTAAGATCTGAGCAGAACTGAAGGAGATAAAGACACAAAAAACCCTTCAAAAAATTAATGAATCCAGGAGCTGGTTTTTTGAAAAGATTGAAAACAAAATTGATAGACCACTAGCAAGACTAATAAAGAAGAAAAGACAGAAGGATCAAATAGACACAATAAAAAATGATAAAGGGGATATTACCACCAATCGCACAGAAATACAAACTACCATAAGAGAATACTATAAACACCTCTGTGCAAATAAACTAGGAAATCTAGAATAAATGGATAAATTCCTGGACACATACACCCTCCCAAGACTAAACCAGGAAGAAGTTGAATCCCTGAATAGACCAATAACAGGCTCTGAAATTGAGGCAATAATTAATAGCTTACTAACCAAAAAATGTCCAGGACCAGATGGATTCACAGCCAAATTCTACCAGAGGTACAAGGAGGAGCTGGTACCATTCCTTCTGAAACTATTCCAATCAATAGAAAAAGAAGGAATTCTCCCTAACTATTTAATGAGGCCAGCATCATCCTGATACTAAAGCCTGGCAGAGACACAACAAAAAGAGAGAATTTTAGACCAATATCCCTGATGAACATCGATGCAAAAATTCTCAATAAAATACTGGCAAACCGAATCCAGCAGCACATCAAAAAGCTTATCCACCAAGATCAAGTTGGCTTCATCAATGGGATGCAAGGCTGCATCCCTGGCATCACCATATGCAAATCAATAAACGTAATCCACCACATAAACAGAACCGAAGAAAAAAACCATATGATTATCTCAATAGATGCAGAAAAGGCCTTCAACAAAATTCAACAGCACTTCATGCTAAAAACTCTCAACAAACTAGGTATTAATGGAACGTATCTCAAACTAATAAGAGCTATTTATGACAAACCCATAAGCAACATCATACTGACTGGGCAAAAACTGGAAGCATTCCCTTTGAAAACTGGCACAAGACAGAGATGCCCTCTGTCACCACTCCTATTCAACATAGTGTTGGGAGTTCTGGCCAGGGCAATCAGGCAAGAGAAGGAAACAAAAGGTATTCAGTTAGGAAAAGAGGAAGTCAAATTATCCCTGTTTGAAGATGACATGATTGTATATTTAGAAAACCCCATTGTCTCAGCCCAAAATCTCCTTAAGCTGATAAGCAACTTCAGCAAAGTCTCAGGATACAAAATCAATATGCAAAAATCACAGGCATTCCCATACACCAATAACAGACAAACAGAGAGCCAAATCATGAGTGAAATCCCATTCACAATTGCTACAAAGAGATTAAAATACCTAGGAATCCAACTTACAAGGGATGTGAAGGACCTCTTCTCGGAGAACTGCAAACCACTGCTCAACGAAATAATAGATGACACCAACAAATGGAAGAACATTCCATGCTCATGTATAGGAAGAATCAATATCATGAACATGGCCATACTGCCCAAGGTAATTTATAGATTCAATGCCATCCCCATCAAGCTACTAATGACTTTTTTCACAGAATTGGAGAAAGCTACTTTAAAGTTCATATGGAACCAAAAAAGAGCCCACATTGCCAAGACAATCCTAAGGAAAAAGAACAAATCTGGAGGCATCACACTACCTGACTCAAACTATACCACAAGTCTACAGTAACCCAAACAGCATGGTACTGGTACCAAAACAGAGATATAGACCAATGGAACAGAACAGAGGCCTCAGAAATAACACCACACATCTACAACCATCTGATTTTTGACAAACCTGACAAAAACAAGAAATGGGGAAAGGATTCTCTATTTAATAAGTGGTGCTGGGAAAACTGGCTAGCCATATGTAGAAAGCTGAAACTGGATCCCTTCTTTATACCTTATATAAAAATTAATTCAAGATGGATTAAAGACTTAAATGTTAGACCTAAAACCATAAAACCCTAGAAGAAAACCTAGGCAATACCACTCAGGACATAGGCATGGGCAAGGACTTCATGACTAAAACACCAAAAGCAATGGCAACAAAAGCTAAAATAGAAAAATGGAATCTAATTAAACTAAAGAGCTTCTGTACAGCAAAGGAAACTATGATCAGAGTGAACAGGCAACCTACAGAATGGGAGAAAATTTTTGCAATCTATCCATCTGACAAAGGGCTAACATCCAGAATCTACAAAGAACTTAAACAAATTTACAAGAAAAAATCAAACAATCCCATTAAAAAGTGGGCAAAGGATATGAACAGACACCTCTCAAAAGAAGACATTTATGCAGCCAACAGACACATGAAAAAATGCTCATCATCACTGGTCATGAGAGAAATGCAAATCAAAACCACGATGAGACACCATCTCACACCAGTTAGAATGGCGATCATTAAAAAGTCAGGAAACAATAGGTCCTGGAGAGGATGTGGAGAAATAGGAATGCTTTTACACTGTTGGTGGGACTGTAAACTAGTTCAACCATTGTGGAAGACAGTGTGGCAATTCCTCAAGGATCTAGAACTAGAAATACCATTTAACCTAGTGATCCCATTACTGGGTATATGCCCAAAGGATTATAAATCATGCTACTATAAATACACATGCACACGTGTGTTTATTGCGGCACTATTCACAAGAGCAAAGACTTGGAACCAACCCAAATGTCCAACAATGATAGACTGGATTAAGAAAATGTGGCACATATACACCATGGAATAGTATGCAGCCATAAAAAGGATGCATTCATGTCCTTTGTAGGGACATGGATGAAGCTGGAATCCATCATTCTGAGCAAACTATCGCAAGGACAGAAAACCAAACACCGCATGTTCTCACTCATTGGTGGGAACTGAACAATGAGAACACTTGGACACAGGGTGGGGAATGTCACACACCAGGGCCTGTCGTGGGGTGGGGCGATGGGGGAGGGATAGCATTAGGAGAAATACCTAATGTAAACGACGAGTTAATGGGTTTCGCAAACCAACATGGCACATGTATACATATGTAACAAACCTGCACGTTGTGCACATGTACCCTAGAACTTAAAGTATAATAATAAAACAAACAAACAAACAAACAAAAAAACAACTGACCCACAGCAGATTTTTAGCAATCTTTGACTTTCCTGAAGATTGAGTCCCTTTGGAACACTGTGGAGGGTCCTTTCTTCATGTCATCCTTTCAAAAAAAATATGCCAATTGAAAGACAGAATGAAATCTATTTCATCACTGTTGGTCTGCACGACGTTATTTATTTAGCCACATGTCCTTTCCTTATTTCCAGCTAGATAAGTAACAGATACAGAGTATACTTAGTTCCATGCTGCATTCCTGTAAAGATGCCCAGTTTGGCATTTTTAAGGATGAAGTACGTTTATTTTGTTTTCTTGCAAGGATTTATTGTAAAAGCTATATGTGTACATCAATAAAACATTGTTAAATGCAGCATTGCTAAAGAGGTTGGATAATAATTTGAGATATAAGTTCACAATTATGTTTCCCCTTTTTTTTCGCTACCTTTGAAACTCGCAGAGGTTTGGGTTTCCTAGCCTCAGGTTCGGGGTGGAGCGGGGCTGGGCAGGGCAGAGAGCATAGGGACCTTCATGGCTTCCTGGCATTTATTTCCAAAAGCCTCAACCCACTGAAGAGGGCAGGCTTGGCTGGAGAAATGGTTTTCTGTCTGACTAAAAAGAGATTTTGAGTTAGGAGTGGGAACAGGAGGAGGCCTGTGAGTCTCTAAGAAGGTGGTTCTGCCATTTTCTTGGGAGACCTTTGGCAGGGAAGCAGAGTGAGCTGTCAACAAAGGCAGGGACCCAGACACTAATTTCATTGTTCCCAAAGTGGTATCTGCGAGTCCTCATACCTTCAGGAACCATGAGCACAGGGAAGATGTTCTTAGCTATACCCTGTGTGGGGAGATGACCAAAGATAGGACCTCCCATCTGGTCTCCAGCTCTTCCCAAAGCCTTGGTGTTGACCTGGGCCTGGGGGTTGACAGGGAAACCACAAGAACAGCTGAGATTAAATGCATCATCAGTTAGATGGGATGGGGAACTCATAGTCAGTAATAAGTTTGATTAGAAAGAAATAGAGATATTTCACATTGGAAAAACCCTTTTAGACATTGGCTTACGCAAGAAATTCATGACCAACAACCCAAAAGCAAATGCAATAAAAACAAAAGTAAATAGCTGGGACTTAATTAAACCAAAGAGGTTTTGAATGGCAAAAGGACAGTCAGCAGAGTAAACAGAGAGCCCACAGAGTGGGAGAAAATCTTCGCAGTGTATACGTCTAACAAATGACTAATATCCAGAATCTACAATAAACTCAAACAAATTAGCAAGGAAAAAACAAACAATCCCATCAAAAAGTGGGCTAAGGACATAGACAGTTCTCAAAAGAAGATACACAAATGGCCAACAAACATTAAAAAATGCTCAACATCACTAATGATCAGGGAAATGCAAATCAAAACCACAACGTGATACCACGTTACTCCTGCAAGAATGGCCATAATCAAAAAATCAAAAAACAGTAGATGTTGGCGTTGATGCAGTGAACAGGGAACACTTCTACACTGTTGGTGGGAATGTAAACTAGTACAACTGCTATGGAAAACAGTGTGGAGATTCCTTAAAGAACTAAAAGTAGAACTACCATTTGATCCAGCAATCCCCTACTGGGGATCTACCCAGAGGAAAAGAAGTCATTATACAAAAAAGATACTTGCACACATGTTTATAGCAGCACAATTCACAATTGCAAAAATGTGGAACCAACCCAAATACCCATCAATCAATGAGTGGATAAAGAAACTGTGGTATATATATATGATGGAATACTACTCAGCCATCAAAAGGAATGAATTAATGGCATTTGCAGCAACCTGGATGAGATTAGAGACTATTATTCTAAGTGAAGTAACTCAGAAATGGAAAACCAAATATCGTATGTTCTCACTCGTAAGTGGTAGCTAAGCTGTGGGGATGAAAAGGAATAAGAATGACACAATGGACTTTGGGGACTCGGGGGAAAGTATGAGAAGGGGGTGAGGGATAAAATATTACAAATTGGGTGCAGTGTATACTGCTCAGGTCATGGGAGCACCAAAATCTCGCAAATCACCACTAAAGAACTTACTCCTGTAACCAAACACCACCCGTTCCCCAATAATCTATGGAAATAATTTTTTTTAAAAAGAAAGATATTTCTAGCACATATGAGTTTATGGATGGAGACTCATGCCTGCCACACTGTGAAAACATTCTTCCCTTCAAAATCCCTATCAGTGTAATTTGAAGTGAATATTCTAGTACCACATGCTTTTGGACTCTAAGGAAGAGATATAATGTACGAAAATGTGGTATCTGAATGCAGCAAATTGAAAAATACCAGTCCAGATACTTTGGGGCCATGCAGAGAGTTTCCCAGTCAGGTGTAAGTGTGGGTGGTGGTGGTTTGAATACTGAAGGGATGGACAGGTGGGGGTGACAACTAAGAGCTGCCACCTGGGGAGAATCCTAGGCAGAGTCTGGGCCTGGACAACCCAACCAGTAGTGACCGTGGGCCGGACGAGCCTCTGGGCTCTGCAGCTCCGTGTGACACAGGCTCCTAGCCAGGAGCTCATTCCGAGTCAGAATGTGCCTGCAATTAGGTCTCAGGAATCTTGACAAGCAGTTGTAAAAAATCTCAAAGAAAGGAAGATATAGAAACAAGCTGGAGAGACGAGAAAACAAAAACATTTGATCTAGATGGTTCTTTTCCACTTCCAGTTTGGGACCGGAACTGGTGACTGAGGTTGGGGGAGGGGAGCTCCTGGCTGCAGTTGCAGGCTGGGAAGGAACTGCATCTAGTTGAAAAGCGAGAGGCTTTCAGCTGGGCTGTCTTCCCACCTGGAACCAAGGCAGGGGAGCTGGGATTACAGGATGGCTGTCACAGGGAATGTAGAGACCTACACCTCAGCCTCAAGCCCAGAGGGGGAGGGGATTGAGCTAGGAGCTCAAAACAGAGACTTCTAGGCACTGCCCTCGGTCGCAGGCCAAAGAAAGAAGTTCAAGAAAGCTGTTGGAATAGGTTATGTAAGAATGAGAAACAATCCACACTGTAACAAGAACCCCACTCGTGTGTGTGCATGCGCGCATGTGTGTATGTGCTTGTAGGTGCGTGTGTGGGTGTGTGCGCCTGTGTGCATGTGTATGTGTGCATGTGTTTGTGCATGTGTGTATTTGTACATGTGTGTGGGTGTGTGCGCGCATATTATGTGTGTGTGCTTGTGTGTGCGTGTGTACGTGTTCATGTGCATGTGTGTATGTGCTTGTGTGTGTGTGTGCATGTGTGTGTGTGTGTGTATGCATGTGTGCCTGTGTGGTGGTAATGACCACAACTGGGAAGCCAGCCTGGAAAAAGCCGGCCTGGAAAGACTTGGCTTTATTTGTGTCCAGGGAATTTGGGAATGAGCATTCTGTCTTGGCCAGGAGGTGGAAGAAAAATGCAACTAGGAAGGGCTACTTCCAACGAACAGCTTTAAAGAGTTGCAGTTCTGGGGAAAAGGTGAGAGATAATTCTAAATGCTTTGTCAAGTCAAGCTGGCCCAGGGAATAATCTGGTTATCTCTAATTTACCCCTTCCTATGCTAGTATCCCCTCTTGCTATAATCAAATTGCTTTTTACCCTGAGTTGTTAGGACCAGGGGCCATGTAAGAAATACATAAAAATAAAATTAAGAGAAAACTCTAAGTTTGTGGTCACTGAAAGTAAAGTTCTTCATAAGTTTTCTCCAGCTCCAAAATTCTGTGATTCACACATTTTACAATCTATAAAATAATGCAATATCAATAATAATATTGTTTGCTGTCTTCTGAGATCTCCATGGGAAAGATATGCTAGGATATTATAGAAGTTGGCCCAAACTGTGCACAAATGGATTAGAGTGAGCAGAATCAAGTAAAAGAATGGTTTGAATAATAACATATTGATAACAGATAATACAAACTTTTTTCATTAAGCTTCAGAAGAATCTTAGTAGAAATGCATTGTTTGGAATGCATATGCTTTGGTCTCAATAAAAATATCCGGTTGCAGAGATATTTCATGTGGTTTGAACTAACAGGCAAAAAATTAAAAATTCATTGGTATACACTAATTCATGCAATTGTATATTTTGGAGGTAAGTGTAATGGCATAGGTTTGCTGTAATGGAACTGATTGGAAAATGATCTCTTGGAGAAAATTTATTGCTGGTCATAAGATTTCTTTGGTTTAGAAAAATGCTGGGTTTAGTAAAATCTGAGGCACTAAATGAAAGTCTGCTTTAATAAAAATGTGGATCTGAGAACTGTGGTTTTTAGTAAGTGGGCATTTGATCCATTAAAATTGTATTGGTTTTATTCTTTACGTTGGCTTTTCCTGAAATCCATCAGTTTGAAGCATGAAGTAAGCACTTGCCAGATATTGCTCCAATAATGAAACATTGAAAGCAAGGCCCTGAATAACTGTTAAAACAAGTCCTATTAATCAGCTGTGACTTGTCCCTTTGTAAACTTCTCAAAATGGAAAAAGAAGCAGTTTATTTCACTTTTGTTGAAGATGGCAAAGCAGTAATTTTATTGTCACTGAATCCCCTCAGCATCCTAGAACTCAATGATGAAAAAATATGTACAGAATTAGATCATGCCGCCTGCTTGGGCTGTCTGCATCTCTTCTTCCATACAGAGTTCCCCAGTGCTTTGTCTAGGCGAAGCTGAGCTGGACCCCTGACGAGGACTCCGCCACTCTCCTTGGATGAGGATCCTGTGGTCTAACTGGCCTTATTGTTAGGAAATTGTTCATAAAATTAGGAAACTCAGAGTGAACAGAGAACTCAGACAGGACTCTTCCTTGCAGAGGGTAACGTACATGTGGAATGAGTTACTGAGAAAAGTGATTGAGGCGAAGAGCACAAATGAATTCAAGAGAGTTCCAGGTTTATTTCTGGACATGGCAGAGGAGGGAGGGGATGAGGAGGAGGCCAGTAGGAGGTAGGGTTAAGATGCATTTTTGCAGGACAGGCATGTAAATAATTTTGCTTATTCTTCAAATTTCCTTTTACGATTGTGGAATATTCCCAATGAAAGGCTGCATGTTCTCATCCATTTGGCACTCATGGGTACAGCAGGGTCAGATTCTGGTCCTGCCGCTGTCTCTGAGGGAGATGGTTTCTATTGCAGAGGCTGGGGGGAGTGGGGGTATCCCACCTGATCCAGAGTGAACAATTCAGCAGCAAAAGAGGAGTCAGAGCCGGGCACTCCCAGTGGGTTTCTGGCCTGAAAGTGCAAAACCAAGAACTTGCCTCTGAAAGCCTCTGTTTTTAACTATGTTTTCAGCTGGGAAAGGGCACTGAAGACCAGTTACATGGAAGACCCTATTTTCTCCTCATTGCTTCAATGTTGGACTTATGAATGTGGTAGTCTGCTAGGGCTGCACAAAGTACTACAGAATGGGAGGCTTAAGCAACAGACATGTAAATTCTCACAGTTCTGGAGACCAGAAGTCTAAGACTAGGGTGTTGGCAGGGATGCTTTCCTGTGAGGCCTTGCTCCATGGCTTGTCTTCTCCTTGTGTCTTCACATGGTCTTTGTGTGTGTGAGCGTGTGTCCTAGTCTTCTTTTCTTACAAGGACAACAGTCATGTTGGATGATGGCCCATCCATATGACCTTGTTTTAGCTTAATTACTTTTTTATATAGCCTATCTCCAAATATAGTTTTTTATATATATATATGTATATTTTTAGAGACGGAGTCTCGCTCTTTCACCCAGGCCAGACTGCAGAGGCGCTATCTCGGCTCATTGCAAGTTCTGCCTCCCAGGTTCATGCCATTCTCCTGCCTCAGCCTCCCAAGTAGCTGGGATTACAGGTGCCTGCCACTGCATCTGGCTAAAAATACAAAAAATATAGTTATATTTTGAGGTACCGGGGGTGAGGAATTCAACATGAATTTGGTGAGGACACAATTCAGTCCATAGCACTGAGGTTGAGGAAGAAACTGGAAGCACTGGAAGAGTTTTGCTGCAGCTCCAAGGGAGAAGGACACACACCTGGCTGGGAGCCTTTGTGGCAGCCTCGAGGTCTAGCCTAGAAGGGGTTGTAAAAGGGCTGACAAAGGGAGGCCTGAGCTTCTGGCTCACAGCACTGGGTGCTGAGGTCTCCCAGCAACTGACTCATCAACCCTGAAGTCGGAGGCTCTTGGAAGCTGAGGTCCTCCTGCCCTGCACTCAGCCCCACTCATGATCCCCTTTGATGCTCTGCAGGTAGCACATGCAAGGGAGAAGGGGGAAATGTGGCAAAGGGGGATCACTAAATGGTCAAAAACTGCCTTGGCTGGGATGTAAGAAACCAACTGTTTTAGGCAGGGAAACGTTATAGGTGGAGGTGATGCCAACAGGAGAGGAACCTGTGGTGTGGTATAGTGTGTCAGGGTGGGAGAGAGAGAGCTCCATGTGTTAGTCCTCCAAGACACAGAATTTATTAGTGTAGAAAACAACTCCAGACATGGAGCCCTTTTAAACTTTCACAGCTTGGAGGTTCAGTGCCATCTGCCTTGCTCTGAACCCAGTACCCCAGGCTGGCAGCCAGGAGGAGGAAATTCAGTTCCAGTGCTGTCAATGGGGCTCTTGCTATATTTGAGGTTTCACATCATGGCCACTTGCCTCCACTTTTCCTATGTCTTCTGTTTTCCACCAGACCCCAGAGTTTTTCTTAGAAAGTTTATAAGGCCCAATGTGAGTAGGGGCTCAAAGACAAGGTCAAGGGCAGGCAAGATGGATGAGGCAAATAACTCAATGAGCAAGTGACGGCAGGCCCTTCAGGCCGCCTTCTCATGCAATTGATAGTTGCTCCTTCCTCACATTTGGTTTGGTTCCCTAAATGTTAAATCATCTCTAGGATAAGCAGGTGATAGCCCATGAATGGAGCCAGATGCTGAGATGTTGTTCAGCTTGAGTGGCCTGCAGTTCATTCCTGACCAAGCTGTGGTTTGTTCCTGCTGGCTGTTGGATCACCTCCTTCAAGGATTCATCACTGGATAGGCCACTGTTGGCCATTGGAGCTATTCCACCAAGACTGATCTGAACTCTCCCTATGAGACTTTTCTTTTTCCAGTAGGCTCCATATCTGATTCTATGAAAAGTTCAGCCCAAATGAGAGGACCTTGGGAACACATGTCGATAGAACAGAGTCCAGCTCCTCAAACTGCCTCTCTGACTTATCTGTGCACAGAGCAATGCTTTATGTGGTAAATCCTCAACTGACATTGTCAAATTGAGTGAACTGACATCAAAAAAGTGGGGGAAACAAGGTAGCTAGCATCAGAAGTGTTATTGTCAGCTGCCAGTTATCTCCAGGTATCTGTACCATTTATAAATTAAGCTGGGATATTTACACAAGTCCAGCCTTCTCTTTCTGTTCCTAGAGTAAGAAGTTATCCTTTTATTGTTCCATAAAATAGGGAAGCTTCATATGTTTTTTAATACAGATTTTGTGATGATTACATGGAGGCAGTCAGTGTCTGGCATGCAGTAAGTACTGTATGTACCATTTCATCATTATTGCTATTGTCATCCTCACCACTGAAATTAGATAAAAAGGCTTTCAAGGTTGAGATTCCTTTTGAAATCAATGGTGAGTCAAGCAGCTAGTCCAGAAGGAGCTGAGCTCCTCCTCTTTATGACAGTTTTTAGCGTGAGAGAGGCAGCATTGTCCTGAAAAGAAGAGATCCCAAGGCTCAGCTGTGAGAATAGAGTCTTTACATCTGTTGAAATCAGGAAGTAACTGGAATTCACAAATTTCTGGTCACTTGAGATTTCCTGACTGTTTTATGAACCACAGTTGAACATAAATTAATCTTGGGAACATACTGGAGTTTACTTGTGTCTCTAGACCATTTTATAGCCCAGATCTTTTCCTGAAAGATGGCTTTGCTGTTGATTTCCACTTTCCTTAGGATCTTTACAGAAACTTCTCCAGCTTCTGAAAGGGCCAGAAGAATTTACCTGTCTGAAAGCAGAGGTCACACATGAATGGATTTTCTTGTAGACGAGCAGTAGTTCCTTAGCTTTGAAGGTGTCGCCAATGGATTTTTATACATACTACTAGAGAGTCAAATATTTGGCAGGTTGATTCAAAAGAACATTTCACTGGGATGAGGGAGCACTAAATATACATGGTGAGCAGATTTGTCTTTTACCAAATGCATTTGTTATGAATTACGATGAATGCTTCTTCCTTTAGCGTTATCACATTTTTTTCTATTGTTTCAGTACTCAAAAATGTGACTGTAGGAAAGACTGAAAATAGCCAAGGCATTACCCTTGTTTCTAGTAAGCCTGAAGAAGACAGCAGACTGGTCGATAAGTATGGACATCAAATGTGTTTATGTGATCCATCTAGTCCAGAAATATTTGCTCAGATCCTACCATATGTCTGGCCCTGAGATAAACATTTGCTATTAGGCAGTGTTCTTGTCTCTGGTTTTAAGGAACAGAACACTACTCAAGCATGCTCATATATCAAATAGATTTTATTGAAGGCACCATTGTGACAGCTCAGGGAAAATGATAATAGCAGAGTCAGATGTGAACTAGTTCTAGGTACTGGGAAATGATCACCATCTCCAACAGCTACCCTTGCTCTCTGTTTTGGCCTCTCTGTATCAGTCTCAGTTCTCTGCCTCCCAAAGTACTTTTTTTTTTTGAAAATAGTTTGTATCTTGTTATAATAAGGCAACTCTAAGAGTTTTCAACAAAATACATTTTGTAGGCTTGGGTAGTTAGAATATTCATACCATAAAAGGTAATTTTCCAGATAACTCCCTGCTCTAAAATTTCAGTTTCTCTTTACAGATTACTAGGAAGGTCTTTTTCATTGATGTGAAGGACTTTGTCACTTTAGGTAACTAATACTACTGAGCATATTAATACCCTTCAACACCATGCTAATCAATGCTGAACAACAGCATACAGGTATCACTAAAGAGAATACAATGCTACAATAACCAAAAGCTTTGCTCTAGGAGGCCAAAGGGGAAAACCGTCTTGTCACTTGGCTGCCACTTCAATGAAGTAATTGGGTAAGACTCATTTATTCCTAAACAACAGTTGCCAAATTTGAATGGAAATGAGTATTTGGATTTAGTCATTAATGTTCAAGGAAATGCTGCAGCAATTCTCTGAATATTTCCAAAGAATGCATCACAATCCAGGAATATAGAATGTATAAGGCTACTTTTACAAAGCGCCATCAGAGATTAACATGTTGCATGGGCTTGCAACACTGGCACTTTGATATTCATTACCATATGTAAATTAAAAACTGCCTTGAACATTAAGATTGTTAATTTGAGTGTGGGGAAAAACTAATCTAATACTCATTTCAGTCTTTACATCTGTTGAAATCAGGAAGTAACTGGAATTCACAAATTTCTGGTCACTTGAGATTTCCTGACTGTTTTATGAACCACAGTTGAACATAAATTAATCTTGGGAACATACTGGAGTTTACTTGTGTCTCTAGACCATTTTATAGCCCAGATCTTTTCCTGAAAGATGGCTTTGCTGTTGATTTCCACTTTCCTTAGGATCTTTACAGAAACTTCTCCAGCTTCTGAAAGGGCCAGAAGAATTTACCTGTCTGAAAGCAGAGGTCACACATGAATGGAATGAATGAGTGTCCAATGATAGAGGATGTGAGCCACTAGGAATATTCTGTAATCAAATATAGATATGTAAAATATTATTTCGTTTCGTATAATTAGATACAGAGTTAGATGGAATATCTATAGACTGCAACAAATTAAACCAAAATAGACTCTTACATATTTGTTATGGGTTTTTTGTTTGTTTGTTTTCTTTTTTTAGAGACAGGGTCTCACTCTGTTGCCCAGGTTGGAGTGCAGTGGTGTGATCATGGCTCCCTACAGCCTCCACCTCCTGGGCTCTATGAGTGTGTGCCCCCAAGCCCAGCTAATTTCTGTGTTTTTTTCTAGAGATGAGGGTCGCACTATGTTAGCTGGCATCTTGGAAGGCTTTTTAAATTATTTGCTTTAAATCCTTTAAGTAAACAGATTAAATCCCTATTTGAAATAAAAGTAGCTGTTTACTCATGTAAATGCATTGTTTTTCCTTGACTACTTAAAGGCAAACAGATTAAAGGACATGGATTGTCTAAAGAGGCTTTGGTGAAGAGTATGTTGAAATTCCTTTTTTTTTCCCTACTGCAATCCTTTTCACCAATTCATTTAGGCTTTCTATGGCTTTTAAAAGATGAGAGAGAAAAGTTTTTGTTTCTAATTAACAAGGTTTCACAAGCAGGCAGAGGCATTACTGTTTCCATTTAAAAAGAAAGAAAACCTAGAAAAATGGTGACATGTTCCTCCACCGGCAGGATGGGGGTAAGGGACAACTTTGGGCATGCCAAGATACTTTTTTCACTGAGAGATTTATTTTAAAATATTACTTTATAAGCAAAAGGGCAATCTATCATTGGATTTTCCAACACCATGTTGGTGTTTTAATTAAAATAGCAGGGTGCATGATATTAATGAACAGGCATTGGTTCTCAAGTCCTTCTCAAGAGTTAAGAGGGCTGGCGATAGTCTTGTCTCAAACTCAAATAAAGGGCATTTTCATAATTCTCAGTGGAACAGTGAATATATTTCTCCCTTCCCACACCATACACATTTCTCAAATGCAAATGTGACTTTTAAGGAAGCCTGCCTGGCTCTCTCCGAATTCTGGAGCCAGTGATAAGAGAACAGGACACCCACCCTGATAGCCCACCAACCCAGCAGTTGCTTTGCAGTCAGGGGCAGGGGAGGCTGCTCCTCCTTGGAGGAGGGGGCTTTTTCAGAGGTGTGCATCCCATGTTGTCATCAATTCCTTTCTGTTCACAATTTCCTACATAGGAGGGATTTGAATCTTTTTATAGACATTCTTGACTTTGTCTCCAGTTTAGACCATTTGCCATGTTAATGGTGAAAAGGATTCCCAGGGTCAGGGGACATCGTTATCTTCTCAGCAGATGTGTGGCACAGTGGGGCAGCATTGGACTTAGGATTTGAAAACCTGGACATCGACCCCAGCTTTGTCCCTTGTTCATTTATTCCGACAACAAATAGTGAAAGTCAATTGCATGCCAGGCACTGTCCTTGCTGCTGAGACACCCAGGGATCAGGTGTGGCTCCTGACCTGGGGCTCACCTCTAGTACAGCATTTTCCAAATACTCCATGGTGGAGGACCAGCTTTTAAATTTTAAAAAATTCATCATGGCCTAAAAGTTTTGTGAAGTACAATATAGCCAAGTGACTATAAAAGTGAAAATAAAGACATGCAAAATATAAACACACATTTCATTGTTATTAGATTCCACAAGCATAAAATTATTCTGTCAGAGTGACTATTTGGTTCTTTCTCATCTCTATAGTTATCTCTTCGCAGACAGGTAACAGCCTGTGGAGGACCACACTGGGTATCATTTGTCCGGCAGGTGCTGCGATCCTAAGAGGGTAACATTCTCCCCAGCCACTGGAAGTGGGTGGAATGGAGCCACTATAGTAAATGTTGTTGGATGCCTACTTAGCAGCCTGCCTCCTGCCCCCTGCCTCCTTCCTGAGAGACTCCAATTTACTCAGCTGTGCACTGGACACACCACCCTGATTGTGGCTGGCCTCACCTGTAGGTTGTGGCAAACTTGACTGGCCTAAGGGTAATCCCATATGCCTTACCCCTAAATGGGCCAGGAGGAGGCACTTGATGGGGTCTAGGTCCATGAACTTCAAAGTAAGCTTTGCTGTGAATATTGGGAAAGGTCTCTCTTTGCTCTTTCTAGACAGCTTTCAGAAGCAATTGTACTAGATTAAGAAAGTGTGTTAGTTGGGGTTCTCTAGAGAGACAGGAATAATAGGATAGAAGCATATATGAAAGGAAGTTTATTAAGGAGTATTGACTCACAATCACAAGGTGAAACTCCACAATAGGCTGTCTGCAAGCTGAGGGGCAAGGAAGCCAGCCTGAGTCCGAAAACCTCAAAAGTAGGGAAGCTGAAGGTGCAGCCTTCAGTCAGTGGCTGAAGGCCTGAGAGCCCCTGGCAAACCACTGGTGTAGGTCTAAGTGTTCAAAAGCTGAAGAACTTGGAGTCTGATGTTTGAGGGCAGGAAGTATCCAACACGGGAGAAAGTTGGAGGCCAAAAGACTTAGCCAGTCTAGTCTTTCCATGTTCCTTTGCCTGCTTTTATTCTAGCCACACTGGCAGCCGATTACATGGTGCCCATGCAAATTGAGGGTGGGTTTGCCTCTCCTTGTACTGACTCAAATGTTAATCTCCTTTGGCAACACCCTCACAGACTCACACAGGAACAATACTTTGCATTCTTCAATCCAATCAACCATCACAGAAAGAAAGCATGAAGTCCAGATGACTGGACCAAAAGAACACCCTAGGTTGGATGGATGCTGGATGGCCAACTGGATGGGAAAAAAGCGGGTCTTGATAACATTCTAATTAGCCCCAAACCCTCTATTCCCATGAGCCAGTCTCTTCTCTTTAAGTTGATGCTAGCTGCCGTTTTGTGTTATCTGTTACAGACTAATACAATTTGCAATAATTGAAGATGCAATATTTATTGATATATTATTATCAATTGAAGTCCATAGCTTACATTAGGATTCACTCTTAGTTTTGTATGTTCTGTGGATTTTGACATATGTAAAATGACTTGTGCCCACCATTACAGTATCACATAGAATGGTTTCACTGCCCCAAAATACCCTCTGTTCCATCTATTTATCCCTCTTCCTTTCCATGGACCCTTGACAACCACTGATCTTTTTATTGTTTCCATAGTTTTGCCTTTTCCAGAATGTCATGTAGTTAGAATAGTACGGTATGTAGCCTTCCTAAATTTGCTTCCTTCACTTAGCAATATACATTTAAGGTTATTTTTTGTTCCCAATAGCTCACTTCTTTTTGTGGCTGAATATTTCATTGCTTGTGTGTGCCATAGTTTGTCTATTCATTCACCTATTGAAAGCCATCTTGGTTGCCTCCAAGTTCTGGCAATTATGAGTAAAGCTCCTGTAAACATTAATGTGCAGGTTTTTGTGTGGACTTAAGTTTTCAACTCCTCTGGGTAAATACCAGGAGCACCACTGCTAGATTGTATGGTAAGACTATGTTTACCTTTGTAAGAAACTGCCAAACTCTCTTGCAAAGTGATGGTATTATTTTACATTTCTATAAGCAATAGATGAGGGTTCTTGTTCCTCTTCATCTTGCCAGCATTTGGTGTAGCCAGTGTCTTGGATTTTTTTCCACAGAATGATATTTTTACATATCCCTGAACAAGGGATGATGTTTAAAATTCTTAGCAATGAGTATCACCAGGGCAGGAGCTCACAGAACAGATGTGGATATTCAGGTGAAGATTGGCTGATCACTGGCCCAGCCTGCAACAGAGCGCCATTTGAGATCATTGCCAAATGCTTTTATTTGTTCTTCTTTTTCCCTCACTAGAAGAGCAACAGCTCATGTGCATCTGGATTACTCCCTACAGCAGCCCTCCCTAACAAGATGCCAGGACTCTCTAAGCCGTATTTAATATCCCTCCTTTGTTAGGACCCCACATGTTCCTTGAGACATTAAGAATCCTGGCAAGAGTAGGGGTGATGAAATTCTTTGTTGTAGGGAGCAGCATCACATGGAAGTATGGCTTCTCACTGCCCTCAGCAAGTCCCAGGCCAAAATTGGAGGTGGACTACGTTTATTTTCAGCATTCTGCCTTCTTACCATTTCTTGTCCCTTACTTGTCTCAGACAGTCTACCTCCCTAGAGAAATATTTTATAGTAAAATTGCAGAAACTATCATTAACCTAATGTAACCTTATTTAGAGGAGAGAGTTTCTGCCTTTTAAGAAGGTCTAAGGGGAAGGACATTGCTATACCCAAAGAATGGAGCTTGGATGTTAGGTAAACATCCATGCAGGATCCTCACTAGATTCCTCAGAGGTGTCTGCTCACCTAAAATTTGATTCCCAGGATTCTTCTGGGAATCAGAGACAAGGGAAAGCAAAAGTAGGGAAGAAAGAATAAGAGAAGAGGAGGTAGAGCAAAGCAAGGAATGGACAGAAACACAAAGGAGAAATGGGAAGTGGATGGAGAGGGGAAACAGATCACTGTTGGCAATGGTTTCAGATGGTACTGAGCAGCCCCTGCCCAAGTCTCCAGTCATTCTCTCCATGATGCTCAGTGCCATGGTTTTTATTCAAAAGCTCAATGATAAATTTCATTTGTGCAAATTTATCTAGAAAGAGCTAAAAATCAGAGTCACATACTCTTTGTTTTCAGCGTGAGAGTGGGTTACAAATCCCGCCTCTGTTCCCCAGTGCTGTCTTGCACATTTGGATTTCCGATTAACCAACAGATGTGGGGGGAAAATGGCTGGCCCGGCCAGAGAGGTCCCCCATGACCACACATGTGCAAATACTGAGGCTCACAAATCATTCCTGTGAACTCAGCTGTAGCTCATGTGATTCCCCCTCTGCTGCCCACATCAGATGCCTGGGAGAATCTGTGATGGGGATGGAGCTGGGTCAGGCAGGAGAGGAGGGAGCCAGCAGATTTGACTTTAAGGATGAGTTTAATCATCTCTTTGCCTTGAATTTCTTTTCCCAACAAATTCTGAGGAGTGGGAACTCTGTCAGGGAGAATATAATAGAAAATATTTCCCTACATGGACAAATAGGAGCTTAATGAATGACTAATTAAAAGATAGGGATCGTCAGACCCATTGGAAATATACTGGGTACAAGGTAGTTTTTCTAGATACAAACAACATAATCCTTCCTTCACCGTGTTAGTTTCTTTTCCCTACGTTTCAAAAGAGCAAATAAAAGGTTCACAAGTTTCTCAGGCATCAAATAGTTCTGAAAAATGTCAACAACATCGGTGTAAAACTAATAAAAATATGGCACAAATTTAGCACTTGTACTTAAAGGAAATATAAAAATGGGAAAAAGAAGCAGATGGAAAAGCATGCTTGGGGCTTGAGCAGATCAACCTCACATATTAAAAAGCAAAACAAAATAGAACAGTTCTGGAGGGAATGTTTAGAAAGAATGGCTTATTTAATTAGAAAAATAATAATGCCTCCTTTCCTTTTTCTTCAACAACATTGAAGTTGAAAATGGACTTAAGCCATTACCTTTGGCTGTCCTAGCAGGGGAGGGTTTCAGACTTTCATTTCTTTCCCAGCCTATGGTGTGAGGGGAAAAGTTGTCTTGGCATGGAGATACACTGTCAGTGCAGACTCCTCAAAGATGAATGGATGTGCATTTAAGAACAGATAGCTGAGAACATCTCTGAACATCAGTTTCTGCATATAAAAAATAGAGCCAATAAACTCTTCCTCACCAGTTTCTTGAGAAAATTAAGTGATATAACATGTGGGAAATGCCTGCCTTAGGAGACATCTAGACCAACACTGTTGCAATGATGGACGTCTTCTATGTTCTGTACTGTCCAACAGAATAGCCACCAGCCACATGTGGCCACTGAACACTTGAAACATGATTAATGCTATGAAGGAAATTAATTTTTACTTTTGTATGACTTTAGTTAATTTAAGTATGAGAGCCACATGTGCCTGGTGGCTACCATGTTGGATGGCTCAGGTCTAGACAATATGTGTAATGTTGATCATGATGATGATCATATTAGTTCTGCTTCCTCAAGTTGGAGTCAAAGTTTTATGCTCAGGGAACTTGTGCCTCTAGGATGGGATCAGAAAACAAAACTTTTCCCCGGCAAGTTGTATCACAGTTAGGTTTTTGTAAATATGGTCACCTGTGGCCAGGTAAGCTTTGAGCTTTGAGTCTGCCTGTTCTTTGATTCTGCCTTCTCTTAACCAGTTACCGGGAAATGTCAGGGAGAAATGGACAATTTATGTACAAGAACTAAGCATGCCTTCTTTTTGGCATGATCAGATTCTGTGCTCTGTTAACTATTGTTTTCATTTTAAATGTTTTTATTATGACCAAAAATTGATAGTCATAGGATTGACTGAACATTCAGAATGGCCTTGTCCTTACAGTGGCCACAATGTCTCAGAATGACAGCAGAAATAATAATCAAATAAGCATGGTAGATGCTTCAATTGAGATTTAAGAAGAATCAGAATATCCTGTGGTTTTGAAGTTTCCTATGAAGGCAGTCGCTAAAGAACATTCCACTTTGCATAAAAGACTTCATTTCAAGGCTTTCAGTCAAATGCATGGCTAGCTGATGGATCCCACTGGGCTTAACAAGCACAATTAAGGTCTTCATCAAACCTTAATAGATTGGTGTCATTGAGCACTGACCAGTGCTTGGAATGTTTTTCTTCTCTGCCTATCATCCATGTCTGAAATTTTCCTCAAATATTGGCAAAGAGAACATATAAGGGTGGATTAGTAGTTCTCCTTTATTCATATATTGTGATATTTTAAAGGCATCTTTCAGTAAATGCGTTATCATATTAGCATCTAACTGACTGATCCAATGGGTTATATCAAAATGCAAGGTGCGTACACATGGGACTCATATCTCAAATTCATTATAATATCCTTGTTTCATGCACTCTTAACTCTCCAGAGGGCTTCTAAATCCAATTCTTTCATTTCAAATAAATAGTAATGAGAGCATCTCTGAATATCAACATAATATACCCAAGATCCTAGGAAACAATGCAATTGGCCATTTAAATAATTAGAAGACGAGATGCACTTTTGTTGGCCAATGTTGGTGCAACAATGAAACTACTTGGGACAGAAGTTATCAGTTTGGGAAAGGAAGCAGGAACACAGTTAGAAGAGATAAGAAGGAAGAAAAAGAAGCTAAAGGCACAAGATGAGAGCAATAGATAGTAGAGGGAAGGTGTAAGATAATGAGAGTGGTAAGTGGCAAGTTGGAGTCTAGCTTTTCCCTAGAGGGGCTCTTCAGGAAGAAATAAAAAATTTTTATAAAGTACCACTGTTCTTTCTTTTGGCATGATCATTTAAAAGAGGGCAAGAAGGAAAGTGAGGTGAGTTGAAGCCCTACAAAAGCCTTGTAGGATGTGATTAAGTGACCAAGGACAGGGGCACATCCCCCTTGGGTCCCATATATTGCATTGCAACCCTTTGATGACAGTGGACGCTTAATTAATGTTATACTTATAATAAGATTATTTTAGGCTTGTGTTCATTTTTATCCAGGTTATATTCTTGTGATATCCTTATTTTCCATTTATAAAGATTACCTCAACTATTTGTTTCATCCTTTGATATTGGATATGCTGATGCATTTCTCTTTCTCTTTCTTTTCTTTTGTTATTCTTTGCTTTACAAGCACAATTAAAGACTTCATGGACCCTCATTATCTTATAAACTTCCCTCTACTACTTCGTGTCTACTTCAAGGACAGAATTTTGTTCTTTTTTTATGACTGCATAGTATTCCATGGTGTATGTACCATATTTTCTTTACCAAGACTACCACTGATGGGCATTTAGGGTGATTTCATGTCTTTGCTATTGTGAATAGTGCTGCGATGAACATACATGTGCATGTGTCTTTATGGTAGAATGATCTATATTCCTTTGAGTATATACCCAATAATGGGATTGCTGGGTTGAATGGTAGTTCTAAGTTCTTTAAGAAATTGTCAGCTGGGCGCAGTGGCTGATGCCTGTAATCCCAGCACTTTGGGAGGCTGAGACAGGCAGATCACGAGGTCAGGAGATCGAGACCATCCTGGCTAACACGGTGAAACCCCGTCTCTACTAAAAACACAAAAAAATTAGCCGGGCATGGTGGCGGGTGCCTGTAGTCCCAGCTACTCAGGAGGCCGAGGCAGGAGAATAGCGTGAACCTGGGACGTGGAGCTTGCAGTGAGCCAAGATCACGCCACTGCACTCCAGCCTGGGTGACAGAGCGAGACTCCGTCTCAAAAAAAAAAAAAAAAAGAAAAAGAAAAAGAAATTTTTACACTGTTTTCCACATGGCTGAACTAATTGACACTTCCACCAACAGTGTATAAGTGTGTCTTTCTCTGCAACCTTGCCAATATTTGTTACTTTTTGACTTTTTAATAATAGACATTCTGACTGGTATGAGGTGGTATCTCACTGTAGTTTCGATTTGCATTTCTCTAATAATCAGTGATGTTGAACTTTTTTTCATAAGATTGTTGCCTGCATGTATGCTTTCTTTTGAAAAACGTCTGTTCATGTCCTTTGCCCACTTTTTAATGTTATTTTTTCTTGTAAATTTGTTTAAGTTCCTTGTAGAGTCTGGATATTAGATCTTTGTCAGATGAACAGTTTGCAAAAATTTTCTCCCATTCTGTAGGTTGTCTGTTCAGTCTGTAGTTTCTTTTGCTGTGCAGAAGCTCTTTGGTTTAATGAGATTCTATTTGTTAATTTTTGTCTTTGTTGCAATTGCTTTTGGTATCTTCATCATGAAATCTTTGCCTGTTTCTAGGTCCAGAATGGTATTGCCTAGGTTGCCTTCTAGGAGTTTTATAGATTTGGGTTTTACATTTAAGTCTGTAATCCATACTGAGTTAATTTTTATATATAGCATAAGGAAAGTGTCCTGTTTCAATCTTCTGCATATGGCTAGCCAGTTATCCTAGCACAATTTATTGAATAGGGAATCCATTCCTCATTGCTTGTTTTTTGTCAGGTTTTTCAAGGATCAGATAGTTGTATGTGTGCAGCCTTATTTCTGGGCTCTCTATTCTGTTCCATCAGTCTATCTGTCTGTTTCTGTATCAATACCATGCTGTTTTGGTTACTATAGCCCTATAGCATACTTCAACGTTGAGTAGTATGATGCCTCCAGCTTTGTTCTTTTGCTTAGGATTGTCTTGACTATTCGGGCTCTTTTTTGGTTCCATATGAATTTTAAAATAGTTTTTTCTAGTTTTGTGGAGAAATATCAATAATGGTAGTTTGATAGGAATAGCATTGAATCTATAAATTGCTTTGGGCAGTATGGCCATTATAAAGATATTGCTTGTCATTATCCATGAGCATGGAATGTTTTTCCATTTGTTTGTGTCATCTTTGTTTTGTAGTTCTCCTTGTAGAGGTCTTTAACTTTTTCGGTTAGCTGTATTCCTAAGTATTTTTTTTTCTTGTGGCAATTGTGAATGGGATTGTGTTCCTGGCTTGGCTCTTGGCTTGACTGTTGTTGGTATATAGGGATGTTAATGATTTTTGTACATTGATTTTGTATCCTAAGACTTTTCTGAAGTTTTGCTGATGTTGTTTATCAGCTTAAGGAAATTTTGGGCTTAGACTATGGGGTTTTCTAGATTTAGGATCATGTCGTCTGCAAATAGGGATTGTTTGACTTCCTCTCTTTGTATTTGGATGCCATTTATTTCTTTCTCTTGCCTGATTGCCCTGGCCAGGACTTCCAATAGTATGTTGAATAGGAGTGGTGAGAGAGGACATCCTTGTCTCGTGCCAGTTTTCAAGGGGAATGCTTCTAGCTTTTGTCCACTTGGTATGATGTTGACTGTGGATTTGTCATAGATGGCTCTTATTATTTTGAGGAATGTTCCTTCAATACCTAGTTTATTGTGAGTTTTTAACATAAAGGGATTTTGAATTTTATGCATCTATTGAGATAATCGTGGTTTTTGTCTTTAGTTCTGTTTAAATGATGAATCTCACTTACTGATTTGTGTATTTTGAACCAGTCCTGCATCTCAGGGATAAAGCCTGCTTTATTGTGGTGGATGAGCTTTTTGATGTGCTGCTGGATTTGGTTTGCCAGTATTTTGTTGAGGATTTTTGCATTGATGTTCATTGGCCTGAAGTTTTCTTTTTTGTTGTGTCTCCACCAGGTTTTGGTATCTAGATGATACTGGCCTCATAGAATGAACTATGGAGGTGTCCCTCCCCCTCAATTTTTTGGAATAGTTTCAGCAGGAATAGTACCAGCTCCTCTTTGTACATCTGGTAGAATCCAGCTGTGAATCTTCCTGGTCCTGGACTTCTTTTTGGTTGATAGGCTATTTATTACTGACTCAATTTCAGAGTTCTTTATTAGTCTGTTCAGGGACTTGATTTCTTTTTGGTTCAGTCTTGGGTGTGGGTATATGTGTCCAGGAATTTATCTATTTCTTTTGGATTTTCTAGTTTGTGTGCATATCGGTGTTCATAATATTCTCTGATGGTTATTTGTATTTTGGTAGGTCAGTGGTAATAATCCCCTTGTCATTTCTGATTGTGTTTAGTTGCATCTTCTCTCTTTTCTTCTTTATTTGTCCAGCTAGCAGTTTATTTTATTGTTTAAAAAAAAAACAGCTCTTGCATTTGTTGATCTTTTGAAAGGTTTTTCATGAAGGGTACTGAAACCTTTTAGTTCAGCTTTGATTTTGGTTATTTCTTGCCTTCTCCAACTTTGGAATTGGTTTGCTCTTGGTTCTCTAGTTCTTTTAGTTGTGATATTAGGTTGTTAAATTGAGATGTTTATAACTTTTTGATGTGGGAATTTAGTGCTATAAATTTCCCCCTTAACACTTCCTTAGCTGTGTCCTGCAGATTCTTGTATGTTGTATCTTTGTTCTCATTAGTTTCAAATAACTTCTTGATTTCTGCCTTAATTTCATTATTTATCCAAAGGCATTAAAGAGCAGATTATTCAATTTCCATGTAATTTCATGTTTTTTTCCAGTGAATTTCTTAATCTTGATCTCTAATTTGTTTGCACCATGGTCTGATATATTGTTTTTTATGATTTCAGTTCTTTTGTATTTGTTTAGGAGTGGTTTTTTTTCTGATTATGTGATTGATTTTAGAGTATGTGCCATGTGGCAATGAGAAGAATATATACTTTCTTGTTTTTGGGTGGAGAGTTCTGTAGATATCTGTTGGGTCCATTTGATCCAGTGCTGAGTTCAGGTCCTGAATATCTTTGTTAATTTTCTGTCTTGATAATCTATCTAATATTGTCAGTGGGGTGTTAACGTCTCCCACTATTATTATGTGAGAGTCTAAGTTTCTTTGAAGGTTTCTAAAAACTTGCTTTATGAATCTGGGTGCTCCTGTGTTGGGTGTATACATATTTAGGATAGTTAAATCTTCTTGAATTAAACCCTTTACTATTATGTAAAGTCCTTCTTTGTTGTTTTTTGTCTTTGTTGGTTTAAAGTATGTTTTGTCTGAAACTAGGATTGCAACCCCTGCTTTTTTCTGTTTTCTATTTGCTTGGTAGATTTTTTCTCCATCCCGTTATTTTGAGCCTATTGGTGTCATTGCCTGTGAGACGGGGCTCTTGAAGATAATTATACCAATGGATCTTGGTTGTTTATCCAGCTTGTCACTCTGTGCCTTTTATTTGGGGCATTTAGCCCATTTTCTTTCAGGGTTAGCATTGATATGTGTAGATTTGATCCTGTCATCATCATGCTAGCTGGTTATTTTGCAGACTTGTTTATTAGGTTGCTTTATAATGTCACTGCTCTGTGTACTTCAGTGCATTTTGAAGCGGCTGGTAATGTTTTTTTCTTTTCCATATTTAGTGCGTCCTTCAGGAGGAAGGTCTGGTGGTAACAAATTCCCTCAGCATTTGCTTGTCTGAAAAGCATCTTATTTCTCCTTCATCTATGAAGTTTAGTTTGGCTGGATATGAAATTCTGAGTTGGAATTTCTTTTCTTTAAGAATATTGAATATTGGCTCCCAATCTCTTCTGGCTTTTAGGGTTTCTGTTGAGAGGTCTGCTGTTAATCTGATGGGCTTCCCTTTGGAGGTGATCTGACCTTTCTCTCTAGCTGCCTTTAACATTTTTTCTTTTATTTTGACCTTGGAGAATCTCATGCTTATATGTCTTGGGGATGATCTTCTTGTGAAATATCTTACTGGGATTCTCTACATTTCCTGAATTTGAATGTTGGCCTCTCTAGCTAGGCTGGGGACGTTCTCATGAAAGATATCCTGAAATATGTTTTCCAAGTTGGTTCCATTCTCCTCATTTCTTTCAAGGACACCAATGTGTCATAGATTTGGTCTCTTTACATAACCCTCTCTTTCTCAGAGGCTTTGTTTGTTTCTTTTCATTTTTTTTTCTCTATTCTTGTCTGAGTATCTTATTTCAGGAAACCATCTTTGAGCTCTGAGATTCTTTCTTCCACTTGGTCTATTCTAATATTAGTACTTGTGATTGCATTATGAAATTCTTGTAGTGTGTTTTTCAGCTCTGTAAGGTCAGTTATATTAATTTCTATACTGGCTACTTTGTTGTCACCTCTTGCATTGTTTTTATCATGATTTTTAGCTTCGTTGGATTGGGTTTCAATGAACTCTTGTAGCTTAATGATCTTCATTCCTGTACATATTCTGAATTCTCTTTCTGTCATTTCAGCCATCTCAGCCTAGTTCAGAACCCTTGCTGGAGAGTTGATGTGGTCATTTGGAGGAAATAAGCACTCTGGCTTTTTGAGTTGTCAGGGTTCTTACACTAATTTCTCATCTTTGTGGGTTTATCTTCCTTCGATCTTTGAGTTGCTGGCCTTTGGATTTTTTTTTTTAATCCTATTTGATGAACTTGAGGGTTTGGTTGTGGTATAAAGTGGATTCAATCAACTGGCTTCATTTCTAGAAGATTTAAGGAGGCCAACGCTGAGCTCCCAACTCCTGGACTGCATGCTCTAACTCTGGGGACTTGTATTAGGCCCTGACTTTGTTCTCTGTCTCCTTGAAGTTAGGAATCCACTGCACTGAGGGTGCCAAAGTGCTCCTCAATCACTGGTTCCTACAGTCCAATGGGCAATATCAGCAAAAGTGTTTTGTAGTGTAGTGACAGTGGGATTCATTCTCTTTCACATATGTCCACAGCAGTGGTGGCAGCAGCTGCAGCAAAGTGCTAGTGGGTGCCAGGGTGCTTGCCCCTCTGCAGGTGTTCAGCACCGTGGTGGAGGCAACACAGCTGTGGGGGGCAGGGGCCCTTGCTGATGACTGTGTGCATGGTCATACTGGAGGTGGTGTTGGCTCAGGGGTGGGGCACTGGCAGTTGTAGTTCTGGGTGCCTTCTCTGTGCCCCACAAGCATGTGTGGTAGCTCAGAGCAAGGGAGGATCTGCTGTCCTCTGGGCCTAGTTTCACTCCCATGGCAGTGTTAGCATGAGGGCTGGATGCTGGTAGGGGCAGGGATGGCTAGTTCTGTGTCTGTCCAGGCTCCATCTGTAATGGTGATAAGAAGGGAGAGGGTGGGTGGACTGCACTCCTTGGGCAATGGTGGGACCAGGAAAGCAAAACTCACCTGTGCAGACACATGTCAGCAAAGCAATGTGGGGAGTTGTTGTGGGCCTGGGGGAAGCAGTGCTTTGGGGAGGGAGTGGGAGGGCTGGTGCATGGCAACTGCCTCACTGGAGTTCTCTGCTGCTCAGGCATGGTCCACTGTTGCAGAAGCTATGGTGTGGTCCCACAGGGCAGCCAAGACAGCCCTGCAAGCAGGCATGGCCAGGCTGGGGTCCTGGGAGAGGCCAGCAGACCAAGGGGTGCTGAGGTCAGACCAGCCCTGTCTGATGGACCAGGCAATCCAGCAGAGTTTAAGACTGACAGATCCCCTAGCGCTAAAGTCTCCTATGGGATCAAGTCAAGCCTAGGGGGATGGGTGTCCCTGCCTGTGCTCTGCTACAGAAGCTCCCGTATCAAACCCTCTGGGCTCCATATCAGCTGGCTTGCTGCCCCTACCACTTCTCTAAGCAGCTCTCTCTACCAACTCAAGTGTCCATGGTGGTTGAGGTTTCTCTTCATCCTGGGGTTCCAGAGGTCCATGGTGAGAGCAGGTTGTTCCTTGCCAGTTCAACCCACCTATTACCTCAGAGCCACTGGGGGCCAGGAATGAATTTGGTGTGCTATAGCCCTCTGTAGGGTCCTCAGCTTTCTTCCCCTTCAGCTCAGCTTGCATATCTTCCATTTGTGTACTCTTGATGCCTTTTCCCTCTTAAGATTTGTTAGGAGCACACCAGTCATCGCAGTCCTTTGGTGGGAGCTGTTCTACCTGGTTGTATCTAGTTGGCCATCTTGCCTTCCCCCGATGTATTTTTCTAAACTGCCTTCTATTTAAAGATGCAATATGTCTAACTATATAAACCTTGGATTTCACACTTTCAATTTATTAAGTACAGTTTTATAAATCTAGTATGAAGATGAAAGTTGAATTGCATTTAATATTCTCTGCTTCTAAAACCAGACAATTATGTAATATTTTAGAAGATGGCCATAAAATTGTTGATTTCCTTTAATGTCAGGGTTTAAAGAGTTAAACTTCAGTTATCTGGATAAGTAAGGTTTATAGGACATCTACTCCTAGTGGCCTATAAAACAGAGATGTACCTGAATATACAAGTAGCATGTCCTGCTATATTTCTCACTGTTCTGTAATGCAAAGTTTGAGAATACAAATGGGATCCATTTAAGTAGCAAGGCAGGTTTAGGGGTGATAACAGTTTATCTAAATTAGAATTAAAGCCCAGAAATATAATTGGTATATAGCAGACACCTCAAAGAGTGTTGATATATTTGATCTGATCAAATCTTATATTTAGTCTTCCTTGGTCTAATACCCTTAGCCTTGCCCCTTTATGCATACTCTCCCGTCTCTTGCCATTATAACTTGGTGATGTTCTCAGGCTTATCCACCCTTCAACCTCAGAAGACAAAGGGCTCCTTCAAAGCCATGAACATGTTGCAATTTTCATGCATGTTTTTATGTACATTCTATTGTGCACTCTGGCTGCAAAAAGAGTACCACAGACTGCGTGTCTTAAACAACAGAAATGCATTTTCTCACAGTTCTGTAGGCTAGAAGTATGAGATCTAAATGTCAGCAGAGTTGGTTTCTTTTGAGCTATCTCTTTTTGGCTTGTAGATGTCCATCTTCTCCTTGTGTCTTCACATGAACATCTCTCTGTGTGTCTTTGTTATAATCTTCTCTTCTTATAAGAATACAAATCATATTGAATTAGGATTTACCTATATGACCTCATTTTACCTTAACCACCATTTTTAAAGACCCTAACTCCAAATGCAGTCACATTCTGAGGTACTGGGGGTTAGAACTTCAACATAATGAATTTGAGGGGGGACAAAATTCACCCCATAACATATTTTTTCAGCCTTTAAGGTCTCTTTTTCCTGTGTGCACACTCCATTGCCATCAGAAGTAGCCTCTTACCCTTCATAAACACTATACCTTCCTTAGTGATTAATTGGCACAATTTCTCAACACCTCAATGCCTTTATGTCCACATGCATTTTATATCCAGACCATTAAGAGTGAATAATCTTGATGCTACTGGTGCCGTGGGTCATCTGTGTCCCATTATCATCTGGCAAGGAAGGTGTCTATACCTTTCTCTACTACGTGAGCAACACAATATCAATATCCTACTTTGAAATTTTGTTTCCTGGAGGCACTCTGATACCTATTACTGTATCAATCAGGATCCAGGCAGAAAGTAGACATCATGCTTAAACTGGGTAACTTGAAGATAATATAGGAAAATAGCAAGCAATAGTCTAGAATCCTAAAAGTCTGAATCTATTATCAACCTTAGGTGTGAATGGGCAAGGGGAGGGAGTGGATTCTGTCATACAACACATGAGTGCAAAAGAGCTGTGTAGTGCTGCTTGATGCCTATTACTTTTGTGTAAAGACACAGCCAGCTCACGTGAGCTCTTAGGAAGGGGGATAGAGAAATAAATACCCTGACCTCATCTTCCTGCCCTCTGGGCTGCTGGCCTCCAAACCAGAAGCAGGGCACTGGAGCTTACCAACATGGTACACAAAGGCTGGCATCCTGGAGCTCAGAGCAGAGGAGAGGAGGTCAGACAGTGGATCTAGAGGGGCAGACAAAAATATCCAGAACAAGTTTCACTCTCCATGGGCCTGAACTAGTGGTTGCAATTGCTGGAAGGTAGAAAGTGTTAGGGGGTGTTCAGGTATGGGATCCAGATGAAGTGGGAGAGAATTTTAGTATGCTTTGTGAAGATTTCCCATGATTTGAAATTGTGTAAGGACTGTCCCAAATTTTGCAAATGATGCTATATCATAAGATAAAGAAGACAGTCATACTCATTTGGTAGCTATATTTATATAATGTATTCATATAAATGTATAAATATGTATATTATGTAAGTGGCTGATGTTTACATTTGCTTAATCATATGAGAATATAGCAAAATTATAACTGGCTCAAAGTAATAGTTGTTGGAGCCAGGTTTTAACCCAGGCAGGATCATTCATATGCTTTCAATCTTAACCATCAGGCTGGATGTCTCCTCCACTTTCCTTGTTGATCTCTGTATCTGTCTGTTCTTGCTCTGCTATAAAGAAATATCTGAGACTGGGTAACTTATAAAGAAAAGAGGTTTAATTGGCTCATGTAAAGGTTTAATTGGCTTCCTGTACAGGTTGTACAAGAAGCATGGTGGCATCTACTTCTGGGGAGGCCTCAGGCAGCTTTTACTAATGGCAGAAGGCAAAGCAGGAGCAGGCCTCTTGCATGTCAGGAGCAGGACCAAGAGAGAGGTGGGAGGTGCTACACACTTTTAAACAACCAGATCTCATGATAACTCACTCACTCACTATCATGAAAACAGCACTGAGAGGGTGGTGCTAAACCATTCATGAAGGATCCACCCCCATGATCCAATCACCTCCGACCAGGCTCCACTTCCAGTATTGGGGATTACATTTCAACATGAAATTTGGGTGAGGACACAGATCCAAACCACATCAATTGCTGTTAAGACATGCAGTTGAACAGTATGTTTGTTAAACAGCTGGTATCACCTGGGGCAATCTCTAGTGCTTGGAATTAGGAAAACTCCTAATTTTGTGGTCCAGGGAACCCATAAGCCTCCTTAAGACTCCTGCACGTTTTAGGAGAGCTAACTTACCCTGGCTCTTGTGCCTGGGTATATAAATTTGTGCCCTCAGATGTGAAGCAACACATTTTGTCATTACAGAAGCATCAGTCAGAAATGGAAAATTTCTAGAATGTATACATAATATAAAATGTTGTAGGGGAAATAAGGGAGTGTTTTACATTACATTTGTCATTGCAAATTACTTAAAACTCTATATTAGACGTTTCTATTCTCCAGTATTTTTTCTTAGGTACAGTATTAGTTAACTGCCAGAAAAATGCAGTATAACAGCTACAGAATCTCTGTGGCATACAGCAGTAAGTGTTGATTTAGGTGCCAAGCCAAAATAAACTAAGTGGGTTGACTGAGGGTTGGCTGGGTTTGGATTAGTGGCTCTGCTGATCTTGGCTGGCCTTGCTTTATGCATCCAGATGTTGGCTGGAGTCAGCTGGTCTTGACTGGGGTATTTCTGCTCCACATTCTACCCCTTTGACTGAGGCCAGAGGGCTGACCTTCTGCTTCTCCTCATGGTGATGGTAAAAGCTCATGTCCAAGTACTCAAGTGCATGACAATCATCTGCTGTGTCATGTCCATGCAAGTCACATGGCTGTACATTTCTCAGTGCTCTGTTATACCATTGGATGTGGATGTATTTATTTATTCATTACTTATTTATTTTTAAACTACTTTATTGAGATGATTGTCATGTAAAAAGACATACATATTTAATGCATACAACTTGGTGAATTTGGGGATATGTATATACCCATGAAGCTATCACCACCATTAAGGCCAGAAACTTATTCATCACCTCCAAAAGTTTCCTCCTGCTTCCTCCTTATTATTATTGATGATAAGAACACTTGGGGGGAGGAGCCAAGATGGCCGAATAGGAACAGCTCCAGTCTACAGCTCCCAGTGTGAGCGACGCAGAAGACGGGTGATTTCTGCATTTCCATCTGAGGTACCGGGTGCATCTCACTAGGGAGTGCCAGAGAGTGGGCGCAGGCCAGTGGGTGCGCGCACCGTGCGCGAGCCGAAGCAGGGCGAGGCATTGCCTCACCTGGGAAGCGCAAGGGGTCAGGGAGTTCCCTTTCTGAGTCAAAGAAAGCGGTGACGGACGCACCTGGAAAATCGGGTCACTCCCACCCGAATATTGCCCTTTTCAGACCAGCTTAAAAAACGGCACACCACGAGACTATATCCCACACCTGGCTCGGAGGGTCCTACGCCCACGGAATCTCGCTGATTGCTAGCACAGCTTTCTGAGATCAAACTGCAAGGCAGCAGCGAGGCTGGGAGAGGGGCGCCTGCCATTGCCCAGGCTTGCTTAGGTAAACAAAGCAGCAGGGAAGCTCGAACTGGGTGGAGCCCACCACAGCTCAAGGAGGCCTGCCTGCCTCTGTAGGCTCCACCTCTGGGGGCAGGGCACAGACAAACAAAAAGACAGCAGTAACCTCTGCAGACTTAAATGTCCCTGTCTGACAGCTTTGAAGAGAGCAGTGGTTCTCCCAGTATGCAGCTGGAGATCTGAGAACTGGCAGACTGCCTCCTCAAGTGGGTCGCTGACCCCTGACCCCCGAGCAGCCTAACTGGGAGGCACCCCCCAGCAGGGGCACAGTGACACCTCACACAGCAGGGTATTCCAACAGACCTGCAGCTGAGGGTCCTGTCTGTTAGAAGGAAAACTAACAAACAGAAAGGACATCCACACCGAAAACCCATCTGTACATCACCATCATCAAAGACCAAAAGTAGATAAAACCACAAAGATGGGGAAAAAACAGAACAGAAAAACTGGAAACTCTAAAACGCAGAGTGTCTTTCCTCCTCCAAAGGAACGCAGTTCCTCACCAGCAACAGAACAAAGCTGGATGGAGAATGACTTTGACGAGCTGAGAGAAGAAGGCTTCAGACGATCAAATTACTCTGAGCTACGGGAGGACATTCAAACCAAAGGCAAAGAAGTTGAAAACTTTGAAAAAAATTTAGAAGAATGTATAACTAGAATAACCAATACAGAGAAGTGCTTAAAGGAGCTGATGGAGCTGAAAACCAAGGCTCGAGAACTATGTGAAGAATGCAGAAGCCTCAGGAGCCGATGCGATCAACTGGAAGAAAGGGTATCAGCAATGGAAGATGAAATGAATGAAATGAAGCGAGAAGAGAAGTCTAAGAAAAAAGAATAAAAAGAAATGAGCAAAGCCTCCAAGAAATATGGGACTATGTGAAAAGACCAAATCTACGTCTGATTGGTGTACCTGAAAGTGATGGGGAGAATGGAACCAAGTTGGAAAACACTCTGCAGGATATTATCCAGGAGAACTTCCCCAATCTAGCAAGGCAGGCCAACGTTCAGATTCAGGAAATACAGAGAACGCCACAAAGATACTCCTCAAGAAGAGCAACTCCAAGACACATAATTGTCAGATTCACCAAAGTTGAAATGAAGGAAAAAATGTTAAGGGCAGCCAGAGAGAAAGGTCGGGTTACCCTCAAAGGGAAGCCCATCAGACTAACAGTGGATCTCTCGGCAGAAACCCTACAAGCCAGAAGAGAGTGGGGGCCAATATTCAACATTCTTAAAGAAAAGAATTTTCAACCCAGAATTTCATATCCAGCCAAACTAAGCTTCATAAGTGAAGGAGAAATAAAATACTTTACAGACAAGCAAATGCTGACCGATTTTGTCACCACCAGGCCTGCCCTAAAAGAGCTCCTGAAGGAAGCGCTAAGCATGGAAAGGAACAACCGGTACAGCCGCTGCAAAATCATGCCAAAATGTAAAGACCATCGAGACTAGGAAGAAACTGCATCAACTAACGAGCAAAATCACCAGCTATCATCATAATGACAGGATCAAATTCACACATAACAATATTAACTTTAAATATAAATGGACTAAATTCCCCAATTAAAAGACACAGACCGGCAAATTGGATAAAGAGTCAAGATCCATCAGTGTGCTGTATTCAGGAAACCCATCTCACGTGCAGAGACACAGATAGGCTCAAACTAAAAGGATGGAGGAAGATCTACCAAGCAAATGGAAAACAAAAAAAGGCAGGGGTTGCAATCCTAGTCTCTGATAAAACAGACTTTAAACCAACAAAGATCAAAAGAGACAAAGAAGGCCATTACATAATGGTAAAGGGATCAATTCAACAAGAAGAGCTAACTATCCTAAATATACATGCACCCAATACAGGAGCACCCTGATTCATAAAGCAAGTGCTTAGAGACCTACAAAGAGACTTAGACTCCCACACAATAATAAAGGGGGACTTTAACACCCCACTGTCAAAGTTAGACAGATCAATGAGACAGAAAGTCAACAAGGATACCCAGGAATTGAACTCAGCTCTGCACCAAGCAGACCTAATAGACATCTACAGAACTCTCCACCCCAAATCAACAGAATATACACTTTTTTCAGCACCACACCACACCTATTCCAAAATTGACCACATACTGGGAAGTAAAGCTCTCCTCAGCAAATGTAAAAGAACAGAAATTATAACAAACCATCTCTGAGACCACAGTGCAATCAAACTAGAACTCAGGATTAAGAATCCCACTCAAAGCCGCTCAACTACATGGAAACTGAACAACCTACTCCTGAATGACTACTGGGTACATAACGAAATGAAGGCAGAAATAAAGATGTTCTTTGAAACCAACGAGAACAAAGACACAATATACCAGAATCTCTGGGACGCATTCAAAGCAGTGTGTAGAGGGAAATTTATAGCACTAAATGCTCACAAGGGAAAGCAGGAAAGATCCAAAATTGACACCCTAACATCACAATTAAAAGAACTAGAAAAGCAAGAGCAAACACATTCAAAAGCTAGCAGAAGGCAAGAAATAACTAAGATCAGAGCAGAACTGAAAGAAATAGAGACACAAAAAACCCTTCAAAAAATCAATGCATCCAGGAGCTGGTTTTTTGAAAGGATCAACAAAATTGATAGACCGCTAGCAAGACTAATAAAGAAAAAAAGAGAGAAGAATCAAATAGACACAATAAAAATTGATAAAGGGGATATCACCACCGATCCCACAGAAATACAAACTACCATCAGGGAATACTACAAACACCTCTACGCAAATAAACTAGAAAATCTAGAAGAAATGGATAAATTCCTCGACACATACACTCTCCCAAGACTAAACCAGGAAGAAGTTGAATCTCTGAATAGACCAATAACAGGAGCTGAAATTGTGGCAATAATCAATAGTTTACCAACCAAAAAGAGTCCAGGACCAGATGGATTCACAGCCGAATTCTACCAGAGGTACAAGGAGGAACTGGTACCATTCCTTCTGAAACTATTCCAATCAATAGAAAAAGAGGGAATCCTCCCTAACTCATTTTATGAGGCCAGCATCATTCTGATACCAAAGCCAGACAGAGACACAACAAAAAAAGAGAATTTTAGACCAATATCCTTGATGAACATTGATGCAAAAATCCTCAATAAAATACTGGCAAACCAAATCCAGCAGCACATCAAAAAGCTTATCCACCATGATCAAGTGAGCTTCATCCCTGGGATGCAAGGCTGGTTCAATATACGCAAATCAATAAATGTAATCCAGCATACAAATAGAGCCAAAGACAAAAACCACATGATTATCTCAATAGATGCAGAAAAAGCCTTTGACAAAATTCAACAACCCTTCATGCTAAAAACTCTCAATAAATTAGGTATTGATGGGACGTATTTCAAAATAATAAGAGCTATCTATGACAAACCCACAGCCAATATCATACTGAATGGGCAAAAACTGGAAGCGTTCCCTTTGAAAACTGGCACAAGACAGGGATGCCCTCTCTCACCACTCCTATTCAACATAGTGTTGGAAGTTCTGGCCAGGGCAATTAGGCAGGAGAAGGAAATAAAGGGTATTCAATTAGGAAAAGAGGAAGTCAAATTGTCCCTGTTTGCAGAAGACATGATTGTATATCTAGAAAACCCCATTGTCTCAGCCCAAAATCTCCTTAAGCTGATAAGCAACTTCAGCAAAGTCTCAGGATACAAAATCAATGTACAAAAATCACAAGCATTCTTATATACCAACAACAGACAAACAGAGAGCCAAATCATGAGTGAACTGCCATTCACAATTGCTTCAAAGAGAATAAAATACCTAGGAATCCAACTTACAAGGGATGTGAAGGACCTCTTCAAGGAGAACTACAAACCACTGCTCAAGGAAATAAAAGAGGATACAAACAAATGGAAGAATATTCCATGCTCATGGGTAGGAAGAATCAATATCGTGAAAATGGCCATACTGCCCAAGGTAATTTACAGATTCAATGCCATCCCCATCAAACTACCAATGACTTTCTTCACAGAATTGGAAAACACTACTTTAAAGTTCATATGGAACCAAAAAAGAGCCCACATTGCCAAGTCAATCCTAAGCCAAAAGAACAAATCTGGAGGAATCACACTACCTGACTTCAAACTATACTACAAGGCTACAGTAACCAAAACAGCATGGTACTGGTACCAAAACAGAGATATAGATCAATGGAACAGAACAGAGCCCTCAGAAATAACGGCGCATAACTACAACTATCTGATCTTTGACAAACCTGAGAAAAACAAGCAATGGGGAAAGGATTCCCTATTTAATAAATGGTGCTGGGAAAACTGGCTAGCCATATGTAGGAAGCTGAAACTGGATCCCTCCCTTACACCTTATACAAAAATCAATTCAAGATGGATTAAAGATTTAAACGTTAGACCTAAAACCATAAAAACCCTAGAAGAAAACCTAGGCATTACCATTCAGGACATAGGCATGGGCAAGGACTTCATGTCTAAAACACCAAAAGCAATGGCAATAAAAGACAAAATTGACAAATGGGATCTAATGAAACTAAAGAGCCTCTGCACAGCAAAAGAAACTACCATCAGAGTGAACAGGCAACCTACAAAATGGGAGAAAATTTTCGCAACCTACTCATCTGACAAAGGGCTAATATCCAGAATCTACAATGAACTCAAACAAATTTACAAGAAAAAATCAAACAACCCCATCAAAAAGTGGGCAAAGGACATGAACAGACACTTCTCAAAAGAAGACATTTATGCAGCCAAAAAACACATGAAAAAATGCTCATCATCACTGGCCATCAGAGAAATGCAAATCAAAACCACTATGAGATACCATCTCACACCAGTTAGAATGGCAATCATTAAAAAGTCAGGAAACAACAGGTACTGGAGAGGATGTGGAGAAATAGGAACACTTTTACACTGTTGGTGGGACTGTAAACTAGTTCAACCATTGTGGAAGTCAGTGTGGCGATTCCTCAGGGATCTAGAACTAGAAATACCATTTGACCCAGCCATCCCATTACTGGGTATATACCCAAAGGACTATAAATCATGCTGCTATAAAGACACATGCACACGTATGTTTATTGTGGCATTATTCACAATAGCAAAGACTTGGAACCAACCCAAATGTCCAACAATGATAGACTGGATTAAGAAAATGTGGCACATATACACCATGGAATACTATGCAGCCATAAAAAATGATGAGTTCATGTCCTTTGTAGGGACATGGATGAAATTGGAAATCATCATTCTCAGTAAACTATCGCAAGAACAAAAAACCAAACACTGCATATTCTCACTCATAGGTGGGAACTGAACAATGAGATCACATGAACAGAGGAAGGGGAATATCACACTCTGGGGACTGTGGTGGGGTGGGGGGAGGGGGGAGGGATAGCATTGGGAGATATATCTAATGCTAGATGACGAGTTAGTGGGTGCAGTGCACCAGCATGGCACATGTATACATATGTAACTAACCTGCACAATGTGCACATGTACCCTAAAACGTAAAGTATAATAAAAAAAAACAAACAAACAAAAAAATAAAATAAAATAAAGAACACTTAACATAAGATCTACCCTCTTAGCAAATTTTAAGTATACAATATAATGCTGTTAGCTGTAGGCACTATGCTGTATAGTAATTCTCTAGAAATTATGTATCTTGCAAAACTAAAATTTTGTACCCTTTGACTATCACCTTCCACTTTCCTCTCCCCCACCCTGGTAAACACCATTTTACTCTTTCACTTTTGTGAGTTTGACTACTTTAGATTTCACCTATAAGTAAGTGCTTATAAGTCTGAATGTTTGTGTCTCTCCAAAATTCATTTGTTGAAATCAAATTCCCAATGTGATAGTATTAAGAAGTGGGATTAGTGCCCCTATAAAAAAGGCCATGAAAAGCTTGTTTGCCACTTTCACCATGGGAGGGTTCATCAAGAAGGGGCCCTCTATAAAGCAGAGAGCAGCCTTCATTAGGCAGTGAATCTGCTGGCGCCTTGATCTTGGACTTCCCAGCATCTAGAGCTATAAGAAACAAATTTCTATTGTTTTTAAGCCACTCAGTATATGGTATTTTGGTATAGCAACTCAAATGGACTAAGACAGTGAGATAATGCAGTATTTGTCTTTTTGTGTCTGGCTTATTTCACTTAGCATAGTGTCCTTCAGGTTCATCCATGTTGTTGCAAATGGCAGGATTTCTTTCATTTGAAGGCTAACATTCCATTGGATGTATATGCCACATTTTCTTTATCCATTCATCTGTTGATAGGCATTTAGATTATTTCCATATCTTGCCTTTTGTGAACAATGCTGCAATGACCGTGGAAGTACTGGTATTCTTTTGAGATCTGATCCCAATTTCATTTCCACTGGATATATACCCAGAAGTGAGATTCCTGGATTGCAAGGTAGTTCTAGTTCTATAATGGCTACAACCAATTTACATTCCCACCAACACTGTGTGGTTTCCTTTTCTCCACATCATCACCAGAATGTTTTGTTTTATTTTATTTTTAAAATAATAGCCAAACCATTTGGATATGGTTTAAATATTCCCAATACTAGATCAACTATTTTCTTTGCTGCCAAGTGAAGAAAAGCAAGGGTTGGAACAGAGCCAAATTTCTGGTGATGAGCTGTTGCTCTGGAGACAATTTTCTGAGAAGTGCACGTTAAACAGCATAGCATTTCAGCCTTGAAGTGAGAAGTGTAGACTATTTGTGATAATGAATATACAACTGAGGTGTTCCACTGGAGCAAGTCACTTAGAATCACAGAAAGCGTATTATCAGGCCCATGATGTAAATTTAAAATGTCTTATTCCTCATTTTACAAACTTATGTGGGCATCTTTCCTTCTCACAGGAAGCCCATTTCAGTGTGGAAAATCAGTCTTGTATGAACCAGATTTAGAACAGTGCCATGATTCGTTCATATTCAAGAGTTAACTGCTTCTACACAGAGTTGGTGTCAGAAGGCATGTTGCTGAGTGCCAGCAACTCCTTGGGGGTTGAGCTTAGATGGTGTCCTCTGTTCTAGCATGTGAATGCTGTAAACGGGGTGTGTTAGGCCATTCTTGCATTGCTATAAAGAAATACCTGAGGCCGGGCAAGGTGGCTCAAGCCTGTAATCCCAGCACTTTGGGAGGCCGAGGTGGGTGGATCATGAGGTCAGGAGATCGAGACCATCCTGGCTAACATGGTGAAACCCCATCTCTACTAAAAATACAAAAAATTAGCCGGGCGTGGTGGCGGGCGCCTGTAGCCCCAGCTACGCAGGAGGCTGAGGCAGGAGAATGGCATGAACCCAGGAGGCGGAGCTTACAATGAGCCGAGATCACGCCACTGCACTCCGGCCTGGGCAGTAGAGCGAGACTGCCTCCAAAAAAAAAAAAAAAAAAAAAAAAAAAAAGAAATACCTGAGGCTGGGTAATTTATAAAAAAGGGCATCTGCTTCAGGTGAGGCTTCAGGAGCTTTTACTCGTGGTGGAAGGTGATGGGGAGCCAGCACATCACATCGTGAGAGAGGGAGCAAGAGAGCAAGGAGGAGGAGTCAGACTCTCTTCAACAACCAGCGCTTCTTGTGTGAACTGATTAGGGAAGGGGGAGCACGCAGCCATTCATGAGGGATCCACCCCCATGACCCAAACACCTCCCACCAGGTCCCACCTCTAGAATTGGAGGTCACGTTTCAACATGAAATTTGGAGGGAACAAACATCCAAGACATATCACTGAATGAGATGTGCTGAGATTGTTATCCAAGCTCCATCCAGGTAAGCTAGTGAGAGGCTCCATCCTGGAGCCAAAGGTACACTTGACTTTATAAAGTGTGCAATATGATTATAATCAGATCATACCCTTTTTCTCCAGGTTTTCAGATATTGATTTACCTAACCTTAACATATTATCAAATAGCCGTTCAATGACATATACCTTTGCTCTGTGTCAATTAACTTAAAATTATCTGTGATGAAATACTCGGTTCTGAAATTATTCTATACATACTGAGAGCAGATGCTGCCAGAGTTCCCATGATTCTGCACAGAGGAAGGTTCTCATAGTAAGGATCTGATGCTGTGTCTGCAGGCTTGGCTTGGCCATGGGAGTATGCTCTGTCCATATGCAGAAGTCACTCCTGGAGCAGCTCTCAACCAGTGACTGAGAGATAAATAACCTGGCTTCCTCACCCCTCAGGTGAGCTGTGTTCCACACAGTCTACCGGATTCCTCCAGGGGGATCGAGCCTCAGCTGCTCAATTATTACCTCAGTAATAACTTACTAATTAATGCACCTGGTGTTCACTCCTCTTCTCCATTTCACCTCTCCGTTTACCTGCGTGCTTCCTGGGATTGCATCTCAAAATGAACTAAGGAAGTGAAATCCTTACCTTAGAGCGGAATTCTGAGGGAAACCCAAACTAAGATAGAGCATCAATATGTTTACTTACATTAGAAAAAATTAAGGTTCAAAAGAAACATAACCTTGCCATTTAGGGTTTTCTTCTTCGTAAACTTCTCATTTTTTTGCCACTCTTAGTATACAGAGTATTTTTTTAAAATTAAAAATACCTATTTCTCATTACAAAAGTAATCTGTATTCCTTGTAAAAGAATTAGCTAGAAATGACTGCCCTGGAATATTTGTGTTTGTCTTTCCATCCTTTTTACTTGCATGGTGGGTTTTTAAAACAATGTCTCCCATCCCATAGGCTCTTTTTCACTGTGACCTTAATACTCCTCTCATTGAGAGTTGGGACTTGGTTGTTTACCCTTCAACCTGGGCCTGCCTTGACCAACAGAATGTAGTGGAAGTGATGCTGGGTGACTTCTGAGATGGAATTATAATAATGTCACACACTTACATCTCGGTTTTTCTTTTGGACAGACACTCATTAGAAAAATTCAGCTGCCATGCTGTGGGGAATCTCAAGTTAGCTCACATGAATAGACCACATGGTTAGGGGATTTGGCTGGGAGCTCTAGCTGAGGTCCCAGTTGGTAGCTAACATCAACTGCCAGATATTGAGATGCTTCCATGTTGTTCTCACTCCCAGCTGTCAAGACGCTCCCAGCTTTTGAGTCTTTTCAGCTAATCTGCTAGATGTTGTGGGACACAAAAATGCTATCTATTGCTGTATCTGGACCCAGTAAATGTATGACACATGGAATCTATGAGCATAATAAAATGACTGTTTAATGCCCGTGCATTCTGGGTGTCTTGCTATGCAGCAATAATAACTTGAATATTCCTCCTTGCCAATTTCTTTGTATTCTCTAGCCTTTGTATTCTCATCTGATTGGCTGAGGTAATTGATGTCAATCCTGTTGGGCTGAGTCTTTTGAGCTACATCAACTCACAGGTCTTAGTCAGCTTATAACAGATATCATTGGGGGCATGTGACCATCTCTGAGCCAATCACTTAATAGCCTTATATAAGTTAAAAATTTGTGCTGGGCATGGTGGCTCATGCCTGTAATCCCAGCACTTTGGGAGGCTGAGGCAGGTGGATCATGAGGTTAGGAGATGAAGACCATCCTGGCCAACATGGTGAAAACCTGTCTCTACTAAAATACAAAAAGTTAGCTGGGTGTCATGATGGGTGCCTGTAGTCCCAGCTACCGGGGAATCTGAGGCAGGGGAATCGCTTGAACCTGGGAGGTGGAGGTTGCAGTGAGTTGAGATCCCACTACTGCACTTCAGCCTGGGTAACAGAGTGAGACTCCGTCTAAAAAAAAATAAATACATAAATAAAAAAACTGAGTAAGGGGCCGTGGGTAAAAAAAAAATTTAACCAGAAAGAAACACTGTCAGACACACATGCATAGGTACTTATGAATAAAAACAAAAACACAATTTAAAAATATACCAAAGCATAAAATAAATTACAACCGATGTATAGAACAATAGGTAATTGCAACACAAAGACCATACTCTTATCAACTAAAAATATATTTTGTCTAACATAAAAAGAAACCCAAAGCATTATGTTATGCATTTCTTTTGTGTACAGCTCCTATCACAGTATGGGAAACATACAGAGCCTTTCCTCCATGGTGGATATTCTCCATCTTCAGCAAATCTGAGGAAGGTTTGAGTAACTAACCTAAAATCTGTGGATAGATTTTTATCCTTTGATAGTAGTTTATGAATTTATATGCTTGTGCTAATTTAAAACTTTTTAAATATAGCAGCAAGACTGTGTTGTATAATCAAAGAAAATGGGAAAACTAACCAAATCATTGAGGCATTTTTGCCTCCATCTTGGTAGCTTTCATAGTTTCCCATCTTGAGAAGATCTTAGTACTTAAATTCCTTTAGAGAAATGTTATACTACAGAAGAGAGCGTCCATTTTTTCTGCTTCTTCACTGATGTCTGTCCCTAGATCCGGCAACTCCCTGGCTTTGGAGTCCCAGCCCTCCTTAAGCCATCTTGTCTCTCTTTCCTGGGGTCCCTGTCCAGCTGGGTGAGCCCAATGCTCTGACTGCAGCTGGACCTCGGTACCTTCAGCTTCTGTCATGCTGGAGTCATAACAAGTGCCTGTGTCCAGACTTGGGAGTGCACTAGGTTTTCCAACCACAACCTGAAAAGATGCCGTGGAGACAAGGCAGTGGGAAAAGTGAGTTAATACACCTCCTGCCTCTGAAGAGGTAGGCTGTAAACTGAACCAGGAGTCAGAGCAAAATGAATCAGATGTCTTCATCCAAGTAAATACTGGACATTCATCCACGACGTGAAACCACCATACAATTCAAAAACATTGGCAGGCTCTGTTGAGGGAGTGACGCAGCAGGGGGCCTCCAAGCCAGAGATGAGGTGGCACGGGCAGAGCTGAGCAAGGACACTTCTGCCACATGATGCTTGGCACACGCTGTTGTTCCTTGTCTTGCTTTCAGGTGCCATATTTGCAAAAACAAATGGAATTGGAGGCCACGCTGTATCCCAACTGGCCAGCTAAGACCTGCTCATGAATCACTGACTAGCTCCATTACTTAGCTAATGTGTCAGAGCTGGCTCCGCTCTAACTGACCTCCCTTGCCTCTAAAAAGTGACACATTGAATTTTATTACTGACTCTGTGTTTCAAAACATTTTGGGGACTGAAAAACCCACCAGGCAAATCTCAGGCCTTAGAAAGCAGTTAAACTGAATTGCAAATAAAAGGCTTAGAAAGTCCTTAAAATCATAAACTTGGCATCTCCAATAGGACAAATGAACTTTGTCTTCTCATCTGAGTTAACAGATTTGGAAGAATCAAAATCTTTTCTGTTGTATAGACTACATGCTACCATTTCCACAGGCAAGCTGCCCCTAAATTTGGAAAACTTTTCCTTCTGAAACCACCCAATCTCTTTAGCTTGATTTGGGCAACCGAATCTCTTAGGCTTTTGCCTCTTTGTGTCCAAAACTAGCACTGTTCCTGAGAGCAGGCTATCAATCATTTACATATTAGTGTGACATTCAGTCAGCATCCATTTAAATAAATTTACTCAGATAAATATTTATTAAGCACCTACTTTGTTCTAGATACAAAGATGGGTAAGCCACTGCCCCTGACTTTTATGTGCTGTTAAAAGAAAAACTTTAGACAAATTAAATTTAATGGAATTTAATTGATAAAAAATGACTTGCAAATCAAGCAGCCCCCTGAACCAGAATAGGTTCACGTGGCTCCAGGGCTGCCACATGGTTGGATAACATTTATGAACAGAACAAGTAAAGAGACACAGAAAACAGAAGTGAGGTACAGGATTGATTATAGCTCAGCGTTTGCCTTATTTGAACATAGCTTGAACTGTTGGCTGCCTGTGATTGGCTGAAACTTGGCTGCTGGGATTGGCTGAGACTCACTACTTGTTAAGAGAGTAGGTTGCAGTCATTTACACATTCAGTTAGGTGATAGTTTGCTATGTATGGAGAAACCTTAAGGGCAAATTTAAATATGTAAGGAAGCATCTTTAGGCTAAATCTATTTATTTCTTCTTTGAGACAGGTTCTCAGTCTGTCACCCAGGCTGGAGTGCAGTGGTGTGATCACAGCTCACTGCAGCCTTCAACCTTCTGGCTCAAGTGATCCTCTCACTTCAGCCTTGGAAGTAGCTGTGACCACTGGCATGTGCCACCATGCCAGGCTATTTATTTTATTTTATTTTTGTAGGGACTGGGTCCTGCTATGTTCCCCAGGCCAGTCTCTAACCCTGGGCTCAAGTGATCCTCCTGCCTTGGCCTCCCAAAGTGCTGGGATTACAGGGATGAGCCACCATGCCCTGTCTGGCTAAACTTAACAGCACAGTCAAAGAGGAGAAACAGACAGGTAGGTGCTAGTAAGCAATGTGTAAGCAGGAAGAGAGTGGAACCAAAGTTCTGTGGAGTCAAAAGGAAGAAGCATGTAACAGGAGGCTTGAATTAAGGCGGCATTTGAGATGAGCTTCTAAAAGGAGACTTTCAGCAGGCGTGAGTGGGGTGGGCGAGGAAGCAGCCATTGCCAGCAGCGAACAGCACACACAGGTGAAAGTGGGAGACCTTATGGGGACCTGAGTGTGGGTGGTGACATGGTAGACAATGGTGAGACAATGGGACTGGAAGGGAATTTGGGCCAAGTCATTGAGGCCTCAGATGCCATAAGACATCTTATGTAATACAATACATCTTAATAATGCGGGCAAAATAATAAGACATCTTAATAATGCAGGCAGTAGAGAGCCAGGAGAGAGTTGGGGTGGCAGACTGACAGGGCGAGGTCTCTGCTTAAAAGACATACAGCTTTGATGGCATTGTGGCAGGTGAGTTGGTTGGAGACAGAGTGACAGCTAATGCCAGCAGTTGAGGTTATAAATCAGGTGAAGGCAGTGGAGATTAAAATGAGAGAATAAAATTGAGGAGTATGTTGCACTTAGGCTCAATTTAAACCTACAGAACAAAGTGGGCAGAGGAGTTGAAGGCAACTTAAAGGTTTTTCACCCAAATGAGTTTTAAATATATTTCTAAGCAAAAGATTGTATTGTAGGATTATCCACAGTCAAAGAAATTCCAGGCATCATCTGCAGTTAGCAGTGAAAAGAGAAGAATTTACAAATGATGAAAACTGAAAACAAATGAATCTTAATCTCCTTTCTTTCATCCTGATATTCTTATTCTATCCCTTATTACTTAAAGGTTAAATTGGAAATATTTAGGAATTTTTAATTTTATCTGATAAATGTTTAACACAAAGCATTTACCAATGGCTACTTATTCTTAGTTATCCCTAGTTAATTACAAATTATGCAATCGAATAATTTTGTTTCATTATGCCCTAGCATCATATCCCCACACACTGAGAACAAGCAGTGAGTTATCACACTCAAAGCAAGAACAATCTGTAATTTCGGCCTGAAGAGGATTCTGCAATTTTCCTAAGAAAAGAAGGCCTGCCTTCCCTCTTTGTGTGTGAGCATCCTAGTGTTGACTCTGGAACTCTGGATATTGTGGCTGGGTGCCAGCCCTGCTGACTAGGCTGCCAGGAAAGGGAGTGGAGTGGACACTGGCAACCCAGGCCAGAAATAAGCAAGGAGTAAACCCAATATTTCAAAAGCTTTGGGCCATAAAAAAATAAGTCAAAAGGTTTTAGTGATGAGAGGAAATTGGAACTCAGCCCCTCTCTATTATAAAATAAACAAAACAAATACAGCCATTTACAAGCGAAGTCACCTGATCGTTATTTAACTGTGGTTCTGTGTAACGCATTATCACCCAATGGGAGACAGTGAGCTGTCAGGGAGGGAACAAGGCTTTGGACTTGGGCAGCCTGAATTGGCAACTGAATATCTCCACTTACTACTTGTGTGACCTTGGACAAGCTGGGCTTTTCTGAACCCAGGTCTCTTAATCAGGAAACTATGATAAGTTTCACCTTCAAGGCTTGTCATGCAGATCAGCTGAGCAGACAAATGGAGTACTCAATCACCTAGCAGGTTGTCAACCATCAGTCCTTTAGTATGTGCCAAGTTGGTTCTCTGCTAGGCACTTGGAATGTAGTGAGAATAATCTTGCTCTCACAGTCCCAGTTTCTAAATAAAATTTTTAATATCATATTTATTTAAAATATGTTCATTTTCTTTGTTACTTTTTTATTGATACATAATATTTGCACATATTTATGGAGTACATGTGATATTTTGTTACATGCATAGAATGTGTAATAATCAAGTCAGATTGTCCAACTCCTCCAGTGTTTATTTCTGTGTGCTGGGAACATTTCAAGTCCCCTCTTCTAGCTATCCTGAAATATACAGTATGTTGTTGCAAACTATAGCCACCCTACTATGCTGTCAAGCATTAGAACGTATTCCTTCTATCCAACTGTATGTTTGTACCCAGTAACCAACCTCTCTCATCTCACTGAACCTCCCTCACCCCCGGCCTCTGGTAACCATCATTCTACTCTCCGTGCCCATGAGATCAACTTTTATAGCTCCTGTCTATGAGTAGGAACATGCAGTATTTGTCTTTCTGTTCCTGGCTTATTTCACTTAACATAATATCCTCCAATTCTATCCATGTTGCTGCAAATATCACAATCCCCTTAACAGTGAGACAGATATTTAAAAAGCAAGCAAAAAATGAATATTTTTTTTTGCAGTGGCTCACACCTGTAATCTCAGCACTTTGGGAGGCCGAGGTGGGTGGATCACTTGAAGTCAGGAGTGTGAGACCAGACTGACCAAGATGGTGAAACCCCGTCTCTACTAAGAATACAAAAATTAGCCAGGCATGATGGTGTATGCCTGTAATCCCAGCTACTCAGGAGGCTGAGGCAGGAGAATCACTTGAACCCAGGAGGTGGAGGTTGCAGTGAGCCGAAATTGCGCCACCGCACTCCAGCCTGGGTGACAGAGTGAGACTCCTTCTCAAAAAAAAAAAAAAAAAGAATATTATAGCAGGACAGTTATTGACCTTAGACCAAGGCAAGATGGGCTCTGTGGTTTAAAAGCCCCACCCTGGGCTTCTTCCCATTGAGCCCCTCTCTTTAGGATAAAGGGTCTGCAAGGCCAAAATCACATGCTGCACCTGCTCAGAGCCCATGCCCCTCTTCTGGACTTGCTCAGGGAGTAGAATCCTGGAATTCCATGCTCCAACAAACCCACCCTTGTTCCTAGGGTGTACATGGGTCTTTCTTTTTGAGGGTATGCTATTCCACTGGGATGGGCACCTCGGACATGGGGTGTGGCTGCTGTGATATTTATAGTTTGTGGGATGGAGGTTGGCAAGTATGTATGAGTGTGAGGTCCCCTGTGGTGCAGGATGGAGTGGGGGTGAGAAGAGAAGTGGGAAGGGCAGCTGTGAACTGGCTCTTTCTCCTGGTGCTTCTCAGTGCAGAGCACTGAAGAGTTCAAGAACTCTACCTTCCATTCTGATCTCCCAGACCACTAGGAGGATACACTAGTGTAGAGGCAGATAGGAGGAGAGAACACCTTTTGTGTCACAGCTTTTTTTCTTGATAGCATCTGTGGCACACTTAGACATCTAGTAGATGGGCCTACATTTACACTCTTGTTTTGGGCAGGGCATGTGGTTGGCAGAATATTCTTCCAATGAGCATCTTTTGACTGGCCCATTCATGTATCTTAGTTTCTTGAACCAACTCATAGTCATTTTTAAATCTCTCTGTTCCTTTATACAGGTGTGCCTCTTACTTGGAACCCACTTTCCCTCCATTTCCTTTGTAAGTCTTTTGCTCATTCATCACCAAGGTTAGAAGTCATTTCTCTGTGAACCCTTCCCTATCAGAGCAGGTCTGAGCATGTGGTGTCCGTTCAGTGGGGGTAATGTGTGGGCAGCTGAAGTCTGATTCGTACCTTCCAGACCAAAAGAAAGGCACTGGTTCCAGCGTAGTGTCCCATAGCAGAAACATGGCTCGGAGCTCAGTTTAAAGGTGTTCCTTGAATGAGGCCAATCCTTTTTGGGGGAGGGGAAGGGGAAGGAGGGTCTCCCAACCCCCGCCTTTTTTATTTGAGAAAGAATCTCATTCTGTCACCCAGGCTGGAGTGAAGTGGTGTGATCTCAACTCACTGCAACCTCCACCTCCTGGGTTCAAGGGATTCTCCTGCCTCAGCCTCCAGATTAGCTGGGACTACAGGCACCCACCACCACACCCCGCTAATTTGAGATCTCCCCTTTTTTATCCTTTCTCACTGTATTTATGTGTGTCTTGGTCAGAGTCTTCGTCTGGATTCAGTGGGATGGCATTACATGGTGGTGTAGGTGTCCTGAAACTGAAGGAGAAATTTAGGTCTGTGTGGCCACATTAGTTCCTCTCAGGAGAGAGCAGGCATCCAACTTCAATGAGGAATGCAACAGAGAGAGAGAAAAAAAGAAAGATCGGGTGATTGAGTAGACATTGAGGTCTGAAAAAATGTAGAAGTCAAGTCGAACAAATAAGCATAAACATGTACTTTTAGGAAGAAGTCCATGTTGCTGGTGCCCTGCTCACATTGCTTTGGCCCAGCCTTGAAGGACAGCTGCAGAGTGGATTCTCTCATCTCCCTTCCCAGAGGCATCCTCTGGCCAAATAAGGGGGCATTCTCGGCCATCAAGCTGAGCAGGCCAGTGAGGGGTGGGCACTGAGGGGCACACACCAGCTTGTGTCCCACTCAGAGGGGCGGTTCTGAGGCATGCTCCCTACAGTCTCCCAGAGTGGCCCCAGGAGGGCTAAGCCTCAGTTGCCCATGATGGCAATGCTCATTATTGCACCCTCGTGGCTTCCTTCTCTTTCCTGCCTCATTTCGTACTCCCAAGCTGTGCTCCCCTGCATCACTTCCTAAACTAAATCCCTTCATCTAAGAACTTATCCCAGGGTCTGCTTTGGGGAAGAACAAAAGACAAAGCACTTATGATATACTCAAGACTAACAGAAGCATAAGCTTCTGAGGATTTAAATGCAAATAGAAACAATGCAATAGAAATAGACTAAAAGGCCTGTGCTCTCCTTAACCCACCCAGCCTATTTCAGACTGATGGGCTTGGGGTCATTTTCTGCCAGAGTGCTTATTGCTCTTTAAATTCTTGGTTTTCCGGACGTGGAATATTAACACCATCTAATAAGTTGAACTACTTGTTCTTTATTAGAGAACTAGAGGAACCAGGCCCATATGTTTGATGGCAACTTGACAAAGCTCTATTAAGAGCTCACACCTATGAATACAGTGTGGTTTGCCAGAAAAGGGGCATTCAGTTTCCGAGCCAAATATAGTACACTGAAGCACTAAGATGTATGAACTGAATCTTGACCTGCTGGTATGTAAACTTTTCAAAGTTCCCAAATTTGAAGACAGGTTGGACATTTTTCTAGTGGAGTTCCTGGACCCAAAGTTATTTTTTATGAAGCAGTTTTGTAAAATTTATGATGTGAGGTTACAATATGCCTTTTTCTTGTGATTCATCCTTCTTGCAAGCTTCTATGTAGCAAGCCGGCAAAAGGCAGTGGAAGGGACTTCTGGGGACGGTCCTGTCATTTCCTGCAGTATTTTCGTGAGTCATTCAGCATCGGTCTCTTCCCTACTCCTATTGTCTGGCTGGAGAGAAGCACCCTTTCATAGGTGAGCTTTTCCTACAAACATGAGAGATTAAAAATAAGATCTTCAAATGAAGAAATAATTTGACATTTATTCATTGAAAATCACTCATCTTCAACTCATCTTCCATTTACAGCTCTACCCCTTTCTTTTATGGATGGAGAAAATGAGGCCCAGAAAAATAAATGGATTTGTCCAAGATAACCCTGATTGTTTAATCAGGGTGTTGCAGAGCTCACATCCGCTGGTCATGTGTTTGCTGGAGGACTCAACTTTTGGAGTCTCTGATTTTTATTTGTAAAAAAGAGGTAGTAGTATAGTTCTTGAAGATTCATCTTACAGAAGTAAATTGATGGAAAAACTACTTTATTAAGGCATAATTGACATAAAATAAACAGCATGCACTTAAAGTGTACAATTTGATAAGCATTGACTTATGTGTACATCCATGAAACTGTCACTACAATCAAGATGGCAAACAGCCCTCATCCCCAAGAGGTTCCCTGTGCCCCTTGTCATCCTTCCCTGCATTCCTCCCTCTCTTCCTCCCTAGACAATCACTGATCTGCTTAGTTTACATTTTCTGGAGTTTTATATAGTGGAATCACACAGATTTTATTCTTTTTTGTATGACTTCTTTTACTCAACATAATTGTTTTGACATTCATTCTTTATATGGAATGAATCAATATTTATTCTTTTTATTTTTGAGTAGGATTTTAAGGTATGGATACATCTCAACTTGCTTATTCATTCACCTGTTGGTGGGCATGTGAGTTGTTTAAGTTTTGGGTTATTACAAATAAAGCTGCTTGAATGTTTATGTATATGACTTTGTGTGTATTTATGCTTTCATTTTTTCTTTGGTAAAAACCAAGAATGGAATAGCTGCATCATATGGTGATTGTGTTTTTTTTTAAACTTTATAAGGAACTGACACATTGTTTTCCAAAGGGGCTGTATCATTTTACATTCTCACCAGCAGTGAATGAGATTCTAGTTCTTCCATATCCTCACCAATACTTGCTGTGGTCAGTCTTTTTAGCTATTCTAACAGATATCTCATTATAGTTTTAGTTTGCTTATTCTTAATGACTAATGATGTCAAGCATCTATTCATGTGCTTATTTGCCATACAAGTATTTTTTTTCCAAGAAAATGTCTGTTCAAATCTTTTGCCCATTTTTAAATTGGGTGGTTTATTTTCTATTATGGATACAAGTCCTTTATCAGATATATAATTTGCAAATATTTTCTCCACGTCTCTTTTTCATTCTCTTAACACTGCACTTTGAAGAACAGAAAAATTTTAATGAAGTCCAATTTATTAACTTTTTCTTTTATGAATCATGTTTTCAGGGTCATATCTAATAACCTAATAAAATTTATCTATGTTTTCTTGTAAAATTTTACAGTGATAGGTTTAACATTTAAATCTATTATCTATTTGCATTGCTCTTTTTAATATGGTATAAGGTGTGAAAATAAGTTAATTTTCCTTTACACATATATATCCATTTTTTTAAAACAGTACATTTGTTGAAAAGGCTGTTTTTTCTTTACTGAATTACCTTTTTATCTTTGTTGAAAATCAGTTGTTCATATACGTGTGGTTCCATCCATTTCTGGATTCTTGATTCTGTTCCCAAGATTTAGAATCTATCATGTGGTATGAATCCTGTAACTGTAAGTTAATAAATAATTTATGTCAATTATCTTTTACGTGTTTGGCACATAGTGGACCCTTAGTGAATGCTATTTTACTGTCTTCTTTTATTGGACATTTTTGCTGTGACTGTGAAATAATTACTCCCAACTCCTTTAAGTTCTCTAAGTCAACAATTATTAAATGATTCTCATTGTGATCTACCCACCTGAGTGCTTTTGCCGAGAATCATTACAGAAACAATATTCTCTGCTCTTAAGAACCTTATGGCCTATAAGAGATGGAGATAAAAATATATTTTTTAAGTAAACATTTTCTTTCTTATGTTGTATTTCCAGTTCATATCAAATAAAGCAAGACATGCTTGACGGTAGAATTTGCTTTCTGTGACTCCTTCTAAATATACATGATTATTCACTCCATGCTAAAAACACAAAGACATCAGGACACAAAGAGAGTGACCTGTGAATGCTGTAGGAGACAGCAGGATTCTTTGAAGAACAGCCTAGTTGGATGTGCTGAGTAGATTTACTCAAGCTTGGTAACTGTTGGAACACATTTATACACAATTATATATAAATTGTTTAGAATACAAAACTTTCTTCTTAGTACTGTACGGATATGAAGAAGGGATGGATGTGAGTCCTGTTGATCAAAGACCTAAGGGTCTAAAAGGAAGAAGCATGCCTGGGTGTATTTCAGACACTGGGGAAAGTGATGTGTGGTGTAGGAGAGGAGGCGATATGCTGCAGTGAGGTTCTAGGAGAGGAATGGGTCAATCTACTCAGCACTACTAATATTATTGTTACTATTTTTTAACATAGGTAGCTACCTGTGTTTGCCCCAGTGAGAGCATTACCAAGCTTAGTAATGCTGTCATTGGGGCCATCTGAGAACTATAATTTGGGTAGACTCTGGCCTGGAGGATAGCAACTCCCACTGACACCAGGAATCGGGCACTCCTCTATCCTTGGCTCTGCTTTCTTAAGTGCTACCTCCATTCTCCAGCTTTGGTAGGAAAGGTAGCCCCAGCGGTTACAGGTAAAGTGGCCTGTGATCTCAGAGAGCAAGGCTTCTGATGGGTGATGAACGCCCATCCCTGGAGTAATCACTGTGATCTGGGAGATGCGTTTGGACTGGACCGGCCAGTGAGGGGCCTACCTACCTGCCTAGATGAAAACTATCACTTGCACAGAAATACATGGAAAGATGAAGAGGCATAAAGTTAATGGAGATTAATTGTACCAGCTTTGTAGGAGCACAGGAATAATAACCATTTATGGAACAAATATTTCTATGTATTTTTTTTCAAACTGTAATTAAGGGTACCATTGTCCCCAATTCTTTACCCCTCCCTTTATCTCTATCCTTTGCCAAGTGACTTGCAGTCCCCCACCTCTATGGGAGGAGTATATGTCCTTTATCCTTGACTCTGGGCGTGACCTTGTGATTTGCTTTGGCCAATGACACCAAGGGGACAGTGACAGTGTTCCAGTTCTGATCCTAGGCCTTAAGAAACGTCACGTGTTTCTGTTGTTCTTGAACTTCTGCTGTCTTATGAAAAGAGCATGCCCTAGCTGGGTGGCTGTTCCTGGCATGGGCTGAGGGAATGGAGGGTGACCAGTGGAACGGGGCTGCCCCACACAACCCACAAACTCATGAGCAAAATACATTCTTCTGGTTTATGCTACTGAGATTTTGAGGTTGTTTATTATGCAACAGAAGCTAACTGATTCAAGGGCCAGCAGGGCTGAATATAGTATCTCAGCATCTGTGAATGCAATGCCACCTATATAAAGGCAGAGGTTATAATGTACACCACTTTATTCCCAATGCCTAGAAGATTGCCTGACACATGGTAGATCCCCAGTAAACATACTCCAAAAGTACTGCTTCACTACAAAGTGCTGGCCACTGTGACAGGAACAGAGGTAGAAATAGACATATGATGGGGTATACTTTAAAGGAGTTTGGCTTGTGTTTGGAGAGACCAAATGGATATGTTAAGTTTGCAGGGCAGGGTGAAAAAAGTACCATATTGGAAATAGGTTATGTAAGTAGAAGTGATATGTGTGTCATCACAGTTGTATCAGAGGGGTGGTCTAGCCCCACTCATATCCTCTGTCCTGCACCCATCAAGGCACACTGGCCTGACTCCTGGCTCCCACCAGTCATCACCTACATTTCTTTACCCGATAATCTCTCTGGCCATCAGAGCCTACTTTTCTTTCTTGCACAGGCCAGAAGTACCAGAATATGAATCCCCCCGCTACTCCCTCCAGGAGCAGCCCTCAGCCAATGACTAATGGGAGTTGGTGTATAAATAACCCACTGTCTTGGTTCTCATCCCAGATGGATGACACTGAGGTGTGTTCTACTGTGGCTCTCAGAATTCCCAATGAGATTAAGCTCCTGTTACCCTTAGATAACTTGCTTGAAAATGTATATCCTGTGATCACTCCAAAATAAATGACTGGTTGGTGAATTTTTGTCTTAGCATCTGCTTCCGGCAGAATCCAAACAAAGACATGAGAATTAAATTTTTGGTTTCATTCTTGTTTTATTTTCTTAACATACATGCTTATATGTAAACCAATTTTGAATTTTATGTATCAACAATTTAAGTTCTACTGCTTTAAGATTATATGGACATTAAATGTACAGAAAAATAGAAACCAACAAAAGATAAATAAATTAAATACATTTTTAAAAAAGTCTCGCGAGTTGTGGTGGCTTAATATTGCCGTGAGCTAATGCCTTGAGGGCTACTCTCTCTGGAGTGGGAATGGAGCTCTCAGTAATTCGACAGTTTTGGCCAGTGGCTTGTCACACGGGTTGTGCATTCACCTGGCTTTAGGAGGAAGAGGAGGCATGGCAGCCCTGCCTTCATCTTCCTCTTTACTTTGCCCTCACTATCACTGTTAACTTCGATTCATGGATGCTTTTCAGGGATTTTTTTTTCTAAGCCACCTAGCCAATTCGAGGGGTTTAGTGTACTTAAAACCAGATAGTATAATCCATAAACCCACTAAATTGGGCACATGTGAGCTGCAATATGTCACAAGATGCAGAAAACCAGCCCTGAGTGAGGGCACTGCCTTCCGCAGCTGTCCTCTGGATCTTTCCTGTAATGTCAGTGACACATGACCGCTGGCATGCAGCCTGCTAAGGGACGGTGTCCATCTGCATATCAACCAAGACAAAAGCCTGGCTCATCATTTATTTAGAGAAAGCAAACATAAATGGAAGAAATTATATTTTCCTCCTATTCCATAGTTTATCATGTCTTGCCCCACCTGGGTAGTGTCACTTGTCCTGAAGATGGTAGGAGTGAGGGAAAAGAGGTGAGCCCTTTGAAGTATAGATGAGTTGAGAGCCAAATATGGAGACAGAGCGTGAAGACTCCTTGTGGGAAGCATGAGTGGACAAGGCCAGCGTCCCTAGGGAGAAAGGGGAAGCTTTTTTTTTTTTTTCTAGATTTTTTTTTATTATACTTTAAGTTTTAGGGTACATGTGCACATTGTGCAGGTTAGTTACATATGTATACATGTGCCATGCTGGTGCGCTGCACCCACTAATTCGTCATATAGCATTAGGTATATCTCCCGATGCTATCCCTCCCCCCTCCCCCCACCCCACAACAGTCCCCAGAGTGTGATATTCCCCTTCCTGTGTCCATGTGATCTCATTGTTCAATTCCCACCTATGAGTGAGAATATGCGGTGTTTGGTTTTTTGTTCTTGCGATAGTTTACTGAGAATGATGATTTCCAATTTCATCCATGTCCCTACAAAGGACATGAACTCATCATTTTTTATGGCTGCATAGTATTCCATGGTGTATATGTGCCACATTTTCTTAATCCAGTCTATCATTGTTGGGCATTTGGGTTGGTTCCAAGTCTTTGCTATTGTGAATAATGCCGCAATAAACATACGTGTGCATGTGTCTTTATAGCAGCATGATTTATAGTCCTTTGGGTATATACCCAGTAATGGGATGGCTGGGTCAAATGGTATTTCTAGTTCTAGATCCCTGAGGAATCGCCACACTGACTTCCACAATGGTTGAACTAGTTTACAGTCCCACCAACAGTGTAAAAGTGTTCCTATTTCTCCACATCCTCTCCAGCACCTGTTGTTTCCTGACTTTTTAATGATTGCCATTCTAACTGGTGTGAGATGGTATCTCATAGTGGTTTTGATTTGCATTTCTCTGATGGCCAGTGATGATGAGCATTTTTTCATGTGTTTTTTGGCTGCAAAAATGTCTTCTTTTGAGAAGTGTCTGTTCATGTCCTTTGCCCACTTTTTGATGGGGTTGTTTGTTTTTTTCTTGTAAATTTGTTTGAGTTCATTATAGATTCTGGATATTAGCCCTTTGTCAGATGAGTAGGTTGCGAAAATTTTCTCCCATTTTGTAGGTTGCCTGTTCACTCTGATGGTAGTTTCTTTTGCTGTGCAGAAGCTCTTTAGTTTAATTAGATCCCATTTGTCAATGTTGGCTTTTGTTGCCATTGCTTTTGGTGTTTTAGACATGAAGTCCTTGCCCATGCCTATGTCCTGAATGGTAATGCCTAGGTTTTCTTCTAGGGTTTTTATGGTTTTAGGTCTAACGTTTAAATCTTTAATCCATCTTGAATTGATTTTTGTATAAGGTGTAAGGAAGGGATCCAGTTTCAGCTTTCTACATATGGCTAGCCAGTTTTCCCAGCACCATTTATTAAATAGGGAATCCTTTCCCCATTGCTTGTTTTTCTCAGGTTTGTCAAAGATCAGATAGTTGTAGTTATGTGCCGTTATTTCTGAGGGCTCTGTTCTGTTCCATTGATCTATATCTCTGTTTTGGTACCAGTACCATGCTGTTTTGGTTACTGTAGCCTTGTAGTATAGTTTGAAGTCAGGTAGTGTGACGCCTCCAGCTTTGTTCTTTTGGCTTAGGACTGCCTTGGAGATGCGGGCTCTTTTTTGGTTCCATATGAACTTTAAAGTAGTGTTTTCCAATTCTGTGAAGAAAGTCATTGGTAGCTTGATGGGGATGGCATTGAATCTGTAAATTACCTTGGGCAGTATGGCCATTTTCATGATATTGATTCTTCCTACCCATGAGCATGGAATATTCTTCCATTTCTTTGTATCCTCTTTTATTTTGTTGAGCAGTGGTTTGTAGTTCTCCTTGAAGAGGTCCTTCACATCCCTTGTAAGTTGGATTCCTAGGTATTTTATTCTCTTTGACGCAATTGTGAATGGGAGTTCACTCATGATTTGGCTCTCTGTTTGTCTGTTGTTGGTGTATAAGAATGCTTGTGATTTTTGTCCATTGATTTTGTATCCTGAGACTTTGCTGAAGTTGCTTATCAGCTTAAGGAGATTTTGGGCTGAGACAATGGGGTTTTCTAGATACACAATCATGTCGTCTGCAAACAGGCACAATTTGACCTCCTCTTTTCCTAATTGAATACCTTTTATTTCCTTCTCCTGCCTAATTGCCCTGGCCAGAACTTCCAACACTATGTTGAATAGGAGTGGTGAGAGAGGGCATCCTTGTCTTGTGCCAGTTTTCAAAGGGAATGCTTCCAGTTTTTGCCCATTCAGTATGATATTGGCTGTGGGTTTGTCATAGATAGCTCTTATTATTTTGAAATACGTCCCATCAATACCTAATCTATTGAGAGTTTTTAGCATGAAGTGTTGTTGAATTTTGTCAAAGGCCTTTTCTGCATCTATTGAGATAATCATGTGGTTTTTGTCTTTGGCTCTGTTGATATGCTGGATTACATTTATTGATTTGCGTATATTGAACCAGCCTTGCATCCCAGGGATGAAGCCCACTTGATCATGGTGGATAAGCTTTTTGATGTGCTGCTGGATTCGTTTTGCCAGTATTTTATTGAGGATTTTTGCATCAATGTTCATCAAGGATATTGGTCTAAAATTCTCTTTTTTTGTTGTGTCTCTGCCTGGCTTTGGTATCAGAATGATGCTGGCCTCACAAAATGAGTTAGGGAGGATTCCCTCTTTTTCTATTGATTGGAATAGTTTCAGAAGGAATGGTACCAGTTCCTCCTTGTACCTCTGGTAGAATTCAGCTGTGAATCCATCTGGTCCTGCACTCCTTTTGGTTGGTAAGCTATTGATTATTGCCACAATTTCAGCTCCTGTTATCGGTCTATTCAGAGATTCAACTTCTTCCTGGTTTAGTCTTGGGAGAGTGTATGTGTCGAGGAATTTATCCATTTCTTCTAGATTTTCTAGTTTATTTGCGTAGAGGTGTTTGTAGTATTCCCTGATGGTAGTTTGTATTTCTGTGAGATCGGTGGTGGATATCCCCTTTATCATTTTTTATTGCGTCTATTTGATTCTTCTCTCTTTTTTTCTTTATTAGTCTTGCTAGTGGTCTATCAATTTTGTTGATCCTGTCAAAAAACCAGCTCCTGGATTCATTAATTTTTTTGAAGGGTTTTTTGTGTCTCTATTTCCTTCAGTTCTGCTCTGATCTTAGTTATTTCTTGCCTTCTGCTAGCTTTTGAATGTGTTTGCTCTTGCTTTTCTAGTTCTTTTAATTGTGATGTTAGGGTGTCAATTTTGGATCTTTCCTGCTTTCTCTTGTGGGCATTTAGTGCTATAAATTTCCCTCTACACACTGCTTTGAATGCGTCCCAGAGATTCTGGTATATTGTGTCTTTGTTCTCGTTGGTTTCAAAGAACATCTTTATTTCTGCCTTCATTTCGTTATGTACCCAGTAGTCATGCAGGAGCAGGTTGTTCAGTTTCCATGTAGTTGAGCAGTTTTGAGTGAGATTCTTAATCCTGAGTTCTAGTTTGATTGCACTGTGGTCTGAGAGATAGTTTGTTATAATTTCTGTTCTTTTACATTTGCTGAGGAGAGCTTTACTTCCCAGCATGTGGTCAATTTTGGAATAGGTGTGGTGTGGTGCTGAAAAAAATGTATATTCTGTTGATTTGGGGTGTAGAGTTCTGTAGATGTCTACTAGGTCCACTTGGTGCAGAGCTGAGTTCAATTCCTGGGTATCCTTGTTGACTTTCTGTCTTGTTGATCTGTCTAATGTTGACAGTGGGGAGTTAAAGTCTCCCATTATTAATGAGTGGGAGTCTAAGTCTCTTTGTAGGTCACTCAGGACTTGCTTTATGAATCTTGGTGCTCCTGTATTGGGTGCATATATATTTAAGATAGTTAGCTATTCTTGTTGAATTGATCCCTTTACCATTATGTAATGGCCTTCTTTGTCTCTTTTGATCTTTGTTGGTTTAAAGTCTGTTTTATCAGACTAGGATTGCAACCCCTGCCTTTTTTTGTTTTCCATTTGCTTGGTAGATCTTCCTCCATCCTTTTATTTTGAGCCTATGTGTGTCTCTGCACGTGAGATGGGTTTCCTGAATACAGCACACCGATGGGTCTTGACTCTTTTTCCAATTTGCCAGTCTGTGTCTTTTAATTGGAGCATTTAGTCCATTTACATTTAAAGTTAATATTGTTATGTGTGAAATTGATCCTGTCATTATGATGTTAGCTGGTTATTTTGCTTGTTAGTTGATGCAGTTTCTTCCTAGTCTCGATGGTCTTTACATTTTGGCATGATTTTGCAGTGGCTGGTACCGGTTGTTCCTTTCCATGTTTAGTGCTTCCTTCAGGAGCTCTTGTAAGGCAGGCCTGGTGGTGACAAAATCTCTCAGCATTTGCTTGTCTGTAAAGTATTTTATTTCTCCTTCACTTATGAAGCTTAGTTTGGCTGGATATGAAATTCTGGGTTGAAAATTCTTTTCTTTAAGAATGTTGAATATTGGCCCCCACTCTCTTCTGGCTTGTAGGGTTTCTGCCGAGAGATCCGCTGCTAGTCTGATGGGCTTCCCTTTGAGGGTAACCCGACCTTTCTCTCTGGCTGCCCTTAACATTTTTTCCTTCATTTCAACTTTGGTGAATCTGACAATTATGTGTCTTGGAGTTGCTCTTCTCGAGGAGTATCTTTGTGGCGTTCTCTGTATTTCCTGAATCTGAACATTGGCCTGCCTTGCTAGATTGGGGAAGTTCTCCTGGATAATATCCTGCAGAGTGTTTTCCAACTTGGTTCCATTCTCCCCATCACTTTCTGGTACACCAATCAGATGTAGATTTGGTCTTTTCACATAGTCCAATATTTCTTGGAGGCTTTGCTCATTTCTTTTTATTCTTTTTTCTCTAGACTTCCCTTCTCGCTTCATTTCTTTCATTTCATCTTCCATTGCTGATACCCTTTCTTCCAGTTGATTGCATCGGCTCCTGAGGCTTCTGCATTCTTCACGTAGTTCTCGAGCCTTGGCTTTCAGCTCCATCCACTCCTTTAAGCACTTCTCTGTATTGGTTATTCTAGTTATACATTCTTCTAAATTTTTTTCAAAGTTTTCAGCTTCTTTGCCTTTGGTTTGAATGTCCTCCCGTAGCTCAGAGTAATTTGATCGTCTGAAGCCTTCTTCTCTCAGCTCGTCAAAGTCATTCTCCATCCAGCTTTGTTCCGTTGCTGGTGAGGAACTGCGTTCCTTTGGAGGAGGAGGGGCGCTCTGCTTTTTAGAGTTTCCAGTTTTTCTGTTCTGTTTTTTCCCCATCTTTGTGGTTTTATCTACTTTTGGTCTTTGATGATGGTGATGTACAGATGGGTTTTTGGTGTGGATGTCCTTTCTGTTTGTTAGTTTTCCTTCTAACAGAGAGGACCCTCAGCTGCAGGTCTGTTGGAGTACTCTGCCGTGTGAGGTGTCAGTGTGCCCCTGCTGGGGGGTGCCTCCCAGTTAGGCTGCTCGGGGGTCAGGGGTCAGGGACCCACTTGAGGAGGCAGTCTGCCAGTTCTCAGATCTCCAGCTGCGTGCTGGGAGAACCACTGCTCTCTTCGAAGCTGTCAGACAGGGACATTTAATTCTGCAGAGGTTACTGCTGCCTTTTTGTTTGTCTGTGCCCTGCCCCCAGAGGTGGAGCCTACAGAGGCAGGCAGGTCTCCTTGAGCTGTGGTGGGCTCCACCCAGTTTGAGCTTCCTGGCTGCTTTGTTTACCTAAGCAAGCCTGGGCAATGGCGGGCACCCCTCTCCCAGCCTCGCTGCCGCCTTGCAGTTTGATCTCAGACTGCTGTGCTAGCAATCAGCGAGACTCCGTGGGCGTAGCACCCTCCGAGCCAGGTGCGGGATATAATCTCGTGGTGCACTGTTTTTTAAACCCGTTGGAAAAGCGCAGTATTCGGGTGGGAGTGACCCGATTTCCCAGGTGCCGTCCGTCACCCCTTTCTTTGCCTCAGAAAGGGAACTCCCTGACGCCTTGCGCTTCCCAAGTGAGGCAATGCCTCGCCCTGCTTCGGCTGCCGCACGGTGCACGCACCCACTGACCTGCGCCCACTGTCTGGCACTCCTTAGTGAGATGAACCCGGTACCTCAGATGGAAATGCAGAAATCACCCGTCTTCTGCGTCGCTCACGCTGGGAGCTGTAGACTGGAGCTGTTGCTATTCGGCCATCTTGGCTCCTCCCCAAGGGGAAGCTTTTTAAGCTTTTTATTCTAAGGACTATTGAGGTCATTTCAGTGATCAAAGTGAGATTTATTGTTCACTAATCGGGCTCCTATGTGATCTTATATTGCATATTAGTGCAGATTTTATATAATTTCTATTCACAACAGCTATTGATGAAACAATGTTTCCCACATTTTTGTCCTTTTAGTGCTAAAAATTAAAACCAAAGTTAGGGGTATAGAATTTAGGATTATAGAACTAGGGATTTGTTGGTCCTTAAATAGCTGGGTGCTGTTTGTTGAAAGAGTGATTCTACTATGAAATTGCATAGCATGTTGCAAGTTCCATCATAATATAAAGAAAGTTCAGGATGTTTAATATTTTTTATAGCATGATAATCATTGGTTTGTAGCCTGAGTGGTGACTTCTTTCAAAATTGAGAAACACGCATTGAGCGTTTACTTAGAAACAGTCACAGAAAAATGGAAACATGATTTTTATTAAACTTTAGATGAAAAAAATTAAGCCTTTTTTTTTTTAGTCTCAGATCAGTAAAGGTCAAACTCACCATCTGAAGTTAGTTTGTGTGTTTTTTTCTTTCTTTTTCATTTTTTAAAAAAGAAAAAATGTGTGGGTCATCAGACCCCACTCAATAAAACTTGCTCCATTGATTCTAAAAAATGGCATATTAAGAACCAGGAGCTATATTATGTTATGCATATCTCTTGGCCTTCTATGGGTTATTTTTGCAAATAAAAGCTCATTGGAGGGACTGGACAATCTTGAGGCAACCCTCAGAAGTGGTTTGCTTTCCTGGTACACCAATCGTGTTTTATAAAGTTGTCAACCATGAGACCTTATTACAGCAAAGATGAAATGGTGGTTACTACAATCCCTGTAAATCATACTTTTCCATGGACATTTCTGCATTCATTAGGGGAGCGAAAGGCAGTGGTTGAAGTGTGCTCATGATTTTTTTTTTATAGGCTTCTTGATGAACTGAGGATGAAGGGTTAAAACTGCAAGCAAGCCAAGGCCGTTTCTAGGTTTTGAGCCCAGTGATTTCACTATGTGGTCTTAGAAACTCACAGTAAAATCAAAGAGTTAATATTAATTTATAGGCTCTGCCCTGCTTTCATATGCCAGCCCTAGTTAGCGACCTCAGGAAGTGCAGCAGGGTGAGGCACCATATTTCAAGGTTGGCCCTGCATTTATGGCCTCATTTACAAGCCGCCTAAAATCAAAACGCAACATTGCATATTCCTTTTGTGCATTATAAAGAGACTCCTTAGCCTCCTAACTCACCTGGGAGATATTCAGATACACCCCATTCAGAGAGAATGTGGCTTCCATCAGATTAGAGACTCTGAAATCTATGTTTAAAGATGTTAAGTGCCCTCAGTTCTGGAACCAACTCTTTCTCATAATAAACACTGTGCTAAATGGATGTATGGAGATGTTTCTCTCCAGCAAAGATAAGGAAATGGCTGGAAGACTGCGAAAGAATAGATGTGCCACTTTGGAAGTTGGCATAAAAATGAATGATATTTTTACTTTTTGGAAAGCCAAGCAGGTCCCAGAGTCGTGGGGCAGTACTTGGCCTCATCTCTGAGGCCACCCATTCTGCTGCTGGCAGCCACAGTGATGTACCCTTGGCACTATGTCGCTCCCCCTACTTGGCATCCTCAGTTTTTCTAAACTCATGGGTGAGAGACGAATGACGTCAGAGGCCCAAACCTTTGGATGCTGATCTAAAAGCATCAACCAAAACCCAACACCCGAGCTTCGTAAGTTCCCATTTGAAGCAGGAGCAGTTTTTATAGCAACAGACAAAGGATTGCTCTGTCCTTGTTGGAAGTGCTTGAGGACCAAGCACAGAGGTGGGCAAAGATCGTCATCAGGGCTTCTGCTACCTGTCTTAGCCCCAGCATTCTTCAAAAGAGATCCTCAGGGCAGTGATTCTCTGTGAGGCACCTGCCTTAAGCCCAGATGCTGAAAACAAGACAGGAACTAACCTCATTCTATGCCCACTTAACCTTTCTAATAGCTTTAGCACTGAATGACTCATATGAACCCATTTTACAGGTGAGAAAATTGAGGCCTAGAGAAGTTTTGAGGCACATCTGCTTATAGCTAGTGAAAAGTGAATTAAAACTCTGAACTAGTCTCACCTTATAGCCAGAGCTATCCATCATGGTAGCACGCAGCATCTAGGTGAGTTTGTGCTCTGGAGAGTTCATGTTTTTCACTGCTCACAGCTCCTGTGTTCTAGGTGGTACGTAATGGTGAACAGACTGGGCCCGAGATTAAGATTACATGATTGGAAGTGCAAGTTCATCACTTTTGGAGCACCTTGGGCAAATCACTTGTCCTTCATAGTCATTTGTTTCTGCATAAGTAAAATTGGGATAATAATAATAGTGGATAATAGTGCTGGCTCATAGAGTTATTGGGAGTTAATTACATGAGTTAAATCATGTAAAGTGTTGAGGGCAGTGCCTAGGCACGTAGTAAGAAATGTGAGTGATTACTGTTTTTATAACCTTATTGTTAATGCTAATTTGCTCCAGATGGCATGGTATACAGTGGTAACAGCTGATGACTTCTCTCCATTTGAATAAACTGTGCTAACTTAATACAGTGGCTCTCTGGAGCACTACAGGTCTAGCCAACCCTGCAGCACATTTAAGGTCTCAGTTTACATCACTTCCTCCAGTATCTCATTGGCCAAACCAAGTCATGTGGCCAATCTCATCATCCATGGAAGGGGGATCATATTTGTGCCATTAAGTTTCATGATAGAGAGAAAGAGGGATTGAAAACCATAACTGCACCCACCAAAAAAGCTATTGTCTTCTTTAAGCCTCACAACAGCATCCTGAGAAAGGTGATATTGGAAAGACATTATCTTACCCAGTTAAGGATAATTATCCCTGTAGAAAACATGAGGCTCAGGGAAATTCTGTGGTTGCCAATAAGGTTGGCATTGGGGCCAGCCCTTGAATTCAAGTTTTTCCCACTTTACCCAGATGTTATGGTGAGTTACATGTTATGGGGCAACAGTAGGTAAAGCTTTTGCATCTCCATAACACAACAATTGTGACTCACATTTACTACCCTGACCTATACTAGCACATGAGTTATCTCATTTACTCCCCTTGCAGACGCATACAGTTGGCCTTTTTGTTACTTACAGGCTTATTTTACAGGTGTGGAACTGAGGCCTCCTGCTCTCAGGCAGCCATAAACTTGCATGAAAGCCATGCCCCACTGTGTTTCTTTTCTTTTTCTAGTAATAGGATGAGGAAAACATGTTTTCCCTCCATTTCCTTCACATGAGGATTTCCTTGAGTTTAAAATCCTGTGTTGATAGAGATGGTTTATTTAGAAGAGCGTTGGCCTCCTTCGAAGAAAGGTCCTGCATAAATTTGAAGTGTTATGGTGAGATGGTATCCTGGAGACGTATGTGTGAATAATAAAAATGTCAGCACCTGCTGCAAAGAACCACTGAATGAAAGGAAAGGAAAATACCATACATCAAAGAAAGAGGTTTATTTAGATTCAAAGTCCCCTGGGTTAGGACCACACCTAGTACACTGTCACATCCAATAAATGTTGAGAAGTGACTGTCTAGCACATGAGACACAGTTGTGGAGATGTCCTAGGCAGGCTCCACCACAGAAGCAAAACATGATCCAGTTGCAATGGAAATCCACTCTTTGCTCATGTGCTTTTTCCCAAGTACTTGCTTATTAACATATAACTCTGCTAATGAACCAAACACAGGGAGTTGCTTTCTAGAGCCGAAAAAAAGGGACTGTGAGAAAAAGCTAGGGTGGTCTAAGGAGTGAATTAGTGACAATGTCAGTGGATCAACTCCCAACACATAGGTTTTCAGACAGGGAATTAGTCTAGGCAGAAGTTCATCAGACCCAGTTCTTAGATGTCTTTGGTCTTTGTGGAAGATGCTGTTGGTGCCCTGTTCGTGTACTCCATGGGCTCTTACTGGAAGCACCATGGCTCATTCATTATCAGGGGGCTTTCTTGAGCACACTTTCTTGCACAAGGTGGGGCACAGGCTGGCATTTGTAGGGGAGGTGAAAGCCCCCAGGAGTGACCCTCAATCAATCTCAGTTGGGAATTGGTGGATAAGAGCTCCTGCTTCCTGGCCTCCCATTGGGACAACTCAGAGGCATATTCTGCACCCTCTCCCAGAGGCCTCTAATGGGACTGAGACCCAGTTACTTACAGAGGAAACCTGCTTGTTTGCCATCCCTGTCTATTGGCTCCTATCCCTTCCTTGTCTCACTCCCCTAATCCTCTCTTCCATCCAGTACTGCATGGGATCATCTCCCCAGGAAAGTCTCTTGTTTCAGAATTTGCTTCTGGGGGGATGTAAACTAAGACAGTCTTTTACAATCTAGCAAAAACCTTTCTGCTGTGGAAGTTCTGTGGAAAGGGTCACAGATCATGTGCAGTCACACAACACTCTTTGGATTATCACTGTCATGAAGGAGCAATGGGGGAGACCAACTCCTCCACGCAGGGCTCAGGATGTGTGCATGGTAGGCCAAGAGGGCAAGTGGGTGGGGAGGTGGAAGGGGTCAGGAAGGAGGCACAGACACCGTCAAAGCTTAAGGAGAACGGACCGTTGACACATGGAAATGGATACTGTGACACTTAGATTTATCGTCAGGCAAACTGTTCACCACAAACCCAAAGTTCCTCTAAACAATGCCTAGGAAAATCTTCCAGAAGTTTTGAGGATCTGGTGACCATATTTTCAGAATCAAAAGTTGGGAACCGGTCTGCCAAAAAATGTTTCCTTTATGATATGTGAATGTATCAGCACAGAAAAAGACATTAGAGAGAATATTGGGAATTGATCTTGCTCCAAAAATACTGAGATCTGTGGTCACCAGACTCAGGGGTCATGTCATCTGATTTAGTGTTTCTCAGCAGACTGTATATGTTACCATGGGTCGGGGAGTGGTAAGAGCAAAAGCTGAAATCAGAATATTTAAAATCATTGAGATTTTACAACAAAGCTTACTTGAAAAATGATAATACTATAATTTCATTTTCTTAACTTTTACCATAAAATAATTAAGTGCATATAAATATATATGTTTATAATGTAAAAAACTAGATATTTTATTTCTTTGGTGGTGAAAATCAAAGTCTCTGAGTAACTGAAAGGGTGTAGGCTATGAAAGGTTTATTCACTGATTTAATTCACATTTATTTTAAATCTATGGATAGGCACTATGCAAGCCCTTGCAATATAATGATAAATAAAACAGACAAAAATTTTCACCATCATTAAGTTTATCATGAGGGAGACAGGCATCATAAACAAATAAGATGTAATTACAAATTGAAAGGAACTGAAGAAGGTACCAAGAGAATCTGTGAGATTTTTTCTTTGTTAGACAGAAATCTAGTGACATGTCCAGGACGAAACAGTAAATTAATGGCAAAGCTAATGCTTCAACCAGTGGTTCCTGGCCCCCACAACAAGAGGGCAGAGACGAAGTACCTAGCACAGTGTCTGGCACATAGTAAGCCATCAAATTTTTTAAATTAATTGATTATTTTTTATTTAACTTTTATTTTAAGTTTGGGGGTACATGTGCAGGTTTGTTACATAGGTAAACTTGTGTCACAGGAGTTTGTTGTACAGATTATTTCATCACCCAGGTATTAAATCTAGTACCCATTAATTATTATTCCTGATCCACTTCATCCTCCCAACCCCACCCTCTGATAGGCCCAGTTCCCCTCGATGTGTCCATGTGTTCTAATCATTTAGCTCCCACTTATAAGTGAGAACATGCGGTATTTGGTTGTCTGTTCCTGTGTTAGTTTGCTAAGGATAATGGCCTCCAGCTCCATCATGTTCCTACAAAGGACACAATCTTGCTCTTTTTTATGGCTGCATAGTATTCCATGGTGTATATGTACCACAGTTTCTTTAATTAATCTTTCATTGATGGGCATTTGGGTTGATTCCATGTCTTTGGTATTGTGAATCATGCTGCATGAACATACGCATGCATATATCTTGAGAGTAGAATGATATATATTCCTTTGTGGATATACCCAGTAATGGAATTGCTGGGTCCAATGGTATTTCTGTTTTTGGGTCTTTGAGGAATTGCCACACTGTCTCCCACAATGGTTGAACTATTTACACTCCCACTAACAGTGTATAAGTGTTCCCTTTTCTCCACAACCTCACCAGCATTTGTTATTTTTTGACTTTTTAATAGGCATTCTGACTGGTGTAAGATAGTATCTCATTATGGTTTTGATTTGCATTTCTGTAATGATCAGTGGTGTTGAACTTTTCTTCATATGATGTTAGCCATCAAAATTGTTAACTCCTTCCCTTCCATTCCCATTTTGTGAGTCTTCAGTATGCAGAATACTGAGAAGAGCCCCTGGCATATGATAAGTGCTCAAAATACTAGTTACTATTATTGTTAATAGTATAACCAGCCAGGGATCAAAATTGCAGTATCAAAATTAGCAGATGCTTAAGTCCCTTATGTAAAATGCTGTAGTATTTGCATATAACCTAGGTACATCCTCCAGTATACTTTAAATCATCTCAAGATTACTTATACAATGTAAAGTTAGCTAGTACAATGTAAATGCTATGTAAATAGCTGCTATACTGCATTATTGCATGGTTTTAAAATTTGTATTATTTTTAAATAATACAAATTTTGGTTTTTTCCTGAATATTTTTGTTGTTTTTTTCCTGAATATTTTTGGTCTCTGGTTGGTTGAACCTGCGGATGCACAACCCATGGACATGGAATGCAGATTGTACAGGATTCAGCTCCCATTGAGAGACAGAACGTATTTCCCAAAGTGGTGGAACTACAGATTCAATTTCTAAGTGTATGACTTCAAGCTCCTGGCATTCTCCTGGTTTTTCCTCTCTCTCCTGTTCTCTCTCCCCCTCTCCTATTCCCTTTTCCTCCCCTCTGATATTTCTTTTCTCCTTGGAAGAGTTAAATCTATTATCTCAAAGAGTTCTTAGTATTCTGCAACTACTGAGCTCTTCCAGCGAATCTGCTATAGGGAGTGCAGTTGATGAACAGCCCCAGCTGCCAAACCTCCAGATCCATTGTCATAAACACTGAGGCCACCCTTTCCCCAGGCTGCTCCTAGCCAATGACAGAGCACAGCAGGGATGTTAGAACCTGCATGTTCCTGTCAATATTCATGTATTGGCCAACCTTTGCTGGGGACTCCTTGCTGCACTGGCTGAGACTTTCTCAGAACTACAGTCTAAAGCTCTTCAAATCCAACTCTTCCTCCTTCCCATTTGCTGTTCTTAGGCTCCCAACTGCCTTGTTGTTTGAAGGCTCTCTCTGCCCTCTCCTGTCCCCCATCTCCTTAATCTTGCACAGAATATTTTCCCGTCAATCTCCTGCATGTCTAATCTAATATTGTTTCACAGAAGACCTAAACTATACAGAACAATAAAACACCTTAAGCAGAGGAAACAAAATTCAGTCTAACATAGATCCATCTGGACTACCACTAAGAGCAGCTTAGTTTCTCCAGATCTAAAAAGCACCTTATTATGCCGGATCCAGTCTCTTGTATGGACTTGAGAACTTAAAAGTAGATCAGCCAGTCCGGCACTGTGGCTCACGCCTGTAATCCCCGCACTTTGGGAGGCCAAGGCGGGAGGATCACGAGGTCAGGAGATCGAGACCATCCTGGCCAACATGGTGAAACCCTGGCTCTGCTAAGAATACAAAAATTAGCTGGACGTGGTGGCATATGCCTGTAATCCTAGCTACTTGGGAGGCTGAGGCAGAAGAATCACTTGAACCAGGGAGTCAGAGGTTGCGGTGAGCCAGCATCGTGCCACTGCACTCCAGCCTGGTGACAGAGAGAGACTCTGCCTCAAAAAAAAAAAAAAAAAAAAAAAAAAAAAAATGTAGATCAGCCAACAAGATGGTCTCTAAGTTGAAGGCACCTCTAATTGGGATCCTGAGATCACCTCTCGTAGGTAAATATTTACAAACTGAAGGTCAAACACAAATGTCTACTTTACAACTACTATACTGCATTCATAATTTCTCTCCTCATTTTATACTCTGATGAAATACCAACTTGGTCATTTCTGTGCATTGTCAAGAGGGTCGAAGTCGAAGCAGAAGCAAGCAGCTGGCTGGCTTAGCTTATGGTTCCTCTGGCACAGGAAAGTGGTGAGAGTCATTATTCTTATTATCCAGGAGTTAACGGATTTTTGCATGACTGGGCTGAGTGTATGTTTATTTTCTGGCCCTTGATAATTACTGTATTCCCATTTTCAATATGAATTTGTTTCTATCCAATGGATCGTCAACAGTAGCCACTGTAATTCTTTTTGAGGGGCTATATATGCACCATTATTTTTCAAACTTGGCTCTGTGTGGAGATCTTAACAGAATGTAGATACTCCAGTTGTTCCACATGCTTGTCAACCCTTAGCATGGTCTATATTTTCCATTTTAGTCATTCACTTCATTTAGTCATTTTAGTCATTCCAGCTTCAGTCATTTGAGCCATGTCCAGTGTGTTCACATTGTGGTTCTAATTTGCATTTCCCTGTGGTATACTGAGGTTGACAATCTTTTCATGTGCTTATTGGCCATTTGGGTGTCCTCTTTTGTGATGTACCAGTTTGAATCTCTTGGCCATCTTCCTAATGGGTTGTCTGTCCTTATTGGTTTGTGGGTATTTTAATATATTCTGGCAAGTCATTTGTCATATAAATGCACTGCGATATCCACTCCCACTTTGTAGCTTGCCTTTTTATTCTCATAATGCTTTTCAATAAACAGAAATTCTTAATTTTAGTGTAGTACAGTTTGTACAGTTTTTCCTTAACACTTACTGTTGTTTGTGTCCTGTTAAGAAAACTTTGTCTATCTCAAAATCATGAGGATATCAAACTCTACAATTAATTTGTTGTGTACTGTTCTCTTTCTCTCTGCATGTGTATACATACACATACACACCCTCTCTCTGTGTACATATATATGTATACATAAAATATGGGGGCAAAAATTTTACATAAAGTCAGGCTGACATGGGTTCAAATTCTGGCTCTTCACAATAACCCTATAAGGCAAATACTATTCCCGTTTTACAGCTGAAAAACCTGAAGTCAGGAGGTCAGGCTAAGTTAATATGTCTATGGTCTTATAGCTAGTGGGTGGGAGATGAGAATGAATCCAGTCTGGCTGAAGAGTCCATACTTCTGGCCTCCGTCATAGCCTGGGCTTCCCAAAGCTTGTGCTTTTGTTCCTTATTGGCAACAGGCCATCAACTGCATTCGTTACGTAAGGTTATTATGAGGAGTAAGGGAGTTATTAAAAGTGTCTAGCATGGTTCCTAGGACATAGTAGGTACTCAAATATTTTTCCCTTTCTGTTACTATTAACACTTTCTTTATAAAATAAAAATTGGCCAGGCACAGTGGCTCGTGCCTGTAATCCTAGCACTTTGGAGGCCAAGGCAGGAGGGTTGCTTGAGCCAAGGAGTTAGAGGCCAGCCTGGGCACCATGGTGAGGCCCCACCTCTACAAAAAAAATTAACCAGGCATGGTGGTATGTGCTTGTAGGTCCAGCAACTCGGGAGGCTGAGGTGTGAGGATTGCTTGAGCCCGGGAGGTTGAGGCTGCAGTGAGCAGTGATCACACCACTGCACTCCAGCCTTGGTGACAGAGCTAGACGCTCAAAACAAATACATAAAATATAATAAAATGAAAATTACAAGAGACCAAAGGCTGATGTCTCTTCTTCTTTCTTTGCGTTTGGAGCAGAGTAATTGAGTCTTTGTAATGACTTAACTAACACTGAGAAACTCCAGACAGATCCTGAAGTTAACAAAACATGAATCTATTATCTACTTAAAATGACTGCAATAAAGGCTTCTTGATCTATAACTCTAGTTTTGCATGAAGATCAACAAGCTTTCACATGGTAGGTGGAGTAAATGTGAAGGTGAACAGTGTCAGATGTGAAAGATACAGTGGGATTCTTGCCATACGCTCTTCAGTCTTAAACCTTCTGCAGGTGATCCAACTACACCCCAGGAATTAAGAAGCAGATTATAAACCTCAGGCCTTTAAAGGGCAAAAAGGTCTGAATTAGTCCAAAAGTTCAGGGCAAAACTCTAAATGACTTTTAGTTACAACGGAAACCCACTTGGAAAGTTGCTTTTCTTCTCCAATAGCTTCCCAAGAAAGGGTACATGGAGGTAAACCCTGAGTCTTTGCTTGCCTAAAAATGTATTATTTTTACCTTCACCCTTGATTATTTGACTGAATATGGATTTATCGGTTGAAAATAACTTCCTTTCTAGAATTATAAAGGCATGGTTCCATTGTTTTCAGATTCTTTTTCGAGACAAGGTCTCTTCTGTCACCCAGGCTGGAGTGCAGTGGCACAGTCACGACTCACTGCAGCCTTGAACTCGCAGGCTCAATTGATCCTTCCATCTCACCCCCCTGAGTAGATGGGACTACAGGCATGTACCACAATGCCCAGCCAATTTCTGTATTCTTTGTAGAGATGGGGCCTCACCATGTTGCCCAAGCTGGTCTCAAGTGATCCGCCTGCCTTGGTCTCCCAAAGTGCTGAGACTACAGGTGTGAGCCACTGTGCCCGGCCAGTTTTTCTTTTATTCTCTGTCTGCTTCCTTCATTTCTCAAAGGCATCTCAAACTCAGTGGGCCCAAAACCAAAGTCAAGCTCCATCAGAACATCCTGCTACTTCCAACTTTAAAATATATCTTAAATCACAATTTCTTGCTACATGCAACCCTTTGGTTCAAACTACCATCATCCCTCGCTTGAACTTAGAATTGATTTTCCTGCTTCAGTATTTTTTTAAATGATGAAATATTTCAAATAAACCATGTGTGGCTTTATACTTTTTATTACATAAAAAGGATGAAAATCTGCCGGGTGCACTGGCTCGCACTTGTAATCCCAGCACCCATCCCAGGCCGAGGTGGATGGATCACTTGAGGTAAGGAGTTTGAGACCAGCCTGACCAACATGGTGAAATCCTGTCTTCACTAAAAACACAAAACTAGCCGGATGTGATGGTGCATGCCTGAAGTCCCAGCCACTTGGGAGCCTGAGGCAGGAAAATGTGCTAATACTAAGAAAAAACTGCAAAGTACTAAGAACTCTTTGAGACGATAGATTTAACTCTTCAAGGAGAAAGGAAGTAGCAAGGAGGGAGGAAAAGAGAGGAGGATAAGAAGAGGGAGAGAGAGAGCAGGAGAAGGAGGACAAACCAGGAGAATGTCAGGAGTTTGAAGTCAGACACCAGGGAGTTGAATTTCTAGTTCCACCACGTTTGAGAGCTTACTGCTATTAGGAAGATAGTCAAATTTTCTAAGCTTGGATTTCTCCATTTGTAAAATGAGTGTAGCAATTTTGTTCACTTGGTCTTGGTGAAGAGTCAATTAGGTGACATGCATAGAAGATCCAGCACATTCTGCATGGAGCACTCAGGAAGGAGTGCTTCCCTAGTTTTCCTCATGCACCACCTCTTTTTCTTTCTTCATGACAATAGCGCCTGTGAATTATAGCCACTGGCTAGAGACAGTAGGCACAGATTTAATATGGATAAATGTGCCATACAGATGTACGTCTGCAGTCTTTGCCTTATTTGCACTTAAGTTGAGGGACTGCTTTGTCATTTTCAGTTAGGGTGGTCTTTGGGAAGCCACTCAACAGCCCTGAGACAGACATCTGATTTGTAAAATAAGGGTGCTCTTTTCTGGTTTTCCCACTTCATGCACTTTTGCAGGAGTGAAATGCAATAGCACACAAAGGTGCTTTAAACAGCAGAATCAATTGAGCAATCAGGGCTCCATGTCTTCTTCTTACTAAGCATTTCTCAAGTATGTTATTGATTGAATGCTTCCTCATAAGAGCATATATACTGATAAGTTTTTCTTACAACAAAATCACAAAAAATTACTATTTTACTGCACATTTGACAAATCACCACACACTTACTATAATTGATACATCTTCTGAAATAGACAGTCAACTCAGCTAAGAGTATGTGGTATGTGTATATAAAAACAACTAAAAGCCAAATTGCAAAGACCATCGAGGCTAGGAAGAAACTGCATCAACTAACGAGCAAAATAACCAGCTAACATCATAATGACAGGATCAAATTCACACGTAACAATATTAACTTTAAATGTAAATGGACTAAATGCTCCAATTAAAAGACACAGACTGGCAAATTGGATAAAGAGTCAAGACCCATCAGTGTGCTGTATTCAGGAAACCCATCTCACGTGCAGAGACACACATAGGCTCAAAATAAAAGGATGGAGGAAGATCTACCAAGCAAATGGAAAACAAAAAAAGGCAGGGGTTGCAATCCTAGTCTCTGATAAAACAGACTTTAAACCAACAAAGATCAAAAGAGACAAAGAAGGCCATTACATAATAGTAAAGGGATCAATTCAACAAGAATAGCTAACTATCTTAAATATATATGCACCCAATACAGGAACACCCAGATTCATAAAGCAAGTCCTCAGTGACCTACAAAGAGACTTAGACTCCCACACAATAATAATGGGAGACTTTAACACCCCACTGTCAACTTTAGACAGATCAACGAGACAGAAAGTTCACAAGGATACCCAGGCATTGAACTCAGCTCTGCACCAAGCGGACCTAATAGACATCTACAGAACTCTCCACCCCAAATCAGCAGAATATACATTTTTTTCAGCACCACACCACACCTATTCCAAAATTGACCACATAGTTGGAAGTAAAGCTCTCCTCAGCAAATGTAAAAGATCAGAAATTATAACAAACTATCTCTCAGACCACAGTGCAATGAAACTAGAACTCAGGATTAAGAAACTCACTCAAAACTGCTCAACTACATGGAAACTGAACAACCTGCTCCTGCATGACTACTGGGTACATAACGAAATGAAGGCAGAAATAACGATGTTCTTTGAAACCAACGAGAACAAAGACACAACATACCAGAATCTCTGGGACACATTCAAAGCAGTGTGTAGAGGGAAATTTATAGCACTAAATGCCCACAAGAGAAAGTAGAAAACATCCAAAATTGACACCCTAACATCAAAATTAAAAGAATGGAAAAGCAAGAGCAAACACATTCAAAAGCTAGCAGAAGGCAAGAAATAACTAAAATAAGAGCAGAACTGAAGGAAATAGAGACACAAAAAAACCCTTCAAAAAATTAATGAATCCAGGAGCTGGTTTTTTGAAAGGATCAACAAAATTGATAGACTGCTAGCAAGACTAATAAAGAAGAAAAGAGAGAAGAATCAAATAGATGCAATAAAACATGATAAAGGGGATATCACCATCGATCCCACAGAAATACAAACTACCATCAGAGAATACTACAAACACCTCCACACAAATAAACTAGAAAATCTAGAAGAAATAGATAAATTCCTCGACACATACACCCTCCCAAGACTAAACCAGGAAGAAGTTGAATCTCCGAATAGACCAATAACAGGCTCTGAAATTGTGGCAATAATCAATAGCTTACCAACCAAAAAGAGTCCAGGACTAGATGGATTCACAGCTGAATTCTACCAGAGGTACAAGGAGGAACTGGTACCATTCCTTCTGAAACTATTCCAATCAATAGAAAAAGAGGGAATCCTCCCTAACTCATTTTATGAGGTCAGCATCATCCTGATACCAAAGCCTGGCAGAGACACAACAAAAAAAGAGAATTTTAGACCAATATCCTTGATGAACATTGATGCAAAAATCCTCAATAAAATGCTGGCAAACTGAATCCAGCAGCACACCAAAAAGCTTATCCACCATGATCAAGTGGGCTTCATCCCCAGGATGCAAGGCTAGTTTAATATATGCAAATCAATAAATGTAATCCAGCATATAAACAGAACCAAAGACAAAAACCACATGATTATCTCAATAGATGCAGAAAAAGCCTTTGACAAAATTCAACAACCCTTCATGCTAAAAACTCTCAGTAAATTAGGTATTAATGGGAAGTATCTCAAAACAATAAGAGCTATCTATGACAAACCCAGAGCCAATATCATACTGAATGGGCAAAAACTGGAAGCATTCCCTTTGAAAACTGGCACAAGACAGGGATGCCCTCTCTCACCACTCCTATTTAACATAGTGTTGGAAGTTCTGGCCAGGGCAATTAGGCAGGAGAAGGAAATAAACGGTATTCAATTAGGAAAAGAAGAAGTCAAACTGTCCCTGTTTGCAGATGACATGATTGTATATCTAGAAAACCCCATTGTCTCAGCCCAAAATCTCCTTAAGCTGATAAACAACTTCAGCAAAGTCTCAGGATACAAAATCAATGTACAAAAATCACAAGCATTCTTATACACCAATAACAGACAAACAGAGAGCCAAATCATGAGTGAAATCCCATTCACAATTGCTTCAAAGAGAATAAAATACCTAGGAATCCAACTTGCAAAGGATGTGAAGGACCTGTTCAAGGAGAACTACAAACCACTGCTCAAGGAAATAAAAGAGGATAAAAAGAAATGGAAGAACATTCCATGCTCATGGGTAGGAAGAATCAATATCAAGAAAATGGCCATACTGCCCAAGGTAATTTATAGATTCAATGCCATCCCCATCAAGCTACCAAGCTACCAATGACTTTCTTCACAGAATTGGAAAAAACTACTTTAAAGTTCATATGGAACCAAAAAAGAGCCCACATTGCCAAGTCAATCCTAAGCCAAAAGAACAAAGCTGGAGACATCACACTACCTGACTTCAAACTATACTACAAGTCTACAGTAACCAAAACAGCATGGTGCTGGTACCAAAACAGAGATATAGATCAATGGAACAGAACAGAGCCCTCAGAAATAAAGCGCATATCTACAACTATCTGATCTTTGAAAAAACCTGAGAAAAACAAGCAATGGGGAAAGGATTCCCTATTTAATAAATGGTGCTGGGAAAACTGGCTAGCCATATGTAGGAAGCTGAAACTGGATCCCTTTCTTACACCTTATACAAAAATTAATTCAAGATGGATTAAAGACTTAAATGTTAGACCTAAAACCATAAAAACCCTAGAAGAAAACCTAGGCATTACCATTCAGGACATAGGCATGGGCAAGGACTTCATGTCTAAAACACCAAAAGCAATGGCAACAAAAGCCAAAATTGACAAATGGGATCTAATTAAACTAAAGAGCTTCTGCACAGCAAAAGAAACTACCATCAGAGTGAACAGGCAACCTACAAAATGGGAGAAAATTTTTGCAACCTACTCATCTGACAAAAGGCTAGTATCCAGAATCCACAATGAACTGAAACAAATTTACAAGAAAAAAACAAACAACCCCATCAAAAAGTGGGCAAAGGACATGAACAGACACTTCTCAAAAGAAGACATTTATGCAGCCAAAAAACACATGAAAAAATGCTCACCATCACTGGCCATCGCTAATCAAAACCACTATGAGATACCATCTCACACCAATTAGAATGGCAATCATTAAAAAGTCAGGAAACAACAGGTGCTGGAGAGGATGTGGAGAAATAGGAACACTTTTACACTGTTGGTGGGACTGTAAACTAGTTCAACCATTGTGGAAGTCAGTGTGGCAATTCCTCAGGGATCTAGAACTAGAAATACCATTTGACCCAGCCATCCCATTACTGGGTATATACCCAAAGGACTATAAATCATGCTGCTATAAAGACACATGCACACGTATGTTTATTGCGGCATTATTCACAATAGCAAAGACTTGGAACCAACCCAAATGTCCAACAATGATAGACTGGATTAAGAAAATGTGGCACATATACACCATGGAATACTATGCAGCCATAAAAAATGATGAGTTCATGTCCTTTGTAGGGACATGGATGAAATTGGAAATCATCATTCTTAGTAAACTATCGCAAGAACAAAAAACCAAACAGCACATATTCTCACTCATAGGTGGGAATTGCACAATGAGAACACATGGACACAGGAAGGGGAACATCACATTCTGGGGTCTGTTGTGGGGTGGGGGGAGCGGGAGGGATAGCTTTAAGAGATATACCTAATGCTAAATGATGAGTTAATGAGTGTAGCACACCAGCATGGCACATGTATACATATGAAACTAACCTGCACATTGTGCACATGTACCCTAAAACTTAAAGGGTAATAATAATAAAATAAAAAAACCAGCAAAAGGAAAAGAACAATTAAAATAAAAGCATTCCAAAAATTGAGTCAAATTTCTTTACTGAATTTCTGAAAGTGGAATGGAGAAAAGCAGTTAATGCAATATGCTATTTTGTTCATTCAATGATTTACAACTTGTCACATGAATGCAGCCAAAATACTTAAAAAAAAAAAACACATAAGGAAAAAACAAAAAAAAAGTGAAAAGCAAAAATAAGTAAACCTCCCAGCTTCAGACTGGACTGTCCTCTAGGGTGCTAACACAGTAAGACTGGATACCTCCTTAGACCAGTGCACAGCATGGTCAAATGCACTGAATCCCATCCACAAAGACAGCCTCATTAACTATTCAGAAAATTGCTATTTTGTGCTTCTAATCTCTGTTAAGACACTGACAAGAAGTCATTCTAGTCATGTGTTACAGACATGGAGATACAAAGCTCAGATTCGCCTTCAAGGAAGGACTTGTGGCCCAGATGCAGGGGTGTGGCTATCAGGTGCCTCCAGGGTGTGTCTCAGCTGCAGAGATCATCCTTCCTAGGGTAGCGTGCATCTGGTGGCTGAGTGAAATGGAGAATAAAAGTCTTGCAGTTCCCCCTGATGCTTGATGACTTGCGCAATACTCACTCTAGAGGTCCCTGTCATGATGGCTAAGCTTTATCATGCCTGTGTCACCATTCAACAGTTTCTTCTGCCAGTCCTGCTTTCTCTCCCTTCCTTTCACAAGTTTTGATCCCCAATAACATCTATTTAAAAAACATATATGTATATATATTCAGTGCATATATATATATATATATTCAGTGCATATATATATATTCAGTGCATATATATATATATACACACACACACATGCACATATATATATATGTGCATGTGTGTGTGTGTTTTTAGAGACAGGGTCTCATTCCGTCCTCCATGTTGGAATGCAGTGGTACCATCAGGGCTCACTGTGGCCTCAAACTCCTGGTTTATGTGATCCTTCTGCCTCAGGCTCCCAAGTAGTTGGGGCTACAGGTATATGCTACCATGCCTGGCTAATTTGTAAATTTTTTTTTTTTTGTAGAAACAGAGGTCTCGTTATGTTGCCCAGACTGGTCTTGATCTCCTGGACTTAAAAGATCCCCAAGCCTTAGCCTTCCAAAGCACTGGGACTATTGGTATGAGCCACAGCATCCAGCCCCTAATAACATCTTGAACCCAAAACTGTGTCTTTTTGCCTGCTATTAGAAACCCAACATGTCTCACATGTTATTCTTCTAGGCAGGAGAAATAATTTCAACTATTATCGAACCGTGATACCCAATGCAGGATTTTGCTTTAGGTGCTAATGATGAAAGCCAGTAGTTAGGCCCAGGGGTTTCCAAAAGGAGTGCTCATCCTCAATTAGCATCACTACTAGAAATGGTCACAGGGGCTCCATGGAAGGGATGGGCTATCCCCATAGGCAAGAGAGGCAGATGAAACCAGCATCTGTTAAAGGGCCAGAGCCTCACACTTGTTTGGTTTGGGCTGAGACAAACAATGTTAAGTGATACCCTAATCCTCCAATACACAGTTATTTTTAGCTCTCCAATATCTCCTTGTATTCACCTTCTGACATTGAGAATACTTGGGTGCAGATATATTAGGTATTTCACACTAATCACTATTTAACAAGCTACCCAATATTCAGTAGAAGTTGGGATTGGGATGGAAGAGCCAGCCCTTCACCACTGAAAGCTTTGACTTCCCTGATAATTTTATTAAAATAAAAGTTGGCAAATAAGTTTTAAAATGTAAATGAATGGTAAGTTGGGCAGACACAATTGGTTTTCTATCCAACAGCTATGCCTCCTCCCACATCTTTTTGCTAATACAACTCCAGTATGAGAGGAAAGTGGCTAGATGTAGGGGATTTTGATTTATCTAAACCTACTGTTCAATAGATAAACACATGTAGCCACTTACATTTCAATTAATGAAAAGTCAATAAAATTAAAATTAGAAATTTAGTGCTTAGTCACCTAGCCACTTCTTAAGTAATAGACACATGTGGCTGGTGGCTGCCATATGGAACATGTAGATATGAAGTAGTTCTCTCATCATACAAACTTCTATTGCATAAGACTGGTCTGAACTAATCATGGTGCCTTTCTCTACTTTGTCAGCAGAATTTTTCCTAGCATAACCATGGTGCATCAAATTCTGGCTAATCGCATGTAAGAGAATGTAATGAGACAGAATTGTAGGAAAGGAAAGCCCTTTATTTTCTGCTTGAGAAGCTGTCAGGTAAGAACATGATGCATAAGGATCATGCTGACAAAGGGAGGATGTCAGTCTGGAAGTAAAAGAGTCTGGGTCCTTGACTGAGTCATTGAGGGGAAAGATTTGCCTACCTTTATTCCTCATTAACTAAAAACTTAATGTCCTTAAGATTTAAGCCTCAGTTCTTTGCGCTTTCTCTTACTTGCAGCTTAAAGCATTCCTAACTGATGTTTAAGAAGTTTGGAAAAGAAGACTAGAAGAGAAAAACTTACTCATTGTCCTTCTTCTTTTTTTTGCCCTATACCCAAAATAAAAATTTTCCTTTCTATGTACAAATTTGCACATAGCTATGACCAAATGGTGTATGTACAACTGTCTTTGTTGTTTTTAAATCTATCTTTTATCTTAAAATTAAATCATGTGTTCATTGCAGAAAAACTGAAGAATATAGAAAATGGTAAGGGAGAAAATAAAATCACTCAGATACCTACCAAGAGAGAACAAATGTTAACATACTAAGGTTTCTTTTTGTAATTTTTCATAAATTTGATGTCCTTTATACATTGACTTTTTAAAATGATCAGCACAGGGTTCTATTCCTATTTTAAATGGAAGAAGGTGACAGATAATACTACCATCACGTGAATTATTAGTCTTACTGCCAACTAAAAAACCAAGTAAGGATGGATTTTAGAGGTGCAAAAAATTATGACTCACTTCTTTTATAATGAGAATGAACACCAGATTACTTATGAAACTCTGAAAAACCCTACTGAAAACATACTGGTTTAGACTCAGAACAATTTTAGGAAGCTTACAAATATTTTTTACCATTACCACAATTCTGAACAAGAGAGTATCCTGTTTTGCCTACAGCTGCTTTGTAATTAAGCTTTTCTTTTTCTTAAGGTTATGTTCTTATTGTAGTTTATATGCTTTATTGAAAACATCAGAACCAACCAACACTTTGCAGGAAGTTACATGGACATACTCTCCCAATTTAGATTTTTCTTTTAAAATAAACAGCAGGACTGTGTCTGCTTTGTTCATCACTGTAGTCCCAGGGCTTGCCTCGCACGTGAACTGGAATACAGCAGGCCCTTACCAGTGACCCGTCTGGCAGTGGGAGCACTGAGGGAGAGCGGGCAAAGCTTCATTTCAGTGGGGAAAGAGTTTGAGGAGAATTTCATTTATTTATTTTCTTCAAAACATTAAAGGGAAGAACTAAAAACAAAAACCAGCAAACAAAATAATATTTGTGAAAAGTGATTTTCAAAAATTTCCAAACTGCTGTGGGGTGATGAGTGACACACATTTCCATAAAGTTTCTCATTCTATCTGTGTCTTTCAGTGTGAACAAAAAATTTCTTTCTAACATGTGAAGATTTTACTCACTTCACTACTACCTCCTTTAGTGGTTGGAAGTCATTTGAATTTTTCTTTACTTTTCTAGCAAGAATTCTTTGTTTTGTGCTATGACTCACGTGAATAATAGCTCCTGGCTTAATCTGAAGCTCTGTGTTGTCTCTGCCAGCATGAGACAGGAAGACCTTCTCCACTTTTGCCCAGTAATTTTCATTCTCCCCCCACAGGGCTCCACTTAAGCGAGAGTCCACTGGAGGATGACATGCTGACATGGTCACAGCCAGTAGAATTCTAGAGGGAAAGCATTTGGAGCCTATGCCATTTGAAAAACAATAGTTCCATTTGAGAAACAAAAGAAACACAGTTTTTAGCATTTTGGAAGAATGAAAATGTTTGAAGTGGTTCCAAGGGCTCCTGGGCCCAGGGGAGTCTTACATGAAGACACATCTCTTAATATTGAGCCCTCCTGCAACTCTGGGACATAGCTCTCCAGTCTGGGATCAGTTTCTGCTCTGTCTGGCAACAGCCTACCAAGTCTCATCCACCAGTTTTTCCTGAGGACAAGGAGCCTCTTAAATCTGAACTATGGTGAAGTGTTTTAGTTTGAGATCCCGGGAAATAGACTCTGAGACAAAGAACTGTGAGTAGGAGGTTTCATGGAGAGTGCTCTCAGGATCCACACCTGCGAAATAACTATAATAATAATAATAATAATAATAATAATAATAATAATAGTGAAGGCCTGGACTGGGTAGAGGAAGAAACTGATCCAAAACAAACGTGCAATGAGGCCTCAGCCAATTCCTGGGGGGCAGATCTGGCTGTGTACAGCAGTTCCTGAATAATGTTGGTTCATTCGATGTTCTTTCCTTATAACGTTGATGAGAAAACAATTGATTTGCACCTGGGGCCACCATCTGTGTGTATTTGCACAACCTCCCCATAGCTGCATGGGTTTTCTCTGAGTACTCTAGTTTGCTCTCTCATTCCAAAGTCATGCACATTAGGTTAATTGGCATGTCTACATGGACTCAGTGTGAGTGAATGTGAGCATGGGTGTGAGTGTGCTCTGCCATGAGAGATTGTCCTGTTCAGGGCTGGTTCCCACCTCACTCCGTGAGCTGCTGGGATGGGCTCTGGCCACCCATGACCATGAACTGGAAATAAGCAGGTAAAGAATTATCTTACTTGGTTTTATTAATCTTTCTTAAATGTATGTATAGTTCACATTTATTTCAATGTTTAATATTAGAAATGTTTTGCCTTTATTTAGAAGTTTGGTATTTTGTGATCAGAAATCTGCCATAGGAACTTCATTATAGTTTATATCAATTAGCCTATGGAAAAATTGTTTTTGTTATATGTCATTTTGCTTAAAGCTGCAGTTTCCAGGACTCTATCAACAACATTAAGTGAGGACTTTGTGTGATTTGCGGGGCCAAGTGCAAAATGAAATTGTAGGGTACCTTGTTCAAAATGCAAGAAAAAAGTGTCATTAGAGGTACAGAAACACACTTTTTTTTTCTATCTGTGGTGTCTCAAATTGTTATGGTGGTGTTATTTTCTTCTAAATGTCTTTTTAAGGAAAGAAAAATAAAAATTTAAATTATTAGCAACGATTTTTGCCATTCATCTTTATATTATGCATTGCTAATTTTAAACACAAGTGTGTTTAATTAACTTGTATGGCGACTCACCAAAATATACATTTTGTATTTTATTACTCATGCGTGTATAGGTTTTTGTTCTAACAAGAAGAGTAAAAACACTGCACAAAACTAACTCAAATGATTTTATTTCACTTATTGATATGTGCATATTCTGCCAATGTTCTCTACCTTTGGCATACTGGTGACTAACAGAGAACTGAAAGGAAATGTAACTATCTGACCATGGTTGGCTCATCCAGTGAACTAATATGAATAAGAGAGGACATGGTAGGTTTCCCTTGTTGTTCATGTTTTTTAGAATGCCGTTGCCTTCTTTCTGTGTTTGGAGTAAGTTCCGGTTTGGATGAAAAGGGTGGCTTCTACAGGCTGTCAGCATTCATGCTTACTCAGCTGTAGATGAGATGCTGATTGGTAATTTGCTTTAAGTCTTGCTGAACTCCCACTCATCGTGGATCTACTGGAGTTCTGTGGCCATGGGGCATTGAGACAATAAAGGAGAGCACCTATGTTGTGCTATCTCTTCTGCTCACCTGCATGCTCCATTGTCCCCGTGGACTTTACCTACAAAATGCAAATTCAAAGATAAGATTGTTAAACATTTCAAGATGGTGACAGCAGAGCATGAAACCAAACCCAGGGTTCTTCTGAGTGTGGGATCTTGCGAGGTTCCTCAGATTGCGTGCCCATGAAGTTGGTCTTGCTTGGGAAACTCTGGAGCTTGGATGGCCCTTCAGATTTGCACTAACTGAAGTAAAGAGGAGCTGGGATTTGAATACCCACACTAACCGGTCAAAGCTGTAAGCCAGACCCTGGGAGGAAGCATAACTCTGGGCAAAGCAGTTCTTTATGGTCTAGGGCAATTCTAGTGTGGAATGCATCCACTTGGAGCTGTCAGTAGCCCACATTTCTCAAAACTAGGAGATGGGTACGTGTGCTGCAAGGAGGAGATATGGGCACTGCACCACTACAGTCACTCCATCAAGGTCCAGGCTTGCCAACACAGGGAGTTTTGACGTGAGCAAAAACAGCTCTTTCTACTTTGAAAAGCTCTCATAAGAGAGCACTAAGGAATGAATTTTAACCCTGTGATTTTAATATTTTTGTTGCAATGGTCTTTTTGCTTCACATGCACCCATATACCAACATGTGACAGTGTATCCAGTGGATTCATAATTCTATGCCAGGAACTCCTACAGTCTTTGACTTTGCTCCCCTTGGCCATTCAATCCCAGAGCTCCTGAAGTTCTGCAGGAAAACCGTAGGGTACCCACAAGTTATGGTTCCTTCTGTGCCCTGCATATGCCTATATCTATAAACCTGGACACACCACACACCAGTCTTACCCTTGGATCCAGCCTCAGCAGTTTCTCTGTATCACAGCAAGCCTGAATGTGATTCTTCTTTAAAATTCTTGCAACAAAAGCAGATGGTTCAGTTTCTTATTGAGCCAACTCTTAAAGATAACAAACATATATGTTTAACATTTTGAGTTTTTAATCTTTTTTTGTTTAGAACCTCTTTATGGAAACATGTCTAGCTTACTAAGGTAAAATTGACTCACTCATTGACTCATTTAGCAAATTATTTATTGATCTCCTATTTATCAGACAGGGTGGAATATAGAAAAGGTCTCTGCCCTTCTGGAGTTTCTAACCCAGTGTGGAAAACTGATAATACATAACTAAATAACTCATATACCAGTGTAATTACAGTGGATAAGTGCTAGGAAGAAAATGATTGTGATAGTAGGTAACCAGGAGGGGTGTACTTGGATAACTATCACCTCTTGGATCTTGACTCCTGGCTTGATCTCCCTCTTAGAGATAGGCAATGCAAGTGGTTTTTTGTATTAGCTTTATTTATTTATTTATCCCCCCAGGCTGGAGGGCAGTGCCGCAATCTTGGCTCACTGAAACCTTCGCCAACCAGGTTCAAGTGATTCTCGTGCCTCAGCCTCTTCAGTAGCTGGGACTACAGGCGCATGCCACCATACCCTGCTAATTTTTGCATTTTCAGTAGAGACAGGGTTTCACCATGTTGGCCAGGCTGGTCTTGAACTCCTTACCTCAAGTGATCCACCCCCCTCGGCCTCCCAAAGTGCTGGGATTACAGGCGTGAGCCACCACACCCAGCCTGTTTTAGCTTTTTAAAGCCTTAGTTTCCTCATTTGTAAAACTTCAGCTCATAGTATTCCTGTGAGGATTAAATAGCTTGTCTTAGTTTGGGTTCCCTCAGAAACAGACCTTGACATGACAATTCAGGTTTACGTAGTGAATTTGGGAGGTGGTCCCAGGAAACGCCAGAATGAGAGTGGGGGAGTGAGGCAGCTGCTGTAAGGTGTGTTAATGACCACTGTGAACAGTGGGGCTAATCCCACTGGAGACCTCATGGGGAGCTGGGGGAAGGTAGGGCCTGTAAACTGCCCCTGGGTTGTCTAGAGCCTGGCTCAGAGTTGTCCTGCTAATGCGGAAAGAAGTTTGCATATTTATCCACCATCTCTTATTTATTGTTGGTTGAGGGTTTCTCCCAGAATTGTTAACTCCTTGCACATACAACCTGCCCAGTGAGGGCCTGAGCATGCTCCTGTAGCCAGGGAAAACCCTCAGTGGAGAACTACAGGTGCTGTCGGTAAGGTGGGTTGGCATGCATATGACAAGAGTGCCATGGGAGCATGGTGGTAGTATTGACAGTCAGCCAACACTACAAACAGCCAATGCACATAAAGTGGAATCTGCCCCTTAGAAGGTGCTCAATAAATGGTAGCTATCATTTTCTTGCATTTGGTACTTGTCAATCATGTTGTTACACAAACGTGATTGTTGTGTAACAACACACACACACACACACACACACATCTTATTTTACAGCCTATATTTAAGCTCCTTGAAATTCTTTTCAATATCTAACATTGTTTCTTTCCACAGTGGGTACTTATTGGAGTGACTAAATCATTTTTCATTTTTTTTGTTCCTGTTATTTTTAAGTCAACTTTATTGAGACATTTCGACATTTTTATTGCTTTACTATCATCCAACAAGTTAACTGTTTTATCTTGACAGCATTCTGTTTAGAAAAGATAACTGGGGAAAAATAAGCCTAGAAAAATATGAAACATCAGCTTAGCATTTCAGGAAGCATAGCAAGACTATCTCATTGTGTGCTGGCAAACTTTCATGTTAATGCTACTTTTTTAAGGGAAATGTTCATGGGATTTTAAAAATCTTGAAAGTAAAGATAAGATGTGTTCATTACACCTAGCAATGGTGGAGAAAGAACTGAGATGGGCATTCACACCCCAACTTGTATAGCATGACATCTCTCTTGTTTTGTCTTCAACCTTTCCTTTAATAAGTGACAGAAGATCAGTAAATGCCTTCAAAAATTTCAGGATTTGGGCCACATTTATTTTTTTAAAAATTCTTTTTGCATAAAATCAGGATGGCTTAATTCACTGTTAGGCCTTGGTTGGCTGCCCAAATATATTCTTCAAAATTATATCCATTTCTTAAGTATGTCTGGAGCAGCATCAAAACGGCATCTGAAGCCAAGGCTAGTGTGTTTTTGAAGCCTTACACAGAAAAGATATCTAAGGATTTCAGCTATGTTGAAGCAATATTTCTGTGGAGAAAATTTGTATCCAGGCTGACATTTTCCATCCTGGGTTTTCTACCTGCTGTGATGTGGAATGGCCAAGATATGAAATCTCTGAAGTCGGGGTTATAACGCAACTTTACTGGCCTCCAAGGGCTTGTGGCTCACAGCCATTGTTCACAGATGCCAGATGATCTAAGAAGATCATGGAAACCTGGCACCTCACTGTTTTTTGGCTAACACCACCAAAGAAAATTAATTGTTATTGTTTTTGGAAACTGTCATCCAATGCACGAAATAGTAATATCAGCAATTATGTTTTTTCTGCTTTTTCTTTTTGGGGGAGGTTGGGGTGGGAAGATGATGAACACTGTGATTTTATTATAGCTGCCCCCAGTGGCTGGTTTTGGGGCAAGAAAAGGGTGTTACATTCCTGTGGCTGAAAAATCTTATGAAGCTGTAAAGCAAAAGCGCTCCCCTAATTTGCCTGAGTTGATGAAATACAATGACCTTGAGCCTTCTGTCTGATTCAACAGGGTTTGAATTTCTGGTAACTCCTCGCTCAAGATTGGTTTGCTCATTAGTCTGTTGAGAGCACACAGCCTCGAGTCAACTAAAATCTTTCTTTTCTGTCAACCCACTCTTCTCGCAGCCATGACTCACTCCATTCTCCTACCTCTGATACTTTACCCCAAGCCACGATAGTTCTTCTTCTCACTCTGGCCAGTCATGACCTTGAATCTCTTTCTTCCTTAAAAACTGTAGCCCAAATTTCATATCCTTCAAGATGTTATTTTGGTTCACCCAACCATCTCTCATAGACAGCCTAATACTTCCCTCCTACTGTGCATTTCTTTTGCTTTCTGTTTGTCTGTTAGCCACTTCTGTTTGATGTTTAAGCACAGTCCCAGATCTAATCATCCAAGGTGCTATTGACACAACCAGTGCAGTGCTCAATGCCCAGCAGATAAAAAAGATACTCCTACTGACAGTGCTAGCCAGGGGAAGCAGGAGTTCTTTTCTCCTAAGGCCACAGCAAGTGGATGCTAATGCTTCGTAAGGTACAGTTAATCCTCCATGTAACTCTATGTACTGGGCATCTGGAAAGCCTAGTTTTTGGTTTTGTTGGACACATGTCACTTTAGGCTGTGCTACCCACCATCTGTTTCCCCTACCTAACAACCTTGACTGAATTCCTTTTGGGAAATTAGCCCTCTCCCGTGGTATTTCTTGGAATGAGGGATATCCAGGCAACTCCCTCCACCATGGATGCAGGTGGGGTCCCTGAAGTCCCTTCCTCCAGCTCCTCTTTCTCATTGCCTCAGAAAAATAAGGGAGCTAGCCAAGAGCCCTGCCTGGGCCAGAGTCTGACTTTTGGCATGCTGAATCTCTAACAGAGAGGAAAATGCTGGATGTTCCTCATTCCAAAAGCATACATGAGGTGATCAATTAATTCCTGCTGTCTAGATGTCTGGCATTTCCCTACATCCTATTCGCATCCTGTTTTGTTTCCACTTAATTCTCTAGTCTTCCATCCAGGCTGTGGACTCCAGAAAATCCCTCCAATAAATTCCTGCTGTATTCTCAAACATAAATTAGACAAGGTTGCTTCTTGATAGTTGCAAACCAAAGATTCTTAATACACACTTTTCTCTATTGTTGATTTGCTAAGTAACAGAAATTTCAAAATTAGCCAAGGCTCGAGTTTTTCTTCCTCAAAAGGAGTTTTCTATAGCAGGATCTGGCATTTAGAAGTATGAGTGAGACAAAGGATAACATTGTTTGAATTAATTCAAAGAGTCTACACAACATTTGAGGACTACATTGGGAGAAAACAATTCAGTTTTAGAAAATCAAATCCAAGAATAATTTTTTGGTTTGCCTTTCTTTTGGAGTGCAGGCTTAGAATTAAGGAGGGGTCCAAAAATTGCTTGTTCATTTGATTTGATGGTTGCACGGATGTGTGAATAGGGAAATGCTGTGCTTAAACCACAGGAGTCCACTATGGGGGCACTATGTCAGGGAGAGGGACAGCTGGCAGTGATCATGAGGGAATAGGAAGAAACTACGGCGTGTCTCTCACACAACAAATAGACCCAAGAAGCCCTGCAAGAAGCCAAAGAGTTCTTTCCTCCCAGAGCTCTCAGTGATTAAAATCCACATAGGCTTCAGAATTAGGTCAGTTGTCTTTTAAGGCCGATTAGGGTTAGAGACCCCTGTTATTCCCCCCTGGTCCTCTTGACAGAGGGTGCAAAAATATGCCAAAGGACCTACAAGCTGCAAAGACCTCTGGAATCAAATAAGTACCTGCTCATGTAGTTTCTGAAAATCCCACATCTGAACGAGGACCAGGACTGCTGCCTCCAGGGAGGGTTTGCCAGGAAAAATACTGCAGGGCCTCAGTGCAAACAGGACTGCTTGGCAGAGCCTGGTGGATGCGGTGCGGCAGCTGGCCATGGGCAGTGGAGACGAGGTTGCTGGACAAACAGCCCAATGCTGAGACAAACATCAAACCTGCATCACTACCTCATGTGTCACAAGTCAGCTGGGAAAGGCACTGGGAGCAATGGATTATTTAAGCTTATATCTTACAGGGAGTGGAGGAAACGAAGAGACACTGAACTTGATGATTTGGCTAATTCGGTGAAAGAATTAAAATATCCAGGTAAAAATAAAACAACCACAGTGAAATTTTATCTGGTTATTCTCCTTCAAAAACCTATTTTCTACTGTTATCTCACAAATGAAAATTAGGGATAATTCTTATTTGATGAGTGGGCTGTGTTCCTTTACAAATTTGAACTCTAAACGTTTTCCTCAACAACCATTTCAAGCAGGGGAACATGTGTCACATATTTTGAACTGTGCAAATAATTGAACAAAACTGGATATAAACAAAAATGGATAGTAGACACATAGGGACAATGAAAGTGTCTTGATGATACTTGTGTGATATTCGGAGAGTCCAAGCCACCATATTGCCAGTCGTCTCTGTAGACACCCCTGAGTTTCTTGTAGGAAAGGAAGCAACAGGAGACACTGACTTTTCTAAACCTTTGGTTATTCAGGGGTATCACAGGGTGGGGGTGAGATGGGAAAAGTGAGATGATTCCGGGATGGAGGGTTTTTGAGTTACTTGTCTAAGGGCAGAAAGGAGGCAGCAGCTTTCAAAGGTATATTCCATTACATTTCTCAGCTCTATTCTGGCTTCTTTCGGTAGGTTCTCTTGAAAACAGAGGCCTCTATCCAGAGATGGGGACCCAAGAAACAGAGCACACTATTGGGAAAAAAAATGTCCCATATAAGAGAGTCAATCCCTTATTTGTGAGGATGAAGCCATTTTTGCATCAAGTTTTGGGTCCAGAGCCGATACTTGTTTACATCTCAGGGCTGGCTGAAGATTACTTTGGAACCCGTCCTCTAACCAGGCTTTCAGTATCTGCTATTGTGGAGTGCATGTCTTCCCTCTTCTCATGCCCTAGCCCCCGTTGGACTTGGCTGAAGGTGCATTGTTTTGCCTCTAGGCCTGAAGAGGCCCCACCTTACATCTTCCAGGGGACACCCGGCAAAGCCTGGAAAATCAGTGTCAGAGAGATCTTCCAAAGCTCAGGAGCTGAGGTGGTGACAAGAGCTGGCAAAAAGAGAATGCCACTAGATGGAGAATGAGGTGGAGGGAGAGCATCAGGGTCAGTGGTGTGCAGGTAAACTGTCTCTCACAAAGCCCCCCAAAACAGCAACAAAACAAAGTCCTGATTTGTGGCATTTGCCAATTTCCACGGTGTAGATACTCCTGCCATGACCATGGCCCATTTCTAGCTACTGATGGTTTAACACCAGCTCACAACATTCCTAAATATTTAGCAGTTGGCTTTCTGAGCTAGTAGTAGCCATCTCCACTGGCTCAGTACCCATGTACACATGGACTCAACTTTGGTCAAATCACTGCATCAGTGATCTTGGAATTGGAAGGATGCCAAGTCCAAGATGAATGAAACAGAAAAAACACAACTCAAACAAATTCCTAAGTGCCATGGTAAAGTGAGAACAGTGTCCTCTTTCTGAGGTGACAGGAACACTCTGTGAAGCAGGGAAAGAGAAGGACCAGAAGGCAGGATATTTGGATCAAAGATACAGTGTAAAATTATCTGAAAAAGTTTAAGCATCTTGTATATGCCCTGCATAATCACTCTACCTTTACCGATTCATTTGATTTCAAAACAGTCCTATAAAATTGTCACTATTATTATTCCCCAATTCGAGAGTAAAGGGTTGATGTTATGGAATGGGGGGAATAATTTTGGGAGCCTTGAATATGCACCACCACCTCCATTGTCTACCCACTCCCCTGGTATGGAAAAAAAGTCTACTCAGGTTTCAGAACTCAGCTCTGTTTCCCCTCTGGGAGCCTTTGCTGACTGCCTTAGAATATTTGTATTCCACAAATAGTCTAGTCATTCAATGAATAGAAATCATGAAGGAATAAGGTAAGAGTCAGGGTAAGAGCTGCTATAAAATTTGACTTCTGGTGCCATCTAAATGGTTTTGTCTAGGGAGAAAGACTGAGAACTTTGGCTCCCATTTTATAAGGACTTTGGTCCTTACCTTGAGATATCTTAAGGTAAGTTTCAGACTAAGGTCACTGGTTGAGGGGTGAGTTTTAAGTCCCGCTAAGTTGTTCCTGACCACCAATTTTGCAAGATAATTCTAGGTATGGTAATGCCTTTAGAGTAGCCCAGAAAATGATAATCTTGAGGAAAGTAGATGTAAAAATGCAGCTCCAGCAAAAAGCAAAATCAAAACCAAAACCCTAAATTTTGAAACTCCAGCAACAGAACACACTATAACAATACAGAAGCATGGTAGTGATGTAGATACTAAACTATTATTTTTATAGGCAAACACATTCAAATGTTTATACACAAGCATGTTTTTTTCTCTGGCTTATTTCCATTTGTATTTGTTTGAGGAGTGTGTTTTGGAGAGAAAAGGCATCAGGATAACCAGATACATGAAATGCCTCTTTGGCGAACAGCTGTCAGGAGTGGACATTCACACACTTTCTCACTCATGGTAAAGGGCCGTTCAGCAGAGACAACAAACTGTGTGCTCAGAGGCAGCACGATGGAGCTGCCGTTTTGTCTTCGTCTTTGCAAAATGTGTATAAAACTAAACAAATACAGATGAGCAATTTACCAAAAGATAAGGAAGAATGAGTGTGTGCTTGTGGGTTTGAATACATGTTTAGGCATACACAATGGCTTTTTAATACTTTTTCTGCTTTTGTTTATGTGCAACTATAACTTTTCCATTTTCATTGTCTCTCAGCTATCTTTTACCCATCATGTTATAGTTGAACCCAACTTCACAAACAATGTTTGCCAGATATTAATATTCTTACCAATGAAAATGAGCTTAAAAAATTATGTGGGCAGAGGGCAGAGGAGGCCCCACTGGTCTGTAACCCTGAATTCAAACTCACCTGCTTTAAAGTCTCTTTGGCCTGACCACTTTCAAATAACTTTCTCTGCCTGCTTTGGCCTATATATCGTTTCCAAAATAGCATGAAAAACTTTTCTCATTGTATTTCAAAACGAAAAATGTTCCATCTACATCTGGAAATACTAAAAAATGTGCTTTCTTACAGTATTTTTTTTTTACTAGGTATGGACAAGGTTCTGACCCTTATTATTGGAACTCAAATCCAGATGGAGTTTGGTAAGGTTCTAATCATTTGAAGAGTATTCTTTTTTGAAGATTTGTACATCTTTAGGGGAATTTTTACTTTAAAGAAGTTATCATTTGTGGGAGGTCCATTATGAAGGTTTTAAATAGTTTGGGGGAATTTCTCTTTCTTTGAAGATTTCTATAATTCAGTGAAAACATTTGCCAACTGAGATGGTCACATTTCTCTACTATAAGCCTCTTCTTCGAATATGAATTAGATTACTCTTTTAATGTATTGGCTGTAAGTAGGCTTAAGGATTTTTCTTTCTTTCCTTTTCTAACTCTGGAAACAATGAAAAGACAATTCTTGTGTTTGAGTGAAAGTGAGAGTTAAAGATTTAAAGTTGTACAGGGAGACAACCAAAATAGCAAAATAATTAATGCATATGTTAATATCATTGGGTGGAAGATTAAAATAGCAATGATCAAAGAAAAACGTGGTTCAATGTGTGACATTTCTTTCTTGTAACTTATTGTGTCTTTATGGAAGCCTTATTGTGTGCAAATAAAAAAGTTTCAAAGGCAGTTTTTAAAATGCTTAGTTAAAGGCTAACATCAGTATAGTTTAAAAGGTAATTGATCTATAGATGAACTAACAACTACCAACAGCATCTCTTTTGTCAGTCTATAGCTGACAGATCCCTCCTTCTTATGCCTACAAGTCTGACATCTACTGAAGTTTCATAGATTGGCTGAAAGCAGTAGTCAGGAAAACTTTAGTCCCAGTTCCAGAGATTTTCATTCTCTATACCATCAGCTCTTTGGCAACTGGTGCCTTTTAGGCTCTGAATTGACATGGGTTCAAGGGCATCTCACTCTGTTGACCTTGTACCTTGAATTTCCTCAACATTTTCTTTGTGATTTGATATCAATATTAGTTCTCTAGCTACCTGCATTACAATAGTCCTGGGGTCCATTCAACATCCAAAAATATTTAGTAAACAGCTACTATGTGCCAGAAATTGTGCTAGGTGCTTGAGCTCCGACCCCAGAAGAATGAAAAATGTTGTGTGTCCTGGAGGACCTTACGCTGAATTGGGAGACCTCAGATCATGAACAATTTGGCAAATGCCTTGTGTTCCTCCCATTACTCCTGTTCCTCCCCTTGGCCAACCTCTGATTGCAGTTGCAGTTGAGGAGGACAGTCCAAGCAGGCGCAGACTCTTCCTCTACCAGGAAGTGCCTTCACCTCACAAGGGCCTGCAGGATGTCTTTTGCTTTCTTCCCCAGCAGTGCTACACCCGTGGGAGGCTGATTAGAAGAGAATAGATAGCCATGACTTCTGTGGCCTGAAAAACCAATAGGAGATGGGAAGCAGGTGAATACTACAGCTTCTCTTCCTTTAGGGGCACACCTCCAAGAGGCATTCTGTACTCTGATCACAGAAATCCCTGCATCATCAAACCCAAGGTCTTCAGCAGTGACCTTGATCATGCCCTTTCATACTGTTTTCTCCTTCTCTGCCTCTCTCCTGACTCCCGGACTCACTTCTTAGACCCGTAAATGACCCCTATTCAAGACTTTGTCTTAGGCTCTGCTTTAAGAGAAACCTAAGACAAAGAACAACAACAAGTAATAATTACATAACATAAAAGGAACATGTGTAACTTATAGGAAACAATTGAGCAGGACAAGGAGACTGGGGTGCAGAGGGTGGAGTGGAAGATGGCTGATTGCAATTTTAAATAGAGTGGTTAGGAGAGACCCCATTGATCCCACTTTTACCAATGGGTATAAGTGACATTTGGACAAAGTGTGGAAAAAGATGAGTGGTTAGCCCAAAATATGTAAAAAGACTCCTTGGGAGGTAGGGGAGATAGTACAAAGGCCCTAAAGCAGGATTCTTCCTGGCATATGGCTGCAGGAGTGAGACCTGGAGAGAGAAGATGAGAGCAAAGAGGTAGGGAGGCAAGACCGGATTGCATAGCACTGCCAGACCATTGTAAGGACTTTGAGGTAGAAGCCAGTGGAAAGTTGCAGACTCAGAAACTCCCCCAACAGAGGCTGGGCTGGTCAAGTGTGTCCAGTTCCCTTCCAACTTTCCATTACAGCAAAGAGATCGCATAATTGTATCTCCTTATTTGATGTCTGGCTTCATCCTTTCATCTGTTAAATAGAAATGGCAATTCTTGTTATTTAAATTTGTGAGAAAGGCTGATTTTTGAATCTCTATCTTCTTGGTAAGTAATTAATCCCAAACCTCTTGTTTCCATATCTAAGGAAAGTTACCAGATGGAAGAGCTGAGATTCTTTTTGTTCTCAAAAGCTGTTTGATTGCCAAGCTTCTAACAAACATTTTGTAGCATGACAATCTGTTAACAGAATGCTGGATGATAGCCCCAAATGGAGGGAGACAGCATCTTCAGGAATACTTTATCTTGTAGACTTCAGATATGCTTCCTCTTTCGCTACCTTAGTATCTAATGAAGTACAAGAGCATTAGTGTGTTCTAGCATTTACTCTTTCACATGCTTTGATTGCTCCTACTGAAATTTTAAACTTTAATTTATGTTAGTGTTAATGCATCACTAGCTTGTGGCTTGCTTGATGTGTTGTGGCATTCACGTTTGTTCTTTTCTGATGGATTCTTTTTTTTCAAGTGCAAAATATAACATTTACTTTTGTGTAACAATCTTTTGAGAAGTCAAAAGTACCCAGGATTGTACCCAGAAGCGTAACAGTAGAAGAGTTCTGTGATGCCAATTACATCTGTAACTTACCATGTCACTCTTCTACTTTTGTTAAAAGATTTTTACTTTTTTATCTTTGTTAAAAACGCTTTTAAGTGAGTGTATGTTTCAATACAATTTCATATTGGAAATGATGATCACAAATTATGCATTTAAATATGCAGATTTCATATGTAGAAAAGTGCTCTGTCTAGTCAGTGTGAATAAGTCACTGAGCTTTGGATTTTAAAAAGCTAGGAGGCTGAGGGTTCTCAGGTGACCTATTCTCAGGAATTAAGGAACTAGAACGAGGCTGGAATGAATTTAAAAAAATGATTTACTTTCTGGTTCTTTTTCATGTGTTGTTAAAGCACAAAATGATGTTGGTGAACCTAGATAAGGAGATTTGTAATTTGTATTTTCCTGGGAAATAATCTATCCCTTCTACATTTTAAAATGCATTGATATAGGGTCCTCCATAGTATTTGCAAATAATTTTAAAATTTCCATATTTGTAATTTGCCATTTTAATTTTTCTAATGGTGTTAACTTATATCTTCTCTT